>NC_000008.11:104464222-105089222 GCF_000001405.40 Homo sapiens | reverse complement strand
TAATTACTAGGACGACAGGATTGTAAAGATCTTTGGATTACATTTTGCTATAGAAGGCATAAATAATCTAATGATTACTATGCATGCCTGGTCAAATGGTTACTGCCACCAAGTTATTAGAGTGCTATTTTCACTTCTAGCAAGGAAATGATCTGAACTGCAAATTGAGCTCAGTTGTAAGGAAGAGGTGCTTCGCTCTTAGCCACCAAAGCTTCAACAAAGAGGAGAGCAGTGAAGGTAGTCACAAAAAAAGAATAAGAAGCATTCAGTAATTCACGAGATGCTTAAAAATAAAACCCTCACAGAGGAAGTACCTAACTACCCACTGTAGTCATTTTTGCATTCATTTTTAAATGGCCATAAAATTTCTCCTTTCTACGTTCTTCTTGTACCCCCTCTTTTTTTTCCTTTTTAAAAAATAGTCACAGTTATGTGATTTCAGGGAGAATTGGTTTATTGGAAAGTGCATTTGATTTGGAGTTGGAAGAACACAGCTTTGCCACTTAGCAGCCATGCAATCACATGGCAAAGGGCTCTTCCTTACCAGGTCTCGTTGTTGTAGTCTTTCTTTTTCTTTTCTTTCTTTTCTTTTTTTGCATCCAAATAATGATAGAAACACCCACCTAATAGAATTAAATGAATGCACCCAGAGACATTTCCCACTTTGTAAAGTAGAAACATTTATACAATTGTGAGAGATGATTTGAAAATGAATGTTTGAGACACTGTTAATTTTCAAATAAGATTGATGAAGAAGGTAACCAGGATCCAGAAAATTAACCCAGCTGAGGATATAGACTAAGTGGCCATATATAATGGGGCTTCTTGAGAGAAAATCTGCCACCCTCTCACATAACTGAACTGTTTCCTGTTTTCTGGAAGACATGGTTTTCTTTTATTTTCCATCCCTTTTCCTACCTTACTGAATTTTGTATTGAGCTACAATTTTCAAGCAATACAAATAAAGTTGCTGCAATTCCTGATTTCCCTGATCTGTGTCAGCACCAAAGCTTCAGTGAAAAGAAAAGAAAAAAAAAAAAAAGAAGAAAGAAAGAAAACCTTGCATGCCCCTTGCTCAAGCCACCTTAAAAGCACATTTCCCAGCCTAACATTTATGAACGGATCAGAAAAGATGTTGACCTTAGAAAAATAGGGTATAAGTTTTACCATCAAGTTCAATTTAGTCACAGTCATACCTACTGCCAAATTTGATCTAAAGTCAAATTGTAAATTCAGGAGGAATAGAACTAGAAAATGCTAATCATACTGATGATGCTGGAAGTGTTTGAAAATACAGGAATTCCCATGAATGTTTCTGTTGTAATTGCTATTGTTCACAGCCACTCAAAAGAATTCTATTTTCAAGTTAATAAAAAAAGATACTCTGACCAAAAAAACCCCTCAATATCTAAATAGCATCAAAATCAAAGATTTCCCTCAATAACCTTAGAACTAGTGACTACAAAGTTAAAATGTTCAGAAATAGCTATATCATGAATGCTTATTAGAATTTTATTGTACTATGAAGAATATTTGAATTCGTTTTGGAAAATTTCTGTCTAAATGCATTATTTGTGCATTCATTCAACAAACGTTTATTGAGTGCCTAGTGTGCTCCGGGCATTGTTGTAAGCATAAAAAAAGCAAGACAGATAAATCCATGATCTACTGGAGTTTAAATTCTAATGAGCATGGGTACACAACAGGGACTGTAAATCAATTCATTTTATTGTCTATGAACATTAATTAGAGACAAGTCTAGCAAACTATGATGAAAAAGCCTATGATAGTTATACGTAAGTTCAAGAGGAAAGACTGCCATGATTGACTAGTGATGTCTGCCATGGGAACAGGATAGGGAAGCCCTGGTATGCATGCCACACTTTTGCTACTCCTACTTCATAGGAAATTACCCTGGGACTACAGGCATCAAATTCAGAACTGTTCCCCAGGGAAAATACTGGTACTAGTCACATATATCACCATGACCTACTTTTGTACCATCCTTTGTGAGGTGAATTAAGAGAAAAGAACTTTCTGCTTACATTTGTGTGTGCCCCAAGTAGGCTCTTGAGTTTTCATAAAAGATTAACCTTTCTTTCCTTTGGTTGTTCACCAAAACATAAGGCTATACCTTCACCTATCAACAGAAAATATTTACACTTTACATTCTTGCCAGATTATGTCAAGTTTGAACTCTCTGCTAGCCTACAATGACCAAATCCTTGATCACCCTTTCAGGTTAAGCTTGTACCTGGTGGGTAGACACAAACCAAAATTTCTGCCAACTTGACAATAAAATACCTATGAAAACATACAAGTAAAGGATGTGAACTGATAATTCAAAGAAGAAATATAAGTGCAGTAGAGCAAATAAAAATTTCTGACCACATGAGTAATCAGGAAAATGCAAATTAAATAATGAGCCACCATTTTTTCCCTATCAAATCAACAAACATTTTGAAAGAATGAATATAAACTGTATTGGTAAGAGTGTGGGGGAAAGAGCACACTCATTCTTAGAGGAAATAAATACCACCCCTTTAGAAAGCAATTGTTCAGTACTTAAAAATAATTAAAATATGTATACTCTTAGAAGCCATTTCTATTTTTTGGAAATACTCATACAAGTGCATCCATACAGGAATATTTGTGTCATATAATTTATAAGAATAAAATCTTGCTCATTAAGAGCAGGCTGGTAAAACGTACTATAGTAGATCCATACTATGAAACACAATGTACCCACTACAAGAATGTGTTCAATGGACATCTGCTGAGAAAAGATTCATGATCTATACCAAGGCAGAATGTAAATTGTAGAATATTATATAAATAGGATTCCATTTTTTTCAGAAACGTATGTGCATGTACATTTATTTCATCATTTCTTCTTCCCTTCTAGGAAGACTTATAAAGTGAAAATTTCCCTCATCCTCCTTTTAGTTACCTTGAGGTACAATCCATATAGAAAAACATATAGAAAAATACTTGAGTGTTTTCCTTCATTTGTCACTCTTTTAAAATCTATATGTATATAGAAAATATCTAAAAGCACATACATCAAACTATTAAACATTTCTTCTTGATGAGTAAACATCAGGAGTGCAATATTTTAGTTTTCATCATATAAAATTATGTATAATTTGAATTTTTCAATGGGAATGTATAATTTGTAATAAAAAAGGAAGAGAAATATGGGCAACAATTTGTCAGACATATTTAATTAAAATCCAAGTAAGAATGTGATGCTAATTTCAGACAAAATAAAATTCAGACCTCCTTCCCTAACTTCATCAGACAAAGGATATAAATTCTGATTAATAAAGGTATAACAAAAGTTGCGTGCCAAATAGTACCTTCATTATTTGAAGCAAAAACTGCTAGAAATTTAAGAAGTGCACAGAAGTGCCATCTTTAGAAACTAAAGTCTCATTCAACTTTGAATATTTAAAATAGATTTTAAAAGAGTGACAAATGAAGGAAAAGACTCAAGTATTTTTCTATATGTTTTTCTACATGGATTGTACCTCAAGGTAACTAAAAGGAGGATGAGGGAAATTTTCACTTTATAAGTCTTCCTAGAACGGAAGAAGAAATGATGAAATAAAAAGATCACCACTTAGCAACTCCTAACAGGATACCAGAGCTGCACAATGATTAGAGACCTCTAACATCACAAAGAGCAACATCCCAGTACTATGTGGCTCCTGATGGAAGGACACACCACACCCTGTGAAGCAGCGTGACTTAAAACAGAAATTAAACCTGAATCCAATCACGTGTTTATATCTAATTACCAAATTACAGCAAGTATAGACGACAGAGGAACATTTTAAACCAGAACACAGGGATGAAATCAGCAAAATCCACACTGTTAGACCATAAAACAATCAATCTAATTCCTTCTACAAATAAAAGACAAAAAACCTCAGGAAATGAAGGAGGAATCTATAGTTTTTTTTTTAAGTGGGAGACATAAAATGCATTCATGCTGCTTGAACTTTTAGATCTTTATTCTAACTATTTTAAAAAGATAGAGAAAAAATTATGAGACAATTGGAAATGTGAACACTGGCTGGGAGATAGTTGATATTAAGTTGTTATTGTTAGTTTTGTTTAGGTGCAATAATAATTTTGTGATATTTTTAATAAGTCTTTATATTTTAGAGACATATACTAAACAATTATAAATAAAATTATATGGTGTCTAGGATTTACTTTAAAATCATTCAGGAATGGGGAACATATTAAGGGTAAGGATGAAACAAAACTTGTGAGCTAGTAATTATAAAGACTGGGTGTGGAAAAAAGGAGGCTTATGATACTATTTTATGTGCTTCTGAAAATGTTTAGATTTTTTTTGGTAACACAAAGTCTAAAAATAGGGATAAAGAAAATTTGAATAATAAAATTGATATGGTTGTACCATTGCAAATATTTCCAACTTTTGGAACTTCAAGAGAATTTTCTCCTTTAAGTATCCTTAGAACATTTACAAAAATTAACCATTTCAAGGCCACAAAGATGATCATAATAAATTAAAAAAGAAGAACTATTTCACTAGTGATAATCACGGACCATAATACAACATTACAAGAAATTAATAGCATTGGGAAGAATATAAAATTCTTCCAAAGTAATGTACACATTTGACCATTTCAATGAGATTCTTATTTACAGAAGCCTTTAAAAAATTCCTCTATATTTCATCTTGAATTAACGTCAAAAATAATAATTAAAGCAATTTTGTGAAAAACTAGATAAAAAGATAGTTGCCTGCAATAATTACGAATTAGAAGTAAAAATTAATTAAAACATGTAACTGGCATAAGAATTGACAGATCAATGTAATAGAATATACAAACTCAAAACACATCTTAGTGTATAGGAGAATTTAATATGGGACAAAAGATGCATACAAGAATAAAGAAAAGAAATAAATTATTCAATAATGATGTTGAAGAAGTTGACTAGGAAAAAAGTCAATACTGTTTAATATAAAACTAGACATGTTTTACAGTGTCTGCATATTCCCCAATTTAGGGGTGCTACCTATTGTACAAATAACAGAAAAGGCACAGTCATCTTCTACACCATGTCGTCACTATTTCTCTGACTATAATACTTGAATCAAGACATATAATTTATAAGATATATAGTCTTCTATATTCTGTCCTGTATCATTAGGTTCAAAAATATGAGCTTGATTATAAGACCATTCTGTAAGGAATACAAAACTGAGAAACTGAAGAATTTGAGCAATTAGCAAGAAGGACATAAAGGACTCTTAGAAAGGTGTAATTGAATATTTATGCTATGCAATATTGTTAGAGCCAGGTTAACATCTAAAATTATTTTCTGAAGTGATAAATAAAAATTAAACCCGGTTAAACACTAGAAAAAATACTATCGATATTTCACAGAAAAAAAATACAAATGACAGCTACCTGGGGAAAAATGGTTTAACTTCTCTAGTACTCATAGGAATGCAGATAAAAACAACACTGAGTTACTAATTTTACTATCAGGTTGGAAAAGAGAAAAAAAATCAACATTACCTTTGAACACTGCCAGGGTTGTATTGAGATAGATCCTGGATTGTCCACTGCTGATAAGAGTATAAATTGGTAAAAGTAACAAATACTCAAATTTTCTGGAGAGAAATTTGAATATAATCTATCAAAAAGCTTAAAATAATGCACATTCTTTGATTCAGAAATGTCACTTCTAGGATTCTAGTCTAGAGAAATAATCAGAAATAGGTACTCAGTTTAAATATGTTTCTTTATAGCAGTAGTGAGAACTTTGGAAATTCAAGATTGTTAAATAATTAAGCTCCATAGTAATAATATTTATTAATCACAAACATTTAAGAATGTACTGAGTGGTAGAGACTCTTCCAAAGCATCCCGATTTAATCTCAGAACAACCCTTGGGGTTTGGTACTAGATACAGAGACATCAAGACAGCTGGTATATTGTTAAGCTGGAATATGACCATGAGTGTCTGACTCCACAAATGGCACTTTTCGCTACTGCACTGTAATAGCATTTTCTGACTCTTTTAATATGCCAGCTGCAATCCTAACATTTTACACTGTTTTATTTAATACAAAGCAACAAATTATAAAACAAAAATAAAATAACAAAACAAAATAAAAACCCATTGATACTGCCATTATAAGCAGCAGAAAGCTAAAGCACAGAGAGTCAGTAACTCAGTAAAGATTAGAGAGCTAACAGCGACAGAGAGTTTCAAGGAGGGTTTAATGCACATAAAAATGGGTACATTAAAACATGAGCGTTTGTTAAATACAACACTAAATTGCAGGGTTTGGGGAATTTTAACTCTGTACCCTGGGGAGTAAAAGTGGTTCAAACTTTTTGGAGTTCGGCATTGTCTCTCAAAATTATGAATGTGTAGAATCATTAGTGGGCCATATCAATTTTAGGATTTGGTCTTGTAGGAATGCCAACCCATGTACACCAAAATACATGTATAATGACGTCTACTTCAGCAATGTTTATGTCAATTAGGAAAAACATCTCAAATATCTATGAATGGAAGATGGTTAAATAACAACCCAGTTCATACCATGCAGCTGTGAAAATGGAAAAGGCTAGTTAACCTGTACAGTAGTCCCCCTTATCTTCAGGGTATACGTTCCAAGACCCTCAGTAGGTCCTGAAACAGTAGCTTAGTACTGAAATCCCATATATATTATGTTTTTCCTATGCATACATACCTATGATAAAATTTATAAAGTAGGCACATAGACTAACAATAAAATAAAACAATTATAACAATATGCCAACATCACTATTCTTGTGCTTTGAGGCTATTATGTAAAATAAGGGTGACTTGAACACAAGCACTGCAATTCAGAGAAAGTTGATATAACCAAAATGGCTACTGGGCGACTCACCGATGCAGAGTGTGTACAGTGTGAATACACTGGACAAAGGGAGCATTCACGTCCTGGGTGGGATGGTGTGAGATTTCACCGTGCTACTCAGAGTGACACACAATTTGAAACTGATGAATTGTTTATTTCCGGAATTTTCCATTTAATATTCTTAGGCCATGGTTGACCGCTGATAACTGAAACCACAGAAAGCAAAGCCCAGAAAACAAAACCTCCCATAAATGGGGACTACTGTGCTGGCTTGGACAGAAAGTCATAACTTGTTATGTGAAAAGAAGCATATTGCAGAAAATGCACATGTACACCCACACACATACTTGTTACTATTTGTGTGAAAAAAAATGCTCACCAATATGTGTGTCTAAATAACATATATCTATATTATAGTTTTTAATGTATACATATGCTAGACTGATAATAGGTATCAGCTCTAGGGAATAGATTGATAGAGTTAAAGGAAAGGGAGAAATTTTAGTTTTTACTTTAAACTGTTCTCAAAAGCAAGGAAAAAACTAGCACTGGGATTTGAGTGTTTCATACTTTTTTTTCTCCTTTTAATGTTTATTTTAGCTTCAAGGGTGACACGTGCAGGTTTGTTATATAGGTAAACTCATGTCATGGGGGTTTGGTGTACAGATTATTTCATCACACAGGTACTAAGCATAGTACCCAATAGTTACTTTTCCTGATCCTCTCCTTCCTTCTAGCCTCTTCCCTCAAGTAGGCCTCAGTGTCTGTTGTTCCCCTCTTTGTGCCCATTGGTTCTCATCGTTTAGTTCCCACTTAAAAGTGAAAACATGCAGTATTTGGTTTTCCGTTCCTGTGTTAGTTTGTTAAGGATAATGATCTCCAACTCCATCCATGTTGCCGCAAATAACACAATCTCATTTTTTTTTATTGCATAGTATTCCATGGTGTATATGTACCACATTTTCTGTATCCTGGATACCATTTATGGGCATTTATGTTGATTCCATGTCTTTGCTATTGTGAACAGTGCTGCAATAAACATATATGTGTATGTGTCTTTGTGATAGAAAAATGTATAGTCCTTGGGGTATATACCCAAAAATGGGACTGCTGAGACAAATAGTAACTCTGTTTTTAGTTCTTTGAGGAATCACCACACTACTTTCCACAATAGCTGAACTAATTTACACTCCCACCAGCAGTATATAAGCATTCCTTTTTCTCTACAACCTCACCAGCATCTGTTATTTTTTGATATTATAATAATAGCCTTGACTGGTGTGAAATGGTATTTTATTGTGGTTCTGATTGGTATTTCTCTAATGATTAGTGATGTTGACCATTTTTTCATATGCTTGTTGGCTGCCTGTGTGTCTTTTTTGAAAACTGTTCGTATCCTTTGCCCACTTTTAATGGGGTTGTTTTTTGCTTGTTAATTTAAGTTCCTTCTAGATTCCGGATATTAGACCTTTGTTGGAATCATTGTTTGCAAATATTTTCTCCTATTCTGTAGGTTGTCTGTTTACTCTGTTGATCATTTCTTTTGCTATGTAGAAACACTTACTTTTTTCTGTTTTCCTGCACTTCTCAAATTTCTGTTTTAAAACTGTGTTTTATTTTTATCAGGAAAAAATAAAAATACAAAATGTCATCTGCTTATTTCTACTTAATTTTAAAAAATTAAATATGATTTACTACCTGAAAATAGAAAAAGTACTAAAGGTAGAAGAAATGAACCCAATTAAGTTTGCTTCTTTCCTTGTCTTTCTAATTTTTTCACAATGAGCCCATTATGACAAGAAAAATACATATTAAAATTCTGGAGTTTAAGAAACATTAACTCAATTAGCTATATTAACTTAATATAGCAAAGGATATTACATGGCACTTCCCTCATAAATAAACATGAAAGAAAACAGAAACAGATATATTTATGCTGGGAAAAAAAGTCTCTTTACTGTATGATGTTGTGCTTTTGTGTAATTGACAGAATTTACTTCTTTACTTTGGGTTCCAGGAAGCCCACCTCCAGCAACCGTACTGAATTTGAGTCAGTTGCCTTCTACGTAAACTCTATGTCTTAGTCCATCTGAATTGCTATAAAGCAATAACTAAAGTTGGGTAATTTATAAAGAGGTGTATTTGGCTCATGGTTTTGCAGGCTCTTCAAGAAGCATGGAGCCAGAATCTGTTTCTGGTGAGAGTTTCAGGAAGCTTCCACTCAGGGCAGACAGCCTGAGTGTCACACGGTGGGAGAGGGAACAAGAAAGAGGGCAGGGGTCGCCAGCCTCTTTTTAACAATCCTATTGGAACTAATAGAACAAAAACCCGTTACCCTGGGAGGACAGCACCAAGCCATTCATGAGAGATCCTCCCCCATGACCCAAACACTTCTTACCAGGCCCCACCTCCAACACTGGGAATCAAATTTCAACATGAAATTCGAAGGGGACAAGTATCCAAACTATATCTTTCTGTTACCTCGGGATTGGTCTTCGTTTTTTCCGTATTATTTATTTTCTTATTGTACAGTTTGTATTTTTTGAAGCTATTTCAAATTCTCTTTTGAAACAGACAGGATATGAGGGAGAAAAAGCTTCTCAAAAAACTATCTTAGAAGGAAAAAAGAAAATAGTCTTCCTTCCTCCCTCCCTCTTTCTCTTTCTTCCATTCTCTTCTGGTTCAACTGAGGTTTTGAGGCACAAAGGTAAAAGTTGTGATGGAAATATGAGTACCCATGGTGACCATTACATCAATATTGAGTCGACAATCTCTTTATTGCTGAAAGACCATAATGATTTCCATTTCTCTGAGAAATTTGTATTTAAATATGAATCTTTATAGATGCAATGATTTTGACAATTTATGCTTTCTTGTTGATGTACTTTTCAAAAATTGAATAACTTTCTGCCTTAAAAAAGAAGGGAATCCTGTCATTTGTGACAACATGGATTAATATTTTTGATTTGGTTTTCTTATGGTACTTACAAGTATACTATTTTTTGTTTTGAGTACTACTTTGAATGTACTAATCTCTAACTACACTGCTTACTGAAGGATGGATCACAGACATAAAAAATCGTGGCCTGCTTTTCACAAAATACTCTTGTTCCCTTGTTGTTTTATTAATTGTAAAATAAATCGCTCATCTATAATAAAACTATCTCCCAGGAAAAATCTAACTTTAATTATGGATTTCAGCATTCTTCTAAGTCAACTGAACTCATACAGAAGTCTTTTGTAACTTTAGTAGCAGATTTCAAGTTATGGCACCTTCACAAAACCAGAGCATGTTAATACATTGCATCTAGAAACAATCAAACAGGAAGAACCTCCTTCAGCTCTCCACTCTCAAATCTACCAACCCAGACTTATCAAGACCCATGCTCTCTGTTTTCTTCCCGCTGTTACTATAGATCATGTGTCTCAGTTTATCTGGAAGACCAGCCCCTCTCCACTACTTGGTCTCTGCAACTCATGCTCTTTTACTATCTCAAATACTTTACTCCTGAAACTTCCTTCTTTAATCAATTTCTCCCTCTCTGTTGGACTGCTCTCATCAGCATACAAATATGCTCTGAGATCTTAAAAGAAACCATTTGCAAGACAGCATAATACCTTTAACTCTCACTCAGTTTCTCTACTTCTCCTCACAGCAAAATTTTCTCTAGAGTTACTATCTCCACTTTCCTACCCACAATTATCCACCCCACCACTCTATTGAAATGGCTTTTGTCAAGTTCACCAATGATCTGGGTATCACTAAACCAAATGATCAGTTTCTTTACTATATTTTGATTGACTTTTCAGCAGTATTTGACACAGTTAACCACTTTCCTTTTCATAAAATCTGTTGTTGTTGGCTTCTGTTACTCTTAGTTTTCTTTCTACCTCATGGTCCATTTCTCAGTAATTTTAGCCAACTCTTCCTAATACTATGTCAAATATTGGAGGCTCCCAGGCTCAGTGCTGGGATGCTTTCTTTTCACTACCTAGTCATTGTTCACCTTATCCAGTCCTTAGGTGGCAAAAATAATCTATGTATCAAGTACTTAAATTTAACCCATCTATAATGAACTGAATGTTTGCATCCTCCCAAAATGTATATGTTGAAGCCCAACCACTAGTGTGGCTGTCTTTGGAATAATAACATAATTAAAGTTAAAGGAGGTCATAAAGATAGGATCCTGACCCATTTGGATTAGTGCATTTATAAGAGACATCAAAGAGGACATATGTGAGGACATAGTGAGAAGGCAGCCATCTATAACCCAGGAGAAGAGCGCTCACCAGAAATCAAACCCTGCTGGAACCTTGATCTTGGAATTCCCAGCATCCACCGTGAAATAATAAATTTCTGTTATTTAAGTCACCCTGTGGTATTTTATGGCAGGCCTAGCAGACTATAATATATCATCCAAAATAAGTACCTTGATTCCCACTCCCCGATGTGTTCCTTCCCTAGACTTCCCCTTTTCAGTAAATAAACTTATCCTCCACTCTTGATCAAAAATCTTGATTCTTCATGTTCCCTCACCACATACACCTAACACTTTATCAAGTTCTGTTGATTCTACCTTTAAAACTTGCTTTGAATCTGGGCACACCCTCTATCTTCACTACCTCTGTCCAGCCCACACCATCATTCTCTCACCTGAGCAACTGCACAAGGTCTCCTAACAGGTCACCTGCCTTCACCATTGCCTCATTATAAACAATGTACATAGAGAAGCCAGACATTCTTTTTTTTTTTTTTTTCGAGACAGAGTTTTGTTCTTCTTGCAAAGGCTGGCGTGCAATGGTGTGATCTCGGCTCACCACAACCTCTGCCCGGCTAATTTTTTGTATTTTTAGTAGAGAGGGGGTTTCTCCATGTTGGTCAGGCTCGTCTCAAACTCCCGACCTCAGGTGATCTGCCCGCCTCGGCTTCCCAAAGTGCTGGGATTACAGGTGTGAGCCACCATGCCCAGCCCAGGCATTCTTTATATAATGTGAATCACATGACATCATATCCCTGCTTAAAACCTTCAAATTATGTCCCATTCCACCTAGAATAAATTCCACTCTCTAATGCTGATTTACAAAGCCCTATAAAATCTCACCTTTGCTATCATTCCTAACTAATCTGGTAGCATTTGTTCTTCCTCCATGGCATCAAAGACATAGTGGTTTTCTTTGTTTCTCATACACCCTAGATTTGCTATTGGCTTCTCTCTACTCGAAGTATCCTTTCCTTAATCTTGGCTTCACTGGAGTCTTCATGCCATTCATATTTCCAATTGTCTGTCACTTCCTCTGAAAAGTCTCCACCAATCTTAACTATAGCATTGACTTTGTTTATATGCGTAGCACTTTCATTGTGTGAATTTGTTTTTGTTTGCTTTTATCATTTTTGCTCTTCCTCACTAGAATGTCAGTTCCATGACAGCAAGATTTTGTCTTGTTCATCTTTTTAGCTTCTGCACTTTAAACTACATTTTTTCCAACCGTGTATGCAACAGGGTTAATCCAGTTCCTCTTAGAAAATTATTTATTGTAGCATTATTGATGTGAAGTTTCTGTATGAGCCCAATTTAAATAAATTATAATAATTATCTAATTCATTCAAAATTACTTCCCAATAGAATTGGATAGTCCTGGGAAATTAACAGTGGAGAATATATATCACTTTCCTTACACTAACATGAATTGTAACCACAAAATACCTGAACTTAGTAAACAATGCATATTTTCCCTGTAAAAAGTCTAATGTAAACGATTTATAATAAAGATATTAGCAATTATTATTTCCTGATCTTAAACCAAAAGTAAGTTATTGCACATTGCAGATAGGCAGCATAGGAAAGAAAGAAGAGCTAATAAAGTTAAAGCTTCCAAAGATGTAGGCAAAAGACTAACTCTTATCTTACTATAAAGCTTATATAGTGTGGGCCCGCCAATGACTTTGTGGGGAGGGTGTTATTATAAAATTCACCTGCCGTTACTCAAGCTTCAGATATCAGGAAGTGTCCTTTAAGTTAACACTATTTTCATTGTTTATTTTTTTGAAATATAAAATGCACTGCAGTATTCATATTATTTTTCATATCTCTATTTTTAAATGTTGTATTAAGTCAGGAAGGGGGAATATATTATTCTAATTATTCTGCTATTATACCTTAACTCTTTGGTTCAAATTGTGTTCTTGATGTTAATATACACCAAAATCAGAAATTCTCTTCTTTGATTTTTTTCTTACAAGTATATAACAAATCCTCTGTGACACCATGTTGAAATTGTAATTATGCAACTTAATAATATATTTTAATACTATTTATTTAATACTAAATTCATATAGAATATACAATCAAAATATTTATGAAGTATATGATTAAAATGAACTATAATTGTACCATCCATGGGTATCACCTGTTAACATTTTGATATGTTTATTTCTGGTAATATGCATATTCTCTAAAATTGAACTTTTATATATATATATACGATTTTATAATATTATGGCATAAATCTACCTAATTATAATAAGAAGACATTGATTGGTAACACTTACTGATCACTTACTATGTGTCAACACTGTCTAAGCACCTGATGAATCCTTACAACACATGTATGAGGTACGTATTATTATTATTATTCCCATTTTACGGAGGGGGAAACTGATACACCGAAGCTTCCTCAAGATTACAAAAGCTCTAACTCCAGTGTCTGTGGCCTTAATAGCTAGATAATATTGCTTCTTAAGAATCATAATTTTAATGGGTACATATTTCATCATATTTCTACATAATTATTTGTTTAACTTTTGCCATATTTTTCATTCAGCTTTTCAAAAATTTTAAGATAAACATCTTTATATATAAATATTAATTTGAATTTCTGATGGGAATACCAAAAATTCTTCCATTCCTTGCTTAATCACAACATTAATTTATTATATAATTGATTAGCTCTTTCTAATATCTATACCAATAGAAATAATACTTTTATAAACAGGATTTACAGAATTACAATAAAATTTTGATTCTGCTCTAGGTTTCAAACATTATTAACCTCTGATAATCATTTCATGGCAGTGAAAATTCCAACTCAGAATACTATGAGATATATGCTTAGAAAATCTCAGCTAGAATGTCATGATAGCAGGAAACTTCTCTATCTTGTTCATTACGAGTCTCCATTGCTTAGATCATGTGTGCACAGAGTTAACAATCAATAAACATTGAAGAAGGAAGGGAAAGAAAGAGAGAGAGAGAGGGAGGAGGAGGAGGAGGAAAAGGAGAAGGAGAAGAAGAAGAAAAGAAAAGAGAAGAAGAAGAAAGAAGAAAGAAGAAAGAAGAAGAAAGAAGAAAGAAGAAAGAAGAAAGAAGAAGAAGAAGAAGCAGCAGCAGCAGCAGCAGCAGCAGCAGCAGCGGGAGGGAGGGAGGGAAGAAGGAAGGAAAGAAGGGGAAGTTTTATATTAAAATAATTTGAAATAATAAGAAAATAGAGTTTACAGTGCTGAGAAAATTTTTTCAGTTGCCATGATGAAAATGTAACTCCTATGTTGTAAAAGAGCATATAGGCCGTACCTAAATTGTTTCAGGGAAATCCTTATTTGAAGGGTGAAAATGCACACCAAAAGGATCAGTTTCAGATTAAGCCCTTTTGATCTGGCTCGCACCATGATGCTAAACACAGCTACAACATGTTTACCTGCACTACTTGCCACGAGACAGAGACCCTTCTCATCATATTCCCTTTGGATGGATCTCACATGTAGTCCACATGAAAGACAAGGAGCTTCTCAGTTCTCCCCTAACAATTGCATAGCCCATAGCCTGCCCCTTTCCTGCTCTGTCCACTGTCACCCCTGACCCCTTCACTCTGGCCTGAAGGCTGAAAGCCTACCTTTTAGGTCAAGAACAGTCCTGGCAAGGTGACTTCTTTGCCATCTTATCTGCATCACTGGATGGGCCTCCTCCCTTCCCAAACTACCATCCTGAGAGCTCCATGCCTAACCTGCTGCTTCCACTCCTCCGGCTTCCTAATATTAGCTACATGGATGCTGTAGTAAGAATCTACCTTCCTCCACTTGTGGAAGAACTTGTAGTTCCTTGACATCCTGAGCTCGTAGGAACTGCCATCTAAGAATCCCAGTGAAGCAATTTTCAGGAATCTACCATATCACTGTGATGTTCTTTTAAGCAGCAATCAGACCACCAGTTCACTGCTCGAGGCTATGGCTTTCTATGCTCTTTAAAATCCAACAGGTTACTATGATCTATACTGAGCTGCATCATGTATTATCTGTCAGCCTCTTCAAATTTATGTCTAACAATGTTTCCCATACCACCATGCTCAAGCCAGCTGGGCCATGGTCCCACTCCTGGAGAGCCATTTCCTTCTTTATGATCCTCACAATGTGGGAGTATCCCATTTAGAAAGGCCTGTCATTGGTTCTTTGCATAGCTGGCTTCTCTTTCAGTTAGAATATTTCCCTTTCTAAGATGAATCTTCCTAAGAGCCTTATCTAAGTATTCCTCATTAATCACAATCACAGATCCCTGTATGCAACTTTCTTATTTCCTGCCCACATTTATAATTGCCTATTTATTGATTTGTCTGTTTTATGCCTGACCCCCATGGAGGCAATAATCTCCATGAGAGTAATAACTATGATGGTTGGTTGTACCCACTATTGTTCACCCAGCACTCCATTCACTGTTTTCTGAGTAAATAATTCTAAGCCATGTTCTCCCATACACTGTGCCATGATCCAGAGCTGTAAGTGATAGATAAGATGTACAAAAGGGATCTCTAGCTCCTAAAACTTACTTTGAAAGAGAGGCAAAATGCGATGAAAAGAACTATGAGTTTTGAGATTGAGATTCAAATTCTGTCTCTTTGTTAACTCGAAAAGTTCTTGATATTGTGAACTTTTATAAGTCTCTTGTCCTATTTAAGTCCAGTTATACTATTTGTAACGTGAAATAATTGGACTATTTGATCTCAAAACATCCTTACAGTTCTAACGGATCTTTGAAAAATTTTTAAGCTAATCCAACACCTTTACATTTGCATTTTTCAAAGTGTGCTCCCGATGGAAGAAGTAGGTTAAAGTTCAAATGATTCTGGAACCACCTGGATTAAACAAAGTTAAATAGCTTTTTTTTTTTTTTTTTTTTTTTTGCTGCAGGAATTCTATTGCCTTTAATATTCTAATGTATATGGGGAATCTTGAAAAGTGAATGGGAGCATAGAACAATTCCCCAAAGTGTTTGAGCCCTGATTCCTTGCTTGAATTACATGGAACTAGTGCTCCTGGAAAACATAAAGCAAACACTATGTTACAGGTATTTAAGCAGAAAAAATAATATAGATTTTGAGAAACATTTATTTGACAGTGTTAAGTAGGCTATATCAGAAAATTTATAACTTAGGAAACAAAAATAAGAGGCTTTAAAAAGTACAAGGAGATGTAGAAGCAAGTAATTTGAGTCATATCTATTTTGTTTTGCTTTGAACAACTCAGAGATCTTCAGTCCTTGCTGTGGAAAATTTAAACATAAAGACCTAGCCTGAGAGATTGTAAAAAAAATTATGAACTGAGACCGTTAGAAATACTATATAGATGTTTGTAATCAGAAAGAGTTTTGATAAGAGGTGTTTAGTTGAAATCTATTCAGTCTACACTTAAAAATGCAGAAACAATTAGATCCACTTTCCCCCCTTATCTCACAGTTTCAGTTATCACAGAAAAGGATAATACTATTTTTCATGTTTCCAACAAATTAGAGTTTGGAAAGTTATCAATGGACAGTGTGATTATTTATCTACATATACAGTTAATCATATTTATTCAATTATGCCTTTTCCTAGTTAGTACTGAATCAGTAAAAACAGTATATGAAGCTTTTAAATAATCTATTTCTGTAGCCATCTCCCAAATTTTTCATAGTAATGGTCAAAATATTTAGCTGCTCACTGTATTACACAAAGAAGCAGAGTGAAGGACGGAAGTCCTGGGGGTATGATGTGAGAGCTCACACCTTGTTGCTTCCATGCATCCTGACCAAATACTGGGAATACATGACAGCTCACAGCAGATCAGCCCTCTGCCTCTTCATTGAAAATGTTTGAAATTTTATCCTCTATCATGAATCCTAAACCCATCTTCTCAAATAACAGAGGGGAATTTTTCCTCCTTCTTTATTGACTCCTGGTCTAAATGCACTTTATATAGTAGCATATAAAATAGGATTTAACATTTGGATACTGAATTCGCTGCTTTCCATGTGTTTTAGAAGTCAAGAGTGTTCTGTTCATAGAGAGGCAAGCATAGTGCAGAAACATGACACAGTCACTGTTTCCTTAAACAGCCAGTGCTTTCAAATTCACACGAGCCTTTGGGAAACTATCGTAGTGATGCCTCTGTGAATATTTACTAGAAACTAGCTCTTTTCTTAGCTTTAAGAATAGGAAATATTTAGTAGCATAAAAGACAATATTGTTTTCTGCAGCATTCCTTTGGCCTTGTCATAAACCAAGTATCCAAAGATGGATTCCATAATGCATTTGTAGCATCTCACATTGCTTTCCAAATTACTCCAAAGACAGTTGCTTTCACCAAACAAAGTCATGCCAGGAGCATAAGTTAGTTCATTCTTTTCCATTATCTCCACCTTCTATCACTTAAAATACAAACACCACTTGATCATTTTCCAAGTGTTCCTGTTAGTATTCTGCTGCTTGTTAATTAGATTTGTACATTTTTATAGGTTAAAAAAACTTCTATGAATATACATGGATATGTTATTAGTTTACATTGATGCTTACCACTCTAAT
Organism: Homo sapiens; assembly: GCF_000001405.40. Taxonomy (NCBI): domain Eukaryota; kingdom Metazoa; phylum Chordata; class Mammalia; order Primates; family Hominidae; genus Homo; species Homo sapiens. Next base: position 105,071,500 of record NC_000008.11, on the reverse strand, counting down.
CCACTAGAGAGAAGAGTTTGCTTTTCTTATGGCTTTGGTTTACAAATTTAAAGCATAATAAAGCATATACATTTATAAATTGAATACTAAAACCAAACAAGGTAAGTCATATTTTAAGGCTATTAAACTGTAACAAAGTATTATAAAGTTATCTTTACTAGGATGTGCAACTACTTTTCATTATATTTAAGAGTGAAAATACAGAGTAAAATAAAAAAGAGAAGTCCCAGGAAAGCATGTGTTAGTCAGTTATTTGTTAAAATCAGTATGCTTAAATAAAATATGGCTACCAATACCATCTACCTGCCAATGACTCCCCACATTTTATCATTGGTCCATATCTCTCTCCTAAACCCAGGCTTTTATATTCAGGTTTCCCTGATGCCTCTATTTGTATGGCTAACAGACACCTCAAGCCTAACACATGCAAAATATAAGTTTTTGCCTCCACTCCAGATGTATACTTCCCTTTGTCTTCTTCATCTCGGTAAATGAAACTATCATTCACCTGATGGCTGACATCAAAAGCCTGGGTGCCATCATTGAGACCTCCCTTTGGTTCTATTTCCCAGCATGATACTGTGTCTACCCACTTCTGTCAACCTCTATGCAACCGTCCTAATCCAACCCACTATTCCCTTTGTCCTGGATCATCCCTTAGCCTCATAAGTAGCCTCTCCTACAGTCTACTCTTTACTTAGCAGCTACATTGACCTGTCTCTCACTGCTTATCATCAGTCATATATCAGGTCAAATGTCACCTCCTTATAGAAATAACTGTACTGAACACATCATTTAGAGAAGCATCTTCCCTCATGCTACTCTTTTTTTAAACTTGCTGTCACCCTCCCATATCCTGTCTCACTGTCTTTATAGTACAGATCATGATGTGAAAATATTCTGACTATTTGTTTATTTTTAATTGTGTGCTTCCCTCTCCATTCCCAGCTTGATTTTAAGAAACAAGAGAGCAAGGGCCATGTTGACTGTGTATTCTTATCAATTAGACCAGTTTCTAGAACATAGTAGATAAAAAATATTTATTGAAGAAAGGAAGGAAGGGAGGGAGGAGTTAAAAGGAGGGAAGAAGAAAAGAAGGAAGAAAGGGAGAGGAACTAAAAATCAGAAAGGGAGAAAGAAAAAAACAAAGAAAGCTTTGAGAGAGGAGGAATGAAGGAAGATAGAAGTGGGGGGGATAGAAAAAGGAAAAAAGGAAAGAGTGAAGGAAGGAAAGGATGAAGGGAGGGAGGGAAAAAGACGAAGGGTGGAAGGTGGAGGAGAGTGAAGGAAAAAATGTTGCCCTCTAGTAAGGCTAATAATAACTGCTTGGTTTAAAATCTGAGGATGAGTAATCCTATTAGGGTTTGACTACATCATTGTACAATGGGAATAACAATAGATCAAAAGAGATAAGGCAAGCTAAGTGCTCTGCAGTGCTTGACACATAATAAATAGGAAGTAAACGTGATACCCCATTGCTCATGTTCCTCAGATTCTTTTCATTCTCAGTCACTTGATCTGACGCAGTTGCAACCATTCAACTCTGCTCATGATAGTCCTATCATCTGGAGCCAACATGCCTGACCAGCCACAAGTCCTGAGTCCCTCTCATCACCTCCAGACTGGAATGCAGCACCCCACTGAGGATTGGTGTTGGGGGTGGGGTGCTCCAATAGATGAAATTTGGCCAAGGAGAAAGAAGAGATAGGAAATGTTGACATCAAAACAGATAAATACCCTCTTGTTCCCTCTCACTTTCTGTTCTGAGGCAGTTTCATCACGCAGTCTGATCAGAGATGGTCTTTGTGGCCAAGAAGGTATACCTCCCAAGCAACCATCTTTGTCTCTTTTAGGGTTTTTATAAAGCAATGGCCAGTGACGTAACACATCACTTTGCATTGCTTCTCATCCTTACCTACTTTACTTTATCTTTTCTCATTTTCCATGTCTTAGAATTGCACTTCCTAAATAAAGCATCACCTCTTAATTCTTGACTCACGCTCTGTTTTGTAGGGAATCTTGGATAAAAGTATTTATAAATAAAATAGTTCTACCAGTTTACTCTCCAATCCCTACTTCCTAACAGCCTTAAGGCACTGAATTTTAAGCAGTGTCTAAGGGTTTGTTTGAGAGGGCTGCTTTTTATCTATATTTACATGGTCTTCTTGATAGCTCAGTTGCTGATGATCACTGAAGGTAAGAACTTCAGTATACATGATTCTTATGGAAACTACCAAACAAGCCTTTCCATGTTTTAACAGAATCAAAATATAAAACACTGGGGCAGAAAAATATGAAATATATTTGTAAAACAAATGTATAAATTAGTGCTAGGGGATGTATGGCTAATGATTATTACATAAACCCTACCATTCTTTAAATTAGGCAGAGAAGATCTTTTAGAACGGGTCCTATCTGAGAGCCCAGTTGAATGATGGGAGGGAGGTAGTTGACAGAGATGGGCAGAAGTGTTATTTCTTGGCAGAGGCTGCAACTTGAAGGTGGAAGTTAGTAAAAGGCTTTGAAAACATGTTTAAAAGAGCAGAAAAGATTAGTAAGAGTAGTTGAAGAAAAGAAAAGTGAGTTCTGTGTCTCCTTAATGAAATGCTTTGAATCAGAAAAAAAGTTTTGTTTTTGTTCTTGATTTAAATGCATGAGTGAGATTCCGTTAAAATGACCCAGGAAGCACTAGATTCATGTCATGGCAGATATTTCATAGAACTTTAGCGAACTGGTTTAACTGTAGTTAAAAAATAAAAATAACTTGATCAATTGTTATTTTTAATTGTTTGTCATTGAACAATTATCTGGTGTTTTATTAGACACCTGTAAGATAGAAATCGAATACAATACACATTGATTATCCCTTATCCTAAGTGCTTAGGAGCAGAAGTGTTTGGATTTTTTTTTGATTTTTGAATATTTACTGGTTGATTTTACTGGTTGAGCATCTCTTTTCCAATAATCTGAAATCTGAAATGCTCCAATGAGTATTTTGAGTATCATGTTGGTGCTCAAAAAGTTTTGAGTTTCCTTTCCTTTGGATAAATCATATCAAAGAGACATACATCTTCACCTCATGCTTATTGAAGAACAATTAATAATAGCCTAGATATGGAATCAACCAAGGTATCTAACAACAGATGAATGGATTTAAAAATGTGGTATATATGCACCATGAAATACTATTCAACCATAAAAAAGAATGAAATTCTGTTAAATGTGGCAACATGGATAGAACTGGAGGACATTATGTTAAGTGAAATAACCCAGGAGGGGAAAGTTAAAAATTGCATGTTCTCATTCATAGGCAGGAAATAAAAAGTTGTTGATCTCATGTAAGTAAAAACCAGAATAGAGGAAGTAGAGGCTGAGAAGAGTGGGGGAAATGAGAGAAAAGGGGAGATTTGTTAAAGGATACAAAATTACAGCTAGATAGGAGAAATAAGTTATACTATTCTATACTTCTGTAGGATGACTGTAGTTAATTAACAAAAACATACTAGTTTCAAATAGCTAGAAGGAGGATATGGAACTTTCCCAACACAAAGAAATGACAAATGTTTCAGATGTTGGATATAGTAGTTACCCTGATCCAATCACTACACATTTGTATTCGTCTGTTTTCACATGGCTATAAAGTCTGGGTAATTTATAAAGAAAAAGAGGTTTAATTGGCTCACAGTCTTGCATGGCCAGGGAGGCCTCAGGAAACTTACAATCATGGTGGAAGGTGAAGGGGAAGCAAGGCACATCTTACAAAGCAGCAGGCAAATGAGTGAGAGAAGGGGAAAGTGCCAGACACTTATCAAACAATCAGATCTCATGAGAACTCACCCACTATCACGAAAACAGCATGGGGGAAACCGCCCCCATGATCCAATCACCTCCCACTAGGTCCCTCCCTTGACACATGGGGATTACAATTTGGATTACAATTTGAGATGAAATTTGGGTGTGGACACAGCCAAAGCATTTTGACATCATATGTATTAAAACATCATCTGATGAGTACATATAATTATTACCAATTTAAAAAATAAAATTAGAAAACTTTTGGATTTTGCAGCATTTCAGAATTTGGATTTTTTGGATTAGGAATACCCAACCTGTATAGGCTCTGTCACTTATTGACCCCTTTCTGACGTATAGCAAATCATTCAATATTACTCAGCCTTAGTTTCTTCCTTTGCAAATAGAGATGATTGTGATATGGGAGGGGGCAGGGAAGTGCTGGGAGGAGAAACATGGGGTCCCTGGCTAAGGCTCCACCCTCGGACCTGTGCCCATGGACCTAGGTGAGGATAGGCACTCCTGTTTTCACGTCAAAATGTTGCATTTTCCAAGAACATTCTGGCCCACCACGCCCCGCATTCTGTGCTATAAAAACCCTGAGACCCTAGCGGGCACACATACAAGTGGGTGGACGTCAAGAGGAGTACACCAGCAGAAGAACACACCGACAGACACCGGCAGATCATCAGCCACTGAATGATATGGACGCCAAGGAAGTTCAGCCAATGGCGTTTGGAGGAGAGCCTGGTCACTGAGCAGCCCGACACCAGGGGAAGAAAACCTTCCCACTTCATCCCCCTTCTGGCTCCCCATCCATCTGCTGAGAGCTATTTCCACCACTCAATAAAACCTTGCACTCATTTTCCAAGCCCACTCGTGATCCGATTTTTCCTAGTACACTAGGGCAAGAACCATGGGATACAGAAAGCTTTCTGTCCTTGCCATAAAGCAGAGGGTCTAACTGAGCTGATTAACATAAGCCACCTGCAGACAACTAAGCTGAATGAGTACACTGTAACACACGCCCAATGGGGCTTCAGGAGCCATAAACACTCATCCCTGGACACTGCTGCTGCCACAGGGCCAGAGCCTAGGCTCCCCACGACCTGCCCGCCTGCATGCTCCCCCTAGGGGTTTGAGCTCCTGGGCACCAAAGAAATGAGCCACGGCCCTGACACACGCCCTGCGAGACGGATAAGGGAAAACTCCTCCCATTTCCATTACACATACTTATGCACATCTTGTAGGGAACAAAAATGTCTTAAATGTAAAGCCCTTGGCTCAATAACATACATAAGAGAACCAAAAAATGGCAGTCATTATTAGTGGTGATAGTGTAATAGTAAGTAGTATTCTTAAAAATCCCCCAATTTCTTAACCATCAATTAAAAATCACAGTGACTTAATCTCAATATAATATTCTAATAAATGTTCTGGTCACCATTTGAATTTAGACTGTGCTGTCCTCAAGTTTAAGGGCTTGTGGCTTACTTATGTTGATATGTTGTCTTAATTGAATTCATTCCATTTATGACAAATTAGATTGTACTTCAAAATTTGCCTTATTGTAAGATGCCTCTTCATCCAATACTCTACTGCAATGGCAATATCCCTGCCTATATGACAATTAGTCTTATCACTCAATAGACTGGCAATTCTGTGGTACAACTATGTAAAAAAATTCTAGATTCTTACAATTCATGAAAAAATATATGGTGCTTGTTCATTACTAAATCAGCCAAAAAATTGTACAGAGCCTAGGTATGTGCATAAATGATTGAAAAAATAAAAGAATAAATGAACAATTGAAGAAAATCTCTATTAGATATAATGAGAAACACCTTTTGCTTAAATCCACTACTAGTTTGGGACACTCTCTTTATTTGTGATTTAAAGTGTTTTTCGACTAACTCAGATATCTAAACCCCAAATCCATTTTTGAAACAAACTCTAATGACACCAAAGTGCCAGTCAAAAAGAGTGATTGTCCCACAGACTCTTAGCTGATTGATACTTATCTTAGCAATTTTTACTCACAGATCATAGCTTTAGATTTGGTGGAAAGGAAAAAGTTGTGAAGCACTTTGAATTGACCTAAAATTAAAAATTGAATTTGGCTTCCACTCAGGAATTCATAGAACAGAAAATGCTGGCTCCTTTCTGAAGCCTCCCCTGTCACAGCCTCTTGTCCACTCCTCAGATCCATCACACCCCTGGCTTACTCTCTTCTTGACATGTATCATAAAGCATAACAAATATTTGTTACATGTGTTGTGAGCAACTGGAGGCCAGTAACTAACAATGAATGCACCTCTTTCTTTATATTCATTTCCCCCCCAGATATTGACTGGATCCTCAATAAACATAGAACTATCAAAATGATATGATGTATGATGATATCTAATTCCATTTGGTTCTTGATGAAATCTCAGTAAGCTTACTTCAGGGTTGATCTGAACTGCAACTAAGCATGATGTCATCCTGTGAGATCCTAAACTATACCCACCTCCAGTATATACATACCTTATTAATACCTATGAGACAGCCTACGAGATTAAGCTCAACTGGAACTCAATCTTCAAGATCTTTCTGAAGCACACTTTCCTCATAAAGCTGTCCAAGACTAACCCAACCACAAGGATTTTCCTCTTCTTTAAATACTTAGCTCACATTTTATAGAAACAAGCTTATAAATAAAAAACACGAGAGAAACTTGCATGTATTGTTCCTATCACCCTATAGATGCTTAATTGTATCCTTTCTTATGGTAGATCTTTTTCTTTATTATAAATTATTGAAATGCCTTTTTATTTTCTATGTCATGATTAACTTTTTGATATTTTTGGGATCTCTATTGTTAACTGTAGGGCTAACTCTTTGAGGATAAGAACCGTATTTCATCTTCTTATGTTTCCCTTCCTAATGTCAGCTCAAAGCCTTGCATATGTTGGGTGTTAAATGCATGTTTGTTGAAATAAAAACATACATGGGAAAGCTCTTTTTCAGTAATTCACATCGGATGGAAGGAACAGCAACAGCTATAATGAAAAATTCTACATTCTTTTCCAAATTTCATTTTTATAAACAATGCAAAAAGATATCCGATTCCTCCTCTTGCAGTAGCAAGTCAAACCTAAAGTATTGTTAAACTCTTTGAATACTCATTTAAGTAGTGTAGCTAAAATCTTCTTAGAATCTAATCTTCTTACAATCTAAGTCAGAGGAAAGTGTTCAAGGTAATAATAATGCACTAACAGGTATTGTGTGCTTACTATGAATCAGGGACTGTTAGAAGTATTTTATATTTATTGTGTATTTTAAGCTTCATAACAGTCCTATAAGTACACTTATTGCTGTTAGTTTCACAGATAAAGAAACTGAGACCCGAGAGGATAAGGAGTTTGTCTAGGACCAAAAGTACCAAGGGCTGGTATTCAAACCCCAGCAGTCACATTCCAGCATTCTTGTTATAGCAATATACATAGCTGCCTTCTAAGATGGCTCATTCTTCTCAGATTATACTGATCATCTTCAAAATCTCCCTTAAATTTCCCAAATCAAATTTACAAAATCACTAATGCACCAGGCTGAATGCCAGTACACACTGTTGTCTGGATGAGGATGTTACCTAAGGTTTACAATTGCCAAACTAGCACGTGATATACATTTTGATTTTTTTAGAATCAAAAGTGAATGTAGGCTTGTATCATTCAAGTATATATAGTCCTTAATTAGACTTGTCTTTAAATTTTGATAAAGAAACATCCATGAGCACTTGTAAGTTTAGAAGGTCAAAGCAGTGATATAAATTCAAAACCTGAGAGTTTATACAAATTAAAACTGAAAAGCATATCCTGTACCCATGAACAGTCTCTGATAATTTGCAAAATACTAAAAAACATTCAAGGTATTTAGAAAGACTATAAAGATGTTTTATGAAGATGGCACACACACACAAAAACACTTTCTCATGAGCAGACAGGAAGCCTAACTTGGAATTTCAAATTAACTTTTTGTGTGATGCATTATTTAATAAATGTTGGCATTAATTTTTAAAGGGTTTAATTTGCATACCATTACTGGGCCAAATGGTTGATGAGGATCACAATTAAAGAAAGATGCACCATTCATTTTACTAAGAAGAAAAAAATCCAGCAAAGTCAAATCTTCATCATTAAACTGAATAAAGGCAGCCTATAACTGCCAAAAATGTAGAACTCCCTGACAGATGCAATTTAACTCCTATGATTATTTAAATCAACCTCCTTTATGTATGACCCTAAGCAAAAACTCAGTATCTTCTCAAAGAATAAGTATTTTTTAATACTATGGACTTCAGAAGGAAAAAAGGCATTAGAACAGAAAAGCAAATTAGAGATTTTAGGTTTGGGAATATATGTAAATATAATTTGAAAGAATATGCCATCATGTAATGTTACACTATAGACATGAAGCACTTATGCAAAATGGAAGACACTTCACTAGCACACTAACTAGCTTTTACTTCCAACATGATGCAAGCTGTGTTTAGTCCAAAGAAGTTATACAGAAAAAAGGCACAGAGTCCACTGTCATGTAGTTTATTATCTAAACCAAATGTATTGTTTTCACATGCACCCCTATTACAATCTTCTAAAGGGAAACATACTATTTACTGAGTTACTATGTTCCAGGCAAAAGATTAGCGGTCATGTGCAGAGTGAAAAACATGTATATATAATAAAGTCCGTGGGTGACCTGGCAGCCGAGCATACCTGGAGTGCTGGAACAGGGACTGGAAGCACCCACTGTGACAGTTGTTGATCCTAGACAAAGATATTCATTCACACACTGGTTCTAAACACTGATTGGGACCCTAAGTACATTTGTCTGCTATGATGTACCCTTGGTTTTTATCATGAGCTTTGCGTAGTTGGTAGACCTGAAAACCTTAGGATGGGTGGTGCCATCTTGGGCTGTGTCCATGAGGACCCAGAGTAGATAGCTTTGCATTATGTCCATTCAGCCATCATACATTGCAATGATGGACCAAAGCTGCAGAAGCAAGCACTTCAAAATAACTGCATAATCTTCCCCAACAAGTTCCTCAACCTCAAATCTTGATGCTGAAATAGTCACATAAAGTGATGTTTTTGCAATTACACAGGGCCAGACACTGGAGATCATCTTCAGCTTTAATAATCTGTTGCTTTGATGAAGCAACAAACAACAATAACCACAATCTCTATAGGGACCACTGATAAGATATTCCCAAAGGACAGGCGAATGACAACTTTTTTGTGTGTGGGGGCAGGGTTGGGGGATGAAAGTTGAAGGGGTTCTTTCCTATTTCAAGTAACTTTTAAATTGTTGTTAAAGTAATTCATACTCTTAAGAGATTGGAAAATAAATATTTGAAGGAAAGACAACTCATGATGACTATGAAGAGACAAACTCTAATGAATTTTGGTGTTGAAACTACCAATTTTTTTTTTTTTTTATAATACAACCATGTGCAGTAGAAGCCCTCTTGTTGGATAGCCAGCAATCTTTTGGTTAATCAGAAAAGATTTTATAAGGTGCAGAGTGTTTGGAACTTATATATATGTAATATGTAAGTTTAACTTAATTTATACATAATCATTTCTTTGCTATTTTTTTTATGTAGGACTAAGCTTTTTTTTCTGATTTCAGGTCTTCTCATGGGATGTCCATGTCATCTTTATAATATAAATCATATTCCTAATGGCCCATAAATGTTTTCCAGATTGTTTTTTCTGAAATTAGAACAATAATATAAAGACACTTAAAGAAATCTCCACACAGAATTCTGGATTTTGATCATTTTCCCTGGTGTTTCACAGTTACCTTGTCTGCATATAATTTCAGCAAATTCTCTTAGCTACTCAAATTTATTAACTTTTTCTACAGTATTCTCTTTACTTTACACAAGACAACTCCTTTCAGCAGTAAGAGCTTACTAGACATTTTAATTTGTAAATAGACTTTATAATAGCAAGTAAAAATGGTATTAATGGCATAAAAACAAACATTTGACTCTTAAGTCTACATAAAAATCAACAGGTGAAACAAAGTGTGGGTATTCTAGGGAGCAGCTGGCTCTCCATAAGTATTGATACCAGTGAAGATACTTTACCAAGGAAGGAGGGAACATCAGCTGCTTTGAGAAATAGAGGGCAGATAAAATAACTTCTACAGAAATAGTTTTACAAATTGGGATTATATACTCTATTGTATATCAATATATTATTTTTTATCACCCACATGTATTGAGAGCATTTTCCCACATCATTATTTATTTAAAATGTGAATTTTAAATGGCAGCATATAGTCTACTAACATGCACTATAAAGAATTCAGCTAGTCTACTACCAGGTACTTAGGTGGGATATTTAGGTTGCTGTTATATTTTTGCTATTAAGATCATAATACCACAATCTTAATGTGAACTTCTATTTTGTTAGACTTTATTCTTAGAATATTTAAGGGATCAAGCAAAACAAATATTTTAAAGGCATTTCATACCTATTTCCAAACTGGTTGTCAAAAACATTTGTATTATCTACTATTGGTGGTATTGATGAGTAGAGTAATAGTATGAGATTGAATATTTTCAGCACCTTACTCAATATTTTGTATTTATCTATTTCCTGCCTTTCCAATTTGGACATATATTATAAATATTTATTTTCAGGTGCTTCCTTAGCTCTTAGTTACATAGTAAATTTTATTTTCATATCAATATTTTTAAAAATTTTACCTGTGTATCAAAATTTAGGTTTTACTTTTAGATTTTACTTTTATATCAAGAAGTTTTAGATTTCTTAGGTAGTCATAAGACCAGTCACTTTGTTTTATTTTTTAAAATTTTTGCTTGAAAAGCTATATCTACAAACCTCAAAATAGATAAATACGCCTCAGATTTTCTAATAATGTTACAGTGTTATCTTTTATATTTACCTCTCCAATGTATTTTAGATATACTTTTCCATGAGCTGCAGAGTAGGGATGATATGATTTTCCAAAACAGTAAACTAATTTGGGGCAAGTTGACATGTTTACTGTATTATATTCCCATTCAGGAACAAGACATTTTTCTGCTTAGCAAAGAATATCTGACATGGTATAAATATAGGACCCCAAAGTAAATTTTAGTTAACTAAACCTTTTAAAATAATAATAAAATTTAAACTTGTTACAATATTTAAAACTCACGTATATTTTCTTAATTTTCTACATTTGATATACAATTATATTTCAAGCCACTATGTGTTCACTGAATATTCTCAATTTAGTGTTTCTCAACAGACTCACTCTTCCTGGCTTACAACCAAGGTCTTGCAGATCTGGAATTTTCTATTTCCAAGCTCCTTTCAGAGAATGAGGAGTGAGGGATTCATTCATGCCTTGAAATCCTGTTCCTTCTGCTCCTGTGAAGTGCTAAATATTGGGAACTCTGTAAGGCTTGCTGCTTCTCTGAGTTCCACCCTGCATGTTATGCATAAATCGTATTGTCCATGGAATTGTTAAATGCACCTGGGATTCTATTGTTTCATTTCCACTCTGAGAAGTTGTTCTTGGAATTGCAGCAGAGCATACAGTCCCTTCTCAAGGATTCACCACAACAGAGCCCTTCTGCTCTTCCCTGATTTCCTTTCCCCCCATGCATAGGAATCTTCATTAGTCTGGATGTAATGCAATCTGGCTCTTCATCTACTTAGCCAGAAGATTGTCTTTTGCTTCAACTTGATGCCTTGAGTCTTCTAGTGTTCAGACTTTGAAGTTTTAAAAAAGCTTACTCTCTTGTGACTTAAAGACCTTCTCTTGCAGGACTGTTAGCTCTGTCATGAGTTTCAAAAGCAAAAATTGACAACTTTTTGATCTCTTTTCTGGTCTGGTATTATCTGAAATAATGGCCATAGAATTATCTTGCTCCTGCCTGGATTGAAGTGCAAGGAATAATGATCATTGAATAATAGGAATAACCAGGAATAGAAAATACATTATTAAGATTTACTATTATAAAGATGTCAATTATCCCTCAGATTGAAATACAGATTCAATGCTATACCATTCAAAATTCGACCAACATTTGGTTGACAGTGACTACCTGTTTTTAAAATTAATAAGGAAATGCAGAGAATCAAGCTTAGCCAAAGCACCTTTGAAGGTCACATGGGAGGACTTATCCTCCTAGATATCCTACTAGATATCAATTAAGATCATGTGATATTGGCAAAGAATAGATATGTATACTCCTGAAAGGGAATAGGTCTATCAGCAGACCCATGAATATATATATAACAAATCCAGTGTCTATATATATAATATGGTATATTATATATAGATGGACAGGTATATATAATACATATTATATATACCTATATTATATATTATATATACATATATTATATATACCTATATTATATATTATACATATATTATATATACCTATATTATATATACCTATATTATATATTATATATACATATATTATATATACCTATATTATATATTTTATATATATACATATATATGTATATATATATATGGACACTGGATTTGTTAAAAAGATCAGTGGGGAAGGGGAGGTCTTCTCAATAAATGGCCTGAGTCAATTGTCCATCTATCAGCAAGAATGATTAAACATGATCCCTCTTCTATTACACACAAAATTCAATTTTAGTAGATGTAAATACAAGAGATAAAAAACAAAATTCATAATATAAGGTAACATTCATGAAAATTATGTTTTTAAAATAGGATATTAAAGAAGCATTGCTATAAAGAGACATATTTATAAATTGGAGTACATAAGGGCAAAGATTTTTGCAACACATCTAACCAACAAAGGGATTATATGCAGAATATATAAAGAATTCTTACAAATAAATAAAAGACAAATGCAAACAATTCAAGAGGAGAAATGGACAACATACTTTAATAGGCACTTCACAAGATGATAGACAAACAGTAAAGGAATATACATATTTTTTAATTTTTGTATTTTTTTTCTTTCTTTTTATTATACTTTAAGTTCTAGGGTACACACAAACCTACACAACATGCAAGTTTGATACATAGGTATACATGTCCCATGTTGGTTTGCTGCACCCATCAACTCATCATTTACATTCAGTATTTATCCTAAGGCTATCCCTCCCCGCGTCCCCTGCCCCACGACAAGCCCCAGTGTGTGATGTTCCTCCCGCTGTGTCCAAGTGATCTCATTGTTCAGTTCCCACCTAAGAGTGAGAACATGCAGTGTTTGGTTTTCTGTCCTTGAGATAGTTCACTGAGCATGATGGTTTCCAGCTTGATCCATGTCCCTACAAAGGACATGAACTCATCCTTTTTTATGGCTGCATAGTGTTCCATGGTATATATGTGCCACATTTTCTTTATCCAGTCTATCATTGACAGACATTTGGGTTGGTTCCAAGTCTTTGGTATCGTGAACAGTGCTGCAATAAACATATGTGTGCATGTGTCTTTATAGCAGCATGATTTATAATCCTTTGAGTATATACCCAGTAATGGGATTGCTGGGTCAAATGATAATTCTAGTTCTAGATCCTTGAGGAATCGCTACACTGTCTTTCGCAATGGTTGAACCAACTTACACTCCCACCCACAGTGTAAACGCGTTCCTATTTCTCCACATCCTCTCCAGCATCTGTTGTTTCCTGACTTTTTAATGATCACCATTCTAACTGGTGTGAGATGGCATCTCATTGTGGTTTTGATTTGCATTTCTCTGATGACCAGTGATGATGAGCATTTTTTTATGTGTCTGTTGGCTGCAGAGATGTCTTCTTTTGAGAAGTGTCTGTTCATATCCTTTGCCCACTTTTTGATGGGATTGTTATTTTCTTGATAATTTGTTTGAGTTCTTTGTAGATTCTGGATATTAGCCCTTTGTCAGATGGGTAGATTGAAAAAATTTTCTCCCATTCTTTAGGTTGCCTGTTCACCCTGATGGTAGTTTCTTTTGCTGTGCAGAAGCTCTTTAGTTTAATTAGATCTCATTTGTCTGTTTTGGCTTTTGTTGCCATTGCTTTTGGTGTTTTAGTCATGAAGTCCTTGCCCATGCCTATGTCCTGAATGGTATCACCTAGGTTTTCTTCTAGGGTTTTTATGGTTTTAGGTCTAACATCTAAGTCTTTAATTAATCTTGAATTAATTTTTGTATAAGGTGTAAGGAAGGGATCCAATTTCAGCTTTCTGCATATGGCTAGCCAGTTTTCCCAGCACCATTTATTAAATAAGGAATCCTTTCCCCATTGCTTGTTTTTGTCAGGTTTGCCAAAGATCAGATGGTTTTAGATGTGTGGCGTTATTTCTGAGGCCACTGTTCTGTTCCATTGGTCTATATCTCTGTTTTGGAACCAGTACCACGCTGTTTTGGTTACTGTAGCCTTGTAGTATAGTTTGAAGTCAGGTAGTGTGATGCCTCCAGTTTTATTCTTTTTGCTTAGGATTGTCTTTAGCCAAGGAATATTTTTAAAGCTGCTTCACCTCATTAGACCTCATGGAAGTGCAACTTCAAGCCACAGTGGGATGCCATTCTACACCATAACAGAATGTCTAACAATGAAAATATTGGAAATGCTAAGTTGGCAAAGCTGAGGAGCCACAGGAACTGATACACTTGTGATGGAAATGCAAATTATTGCAACCACTTTAGCATTGACATATTCTGCTAAATTTGAATGTGTAACGCTTCCTAACAATTTCACTCCCATAGAACTGTGTTCACAGGTGCATCAAAAGACATTTATGAGAATGCTAATAGCCAAAAATTGGCAACAGCCCAAATGTTCATAAACCGAAGAATGAATAGTTATTTGGTGATACGCTTATACAGTGCAGTCTAGAAATCATAGTGAATGGGCTAAACCTGCATACACAGATGGATGAGTCTCACAGACATTATATTGAGTAAAAGAAGCTAGAAACAAAAGAGTGTGTACCATATGATGATTTTTACATAAAGCTCAAAAACAGGAAAAATTATACTATGGTGTTGACGTCAAAAGAGTGGATCTTTGGGCAAAAGTGAAAGAATAGAAAACGGGAGGTTCTCAAGGGGGTTTCAGGATGATGGTTGTATTAGTCCATTTTCATGCTGCTGATAAAGACATACCCGAGACTGGGTAATTTATAAAGGAAAGAGGTTTAATTGGCGCATGGTTCCATATGGCTGGGGAGGCCTCACAATCATGGCAGAAGGTGAATGAGGAGCAAAATCACATCTTACATGGATGGAGGCAGTCAAGAGAGCTGGTAGGGGAACTCCCCCTTATAAAACTGTCAGATCTTGTGAGACTTATTCACTATCAGGAGAACAGCATGATAAAGACCTGCCCCCATGATTCAATTACCTCCCACAGGGTCCCTCCCACAACACGTGGGAATTGTGGGAGCTACAATTCAAGATGAGATTTGGGTGGGGACACAGCCAATCACTGGTAATTTTTTAAGATTTCTTCACCTGAGTAGCATCTAAATAGGCTTCACAATTATGATCCATTGCTTATTTGTAGGTTTATTTCAATTTTAAAAGTTTTAAAAGATATCATGATGCCGGGTGTGGTGGCTCACACCTGTAATCTCTGCACTTTGGAAGGCTGAGGTAGGTGGATTGCTTGTGACGAAGAGTTCAAGACCAGCCTGGGCAACATGGTGAAACCCTGTCTCTACAAAACATAAAAAAATTGGTGTGCTAGTACATGCCTGTAGTCCCAGCTACTCAGGAAACTGAGGATCATGAGCCTGGGAGGCAGAGGCTGCAGTGAGCTGAAATTGTGTCACCACCCTCCAGCCTGGTCAAGAAAGCGAGACTCTGCCTCAGGAAAAACAAACAAAAAAAACCTATTTATATTCCTTTGCGTATGTACCCAGTAATGGGATTGCTGGGTTGAATGGTATTTCTGTCTGTCTTTAGGTCTTTGAAGAATCCCCACACTGTCTTCCACAATGTTTGAACTAATTTATACTCCCACCAAGTGTAAAAGCCTTCCTTTTTCATCGCAACCTCGCCAGTATCTGTTTCTTGACTTTTATTAATAGCCATTCTGAATGTGTGAGTTGGTATCTCATTGTGGTTTTGATTTGCATTTCTCTAATGAATATGGCATGGAATATTCTCACTTATAAGTGGGAGATAAATGATGAGAACACATGGACACATAGAAACAACACTATTTGTTGTCTTATTTTCCATTGTTATGAAAACTTTACACACTGGGTCCTATCAGAATGGAGGATGGGAGGAGGGAATAACTAATGGATAATAGGCTTAATACCTGGGTGATGAAATAATCTCTATAACAAATCCCCATGACCCACATTTACCTCTGTAACAAACCTGTACATCCTGCACATGTGACCCTAAGCCTAAAAGTAAAAAATATATAATGTTGATAATATGAAAATGCTATCCTGCTACATTTGCTATGTAACTTATACATAAATATACCATATCTACACATAATATATATGAATATGTACATATTGATGGGAACAAATATATTAAAGGTGCATATAAGTTTAATTTGTTCTGTATATAACAGAATCTCTCCCTTTTCTCTTCTGTATTATTTTCTTCTGCATTACAGATGTATTCTCAGCTTCAGTTCTCTTCAACATCATGAGCCCAATTTTCTGTGATACCAGTTATCCTTACTGCTTCTAATGCTGTTATTAGTAATGCTATTGAATCTTTAGATTCCTTGGGGACTTCCCTTAGTTTTTACACACCTTTCCTTACCTTTTTTACTCCCTCTCAGCTCATTCTGTTTTCTCTAATATTAATATATTATTTTTATATATTGTTCCATAAACTCATATTTTAATTTTGTTAATGATTCAAAGCAGGTGATTTTTGAATTTTTCTTTAGACTCCTGGGGAAATTATTTTCTGAAGTTAATTTTTCTCAGCACCTAGAGTGCAATGTCGTATTTATGAGTTTCAGAATATATGTATAGGGTACTTTTCTTACTTGTTAATCCTTTATTGAAAAAGTTGTTGTCTATCCAGTACTACCAGCATAGTTTGCCTTTATAGATTCCCAGATAGATATTAGAATCCCTCTAAGACCTAAACCTGGAGAATTTGTTGTTGTAAACATTGCTCAATGAGGTATCAGTTATACTTTATTAAGTTTTGTGAATATACAAACTGGAGGAGAAATCTCTTGGCACCCCTGCCTGACTCTTACTAAAAAGAGCAGAATTTATTCTTGGATGAAATTACCTATGATCCTTTCTTCCCTTGCTAAAAAGATAAATCGCAAACTGTAACTCACAGGACAACTAATTTCATGGTCCTTATAAGTTTAGCTTCTTACTCCTGCCTAGCCCTTCAGTGCTAACCTCAGAGATACAAAATCCAGTTCTTACATTCCCAAGCAAGATGCCCTCTTGTGTCTTTTAGTAAAGGGAAGAGGTGGAGAGAAAACGTTTTGGTGAGGAGAGAGGAAGAGGTAAGGAACTGAACTGGCCCTTCTCTCCTTATAATGCAGCTCTAAGAGCACAGTCATTCCCTCTTTCCCACTGTCAAAACCCCATGAATCTATATTTTGAGTGGAAAGGAAACAGAGGGGAGGGGAGAAATGTAACTCACTTACCACCTTCCTACCTCATGGCCCACATTCTTTGATGAGTAGAAATTCTTCCCAGGTTCAACAAATAGTTGATTATTATTCCCATTTTCCGTTGTTCTTAAAACTTTACATCTTATTTTTTATGACGATTCAATGGAAAGGCATAATGGAGTGAATCAGGCATTTTTACTTTCTCTCATCACAATCCAGAAGTATTTTTTATGAGGCCTTCTCCAACGTCAAACTAACTTAGTTCAGGAGGAAAGGTCTTTCTCCCCATTTGGCCCCATTCTCATTTGAGTCCAGTCATGGGGGTAAAAAAAGAGACAGAAATATAGGCAGAAGTAGCAGCAGCAGCAGATAGGAGAGTTGAGGCAGAAAATGTTAACATACAGAAATAAGTGCTTAAGTGGCTCCAGGCACCACTGCTCTCTGGGGCCAATAACTCTTTCTCTTTGAACTTCATCGAGTAACCTTACACTTGTAAGTTCACCAACAAGGTTTAATCTCAGAGATGGTCCCGTATACACTATGGTATGAAAGAGCGAAGTTGATAATAATCTTTCCATTCTTCTCCTCTCTCTTTATCTACCTAGTTTTCATCTTTTGTTTATTTCTTCACATTATATGTCCTTTACTGCTTTCATTATAACTCACTTTATTATTCCAGGTGTGAGTAGTAATTACAATTATTTAACCTACAGGGAAACAAAATTTAGAGGGAGAGTATATTCAGAAAATACAAACTTTTGAATTACATTTTTATATTTAAAGACATAAGCCAAAATTCCAAACTATTTAAATTTGAAAGGCAATATCTTCGCTACTGATGGTTGTAACTTGCCAATAGTAGATGAATAGATGGCTAAAAAAAAGCAAGTAAACATTAGGAAATTCTGAATCCCACCACTTACACGCTTTAAAAATGATGTAACTCTTCCTCAAAAGTTAAGCGCATTTTCCATAGGAACAATACTACTCATATTGACATAATATGAGAACAATATTAGAGGTATTTATGGGATACCAGGCTTTTTCCTGACAGTTGTCAAACCAAGAATCACCCTCATTGCTTCTGTGGGAAAATAACCCAAGTTACAAATAACCAACTTGTAAATAAATATTTAAATTGATTTTTAGCTATTGTCAGTGGAAAACTGTCTAACTAGCTTGAGATTAAAATGTTCTTTATTAAATTAAAGTTAGAAGCTAGTTTATTTTTCAGGCAACCACCATACAAATCAAGGATGGCATTTGTGTGTCTGTTACTTCATTCTGCAGTTGGTGGTGTACTGGCAGTGGACCAATGCTTTAAAGTATGAAGGTGGAACATCTCTCCAATCTTTCTTACCTCCATAAACCATTCATTTTCTATGTTATTTTCTAAGTTCCTTATGTTACTGTATTGATCGTAAGATAATAAGTTTAGTCAACCATAAAATGGTAACAACTTACATGCAGGCATGGAAATGTTTTTAATTTGAACTAGTTTTACTGGATGAAGGTTTTTAGGTGTCCATAATATCACAGAGACAGGATGTATGACAAATGCAAAATAAATTAAGTTGTGTCTCACTAAAGAAGCGGGCACAATTACCAGAATTGCAGTCTGGGCATCTTTCCTTAAAAATAACTGAACGCATAATAAAGGGGAAAAGTCCACACATCAGGAAAACTGGCAGAGATTCATGTCAGTGAAGTTAGAAGAAATATGTATTCAATCACCTGTGATGTCAAAGGAATTTTTAATGTTTGCTTTATAATTTTAAAAATTACTTTAAAATATTTTAAATGTGAACACTAATTTTTGAAATAAATTACTGAAACCTAAATAGAAGAGAATAGAGACCAGGAATCAAATTCTTATTCTGGCACCAAGAATCAGTCTGATTTGGCAAATTTCTTAATAGGCCTGGACTTAAATGTCTTTATCTGTATAACTAAGCTTTAATATGAGATCCCTTTCAGCTTTAATATGTCATGATTATAACATAAATTACATACATTCTAAAGAAATGAAAAAACTTAATGGATATATAAACAGTGGTTTCTGTAACACAGGAAAGACAGAGTTCATGAATATTTAAGGAAATATCTACTATTATCAAATGTATTTATTTCTGAAAATTACTTCTAAAATTAGCAGCCTCAACAGTAATAATTACAATAATAATGTCAGCAACAGTATTGAGTGCCAACTATATTCCAGGCACTTCACATAGAAGATCTTGTTTAGTCTTCCTAATAGCAATACAAGATAAATTTATCTCTATGTTATGGATGTATAAACTGCTTGGAGAGGGTAAGTTTCCTAAAGTCATTCAGACAGAAAGCAGCAGAAACAGAGCTCTAACCCACATCCCTCTGAACCAAAACACTCTTTCAGCAGAGAAAGTTTTAGTATTTCCTATCTTATTTATTCATTAGCTGTCATAAAAAATGGACATCTATACTCTAAAAGTCATTTTTCTCTAAAAACTAATATTATATATTATTAAGCTTTCTAGAATATTTAAAAAGAAAATAATTTTTAAATATATATTTCAATAAAAAAATCACAAATTTTAAGGTAGTATAGAGTTATATATAGTTGAAAAAAATCTTAAGTCACAAAAACTTTATCAATTATCTGAACATAACACAGCTGAACTTAAATATCTATTTTTATCAGACCTCCATTATGTGGCCAGAGTTTGAATCCCAACATAACCACTTAGCATGTTTGTGATCTTGAACAAGTAATTTATCCTTTTATGCCTAAATTGGTTCCTGTATAAGAAGACAAAAAATTTATTTCAAAGGATTATTTTGAAGATTTAGTGGCATAATAAATATGAAAGTTCTCCACAAAATTAAAGCACTAAGTACATTGTTAATTGAGAAAACACCATGAAAGATTTTTTGTCTTTCTGACACTATTTCTTTATAGAGGCTTCTAACTTAGAAATGAATAGGTTAAATATTGAAAATGTTGGTAAAACCAGAATTAATCTGAAAAGAATTAGTATCCTTCTAAATTATTTCTGGGATATTAATTGATATAAACTTTTGGCAATGTCTTTTGAAATTGTGAAATGTGCCTAGCCTTTGATTCATCATTTCCACTGTAGGAATTTATCCTAGAGGAATATTTACAAAGTTTTCAAAGGATTGAAGGTCTTTTTAGCAAAAGAACAAATGAACCCACATAAACGTTCATTAAAAAATTGCAATACATCTATGTAATGGAACACTATATATTTTAAAAGGAAGATCTTATAAACACTGAAATATGAAGATGTCCAAGATGTATTGTGTTTTGTTAATTCAAGGAAATTATGGACATTGTGTATGTCATAATACAATTTTTTAAAAAAATGCTTAGCTATGCATATACATTAGAAATGGGCTAGAGAACTGTAAATGTAACTTTTTTTTATTATACTTTAAGTTCTAGGGTACATGTGCACAACGTGCAGGTTTGTTACATATGTGTACATGTGCCATGTTGGTGTGCTGCACCCATTAGCTCGTCATTTACATTATGTATACCTCCTAATGCTATCTCTCCCCCCTCCCCCCACCCCACGACAGGCCCTGGTGTGTGATGTTTCCCACCCTGTGTCCAGGTGTTCTCATTGTTCAACTCCCACCTATGAGTGAGAACATGCGGTGTTTAGTTTTCTCTCCTTGCAACAGTTTGCTTAGAATGATGGTTTCCAGCTTCATCCATGTCCCTGCAAAGGATATGAACGCATCCTTTTTTATGGCTACATAGTATTCCATGGTGTATATGTGCCACATTTTCTTAATCCAGACTATCATTGATGAACATTTGGGTTGGTTCCAAGTTTTTGCTATTGTGAATAGTGCCGCAATAAACATATGTGTGCATGTGTCTTTATAGTAGCATGATTTATAATCCTTTGGGTATATACCCAGTAATGGGATGGCTGGGTCAAATGATATTTCTAGTTCTAGATCCTTGAGGAATCACCACACTGTCTTCCACAATGGTTGAACTAGTTTACAGTCCCACCAACAGTGTAAAAGTGTTCCTATTTCTCCACATCCTCTCCAGCAATGTAAAGTAAATTATTAACAGTATCTGCCTTTATGGACTGAAATAGGTGCTGTTGGGTACGGGAGAGTAGGGAGAACTCTTGCTATCTTATATGCGCTAGTTTTTTTTAATCTTTTAATTATGGGCGTGTTTTCTTTAGAAATAAAATATTTTAAAGAATCACTACTATTAAAGAAAATGTATAGATATACATAAAAATAAATACACTGGTCAGGGATGGGGCAAAGAATAGAAAACAATAATTTGTTTTCACAAAGAAGCCCACAATTTTTACAAGCTCAAAGGTAAATCAAGTAATGTAAATGAATATTTATGATATAGATATCAGAAGGAGCCTAAAACTATGTATGGTGATTTTTTTGAAATGTGTATATTCCAAGTGATGGAATTTACAGTACCACACATTTTTCTGTAGGATTTTTAAGACTTGAAGGACAACTATAATTAGGGTGCAGTGTTAGGCATCATTTCATTTGCCAATTATCTTTTTTCTTGTGAATGTAACCTCTGTCATTTGGGTATTAGTTTATTCACTCATAAATTTATTGCACATTGACTAAATGTCCAGCACTGTGCTAATTACTGGGTTTATATCTCACACAGAAGTTTCCAAACTTTCTCAGTTGACTGAACTTTAGCATCTCGGTAATTTTCTCAGGCATCACTAAGGCAAAAGAATTACTAACCAGTTCTATCTATTAAGTAGTTGGATCCAAACAACCTACTTACTAAGTATTTATAGTCTAACAACTTAGCACCTGTTGGGCAGTGCACAACTTCTAAAATTTTTGAATCAGATTAGATACCACTATCCTCATTTTCTGTTACATTGATTTTTGTGTGGTTCTTGCTTTTGATCATGATGATCATTGAAAGCTCAGCTTCAAAAATATATGACATAATTGAAACATAGTAATCTAATGTTGAAACCATAAACTTCTTTGTGCTAGTGGTTCATACTGTGTCCAATAGATTCTATGTTTCCTTTGAGCATATCACATATGCCACAGTATTCATCAGCATATTGTGATGGCTTGGTTCACAGTCTGTGAACCACCAGTCTAATGGGATAGCTGCTCAAATAAAACATTGATTATAGTTCAGGTAATAAGTCTGATGATATAGATGAGCCTCAATGGCTTTGGCAGAGAGGAAAGTTCATATTCCAGAGTGTGTGTGTTTTTGAAGTAAGGAGTCAAAGTAAGCTAAACCTCAAAGAAAAAGTAGACTGGGGCTTCCATTGAAGGAAATTACCATGTCTATTTCAGTCAGTACTATACCCTTAGGGTGTGGCATAAATATTAAATGAACACTTGGTAACTGAATAAGTGAATGGCAAGTAGAAGCTGGGCAGGTAAAATAGGTAGAAGTTGGGCTTGAAGGGCAATCTTGGCAAAGGGAGTAACGTATTCAGCAACATGGAAGCATGCGAGCACATGGTACACTCGGAACTGCAAATGATTCAGCATGGCCAGAGAGCAGTGTGTGATTGTTGAAGGGTCCAGATGCTTATTGGCCATTTTTTTCTATACTAAGAAGTTTGCCCTTTATCCTGAAAGCAATGAATATAGTTCTTGTCTATTTCTAGTAGAGGTGATATATATATATTTGCATTTTGGAAAATATTACAGAAGAGTGAAGCTACTAAAGACAATGCTTGGACTTGGATAAGAAAGAAAGATTGAGCTGATAGATCTAAAGTTTTTAAAAAATAGGTAAAGGATAATATTAAGCAGGTGATGGTGACAAGGATGAATACAAAATGGTATAACCAAATGACAGAAACCTCAAATCAGTATGCATTTTAAACCTGAGAATGAAGCAGGTAGTTCTGTATATCGGGTGTGAAAGAAGTAGTAGAATGTGAGTTCTAGCCTCCTGGCCCTGAAGCACAACTTTTAGTATTTTTCTCTAGTGTGATCTACTGGTGACAAATTTCTCTTAGTTTTTATTTGTCTGAAAATATATTTGTTTTGCCTTCATTTTGAAAGGGCACTTCTAAACTGACAATTATTTTCTTTATTTTATAGATGTGCTTCCATTGTTTTATGCCTTTTTTTTTTTTTCAGGATAGAGTCTTGCTCTGTCACCCAGGGTGGAGTGCCATGGCGCGATCTTGGCTCACTGCAACCTCCACCTCCCGGGTTCAAGCAATTCTCCTGCCCCAGCCTCCCAAGTAGCTGGGATTACAGGTGCGCACCACCACGTCTGGCCAATTTTTGTATTTTTAGTAGAGACGGGGTTTCACATGTTGGCCAGACTGGTCTTGAACTCCTGACCTTGTGATCCGCCCGCTTCGGCCTCCCAAAGTGCTGGGATTGCAGGCATGAGCCACCGTGCCCGGCCTGTTTTATGCCCTTCATTATTTTGTTGAAACGTCAACCATTCCTTGGAGGCATTGTATCTGTTTTGGCCAGCAATTCTTGAGATTTTCTATTTGTCTTTGGTTTCAGCAGTTTAATTGTAATGTGCCTATGGGTAGACTTTTTGTTGGTTTGTTTATTGGTATTGATATTGCTCTTATTTTATTTACCCTGTTTGGGTCTTATAGCCTTTCTTAAATATTTGATATCTTTCATCAATTTTGAGAAACAGTCATGTCTCATTAAGTACTGCATATGTCCCACTTTCTTCTAACTTTGTCTGGACTCCAATTACATCTGTTGGCATATTTTACCATGTTCAAATATTTTTATTCTGTTTTCTGTATTTTACCATCCCCATTTCCCTTTATGTTTCAGGCAAGGTATCTTTTATCTTTCAATAGACTAATCTCCCAATTCACTAATCTGGTTTTCTGCCGTGTGGAATTTGCTGTTAAACCCATCTTTTGATTGTTTTTCTACCTTCAGTTGTTCAGTTTTAGAATTTTTATTTAATTTTCATCTATTAGATGTTGGTCCTCAATTTTCCTTGTCATCATAAATATTCTTGAGTGTATTCATCACAATCATCTTTAGCTCCTTACCTGCTATCTCTATTAGCTAGAACAATATGGCTTTAATGCTACTGCCTATTTTTTTCTCTTAGTTTTTGCTCATTTGTTTCCTGGCATGCCCAGTAAATTTTTAATTAAATACTTGAGATTGTATATAAAAAACTATATAAGTTATTTGAGGCTCTGGGTAGTGTTATCCTCTTCTGGAAATGATTCAGTATTATTTCTGGCATCAGTTAGGCTAAAGGCAGATCTCTTGAATCTAAATGGAATCTGATCTGATTGGAAACTGGGTTTCAGATTTCATTATTTTCAATTCACCCTTATATTTAAGCCCTTATCAGAAGTCTGGGAATGTTTATCAGTGTCTTTTCTCCTCAGATTCTAAACTCTTTTTTGGGGGGGTGGGGCGGGGGGGCGGGGTCCTGCTATGTTGCTCAGGCTGGCCTTGATCTCTTGGGTTCAAGAAATTCTCCCACCTCAACCTCGTAAGTAGCTGGGACTACAGGTGCATGCCACTACACCTAGCTCTGAATTCTAATGTTTTACTCCTAAGCATCATGAGACTTCTGAAAGCTTTGAATTATTTACCAGTCTTTTTAGCTATCTCTTCACAACTTCTTCAGTAAGTATTGAAGCTTTATACCACTTGCAAACTGAAAAATTCCTTAAGGGGAAAACTACCTCAATGCACTTTTCTTTGGAATCTTGGCAATGCAGATCCCAACTGGGTTGGTAGCCTGAATACTAAATGTTTTCTTTTCAGCCCTGTGAGCCTTTAGTTGACAGAACTTCAAGGATAGGAGTGTCTTAGCAGGGAGCCATGATACAAAATAGATTAGAGTTAGTTAAACCATAGAATAGGGGTTACTCATAGTTGAAGGTTTCTAGAAAGGAGAACAAGAGAATTATAGCTCAACAATGCAGTACATGGATAAGAATATAGAAAAGTCCCGATGAAGAAGAGGTTTCCCTTTGAATGATGGACTGGCAGTTCAGCAATTTAAGGCATGATGTCATTATCTGAATCCAAATAGAACTGCCCTTATCACTGACTCTTTCCTGTCCCAATACAAACATGCCTATGCCAACCATGCCATCAAAGTGCGATTTCTTTCCCTCTCTGTAGATCCTATCATCTTCATGCATAATCTAGAAGCACCATCATGGCTGGGCTGGCACTCTCAAAAAGTACTTTCCAGCAGTGCTTGATGTCTACAAAGTGTCTTATAAAATAGCAACTGTGGCTATGGTCTCATTGTGCCAGAAAATGTTATCTGTTCTATTTCTTACTTTCTGTTTAAAAATCCCTACTCAGCTCTTGTTTACCTGATTATCATTTTGTCTGAAGCTGTAGTCTCAGATATAGCTGGCCCTTCCTGTCTGCTTAAGTTTATGATCAGACTCTCATTGTTTCCTCATCTTCCCTTCCTTTAACACATCAACTCTCAGCAGTGTGACTTTTGTTCATATCAGAGTCATCACCACTTATGTATACTCTTGCAATAGCCTCTTAAACCTCATATTAAGTGTCACTTTATTGCAATCCATTCTCCACAATGCTGTCAGGTATTTCTTTATAGATCTGATCATATCATTTCCTCAGTCAAAACCTTTGCTGGCTCTTCACTGTCTAAAGAATAATGCACAATCAGTTCTTGAGGAAATAAAAACTTTAGTAGTTATGCTGACAATTTTTCCAGAAAAGCATTATATATGAAAACATAGGGAATATGGCCAAAGCTGTTTTTCAGGAAAAAAAAGTCCATTTTTAAGGTCTTACTATAAAGTAAAAGTATGAAATGCATATATACTATATGCATTTGTATATAATGCAGAAAAACCTAGGAAAGGAGTAACAAAATAAACAAAAACAAAAGAAGAAATTACAGAAAATATGCAATTGGTAAACAAATTGACTAGCTGCCTCTCTGAGAAAAAACAACAATGTAGAACACTCTGGTAAGTTTCATTTAATATAAAAGAGAAAACACAAACAATATAATACACCATGCAGAACATACTGAAAATTATAAAAAATAACATGTTTAAATCTATTTGATTCTATTCTCATAAGGCAGGAAATCTTGGTGAAAATAAACTATTTCTAATAAACTACTTCCAAGAAAAATGAAAGTTAATCAAATTAATTCCATAACCCTCAGAGAACTAAGGAAGGTTGTCAAATACCTACAAGATGGTGCATGACCCTGGTAGTTTCAAAAACCACTGCTGTCAAAATACCCAAGGAATTTATACAACTTCATTAAAATATCTTAAAGCACACAAGAAAGGAAAACTTTTCAATTTACTTATGAACTATTACTCCAATAACAGAATTTAATGAAGATAGAGAAAAGAAGAAAACAAGTGGTTAATCTCACTTTGAAAGTCAAGGCAAAGCTCCCACATTTAAAAAATAGTATATAAAAACAATAAAACATAGTATAAAAACTTGTATTTTATAAATTATTACATGGATAATTCAATATAAGAAAATATGTTAGTTTGATTCATCATATCCAAAGACCCAAAAAAATCCATATGATCATTAGGTGCCAGCAGCTATTCCTTGTGGAGATACTTAGCAAAACAGAAATACAAGATACTTACTAAGCATGGTGAAGACATTTAATTCCAAATGAGTAGCTCATCTTTCTACCAATAGTGAAACAATAGATATACAAGTAATGAAATCAGGAAAAAGCCCGATATGGTTTGGCTGTGTGTCACCACCCAAATCTCATCTTGAATTGTACTCCCATAATTTCCACACGTGGGATTTTTGTAGGAGATAATCTGAATCATGGTGGGAGATAATTTGAAGGCATGGAGGCAGTTTCCCCAGTACTGCGGTAGTGAATAAGCCTCACAAGACATGAGGATTTTATCAGGGGTTTCCATTTTTGCATCCCTCTCATTTTCTCTTGCCGCCGCCATGTAAGAAGTGCCTTTCACCTCCCGCCATGATTCTGAGGGCTCCCCAGCCACATGGAACTGTAAGTCCAATTAAACCTCTTTTTCTTCCCAGTCTTGGGTATGTCTTTAACAGAGCATGAAAATGGACTAATACAAAGCATAAGGTCATTCTCTTACCACTATTATTTAGTATAATTCTAGAAGTACTCGTCAACATTATCACAGCAGAAAACAAAAATATAAATTAAAAGTATTAGGTTATATTTTCAACTGTATTTACATTACCTACATAAAGTAAGATTCATGAATTTTAAGTGTAAAATTCAGTGAGGTTTGATGAATTTATATAATCAAGTCACTTTGACCATAATCATGATACCAGCCATCAGTGCAAAATGTTTCCTTCTGTCTTTCTGAAATCAATCATGTTCCTCTATCCCCTGCCTCTGGCAACCACTGACCCATACTCTGCCACTATAGTTTTGCATTTTCTAGCATTTCATTTAAATAAAATCATGCAGAATATTTTGCATTTGGCTTCTTTCATTTAAGCATAATGCTTTGAAGATTCACTCATGTTGTTGAATGTATTAGTAATCAGTTAATTTTGATTGTTATATAGTAGTTCATTTTATGGATATACCATAATTTGTTTGTCCATTAACTTGTTGAAGGATATCTGGGTTTCTTTTAGTTTGAGGCTAGCTACTATGATGAAGCTGCTATGGATATTTGATTGCAAGTCATTGTATGAACACATTTCCATTTCTCTTAAGTAAATACCTAAGAATAGGATTGATGAACCATTGTATAATTGTACATTTAACTTAATAACAAACTGCCAAACTTTTCCCATAGAGACTGTAACATGCTTTGCTTTACCAGTTGCTCTGCATTTCTTGGCAATACTCAAAATTGTTTCTCTTTTTAGTTTTAGAAGTTTAAGGCATGATGTGTACACAAATCTCATTGTAGTTCTAATTTGCATTTCCTTCCTGAATAATGCTGTTGGGCATGTTTCATGAGTATATTTGACATTCACATATCTCCTATGTTAATGTTTCTGTTTCAAATCTACTTTTTCTTGATTCGGCTTCTTAAATTGAAAGAGCTCTTTATGTATTCTGTACACAAGGCTTTTATCAATTACGTGTTTTGCAAAGAATTTCTTGCAGTCTCTTAGTTATCTTTTAATTTTCTTAGTATTTTTTGAAGGGAAAATGCTTTAAATTTTAATTAATAATTTTTCCCCTTTTTTGGTGTGTGCTTTTGGGGTCATGTGCAAGAAATGTTATACTAATCCAAATCACAAAGAGAGTTTTTTTCCTGTTTTCTTCTAGAAGTTTTATAACTTTACATGTTACACAAAGGTCTGTAATCCATTCTGAGTTATTTTTTTGTGTGCAGTGTGAGATAAAAATCAAGGTTCACTGTTTCACATATGGATATCCAGTTGCTTCAGGATGATTTTTTGAAAAGACTATCCTTTCCCTATTGAAATAACTTGTCACTTTAATCAAAAATCAATTAATCATATATTTGTTGTTCTCTTTCTAGACTGACTATACTGTTCCACGTATCTGTATGTGGAACACATTGCCTTACTTACTGTAGCATTATAGTAAGTTCTGAGGTCAGGAAGTTTAAGTCCATCTTAGTTCATATTTTTCAAATTTATTTTGGCTATTATAGTTTTATCAGTAGCTGCGCATAGTGGTAGATATCTATAGTCCCAGCAACTCAGAAAGTTGAGGCGGGAGGGTCACTTGAGCCTAGGTGTTGGAGTCCAGCTTAAATGCTTTTTGCTGTAATTATTGAGATGATCTATATAATTTTTCTTCTTTATTATTTTGCTATGGGAAATTGTATTGATTTTTAAATGCAGAAATAACCTTACATTTCTAGGATAAAACCCATTGGTCATGATACATTATCTGTTTTATTATTATCTATAATCCTTTTTTTTTTCACTTTTAAGTTCAGGGGTACAAGCACAGGTTTGTTACGTGGGTAAACTTGTGTCATGGGGTTTGTTGTACAGATTGTTTAATCACCCAGCTATTAAGTCTAGTACCCATTAGTTATTCTTCCTAATCTTCTCCCTCCTTCTATCCTCCACCCTCTGAAAGGTACCAGTTTGTGTTGTCCCTATCTCTGTGTCCATGTATTTTCATTATTTAGCTTCTACTTTTAAGTGAGAATATGCAGTATTTGATTGTCTGTTCCTATGCTAGTTTGCTAAGGATAATGGTCTCCAACTCCATCCATATCCCCTGAAAGGACATGATCTTATTCTTCTTATGGCTGCATGGTATTCCATGGTGTCTATGTACTACATTTTCTTTATCTAGTCTGTCTTTGCTGGGCATTTAATTACATGATGTTTCTACTGTGAATTCTGCTGCAATGAATAGACACATGCATGTGTCTTTATAATAGATGAACAGATATAATGCATAATATTTTTATTTATTTTGGGATTCAACTGTTTATAAGAGACGTTGGTCGGAAGTTTTCTTTCTTACTATATTTTTCATTTTGTACCAGAGTAATACTGGCTTCATGAAATGAGTTGGGGGTGTTCCCTCTTATTTCTGAAAGAGTTTGGATGGAATTGCTACTGTTTCTTCCTTAAATTTTTGGTAAAATTCACCTATAAAGCCATCTAGGCCTGAAGTTTCCTTTAAGGGAAGGTTTATAAGTATAAATTCAATTTCTTTAAAATATACTGTGCTAAAAAGGTTATCTATTTCTTCCTTAGTGAGCTTTCAGTTTATTACAATGAATGAGTCAATTTCATCTGAGTTGTCCAATTTATTGACATCAAGTTCTTCATAATATTATATTATTGTTCTTTTACTAACTGTAGAATTTATCATATTTATTGTTCTTAGAGGACTAGCTTTTGATTTCATGGACTTTTCTCTATTGTCTTTCTGTTTTCAATTTCGTTAGTTTTGCTCTTATCTTCAATATTTCCTTTTGCTTTGAGTTTAGCTCTTCTCTTACTCATTTATTAAGGTGGATGTTTAGATCATTGATTTGGGATCTTTCTTCTTTCCTGATATAAGTAATCAATGCTATAAATTTTCCTCTAAACACTGCCTTAGCTTTATTCTACACACTTTGATAGGTTGTGTTGTGTTTTTATTATAATCCAATCAAAAATATTTTCTAGTGATTATTTTGATTACTTCTGTGGCCTAGGGTTTATTTAGAAGTATGTTTTCAAATTCTAAATATGTGAGGATAATTCAAATACCTCTGTTATCAACCTCTTAATTCTGCTATGGTCAAAAAACATACTGTGTATTATTTTAAACCTTTTACATTAATTGAGATTTATTTCATGATCCAGAATGTGATCTATCTTAATGAATTTTCTGTGCACCTTAAAATAATATATGTCCCCTTATGATTGGATAGGGTATTCTGTAACTATCAATTAGGTCAAATTAGTTGATAGTGTTCTTCAAGTCTTCTGTATATTTACTGAATTTCCAAATATATGTTGCATCAATTGTTGAAGGAAGACTATTGAAATCTCCAGCTACATCTCAAGATTTGTCTATTCTTTTCTGCTCTATAGGTTTTTGCTTCATGTATTTTGAAGCTCTTATTAGGCATGCAAACATTTCAAGAATGTTCTACCCTCTTGATGATTTGACTCCTTTATCATTATTAAAAGTTTCTTTTCATTTCAAATAATATTTTCTATTCTAAAAACCACTTTACCTGATACAAATGTAGTCTCATCAGCTTTATACTGCTTAGTATTCATTGATTTTTAGATGTAGAAATATATATCTTTCTTCATCCTTTTACTCATCTCTCTGTGTCTTTTTATATTTAAAGTAGGTTTCTTATACAGAGCACAAACTTAACCCTTTTAAAAAATTAATCATACAACCTTTGTCTTTTGCTTGGGGAACTTAGATCATTTAATGTTAATGCAATTACAGATATAAAATTGATGGTCTGATTGTTTTCCTATTTATTCTTTCTTTTCATCACCCTTCCTGCTTTCTTGTGAATTTGTTGATATTTTTCACAATTCAGTTTATCTCCACTACTAGATTATTAGTTATGCCTTTTTTGGTTTGGTTCCTTATTTTTTTTTGTGGTTGCCATAAGGCTTACAATATGCATCTTAAACCTATCACAGCTTCTTTCAAATAATATTCTCATTTTTCCTTCCCATCCTTTGTGCCGTTGTTGTCATACAGTTCACTTCTACATTCACTATAAGTGCCCAAACACATTGCTATTATTTTTACTTCATGCAGTCAATTCTATTTTATTTTTTTCAGATAGATACATATATTTTATTTAAATGATAACAGAAATTTTTATTAGTAACTAGAAAAGTGATTTCACAAATCAAGATAGAATGTAGAAGATTAAACTCTTGGAAACTATTTTTCTGTATTACGTTATGGGGCATGTAAGAAGACATAAGCCTAATAGTGTCTCATTTAGGGAATGAAAATAATAATTTTTTAATATACTTTAATTTCTAGGGCACATGTGCAGAATGTGCAGGTTTGTTACATAGGTATACATGTGCCATGGTGGTTTCCTGCACCCATCAACCCATCATCTACATTAGGTATTTCTCCTAATGCTATCCCTCCCCCACACCCCCGCCCCCGCAACAGGCCCTGGTGTCTGATGTTCCGCTCCCTGTGTCCATGTATTTTAATTGTTCAACTCTCACTTATGAGTGAGAACATGTGGTGATTGGTTTTCTGTTTTGTGTTAGTTTGCTGAGAATGATGGTTTCCAGCTTCATCCAAGTCACTGAAAAGGACATGAACTCATCCTTTTTTATGGCTTTTTTATGGCTGCATATGTATTCCATGCTGTATATGTGCCACACTTTCTTTATCCAGTCTATCATTGATAGGCATTTGGGTTGGTTCCAAGTCTTTGCTATTGTGAACGGTGCCACAATAAACAGACGTGTGCATGTGTCTTTATAGTAGAATGATTTATAATCCTCGGCTATATACTCCGTAATGGCATTGCTGGATCAAATGTTATTTCTAGTTCTAGATCCTTGAGGAATCGCCACATTGTCTTCCACAATGGTTGAACTAGTTTACAGTCCCACCAACAGTGTAAAAGTGTTCCTATTTCTCCACATCCTCTCCAGCATCTGTTGTTTCCTGACTTTTTAATGATTGCCATTCTAACTGGTGTGAGATGGTATCTCATTGTGGTTTTGATTTGCATTTCTCTAATGAAGAGTGATGATGACATTTTTTCATATGTTTGTTGGCTGCATAAATATTTTCTTTTGAGAAGTGTCTGTTCATATCCTTTGCCCACTTTTTGATGGGTTTTTTTTTTTTTCTAGTCAATCTGTTTAAGTTCTTCGTAGATTCTGGGTATTAGCCCTTTGTCAGATGGGTAGATTGCAAAAACTTTCTCCCATTCTGTAGATAGCCTGTTCACTCTGATGGTAGTTTCTTTTGCCATGCAGAAGCTCTTTAGTTTAATTAGATCTCATTTGTCTGTTTTGGCTTTTGTTGCCACTGCTTTTGGTGTTTTAGTCATGAAGTCTTTGCCCATGCCTATGTCCTGAATGGTATCACCTAGGTTTTCTTCTGGGGCTTTTATGGTTTTAGGTCTAACATTTAAGTCTTTAATTCATCTTGAATTAATTTTTGTGTAAGGTATAAGGAAGGGATCCAGTTTCAGTTTTCTGCATATGGCTAGCCAGTTTTCCCAGCACCATTTATTAAATAAGGAATCCTTTCCCCATTGCTTGTCTTTGTCAGGTTTGCCAAAGATCAGATGGTTGTAGATGTGTGGTGTTATTTCTGAGGTCTCTGTTCTGTTCCATTGTTTTATGTATCTGTTTTGGTACCAGTACCATGCTGTTTTGGTTACTGTAGCCTTGTAGTATAGTTTGAAGTCAGGTAGCATGATGCCTCCAGCTTTGTTCTTTTTGCTTAGTGTTATCTTGGCTATGCAGGCTCTTTTTGGGTTCCATATGAACTTTAAAGTAGTTTTTTCCAATTCTGTGAAGAAAGTAAATTCTGTGAATACCTTGACGGGGATAACATTGAACCTATAAATTACTTTGGGCAGCATGGTTATTTTCACGATATTGATTCTTCCTATCCATAAGCATGGAATGTTTTTCCATTTGTTTGTGTCCTCTCTTATTTCCTTGAGCAATGGTTTGTAATTCTCCTTGAAAAGGTCCTTCACATCCCTTGTAAGTTGGATTCCTAGATATTTTATTCTCTTTGTAGCAATTGTGAATGGGAGTTCACTCATGATTTGACTCTGTCTGTTATTAGTGTATAGGAATGCTTGTGACTTTTGCACATTGATTTTTGTATTCTGAGACTTTGCTGAAGTTGCTTATCAGCTTTATCAGCTTACGGAGATTTTGGGCTGATGGGGTTTTCTAAATACACAATAATGTCATCTGCAAACAGAGACAATTTGACTTTAATTTCCTCTTTTCCTAATTGAATGCCCTTTATTTCTTTCTCTTGTCTGATGACCCTAGCCAGAACTTCTAACACTATGTTGAATAGGAGTGGTGAGAGAGGGCATCCTTGTCTTGTGCCGGTTTTCAAAGGGAATGCTTCCAGTTTTTGCCCATTCAGTATGATACTGGCTGTGGGTTTGTCATAAATAGCTCTTATTATTTTGAGATACGTTCCATCAATACCTAGTTTATTGAGAGTTTTTAGCATGAAGCGGTGTTGAATTTTGATGAAGGCCTTTTCTGCATCTATTGAGATAATCATGTGGTTTTTGTCATTGGTTCTGTTTATGTGATGGATTATGTTTATTGATTTGCTTTGCCTATGTTGAACCAGCCTTGCATCCCAGGGATGAAGCCGACTTGATCGTGGTGGACAAGATTTTTGATGTGCTGCTGGATTCGGTTTGCCAGTATTTTATTGAGGATTTTCACATCAATGTTCATCAGGGATATTGGCCTAAAATTTTCTTTTGTTGTTGGGACTCTGCTAGGTTTTGGTATCAGGATCATGCTGAATTATCTCATCAAATTATCACAAGGACAGAAAACCAAACACTACATGTTCTTACTCATAAGTAGGAGTTGAACAATGAGATTACATGGACACAGGGAGGGGAACATCACACACTGGGGCCTGCCAGGTGATGGGGGCCTGGGGGAGGGATAGCATTAGGAGAAATACCTAATGTAAATGACGAGTTGATGGGTGCAGCAAACCAACATGGCACATGTATACCTATGTAACAAACCTGCACGTTGTGCACCTGTATACCAGAACTTAAAGTATTTTATGTGTGTGTGTGTGTGTGTGTGTGTGTGTGTATATATATATATACACGCATATATATTCTATATATATAGAAAAAATTATTTGGTGTTTACCTATGTACCTATTATTTTTGGTGTTCCTTATTCCCAAGTATAGATCCAAATTTCCATTTGGCACCATTTTCTTCTGCCTGAAATACTTCTTTGTAACATTTCCGCAGGTAGAATTCTGGTGATAATAAATTCTCTCAGCATCTGTTTGTCTAAAATGCCTTCATTTTGAAAGAATTCTTTTCTGGGTTAAGAAACCTAGAAAAAACAGACTGGTTTGTTTTTCCTTTCAGAACAGCTAAGCCCTTTCTCCATTATTTTCTGGCTTGCATAGTTCCTAAAGTGTTGCCTACTGTCAATTTTTTGTGTGTTTCTCTGCATAGTGTGTCTTTTCTCTGCCTGTTTTATACTTTTTCTTTATCACTGTTTTTTATCAATTTTTTTTTCTTTTTTTCTTTTTTTCTTTTTTTTTTTTTTAAGAAACGGAGTCTCGCTCTCGCTCTGTTGCCCAGGCTGGAGTGCAGTGGTGCGATCTCTGCTCACTGCAAGCTCCGCCTCCCGGGTTCACGCCATTCTCCTGCCTCAGCCTCCCGAGTAGATGGGACCACAGGCGCCCACCACCACGTCCGGCTATTTTTTTGTATTTTTAGTAGAGATGGGGTTTCACCGTGTTAGCCAGGATGGTCTCGATCTCCTGACCTTGTGGTCCGCCCACCTCGGCCTCCCAAAGTGCTGGGATTACAGGCGTGAGTCACCGCCCCCGGCCTATCAAATTTTAAATGAAGTCCTTTGACTTTGTTTAGTGTGTTTATTTTATGTGGAATGATTTGAGATTCTTATATGTACGTACACACTTATCAAACTTGGAATTATTTCCCATTATTGTACTACTTCACCTTTTTCCCCTCCTTCTGGGACTCCAATTATACATTATGTTATGCTACTTGATATATATTGATACTCTGTTTCATTTGTCCAGTCTTTTTTCCTCTGTGATTTATTTTGGATAGCTCTATTACTATATATTTACATTCACTGATAATATATTTCTTCAGTGTCTAATCTATTAACCTCATCATGTAATTTTTATTTCAGATAATATATTTTTAATCTCTAGTCCACTTGTACTTTTGCGTATGGTTCATTTTTCTTATCATTCTGTTTGCCTCTACCTATTTGAACATATAGGCATACTTATAACTGTCTTAATGCCTTTTATGTTGATTTCACCATCCCTGTTATTTCTGAATTTTTTTATGGATTGATTTTTCTCCTAGTTGTGAGTCAAATTTTTTGCTTCTTTGTATTTTTGTTAATATTGTATTGTATTGTAAAAAAAATATCAATTGGACATTGTTAGATGTCGAATTTTTTGAGTTCCTTAAATAGTGTTGTGTTTTAGCCTGCAGCTAACCTTCTTGGAATTGATTGAATATTTTCTTTATATTTTTATATTTTAATTGAAAAATGATCATTGTATATTTATTTTTAATAATTGTTGATATGTATGGAGTTTGAAGTTTCAATACATGTATACATTTTGAAATGATTAAATCCATCATCTCACATAATTATCATTTCTTTGTGATAATTAGCCAATTAGCATCCATCATCTCACATAACTATCATTTCTTTGTGATGAGAACACTGAAAGTTGGATATTATGAAAGATTGTTTTTAAGATACTTTGGGGTGAATCCACAGAATCGTTAGTCTAATGCTAACTTAGTCCCACTATTATGACAATACCTTTCTGAAACTCTATTCAATGCCCCATATATTTTGACATCTTTCCACTCAGGCCCTTGGAAACATAAATCATCCCAGCTCTTATGAGTTTCGGAAATTCTCCTGTCTACTACTGCTCAGTGTTTTTTTCAGTTGTTGTTGGTTTTTTGTTTTTTGTTTTTTGTTGGTTTTTTTTTTTTCTGGCTTAGATAGTTTTCTGTCACACAGGTGTAAATCAGTATTTATCCAAAGACTTGAGAGGAGCTCTGGACACCTGCACATAGAAAGAGGGGCTCTTTCTATGCTTGCAGATTGCTCCTCTACAGTATTCAGCAAACCTTAGCTTGCCAACATCCCTGCGCTCTAATATATTTCTCCTTAATTGACCAGGCTCTGTTTGGTTACTCCCTCCCTGCAGTGCAGCCTGGAAACTGCCTTCAGGCAGAAAGCTGGTACAATTAGTGGACTAACTTTGCTTATTTCCCTTCTCTTGGGGGACACAGTTCTGCATTGTCTTTCTCTAAATGTCCAGAAGTCATTGTTTCATATATTTTGTCCAATTCTTTTATTGTTTAGAGTAGGAGAGTAAATCTGTACCTGTTACTTCATCTTAGCCAGCAGCAGAAGTTCCAAAGTTATAAATATTTAAAAGGAAGACATAAAAATAAGTACTATTTACAAATGCTATAATTATTTACTGGAAACACTTAAAAAATAAATAGAAAAAGCTGTTAGATCTAATAGGAGAGCTTATTATGGGTCCAGTTATTAAAAAAATTATAAAACTCAAATGTATAAATTATAATTTTAAAAGATCCCATTCACAGGCCCTACAAAAATATAGCATCACTATAAGTAAACTTAAGAAATGTGGAGTAAGAAGTATGAAGAAAATGATTCAGTTTTCCTGAAGAATATTAAATAAGGGAATATAATGTTTTCAGATGGCATTATCAATGGTATAAAAGACATCCCCCCAGAATATATATATATGTGACAGCAAAATGTCCCATGATAATATTTTATATTTGTTCTGAGGAACATGTTTTGGAGAATAAGATATAAAGATATTGCTTTACATGATTCACATATATATCTCGAAACAACCACTGGTATCATAATAATGATGAAATACTAACAAAGTATGGCCATTAATGTCAGGAACAAAATTGGGATTCCTCACTATTACCATTATTTATTATTGTTCTCTTTAGCTGTAACGAACATTATTAGTCAAAAAGTTAAGAACCCCAGAAACTTAAATGAGCATTACAAATGTTGGAAAGGAGAACATGACTAACATAATTTACACCCAACATAAGACTTACATTCTTTCTTTTTTTTTTTGCAACAGTCTCACTCTGTTACCTGGGCTAGAGGACAGTGTTACAATCATGACTCACTGTAGCCTCAACCTCCTGGGCTCAAGCAATCCTCCCACCTCAGCCTCTCAAGTAGCTGGGACTACAGGCATGTCCCACCATGCTCAACTAAGTTTTTTAAATTTTATTTTACAGACATGGGGTCTTGCTGTATTGCCCCAGCTGGTAAATTGTTTCTTTAACAAAGGGAAAATCAGCTAAAATATTGAAAATAATATCAGCTAAAGTATGAAGGTAATAAATTACACAAGTTTGGATAGAAAATATAACGGTCATTCATTTTAGTTAAATATTAAGCAAAACAAAACCATATTATTTAGAAATGTACACATACTTGATAGAATTATAAAGGCAAGGTGCTATCATAAAAGTAAAGTTACTGATTGTCTCTGAGAGGAGAAAGATGGTCATGATAGGAAAGGAGCACATTACTAGATTTCTAGAACATCAAAAATACTATGTCTTGACTTTAGTGATGGTTAAGTGGGTTTACACGTTACAAGATTAGTTATTTTTTGTAACTTATTAGTATGTTTTTGTACTTTTTAAATACGTGTTATTTTTCAATATAAATTTAAATATACACATATGGATATATGTATGTGTATGTATATAAAACTTCATTGGTAATACCATACATTAAAAAGCATAAGAATTAACAACAAATACACAAAATATATTTTAAAAGATGTAAGCATTTCATAAGACTCATAAAAGAACCCTTAACTACATTGGTAATTACTTTTTAGATGAGAAGGCTTGATAGTATGAACGTGAAGACTATCAATAAATCTGTTATTTTTATGCAAGGCCTCTGAAAATCTCAATGAATTTAAAATTGGAATGAAGCAACAATATTCCAACATTTATATGGAAGACTAAGTATTATAAGGACATGGTCTATCTACCATTAAAATTTTATTTATTTATTTATTTTGAGACGGAGTCTCGCTCTCTCGCCCAGGCTGGAGTGCGGTGGCGCTATCTCGGCTCACTGCAAGCTCTGCCTCCCTGGTTCACACCATTCTCCCGCCTCAACCTCCCGAGTAGCTGGGACTACAGGTGCCCGCCACCACGCCCGGCTAATTTTTTATATTTTTAGTATCGATGGGGTTTCACTGTGTTAGCCAGGATGGTCTCGATCTCCTGACCTCATGATCCGCCCGCCTCAGCCTCCCAAAGTGCTGGGATTACAGGCGTGAGCCACCACGCCCAGCCAAAATTTATTTTTAAACACTATTGACAGAAAAGATAAATATATATGTATGTATAAAGTAATAAATGTATGAGAAAAATAATAAATCAATGAAGGAGGTAGAAGAGTTATAATGTCACTGGGAAATTCAGAAACAAAAATTGCTAAATGAATTAATGACTGACTTCTAGATTAAAATCAAACACTATAAGAAAAAATTAAAATAATTCAATAACTTTAGAGTGAGGAAAATTCTACAGCAGAAAGCATATCAGAAAAGATTCGTAGACTTTTCTAAATAAGTATTAAAAATTCAGCTCAGAAAAATGGTCATAATTAAAATTAAAAGTTGAGCAACAATCATAGCAAAGTGTTAATATCCTCTAATATTTATAGAATTCTTCAAAAGAAAGATGAACTACCTACTAGAAAAATGAACAAAGGTCATCAGAAAGCAATTTACAAGTGAGAAAATAATAATAGTCAATAAATGTTAAAGAATAATCTCACTGAATCTAAAATGTACAATTTAAAACACCTTTTCCCTATTATATTGGTATAGATTTAGAATATTATTACATCC
Organism: Homo sapiens; assembly: GCF_000001405.40. NCBI lineage: Eukaryota > Metazoa > Chordata > Mammalia > Primates > Hominidae > Homo > Homo sapiens. Next base: position 105,031,963 of record NC_000008.11, on the reverse strand, counting down.
AGTGTTGGCTAGAGTGTGAAGAAATGAATATTTATATCCACTGCTGATAAAGGCAGGAATTGGTATTTATGAAAGACAATTTGAATATATATATGCATATATAAAATATACTCTTACCCAGCAATTTTTTAGACAAGGATATTAAGAAAATAATTGGACAAGTGTCCAACACTGTATGTCAGGATGTTCATCACAGCATTATTATATAATAGCAGAAAGATAAGAGACAACATAAATGTTTAACAATAGGGAAATTGTGAAATGCATAGAATACAATATCATTTTGTCATTAGAAATTATTTATAAATATACTGTGGAGTGAAAATAGCATGTATTGTACAGTCCCATTTATTTTTGAAAAATCATATGCATGTATGCATTGAAAAATGTTCAGAAGGTAAGCACCAAGATTTTAACATAGTTATCTCTATGTGACAGAATTTTGGATGATACTCACCTTCGTCTTTATAATTTTCCATTTTATATTAAGAGTATTTAGAAAATACAAATACCAACAAAAAGATATTTTCCAACTATTAAGCCAGCAAGAGTCTTCTTAAATGTAAATTCAGTGTGGGCAGAAGAACGGGTAGATGACCTTTGCATATACTATTTTTGGGATTGATAAGAATTTTTAGAAAAGCAATTTTTACATATATAAAGATGGTATTGAATTTAATAGTGAAAAATTAGCAGTTGTATTTATTGGGGTTGGTTAAATAAATAATGCAAGAGCCACACAATGGAACTCTATGCAGCCACTAAAAATGATGCATATTTACCCTTAGCAATATAAAAGCACGTGTGAGAAAAGTAATATATAAAAGAGTAAATGTATGAAATTAATAATCATTACATATAGATGTATCTGAATCTCAAGGATATATTAACAATACTCATCTCTAGATTAACTGGTGACTTTAATTTTAATTCTTATGTTTATACTGAGAAATGAAATACTTATAATGAAAAATAATAATTGCATGTGCAGATATTATCTATCATCTGCAACTCCCACTCTGTTCTACTAACAGCACTGGTCTTGAGTCCAGATTGACATCTAATTTACAAGATTACTAGTTTTACCTGGAACTGCATATATCCAGCTTTAAGAAAGAAGTCAGGAAATGAAACAGCTGTATGCAAAACAACACCGAAAAAGAGGCCTAGTGACTACCAGACAGTTTCCAATATCTTGATCACTTTGCATTCAAATTGTGTGTGATCACTATAGACAAGGCTCACTGTGTGTAGATAATCAGAAATCTCTTCAGCTTTTACACCTAGCTAGCCATGTGGCTTCCCCAAGGTATATAACTAGCACTTGTTCTCTAGTGTTGCCCCATCTTATCAATACCAGCCACTCATTACTAAATACACATCTGGACAATGATGTACAGGTGTGTTTCATCTGACAACTCTTAGACAGATTCTCATTCATCTTGAATCCAATACAGGTAAACAGCTAACAACTTCTTGAATTAATATTGCCAAGGAGACTCAAACCCTCACATATTCCTGAAGCTAGAGAAAAAGCCACAGAACCAACTGCTTGTCCTTTCCTTCTGATATGTCATTGAAATCATTTGAAAAATCAAATTTCACTGTCTCCCATACATCCTGCATTTCAGGCATTCTGAGATATGATCGAATTCTGGAATTAGCTTCCCGTGGCCAGGATCTTTTTCATATCACTCACTCTTTCAGGAATACTTTTCCATCTTCTCATTACCTTGAACACTGGCCTTCAATCTAACTTTTCTCTGTAAACTTAATCCACTAAGCAGATTTCTTCTTACTCTGTCCCTATAGTTGTCTATTTATACTTTATGTTTGAGGCTAATTCATATTTTCATATTAGCATCATCATACAAACTGGCATATAGCACCACCAATGTTTATTTTATAAATAATGAAAGATAGCAGTGGAGATAATTACATAAATACAAGCAATAACGTACATACACAATAAAGAGTGATTTCAGAATGATGTTGATAGTTTTTCATGTTATTTCAAGTGTGCACACATGCACAGATTTCCTTGTACTCCTCTTCCCTCTGTCCTAGTTATGAGTTCTCAAAGAGTCATCAGAGTGATTGTGAATGACGCATTACTTTTCAAGATTTTAAATTTGCTTAAGCACACACATCAAGCATACAATCAAAAATACAGAACAAAGCTAAATAAAAACACAATTGGCTTTCAATCTTATGCTGTGGTTCAACTGCCTTTACTTGGCCAATGTTTCTACTTTGATAGAAATGAGCATTGCAATATTAGGGCCAGAGAGGGAATATATTTAGCTGAGGTCTGGAGCATCACTTAATGAAGCAGACAGTGGAGGGATCAGAAAGATTTTGTTATTGCTGTTTGCTTTTTGCCTTTGGCAAACATTCTAGTAGTGATAACAGCCATGCCATTTCTCCAAAAGAAATTTGTGACTATGGCTCACATTAGTTTGTATTAGCATCTACAGAGGACAGGTCCCTGCCTGCCAGTGCTGAATACTCATAAACACAGTAGCAGCTGAGAGAAACCTTCTAACTATTTGTTACTCAGTGATACTGCCTCGGGCAGGGTAGAAGCAAGTCTCTCTAGGGGAAATTGCGGATGTTACTGTTTTAATTTGCAAACCACATTTCTTTGGATGATGATGAGCTTTCAAATAACCTAGACAAAGCAGATCACAGTTTAACAAGCTGAAAAAATACAAACAAGGAAAGCAAATACAAATATTCGTAGCTTTTCTCTGTAGTCATATAATTGAAAAATCAACTACCTCCCAAAGCATCTTGCAAAGGTAGCATCATAGATACAGGCACTGATTTAAAATGCTATCTAACCTGAGTCCTAATCCAATCCATCTGATATTTATCCCAGTGCCATAAATAATGGAAAGGTGAATACCAAGATGGCTGATATTTAAGCATAATGAAGAAATATACATTTTAAAGAACACTCCAATTATAGCAGATGTTTCATATGATGTGGCTGATTTATAGTGTCTACTGACTCAAAGATGTAAGAGTGCTGAAATATTTTACCTTTAGAATAAACAGTATATGCATAAACTTTCATATGCATATATTTGTATTATATGCACACAATGCATATTACACTAAAAACAGTTAGACCATAGCATGAAATAGTCACATTTCTGGGATAAAAAGCATATCAAGAGACTGTTAAGTCCATCATTCCAAACTCTACGTTAAATAGTCTTTGATATAATATAATATGAAAATGTGTCTGAATAAAATAAGGGGAAAATCAGTATAGAAAATGAGTTATAAAAAAATGTTCCTCAATTAAAGCTTTAAGCTACATATATATTTGGAAGAAAATAACTATGGCTTATTTATTATTATAAGACGAAAAAATGCATGGAATGAGCCTCCAATTTTATTCCTGAAAAGTCACTCATTGTACATTTGCAATGAAAAGAATAGATTCAGACGTCAGATAAGTGCTTAATATTATTTGGCATGTACTCATGATCATCATGGGGCATAACTCTCAGATGCATCACTTTCTCTACATTTACACCTCAACTATCTGTAGTGAATTTTGCAGCAGCCTGTCTATCCCAGAAATGCACATTTGATCAATTTTGTGTTGGGAAAGCAGATTGTTTCCCTACTGAGAGGCAACATTTTCTGCAGATACCTGTACAATATTTACATGACTTATCTTAATCAAAAATGCCCTTGTCAATATGGTTGGTTCTTTCTTGGCTCTGTTTTGGGAAGAAACATTCCTCAGGTAGAAACCGCCTCTGTCTTTTCCCAGATTCTCTTTTTAGTTCAGGCATATGTTCAGGTGAAAGGGACAATTATTTAGCTTCTGCTAGTCTCTCTCCTTAGAGTAATTCACTTCTTCATATGCAAAATTCTCCTGTTATTTTCCCAGCCACTTAAGCCTACTAATAACTGCTTTTCAACTAGTGAATTGGGGTGAGTTGGGGCTTCTTGGAAGATACCAAAGTTCTCCTTTATTTGGCCAAATGACATGGATTTTTAAATTTTCCTTAGCTGACTTTGTTTCCCATTTGAACTCAAATGTAGAAATCTATTGGTAAATGGTTGACTCTACGAATATGGATAGATGTTGTCTAAGAAGAAAAATGTGGCTCAGGGTTTGAATGAACAGAAAACAAACCTAGCTCCATCCTCTGTTTTCTCTTGTATTGCAACAAATGTCATATATTAAATTCAATCTAGATTAAACTTTTACTGGGCCTATAATTCTGTCCCCAGTGAACTCAGTGTCAGAGGTGAAAAAAACTAGGAAGCACTGGTATAGGAGGGATCATGAAGCTAGCCAGCAAGCCTGCAAAGAGTGCCCTAAGTACAAGGGAAAGAAGGAAACTCCAGGTCACTTCCAATTAGATATGTGGGAGGAAAGAAAGCCAGTTCCCTTCTTACCTCCAAAGGATCAAGCATGCAGCCTATACAGGAATATTAGCTTGAAAATTGCTCCTGCAATACACCAAAGTCAATATAGCAGAGGAAACAGATCATAAAGCATAGGTATGCATATTTGCTACCCAAGGAATTTGGAAATCCTTATGAAAGTTTCATGGAGCATGAGCCTCTTAGAAATTTATATGTAGAGTCTCAGAACTTAAACATTCTACATGGAGTAAGATGAAACACTTAAAATGCTCCTCCTTTATGAGAACACTATTTCACAAGTGAGAGACAAAGGTATATCAAAGATAGAAATAGAAATAGAAATAATTTTGTATGGAAATGTTTATTCTTGAGATAATTTGGTAAAATCGAGTCATCTGGAGAAGGTAAACGTTGAGGGGAGTAGAGATGAAACAATAGTAATTAAAGAAAATCAACTTACTAATATTTGCATTTACAAAAGAATGTGCCAATGAACGTTGGAGTCAACTGAGAAATGTCAGCAGTGAAAGGAGGCCCCAAATAATTCTGTGTTGAAAAGCCAACTAATATATGTGCAGATGGGACTGTCAGGGGAGGAGAAAACATTGAGCAGAATTTTGCTGCTCTGGGCTCTTTATTTTCAAGAGTTAACCCAATTTCTGGTTTCCCATCCATATCAGTCAGGGTCCCATCAGGAGACAGGACTACATAAGTCATTTTAATCAGGGCCAGCTTCACATACATGTGATTAATGTACTTGCACAGGACCCTGTGCTCAGGAGGATCCCACACATGGAGTTTCATGCTCTATGGTCACTGCATTACAATTGAAATTCTTAATAATTTTATGATTGAATTTGTGTTTTGTAAGTGAAGTCCTATGGAATGAGAGAGTACATTCTAAGCACTTAAGAGTACATTCTAAGCCTCAGCTCACACATGGTCCCACCCTTTGACACCTTCCAAGATTGGGTTCTTGCCCACCTGTTCTTCCTCACTCTGGTGCCCAAACCCTGACTAGCCTCCCTCTCTACAACCCTGCCCAATGACTACTGCCACCCTCCAGCCCCAGCATGAGCCTGGGCGTGGAAGCAGGAGGGTTAGGGTTGGGTGCATGTATTACATAGCTGCATGGAGCAGGACTTGGGAGCAGCCATGCCCTCCCTGGGCTGGCAGCAGCACAGCCTTTGATGTAGGTGGCTGGCTAGAGGCCCTATCTGGATGGGGTGAGCCTCTTACCCACACCCATCTAAATACCTAGTGTGTCCCAGTACTGAGGTTTAAAGATCTTTAGGGGGCTACCTCACTGCTCTGGGTCCAGTGTCAGGCCCGTAACAAAGGAGGTTACCTGGCTTGACTTCCCCAGATCCCATCTCTGGCTGATACGTACGGCATTAATTCTGTAGCCGATGAGATAGGGAACCCCAAAGCCATCAGGCTTATCCCTCTGCATTATGGGGCACGTCCCAGGCTCTTGTGAGTAACACCATGCCTGAAAGCACTCCCTTAGCCAAACTGTATGCCTGGAGGTATCTTCTTTTCCTCCTTCCAGCCTTCATGAGTTGCATTTAAGTCTGTCCCTCTTGAACGTCTGCAGACATCTTCCAGGAATGAGCCACAAAATCCAAATTGTGTGATGTCAGAGATTCCACAAATGAGGTAAATGCTCTGATATTTACAGTTAAAACTGGCATTGCACAATGTAAAGACTACCAGTAAAACTCATGCTAATGTTTTAAATTTAATTTTTTAACTTAACATTCTGTTTTAGTTAGATTGGCATTAAACAGCAAGTAAAGAACATCATCAAAAATTGAGAGAAAGTCACTCCTGTAATCCCAGCACTTTGGGAGGCTGAGGCAGGTGGATCATGATGTCAGGAGATCGAGACCATCCTGGCTAACACGGTGAAACCCCGTCTCTACTAAAAATACAAAAAATTAGCCAGGTGTGGTGGCAGGTGCCTGTAGTCCCAGCTACTTGGGAGGCTGAGGCAGGAGAATGGCATGAACCTGGGAGGTGGAGCTTGCAGTGAGCCAAGATCGCGCCACTGCACTCCAGCTTGGGCAACAGAGTGAGATTCCATCTCAAAAAAAAAAAAAAAAAAAAAATTGAGAGAAAGACCAAAGAAATCTTACTATGTATGTTTGTGGCACCTTTATTATGCTTTTTGAACAAGAATACCTGCATTTTCTTTTTACACTAGTCTCCAAATTATGCAGCTGGCTCCAATTTTAATAGAGAATTTAATACAAAGAATCATTACCTATGTATTAAAAAACTGAAAAGGCAAAAAAATAATAATAACAAAGGTATCATGGAGGTAGCAAGTTCAGAAAGCAACTAGGAAGAGGTTGAGGTTATCAGAATTTAGCAGCTTGGAGCAGAAGCCCCAGAACTAAAATTCACACCTCTAAGTAGGCAGCACTGCTCAACAGGTGTTAGACAGCACTACCGCTCAATAGAACTTTCTGCAGTGATGGAAATATTCTTCCAGGCAGTTAGGAACCGACACACCATCTCAGCACCTTCCTTGCATTATAACTTCTGGACATTTTAGATAATATTATATCCCCTCTTCACGAGCTCCTGTACCAGCATCATCTGTGTCTCCTATCTCAGACCATGCTTGTTTCCTATTATGTATTCGTGGGTACTGACCTTTCTTGCCTCTTAGCTGCATCTCTGCTTAGTCCCGGGGTGGTGACAAGGTGTGGAAAATAAAGACAACAGAAACAAAACAGAAACAACTAAAACATGAATGAAGATCTTAGCCATTAAGATGAGGAAATACGTCCATTTATGGGGGAGTTTAGCCTGCACTATGAAAAGGTCCCATCTCCAACAGTTTTTCCTGGATGTTTCAATCCTAATTCCATTCTTACAAATACAGTTTCTTGTCATTTGTAATACTGTGATTGCACTTTACAATTTGAATATCATTATTGCTAAAACCCACAAAGCAAATCAGAGGTTCCTTGGGGCATTCTTAAGCAATTGAAAACCTAACCCCAGGAGTTAGGCCCATATAATACTGATAAGCTATATTTCCTACACTCATGGAATCTGCAATATGGCAAGAAATTTCAAAATACTAATATGAAGGTATTTTAGTTAGGAGAGACTTGATGCTCTAAATGAGCCCAGAACAACATTTTATTTTGTCTTGCCATCTCACAGATTCAGAACTAGTCACTCGGGGGGAAAAAAGGCATGAGGAGGTTATGTACCTGAACTGAGTTCATCCCAATGTGTCCTTAAAGAACAATTAATTCCAAGTTGCTTGCAACTAGTATTTTAACTTCAAACCTGTATTTCATCAGCACCTGCTTATTCAAGCCCTGTGGGTGATACTCTACTTGTTAATTCTACCCCAGGGTGTCAGTTCTTCTCTGAAATATATGTCACTTCCTATCTTCAAAAGTCGACTCTGTGCACAGTCACATTACCCTTCTTTTCCAAAATGTGTCACAGCACATGCTGCGTCTCAAATGGTTAAATTAAACCCTGTTTCCCGTGTCAGACAGGAGAAGATAAGACAGTGCTCACTGGGGAAAAAAATTACCCTATTGAACCACACATGCAGCTTCTGTTGGTGTTTGTGGGGGTATGCACAAACACAAGAGATGAATGTAAGCCATGCCATTTCATGAGAAATTAGCTTTATTCTAGTACAAAAATTCTACCCAGAGTCAAATATAACAATCAATTTTTCAGTGTGTTTTTCCTCAAAAGAATTTTTTCAAAATAATGTATCATTATACCTTACTATTTCTGAAGATCTTATATAAATTAAATCTAGGGTTATAAGTGAGATATCAATTAACATAAGAATCAATTTAATGGTAATTTAAAGAGCTAACTGTTATAATTTTTGCATAATGATGTGGCCTCTGGGCTTGAAGTCCTAATCATGTCTAATTAATTTAAAGGATGTTACTTTTTATTATCATTGAAATTTCTGACAGGTGATAAAACATTTAGGGTTGCCATCACAAACTTTTTACATCAGCTATACTGTAGGTTGACAAGCCATAGATCATCCCTCTGAAAATGGCTATTTAGGAAAAAAAAGAATCAAGTATACTTTAAAAGTTATATCATGAAACTGCTATTTTACCACAAAAAGCAAAGCAATTCTACTCACTAAAATAATAAAGGCGCTGACATTTTATTTTCATGATCTGAATAGCTATAATCAACTTCATAGGAAATAATCAATTTCAGTTTCAGAAAATAATCTGCATAAACTCTTGAGTTTATATAGCACCTGTACTGCCAGAAACATTAATATACTTTCCATTGTCAGTTCAAAAAAAAAGCTTGATCTTCTGAGGCTCAGATAGCAAATACATCTAACTGCAAGCGGATTAGCTAAAGGGCCTGTCACTTCCTTAAAATAGAACATTAAAATATCTACCATTAAAAACATTCTCAGAAACATAAAATAATGTGAAGTAAATTATTCTTTGGAGATTATAGATTCTATTCCTGAAGAAAAACCAAACCCAAAGCAGAGAAAGCAAAATAGGTAAGTCTAAAGCAGATACAGGGTAACATGCAATTCAAGCAATGATGGAAGGTGGAAGACTCCAGCCAGCATGACCCCAAGATCTGTACCATGGCACTGTTCTTTTAAAAAGAAAGAAAAGAATTATTTTAGAAATCCCAGGAGGGATTTTATGTAAGATAAGCACAGTCAGAAAACGGAGTGAGCAGTGAGTAGCTGTAATCTGAAGGTCAGTCTGCTGGGCAGCATTTGTTAGGCTGGAGGGAAGGAGAGACGAAGGAAGTCATACATGTGAGCAGCATGGAGAAGTAGCTAGAAACAGGGGCTTGGGCTCTGGCTATGCGCTCCGGCTTCTTGCGCTGTACCATGTGACTGAGGATAGCACCTACTCCAGTAGCTGTTAGGGAAATCAAATGAGTTAATATGTGTAAGGTACTTTAGAAGAGTGTCAGGCACATAGTAAGTGCTTGATATGGTTTGGATCTGTGTCCCCAACCAAATCTCATGTCGAATTGTAATCCCTGATGTTGGAGGTGGGGCCTGGTGGGAGGTGAGGGGATCATGGGGGCAGATTCTCTTGAATAGTTTAGCACCATCCCCGTTGGTGCTGTTCTTGTGATAGAGTTCTTACGACATCTGGCTGTTTAAAAGTGTGTAGCACCTCCCTACTCTCTCTTTCTCCTCCTCCAGCCATGTGAAGTACTTGCTCCCCCTTCTCCCTCCACCAGAATTGTAAGATTCCTGAAGTCTCCCCAGAAGCTGAGTAGATGCCAGCATCATGCTGCCTGCACAGCCTGCAGAACCATGAGCCAATTAAACATCTTTTCTTTACAAACTACCCAGTCTCAAGAATTTCTTTATAGCAATAGCAGAATTGACTAACACAATGCTCTACACAGGTTTACTATTCTCACATCTTAGGTTAAGTATAGCCCAAGAACTGGAGCTCTCAGCTTAAAATCTGTAGAAAGAACATGCTCTAAAACTCTAGAGACAACACTTTCTTAACCTTAGGTTCAAATTTGATGCAGGCTAAGTCTATTCTGATACTTGAAGGATAATAGCAGCAACTTATGATGGTGACAAAGCAAAAACGCTGGACTGGAAGTTGGAAGGTCATGGATCTCCCAGGTCTTAGGAGCTATGGAGTAAATCAAAGCAAAATTTAAGTGGTATTTTCACTACTTCTAGCTGTTTGACCTTGAACAATGTATTTTAACTTTCTGATGTTCAGTTTCCTCATCCATGAGATAGGGATGATGTTTTATCTATTTGTGCTGCTATAACAAAATAACACAGACTGGGTAATTTATTTAAAAAAAGAATTTATTTCCTTACAGGTCTGGAGGCTGAGAAGTCCAAGATCAAGGAAGGCACCAGCAGGTTTGGTATGTGGTGAAGACCCAGTTTCGACTTCCATGATAGTGCCTCGTTGCTGCATCCTCTGGAGAAAGGAAGCCATGTCTTCACATGGTGGAAGGAATGGAAGAGCAGAAAAGGACTAAGCTAGTTCCCTCCAAGCCTTTTATAAGGCAGTTATCTATTCATGAGGATGGAGTCCTCATGATTTAATTGCTTCCTAAAAGGCCCCACATCTTAACACTACTATAATGGGGATAAGTTTCAACATACAAATTTTGAGGAACTTTCAGACCAGAGCACATGATAATACCTAATTCACATAGCTTTTGTGAATAAACGAAATACGTATATTAAACACTTAGCTGATTGCCAGACCTGCCGATCATGAAATATTAATCCCATTCCTTTTCTCTTTTCTGAGTCTCAATTTTATCATCTGTAAAATGGAATTATTACTATCCAATGTAAGATAATATTGACACAGTTATTTTTCTATTTTCTTCACTGTTTTATTGAGACTTATATTGCTAAACAAGATTTTTTTTTAACTAACGCCATTTCTTTGTCTTATATCTTTTGCAGGAAATGCACATTCACCCCCCAAAAGTATGTTTGAAATAGCATAAGCCAGCAACTAAGCGTAGGGAATCCTAGGGTTAGAAAATTCCAGAAAGCAACCTACAGTGAAAGATAGTTGCAACCATAAAAGAAAATCATGAGGGAGTCTCTTAGGTTTCACTTATATCAGAGGACAGTATTTTCCTTCTTAAGAGAATGAACGTGCACATAGCCTCTTCTATTACAACAGGATATGTTCCCTGGAAAGAACAAGCAAAGGAAGCCATACAGAATATTCTCATCCAAATTACTACAAAATGGGAGATTTGTAGAACAGCAGTTGGAGACAAAAAATAAATAACAACATTATGTACAAGAAATCTGCTTCTGAGCAGTGCATGGTAGGTCAAGGCAGGGAATTTTTTCTTTGTTTTTGGAATTGGACTTTAAGCAATTGCATATAAAGTCTAGGCTGAGAATGTTTTCATAATTAACATCTTGCTCAGGATAACAAATATCTGACCTGAGGCTCCTATAACCCCCTTCAGATCCCCGGGCAGAAAGTTTTATTTAACTGGGGTCTTTTTCTTGTTGACTCCTGACCTGACCTCAAAATAATTCTCAACACAACATCCCAAGTAGCCACTACCATTCAGCTATATTTGTCAAGCTAATCAACTCTCCCAACCAGGGCATAACCAGACCAGAGGGGACCAAAGTAGGGACTTCAAGTAGACAGTGGTAAGACTGAAACCACATTGCTAGGAACCAGTCTCTCTCTCCTCCTCTCTAGCTTTATTCACATCTCTGTTACCTCCCTAACATTTCTAGGTTGCTGTATTAGGCAATGCACCAAGCAGGTGTTCAGCAGCAGTGGAGAATCAGTCAGTAAATCAGCCCAAGGCCATGGCACAAGGCTACTAAGAGTCATTTGGAGAAATAACTTCTACTTTCTAATCTACCCAGAAATGTTAATGGACTGACAATTGCATTAATTCAGGGCAGCAATGTTTCCTATTGCAATAATCTCCTAAACTGTGGCTCTCAAAAGTTGCTGCATATAAAAATTATTATGGGAAATTTACAATGCCAAGGCGGTACCACAGACTGATTAAATTCTAATTTCTGAGAGTGGAACCTGGGCATGAGTATTTTTTAAAGCTTTCTAGGTGATTCCTATATACAGACAAGTTTGAGAACCAGTGATCTAAGTGGTTTCTTGCCTCTAATTTAGTATCCTCATTATCTATCCTCCTCATTCCCCAAGAATGATGAAATTCACTTGTAAAATATCCTTCTAAAGCTCCCCATTGGCCACAGACTGCAAACCAACAGAATAACTTGGTCTGCTTATTAAAATACAGATTCTAGTCTCCACTTCAGACTTACTGAACCAGAGTGGTGGATTAGAGCAATAATTTGCATTTTTAATAGTCATACCAGATGATGTCAATGAATCTTAACTTTGAAAGCCTCTAATCTCCATGATAAAAGTCAAATCCTTTAGCATGGTGAAAAAGTGTTTCCTATTACAGCCCTTGCTTGTCTTTCCAGATCTATTTTGCTGAACCTCCTCCACCTGCCTTCTTCCCAGCACTCTATGCTCCAACAATTCCAAATTTGCCTCTCAACTTGTTGTCCTCCACCTGGAATATCCTTAGGTAAATCACTTAACTTCTCTTAGCCTATTTTCTCATCTGTAAAATGGGAGTTATAATATGTATATTTGGGGTTGTTTGATGATTAACTGAAATAATATATTTCAAAATGTGTAGTCTGGGCCTAGTCGAAAGAAAATGCTTAATGCTCATTCATTCACCAATTCTAGAACTTGTAAAGTTAGAGAGTCTGGGCAGAGTTGTGCTATATAATGTTAAAGAAGTATTGACTGCAGAGCCACTGCCTGAACCCAGGAATGACAATCCTACTACACTAGAGTAAGCATATTTGCAATATGAAAAAAAAGTGGGGAGGAGAAATTGCCGTGCTTTAGGATTTCACAGGCCACCCACCAAATGTACTAAAAAATAAAATAATCCCTCAAAAAATGGGATGCCTGATCTCCTTAGCTCCAAGGCAGCTTATTCAAGAGTGAAGTTTTAAGACTGAATAAATAAATGCCCATATTAAACACTAGGTTAAATTCAGTCTCTGGCCTAAAGGTCCTTGCAATCTAAAGGAAACAGCATACAAAGATGGACACATGCACAAGGAGGAATTTATAAAGTTATTTTTAAAGCTTTGTTATTTTCTTACTGTACCCAATACTCTTGACTGACAAACAGAAGGAGGAAAAAATGTCAGGAAGAAATTTTCTCCCAGTCCCTATGCACCCCGAATATTTATTTAGTTTTCATCTGACACTTATTAACACTAATTTGTTAGTATGTCTTTTGTTTTATAGACCCATAATAAAGCACTGAGTTTCTTGTTAATAATAGTGATAATGATGATGACGGTGATGATAACGAGAGCTGACAGGTTTTGAGTATTTACTAGGTACCAGGCATTTAGCTAAGTGCTTTAAATATGCTATATAATCTAGAGAACATCAGTTGGAGATAAATATCTCCATTTTTCAGATGAGAAAAGGAAAACAAAGATAAGCTATTTTACTTATCTAAGGTCCTTCTGTGTGATCTCTGCAGATCAAAGAACTAAGTAATGTCTCTTTAGCCCTAAACTCCAAACTACACTCTTAACTACAATAAAATCTGTGTCACCTCTAGTAATAATAGTTTAATTATTTTCTTTACAACAAAACCGCTTTAGAAATAGACAACTACTGGCTGGGCGCAGTGGCTCATGCCTGTAATCCCAGCACTTTGGGAGGCCGAGGTGGGTGGATCACGAGGTCAGGAGATCGAGACCATCCTGGCTAACACAGTGAAATCCTGTCTCTACTAAAAATACAAAAAAAATTAGCCGGGCGTGGTGGCGGGCGCCTGTAGTCCCAGCTACTCAGGAGGCTGAGGCAGGAGAATGATGTGAACTCAGGAGGCGGAGCTTGCAGTGAGCTGAGATGGCGCCACTGCACTCCAGCCTGGGCGACAAGGCGAGACTCCGTCTCAAAAAAAAAAAAAAAGAAATAGACAACTACTAATCACTGGAGGAAATCACTTCCATAACCTGTGAAGACCCAACATTTGCCAAATGATCATAGATCTGGTCACTGGCTTGACTTGGTAGTTACCAGCATACACCAGTTTGGAATTCTTCTGCTGATATTAGAAGAAACTCAAAAACTCTCCAACTGCTTATCATATAGTCTGTTCAGAATAAATGCTGTTCTCATTACTCCTTTGGGCAAACCCTTAAATTGGATTGAGATGTTGGTTTGGGGCTGCTCAAGGGCATTAGCTATAGCTGGGGATAGCTTGATTTTTCTCCTTTCATAATGGACAAATCATTATATACAGAAATCTAAAAAATTCTGCAGACCTCTTTATGGCAAGAATATGAAATCCTGCTTGTTTTGTCTTGTCTTTTATGCTACTCTTCTCTGACAAGCCCATCACCATAAAAATGGCTACTGAACTGGGAATATTTTCAAATAAATTAACTTCAGTGTATTTTGTTTATACTTATGATTTATTCAAGATATTGTACTAGGAAGTGCAAGGTGACAGTGATATGACATCTAAAGTAGCTTAAAATTTAGCAGAGAAATAAATGTTTATACAATTAACCATGTCTAATGTGATAACTTCTATAGTGGTGCTTGGAACAATGTCTATAATAATATAATGAAGAGGGCAACTGATTTTTCCTAGAGAAGGAATTTTTAAGATTATTTTTAATAACAAAAGAATACTTATATAAGAGATAAAATCTGATTTTTAAAAATCAGCAAGATTGTGTCTTGTAAAGGTGGGGAAAAAAAAGCATTATAGGCAGGGGTAATGGAACAAAGGATAAAACTAGAAACAACGGGAGATTCCATAGAAGAACAAGAAATCAAGACAATTGGAAAGATCATTACAGAGATTGATAGTTTGCCACTTGGTAGAAATGCTGCAGGGAAAATTCAAATATCAGATGAGTACTTGGACCAGAAAATTCATAATATTTGCAAACCTGACCTTTATTACTGGATGCTACACAGACAAATGAACATGCAAAATCTCAAACTTCCAGGAAACACCCAACTTCATGACTCTTAGACTCATAATGTAGTAGAATAGACTTCAGTTTGGGAAAGATAACTTATCCAAATTATCACAACATGACTTCCCTGGACTCCTTATCATCCATTTCCTCAGGCAAGGAAACACAAATACCAGCAGCAGAAAAACTGAGAATTCCTCAATTAAGACCAACTTACATCAAAATCAAAATAAACTCCAAACACTGAAAAGGAAAAGAATGATATAATTGAGTACCAAGTTCTGATTCTTATAATTTTTTACCTGATTAACGTTCACATTATATAAATTTAGACATGTTTTCCGTGGTCATTGTAATATATGCCATGCACATGAGAAAACTCTTTGCTTTCTTTTTGTTACGCTAGCTAGGAAATTGCCTATCTTCTCTTATGATTCAGGACTTGTAATTATTTAAAGAATCTAAATGCTTAGTTTATAATGTGTTATATTACTCTGTGTAATAAGGTTTATATCGTTTTAGCAAAGGAAAGATCTTGAATCAATGGGCTTGTAATCTGGGCTGATACTAGAGGAGCAATACATGAGAGGTACTCACCTAGAGACCACTCCCACTCTCTTTCATGTCAGAATACCAACTTCTGTGTGTAGTTTTGACTATGATTTATAATCTTTGAATTTTATGTTTCTAGAAGTCTTTTTAAACTACATATTTATAGTCTTTTTATTTATCTTTTCTCCCACTTGTTCTACAACTATTTAGCTTATTCAAAGTCCCATGTTTGTTTCCTTATTCTTTTTCCAAAAGGAACAATTACATATTCATAATTTAGAAACAAATACATCCATATATAAACCGTATTCTCATTATTAAAAACTATAAAAATCGGCTGGGTGCGGTGGCTCACGCCTATAATCCCAGCACTTTGGGAGGCTGAGGCGGGCCGATCATGAGGTCAGGAGATCCAGACCATCCCGGCTGACGTGGTGAAAGCCTGTCCCTACTAAAAATGCAAAAAATTGTCTGGGTGTGGTGGTGGGCACCTGTACTCCCAGCTACTTGGAAGGCTGAGGCAGGAGAATGGCGTGAACCTGGGAGGCGGAGCTTTCACTGAGCTGAGATCATGCCACTGTACTCCAGCCTGGGCAACAGAGTGAGACTCTGTCTCAAAAAAAAAAAAAAAAAAAAAACTATAAAAATCAAATATATACTATTATATCCCTATTTGAATTACAACCATCTAACATTTTACACTTTATATTCTGTCTTGTATGAGTATCATTAAGGATCTGTGACCTTTCACAGACTCAGTTTGTTCCAACTGACCCTAACAATAACCCCAATAACAAGAATATCAGTAATTACATTTAATATTATTATATATTCAGATTTTTTACAACTGACTAGCAGGAATTAATTTGTTAGCAACTTTTTCAGCATTACCCTGACGTTTACAAACTATTCTTGCTTCCATGCATTTAACTCCTTTTTGAAACCCCATTTAAATGATGACAAAGTTATCAGAAGGGTAAAATCCTCAAGGAGAAAGGAATCAGAAAAATGATGAGAAATGTCTACAAAATGTTTGAAGCTGGGAAACAAACTCGCTTTCTCTTAGAAGTTAAGTCTGCATTTGTGGAGAAGCAAAGTGGAGGGTGGGGAGTCAAGAAATAATCCAGTTTATGCCTTTGAGCTCTGAAAAACACAGGACTTAGAGACATATATTTCAGGAAGATGTAGGTGGGACTGACAGAAAGATTAGTTGAAAATTTGCATTTGAAGAAATTAGAGTGCTAGATACCCTCATCCACCCAACAGAGCAGGGTCACTATCAGACCAGTCAGAGGCAAATGCCTGAAGACTCACTCTCTTAAACCAGAGGGAGCTTGGGCAGAAACACTAGAGCTGAGGGAGTGGTCATGAAAACAAGATGGCTAAGTGAGCATTTACATCCTGATGTGTGAGAACTCCAGCCTCTCCTCCCTTTGGCCCTGGACCAGCAGACTTGCTTATATTCATCAGGCAGACCCTTAGTGGGTGCATTTTTGAGAAAAGCAACCTGCCCAAGAGCATAGACCTAACAATAACTGTCTTGTCACTTTACAATGAGCTCACTTTATGAGGAACCCAACATCCCCATTTCTGGTTAGCTCCTTTGTGCTTCACACTTTAACATGACCAGGCACTGACGGATCTCTAAACCTTCGAGACAGAAACAAAGCAAATACATAAGGAAAAAGAAAAATGGAGGAAACAAAGACAAAAGAAGCAGAAAAAACTTCTAAAGAAATAATTTAATAGTCTCAAAGAAAAGGGAAGATATTGCATTCTTGAAATGAGAATAGGAAGTCTGAAAAAAAGAAACACTCAAATTCTGAAAGAGGTCTTGGAAAAAAATTTTAATGGTGTCAGAAATAAAAAGGTTAATAGAAGGATTGGGCAATAAAAATATAAAGTTGGGGCCGGGCGCAGTGGCACACGCTTGTAATCCCAGCACTTTTGGGAGGCCAAGGCGGGCAGATTACAAGGTCCGGAGTTCGAGACCAGCCTGGCCAACATGGCGAAACCCCATCTCTACTAAAGATACAAAAAATTAGTTGGTGTGGTGGTGCACACCTGTAATCCCAGCTACTCAGGAGGCTGGGGCAGGAGAATTGCTTGAATCTGGGAGGCGGAGGTTGCAGTGAGCCGAGATCATGCCACTGCACTCCAGCCTGGGCAATAGAGTGAGACTCCCTCTCTCAGAAAAATAAAAAATAAATAAATAAAGTTGGAGAAATCTCCCAGAAAGCAAAGCAAAAATCCCAAGAGATTAAAAAAGAAAAGATGTTTAAATGAGTATGTGAATACTAAGAGTTCAGAAAGAAAGAACAGAGAAACAGGAAGGAGAAAATTGTCAAAGACTAGAGACAAAAAAAATTCCCATAACTGAAGGGTATGAGTCTTCAAAATGAAAAGCCCTACTGAGTGCCTATCACAATGAATATGAGAACAAACACACACATACACAGACTTCGAGCAACATTATCATGGAATTTCAAGACACTAAGGATAAGGAGATCTTAAAAGTTTCTAGTGATAAGAACTTAACATTTGTTTCTAGTGAGAAAAAAATCATACAAAATGTGTTAAAAATTAGAATGACATCAGACATTTTAACAGCAACACTGGCAACTAGAGGACAATGCAAAAATAACCCTCATAATTCTGAGGAAAAGCAATTTGATTACAGAATTCTCTTTCCAATCATATTCCCAATCAAGTATGAGGGTAGAAATAAAGACTTTTACACTTAATAAAGATCTAAAATATGTATTGCCTCCCACTGGCATCCTTTTTCAGGAAGCTACTGAAGGATGTGCTCCACAGAAACAAGGAAGGAAAGAAACAAAATGTCACATGAGAAATGTACACATAGTATACTATATGACTTGGCTGTGAAATGTATATCTAGATATCTGTATCCACATATCATAAAAACACTGAATATTTTATTAACAAAAATTTTGATATATCTGTCATCAGAAGAAGGGGGTAAAAGAAGTGTGAATGGAGTGCTAAAAACAGAACTAAATCCTAAGCTCCTCTAGCAGGAACTCTAAAACAATGTCTACAACTAAAAAAACAAAGAAATAACCATAGTAATGTATTATTCAAAAATGTGGAGGAAATTCTAAAAACAAGAGGGAAAAGGTTAAAATTGGTGCATCTTAGGATAGGAATCAGAGTTGAGAGGAGTGGCCAAGGTGACTGCTAATTTTTATTAAAAGTCCTGCAGAAAAATGTACTACTTATTACCAATTTAAAAAATAGTAAGATGATAAGAAAAAGAGCTTCTTTAACCTTATAAATGGTTTTTTTTACTAAAGATATTTTAAGCATTTAGACATATTCTTATTAAAGTTATTTACTATCTCTCTTTCCTTAACATTGTACTGGACTTTTCAGTCAATCTCATAAAATAAGAAAAAGAAATAAATATTATAGAGATTGGTAAGGAAGTAATACTCCTTTATTATTTTTAGATAGCAGAATTGTGTAGAAATGCAATAGAAATTCTAATTAATTAATGAGAATAATTAAGATAGTTCATTGAGATTTTTGGATAAAATATTAGTATACTGAGAATTTGTCTGTTGTAGGGCCTCAACATTTGCTATTTCCTCTGCTAGGAAGGATTTTCCCTCAAGATACTGAGTAACTTTCTTCCTCATCATATTCATGTTTCTGCTCAGAGATGCCTTTCCTGAATCTTATTGCTCCAAGTCATGTTCTTTCCTAGTATACTATCATTTTTTGGAGCATTTGTGAGTACTCACTAATAAGAGACATCTTACCCCATTGGACTGGAAGCTCCTAGAGAGCAAGACCAACTGTCTTGCTTACTACTGTATCCTCAACAATTACTATAGTGCTTGGCACAGAGCTAAGGCTAAATTAATACTTGCCATTAATGGCAAGGATTAATGATGAGCATGCAGCAGTGGAAGCAGCATTAACTACTTAGAAAATATAATAGAACAAAAAATAACATTGATTATAGAGAATAAATACTGTAAACCAATAATACATTTCGTAACAGGTGTTCAAAGTCTTTATAGAGAAATTTAAAAAAAAATTCCAGAAAGACTTAATTGAATTTCTCATTAAATGAAGGGATGTGGCATGTTTATTTGTCATGTACAGGAAGATTCAGTTTTATAAGGACAAATGATCTTAACATCAATATATAAATTCCATAAAATTCCAGTGTAAATCCTGTTGGAATCTTTTATGGAACATGACAAAGTGATTCTAAAATTGATTTGGAAAGCATAAAGGACTAAAACAGGTAAGATATTCTCTAAGGAAAAGTGGGGTAAAAACTCGCATAGCAGGATAAGAAACATGTATTGAAGGCAGAATATTAAAACAGTGCAGTACTGGTGGAAATATATGAATGGAATAGTAGAATAGAGAGGTGGAAAATGGAACCAAGCTCATAAGAGATTATCTTCTTCAAATCTGTGCAGAAAGAGTGGATTTTCTCCATATATGGCATTGAGAAAAATGGCTTTCCAAAAATAAAAGTAGAAAGTCTCACACAGTGTCTTAGCTTGGCAGACCCTGAGATGAAGACTTGGGTGCAAGCAGTTTACTTGGAGGCAATCTTTGGTGGCTCAAGTGAGGAAGCGGGAGAAAGTGAGAAGAGTAAAGTTAACAAAAGGTGTGTTAATGAACAGATTGCTGTTAATGAAAATTGGAGCTTAATCCTCACTGTGAATTTGGAGAAAACATGTGGCATATACTCCTTAAGATTGTCCCCCAGAAGATGGGAAACTAACATTTATCTATGGATTCCATTTTTTTTCCCTCCTCAGTTTTATTTGTACAAATAGCATAGGAGGACACCAGCCCTATGCAGACGGCAGCCCAAGGGGGTCACACCAGTCCTTCTGTCCTCACGTTGGCAGACAGAGATCTCTACTCTGAAGCTTTTATAGGGGACTGGGCACCTTTGGGAGCCTGAGCTGGAACTGTAGCTGGAGCTGCAGCCTGGGCCTTGGTTTGATCCTTGGCCTTTGGCTGGCACAGACTGAGCCCCTTGGCAATGTGGGCATAAGCATGCTTCCCAAGCTTGGGGTGGGCAATATAGGCAAGTCAATCGAACTTGCAGCTGACACTCTTTGGGATCTTGGGCTTAACCTCCTTGGGCTTTACAAGGGCCTTGATAGCCTTGGCAAGTGCACTCATGGCCTTGGCATTGTTGGCCTGCATCTTCTTTAGGCCCTTCTTGGTGTGCTTCTTGGCAAAGCACATGATTCTCAGGAACTTGGGGTCCACCTCCTTAAGAGATTCGTATCTTTGTGGTCAGGGTTTCTTGATGCCATTTCTGGGCCATTTTCGAGACTGATTGTGTGTGGTGTGATTCTTGGACTTGGCCATGTCTGCACCTTAAGCCGTGGCTCCTGAAATGCCTAGAACCACTATAGATCTCATTTTTGAAGGTTGCCCCAGGGCATCAACTCCCCCAACACCTGTCCAGGATCTTGATACCTGTCTTGTGTCAGAGAAGCCTCCCATGCACAGAAGAGAGATGCAAATACTTTTAAGGGGATAGTCAGCTTGCAGAAATTCTCTTAAGCTGCAGGAGAGCTTAGGTAGGTGTAGACAATGTCAGCAGCATCTGCGACACACACTATAAACAAATAAAACAAAAATGAAGTCTAAATGTATAAAAAGATCTTAATGTGAAAAATATAACTAAAACTATTAGGAGAAAATATTGAGCACGGTGCAGTGGCTCATATCTGTAATTCTAGCACTTTGGGAGGCCAAGGCAGGAGACTTGCTTGAGGCCAGGAGTTTGAGACCAGCCTGGGCAATGTAGCAAGACCCTGTCTCTACAAAAACAAAAATTAGCCTGACGTGGTGGAAGCATGCCTATAGTCCCAGCTACTGGGAATACATGATATTAATCAATTCAGATCTCAAATGCATAAGATCTCATTAAAAAAAGCAAACAGCACAGTATTATGTGTGGTATAATACAAATTATGTAAATTTAAAAATACGTACAAAACAAAAATATTGTTGATGAATATATCTGTAGTGTTTTATTAATATTTTCTAAAGATGTGCTGAATCAAAGATGACTAAATGTCAATATTTTTTCATTTTGGAATGGCATGTACATAGGTGTTATAAAGTATCCTTTACATCTGTTTTGGGTGAACAGAGTTTGGTTTAGGATCTCTTCTCTTTTTTGAGGGTAGGATTGCCTTCCAAGTTTAAAGTAAAGGAAAAAAGCAGGGTAACAGAATAGGACAGAATCCTATTCTAAGGAACAAGAGTAGAAAAAAATGTGTACAAGGCAAACAAGTGGACAACGGAAAGGACAACTGGTTAGGCAGACAAAAACCAGTGGACCTGGACTAAGATACAAGTGTTACAGAGCCATTTTCAGACAATTTCTGCTACAATTACAACTCTCTTATAATTAATATCATTTTATCACTTATCAGTTTATCTCAATCCATCAAAACATCACACAGTGGAATGCTCTGGGTGCTTAGTTTCTAGGAATTGACTTTGAGATCTTGAACAGAAGACACAACAATGAAAATTGAATGCAATTATAAACTGGTTAGTGGTTAACCACATGGGTTCTGTAGTCCCAGAGCCTGCAGAATGAATCCAGCTTTGCCACTTCACATGGCTGAGCAGTTTTGAGATGGCTCTTGCTCTTTCTATGCCTTTGCTTCATCATGTAATAATAATGCTAGTATTGGAGCTCATCATTATAATATTATTCTATAGGGATAATAATATTTTCCTCTTTATAGTATTGTGAAAATTAAATTTGATTATGCTTTTAAAGCTTCTAACACTGTGACTTACTCAAAGGTAATAGCTCAATAATGGCAACTATTGTCATTATTTCACTGCATTTAGTGAAACCATTGCCCTTTCCTACACTATAGCATGTTTGATTTTCATGTAGTCTGAGAACATGACCAATATTAAGCAGGCGATGGTGTTGGAAATGGTTTCTGGTCATCCAAACATGCCATTGATTTGTGTGTGCTCACTTGTGTACATGTGTGACTGCTGGATTGAATTGCCTGACCAACACTCCTATTCCTAAGAATTTTTTCCTCATCATCACAAATGTGCAATTAATCCACAAGATTGCAGAAGGAGCAGCCAAGTATAAACAGATGACTCCACCCATGGCCATAGCTGAATGGCTGATAAAGCAGAGTGTGGAAAGAAGAGAAGAAAGAAGCAGACACTAAGACAACAGAGAGAGAACCAGAATTGATGACTTTTGAGTCCCTGACCTCGATTCATTTATTAGGTTCAGCTACATTCTTAGATTTGAGTTCTATGTGAGATCCCAAATTCTCTGTATTAATTCATGTTTTTGCCAAAACAATTTTGAGTTGGGTTTCTGTTACATACCACCCAGAGTTTTGGCTAATATAATGTGAATGCAACACTGACAATAGAGCTACTTTTCTACTTGCCTATGGCTGGAAAGTAATAAAGAGACTTGGCTCCCCACCCAGGAAAAGAGATTGATAAAACTATAGAACTTGCAAAGTTTTATTGTTTGTCCAGCTCATCAGTTTAAAAATAATCACCACAAATTGGAAGAATTGAGAGCTTTAGGAGAATATTCAGAAAATAAACAAATGAGTGAGTGAGGTATGTGTCTGTTGATCTTCACTTCACCCAATTCTGTTTATTTAGACATCATAAAAGCACTTATATAATCAGACAGAGTTCTTCTAGATTGAAAAAAAAAGGTAACAGAGAAATGACATGACTTGGCCTAAATGCAGTTAAATAATACAAGGAGACAGAATGCAAATGAATATATTTTGTGTGTGGAATAGATATGCTGCTAATTGCGTTCACTTATTATCACAGAAATGACATGTTTTCAGCTTTAGTTATATGCCGCCACAGTTAATAATTGAAACACAAACACATGAAACAGTAATTTAGTGGCAGACTTTGTAATTACAAAAGTGTAGTAAGGGTTTGTTTTGTAAACATATGTGAAACTCCTTTGTACATGGTGTAATTAGCATGAACATAAAAATATAAGAAAAGCTTAAAGAAGAAATTTAGCCATATTCTTACTAATGCAATGGTCCAAATGAAGACTTGCAAGCCTCCATGACTCAAAGGTTTTCAAAGGCTCTGGCTTGGGACAAATGAACTGGTTAAAAGGTTTTAAAAACAGTAGGCATACTTTGAAATATTCATATAATATTTATAATTTATGATTCTATATTTTGAGTGGTCCTGTGGTACAATCCCAGACTATATTTTAGCTTCTCTGATGGGTTGACAGTGCAACACGGTGGCTAAGTGAGACGTTGCTTTTAAATTCTTGCTCTGTTAACTCTGTTTGATCATAGACTAAGTCCTTACTGTCTATGAGCCTTGGTTTCATCATTTATAAAATAAAAATAGGTGACTAGAAGGATTCATTTAGGTAATGTATATCTTTGAAAAAATGTATTACATTGGTTTCCACAAATGTATTAGGTACTCAGTAAATAGCAGTTATTATGAGCTACAGATGTGCCTTCCGAATACCTATATTTGTAGGCTAGAAGAAACAGGTCATTTTTGCTTAACTAATTTGTAATTGTAATGCATTAAGTTACTGAATCCAGCTAATTTTCCTTGTCCTTGTAAACTCAAATAGTCAAGGGGCATATGCCATGATATTTAACTCTACTAAGCTCCATGCCAAGCATGTACAGACCATATCAATGGCTTTTCAAAACAACTCCATCAAATCGCCATTATTTTCTCCCATTTTAAAGACGAAGAAAATAAGACTCAGAAAAGCTAGATAACTTTTTCCATAATCAAACATAGTAACTAATGGAATCAGAACATGAAACTGGGTAATCTGAAAACCAAACTATTATAAAAATTGATTCAAATCCATTTTATCCTAGCTTTAATCACTCCAATAGCATGTTTATGTGCCAGACCATTCAAAAGCATAAATTTATTTTCATATAAAATAATATTATTTGGGGTAGTGATTTTGCCCTAAAAAAATAGAAAAATTCAAGGGAAAATGGGAACTTGAAGACCAAAAAAAAGCACAATTTAGTATTTAGGGTTGTTCTCATTTTCTGTGGCCCAAAGAATGTGGGGTCAAATTTCTAAAAAGCAAGTCTAAGTTCTTAGTCCTACAGTGCCCCCAGGTTTGTAGTTAACAATGTGCACATGTACCCTAAAACTTAAAGTATAATAATAAAAAAAAATGAAAAAATACATATATACACACAAATAAATTTAAGAGTTTCTGTAAGGGCATCACTGAAGATAATAAAAACCTGGGATATGCTTCTTAAAAGCACCAATTTTAAAAATCCCTGAAAAGATTGTAATGTGGCAAGAAAAATAAAGTTACAGCCAGACGTGAAAAAAAGAAAAAAAAGAAAAAGAAAAATAAATTTGAAGTAATCTGAAAAAAAAAAAAAAAGAATGTACAGGATGGAGTGAAATTCAGTTAGGCCAGTGACTTGCTGGTCTGCCCTTGCTACACGGAAAGAGCCAAAGTTGGACTC
This sequence comes from Homo sapiens, assembly GCF_000001405.40. Lineage (NCBI taxonomy): Eukaryota > Metazoa > Chordata > Mammalia > Primates > Hominidae > Homo > Homo sapiens. The sequence continues at coordinate 105,006,946 of NC_000008.11, read as the reverse complement.
TGCTGTCCCTGGTCTAGGCCATTGATCCCCAAAAGCCTAAAAAACAGCATACAAATCAAGGTAATACTGGCCCATGAGCCATACGCGGGTTATCTCAGCCTGAGAACACAGAGAAAAGGAAAGCCACCAAGAATGGGAGGTAATTTTTCAGCTAATCCATGAAGAGCACATTATTATTTTTTGACAGCGATGAATATTTGTAAAGGAATATTTGGAGAACCTGAAAAACCCTTCATTTTCTTCAGTGGGCACATGTATACATCTTAATGTGAAAAACACAGAAATCCCTATCTCCCAGCTCTACATTTCCGAACATGCTCAACAAAGGGTGCACTCAGATGAAACATCAGTTAGCTGTTTCTTTCATCGGGAATGTGCTTATTAACTGTTGTTCAAATAGTTTGTAGACATAACAGCCCCAGGAGTGAATGTGGCTTTGTATTTACAAGGTAGCCATTTGTTGTTATTTATAGTTCTTTTAATTTTCACCTTTTTACATTTAAATTTTCTTCCAAAGGTTATGATTAAAATAGGCACTACTTAAGAGAGGAAAAACTACCTTTAATGTGCTTTTTTTTTTCCGTACAGGTTTTTAAGCTTTAGAAAGAATCCAGGGGTGCCCAATTTGTTCCTTTGTCAATTTTATGAACATCTATAATCTGTTTCCCAAAAAAACCATCATGGTATCATTATGCAAAACTAAGATAGAAGCCTCTTTTAACAGAGGTCATCATGCTAAACAGATGTTCTTCCTTTCATCTGTTGGCTAAATTGCTCAAAACAAAAGAAGTAAAGAGAATTAACATTTATTTAAAGTGTTAATGTTACGAGACTCTGCTGGTCGACACAAGTTCATTTTCACATGTAAATCTTAAACCAACATAATTCATATGTTGGCGCTATTATGGAGAGCTGCACAGCAAACAGGTTAAGGAAAGACTTTAGTGTCATGCACATCTGAGTCTCCATCAAAACACTGCCACTTATCAGCTCTATAACTCAAAGTCTTTTTATCTCAATCTTCTTATTTTCAAAATATGGAAAATATTAGTATATGTGATGAAAACTTACCACATATGCTAACATTTTAATAAATTGAAGAATGACTAAATTGAAGAATGTAGGTAAGCCCTTAGAACCGTGCCTAATATCTTTACTATTACTTTTCATTTCTCAGAAGTGCAAACTGAGGCATGACACTCCATCCAGCCAGTGAGTAGCAGTGATATGTGAACCTGAGTCTTTTTGACTCCAAAAATGAATACTCTTCCCACTACATTGCAATAGAATGAATGGTGACTAAATGGGATGTTGTGAAATATGATAGAGAACAACGTTTTTCAGACTAGAGAGATGAAATAGGGTCTTTTTCCTAGAAATTGACATGCCAAGTGCAAAGTAATCTCATCAGGATGTTGTTGCAAATACTAGGAATTTATTTAAATAGTCGTGTTTCCAAAAGTACTTGAGTATACATAGAAAAGACCTGTACCGCTGATGGGAATGTTTTCTGAAAGAAAGTGAAGAGTCAAGGACAGAAATAGCAGTTCCCTCCTGTGTCCCTACCAAACACTCATCCCATTCTCCTGGAGGAGAAAATATCTCATTTTTTACCAACTCAGTACCAGTCATGAAAACAGCTGGTAGCATTCTATGCTCCTGCAATATGCCAACATACAAAAAAGGAACTTAAAATGTTCAATATTAATGGAAAAGCCAAATCTAGTAAAACATGGTATGCTCCCTCAGGTTCTGCACACAACCCATGTCACAGGCACTTTCTGGGATCTCCTCTTCCTCTTTCAGCCATTACTATGTCCAAAAAACATGCACTGAAAAGGATTACAAGTAGACCCTTGAGAATTAGCAGTAGCATTTATGGAAAGCCTGGTGCTGCCTGTCTATTGTCTAAAAAAAATTTTTCAGAAATTAAATACAGATATTTAGAAACTAATCAGATTTTTAAAAATTCATCTGGCTATTTTTCAAAATATGAACTCAACCAGCCCCATCCTATCTCTACCTTCAGAGTTCACCTTAGGTCCACACACATCAACAGCACCCTAAACTGTCTAGCAGCAACACTGTGTATACAGGGTGGGTCACATTTTTTTTTTCTGAAGTCGCAAATCATCTACACGTTTCAAATGAACACACTTTTTCAAGCATTAACGTTTGATGATGTGTGTGTGTGTGCATGCCCATGTGCATGTTTATGTGTGTATATATGACAGATAGGAATGAAACAAAATTTCTGCCAATTGGCAACCAACAATCCATGCTGAAGGGAGAGATTTCAAGATAAAGAGGAAAATTAAGAGAGAGGGGAGATGTGGTAGACCCCTCAACGTCAGGGTCTCCAATGGTCCCTGCCTCCTGGTATTCACATCCTCATATAGTCTCCTCCCACATTGTACCAGGTTTGCTCTGTGTGGTGAATAAAACACAGCAGAAGTGATGGTTTGCAGTTTCCAATATTGGGTTATAAAAGACACTGTGATTTCTATCTCCTTTGTCCTCTCTCTCTTCTCTCTCTCTCCCTCTTTCTGGTTACTTGATTGGAGAAAAGCCATATTGGGAGCATCCCTTTGGAAAGGCCCACATAGCAAAGAGCTGAAGCTTCATACCAACAGCCACATGAGTGAGCATGGTAACAGATCCTCCAGCCCTAGTCAAGCCTTCAGATGACTGTAGCCCTGACTAGCAGCTTAAATTCAGCCTCATGAGACACTTGAGCCAGAACTACCTAGCTAAGTCTCTCAGATTCCTGACCCTCAGAAACTGAGATAATAAATGTTTGTTGTGTTAAATTGTTAAGTTTTGAAATGGTCTGTTACATAACAGCAGATAACTAATATAAGAGAGGAGAGGACATGGGATAAAAGGATGAAGAGATGATACTAGGATAATCAAGTTAAGAGTGGAGATTGTGAAAATTATTTGCTTAAGTTTTTCCTTTCATTTCAATGCTTTGTACTCTGGGTTTTACCAATCAAACCTCCCCTGGCCTTACAATAATATATTCTGACCTAAGTGACAATATTTATACTGATTGCTTTCTGACACAATCTTTGGTTACACTAGAACAAACAGCTGTGGAGGATAATGATGAGTGTTGTTGATCGAAAGATTATACAAATGTGTGTATGTTTGCATATATATATATATGAGAGAAGTATATAGATATACTTATATATAAGTATATATGTATACTTATAAGTATACATACTTATATGTATATATAAGTATATATATACGTATACTTACATATAAGAATATATATATATACTTCTCATATACACACACACACACACACACACACACACATACATATATACAGGTATATGCAGACACATATGTGTCCATGTACTCAAGTTTAGAAATGTAAAATAGAATTAATTTCAGAAAGAAATACAAAGACTTAGTGGAAATGCCTCCACAGAACCCTAGCAAACTTTAATTTAGTCCAGTTAGAAATCCCTTTTTGGTAATACATTTCGCCTCTGTAAAATGGGAATTTCTTGAATGATTTCAATAGAGGAAAAATAAGAGAAGGTCACAGGCACAGTATATGCAGATGGTCAGCTGAAGGGTATCATTCTCCATTAAGAAGGATGAGGAGCCATGGACCCTGGCCCAGAAGGCCTGAGTCTTGGGCACCAAACCTCACTTGACTATTATCACTGCAGCCTCTGGGCTAGCAATGTCCCCATAGTTCGAATGCGAAACTTAAATAAAATGATCTTAAAGACTCCACCTAAGTCAAGGATCTATGAATTTGTATGAATCAGAGAGGAAAGTGAGGTCACATGTGGAAAATTAACAAGGAAAAAGCACATACTTCCTCCATCTTTGAGGGAAAATTTATTAGTTTGGTGCAAAAGTAACTGCAGTTTTTGGTATTACATTCAATGGCAAAAACTGCAATTACTTTTGCACCAACCTATACTATCTATTGAAGAAAAATGTACCTGTTCCCCAAAAGGTTTTATATGGTATAAGAAACTTAACACTAAGAATCCCAAATAGCGTATGGGAAGGGTTATCACTCCACAAGAGCTCAAAGCTTAATATGTATTCAGAGTAATTCAAATGATGTAACAATACATAGCTCTGTTTAATATATTTTGATTTTGTGTTCTTCTGTAAATTTCCGATTTTGTACAGCACATATATACTAGTTTTGCTATGAAAAATAAAGCATAAAAATAAATACTTTGAAAAAAGTTTAAAACAAGAAACTTATGGCTATTACTCTTTGTATCTCATTATGGTATTTGGCTTAGCTCTTCTCAGTGTACTCAGCTATATAAGGTCCTGTGGTGGATATATGAGAAATATAAGGCAAGTTGCCTATATTCAGGGAAATCCCAATCTCATTTGGAAGCCATACCTCCAAAAAGCAATCAGAGAACATTACCAGACAATATGTAATGTATTGCCTTAATGCAATACAAAAGGAGGTCATGATTAGAAAAAGTCAGTGGTGACAGCATCATAGAAAAGGACAGCTCAGGTAGCATATGAAAAATGAGTTGAACTTAAAGGAGAAGAGGAGAGAGAAAATATTACAAGTTAATGCAGCTTCACTCTACCTTGGATTCCTGCTTATTAGAGGCAAAGTCCCTGTGGAATGACAGTCAAGTTTCTCCATCATGTTTCAGAGGTGGATGTATTCCAGCTAATGGCCTTTACTCCATGGCTCCTCATCATTCTTGCTTCACTTTTGTTTTTATTCTACTTTATTATTATTATTACTATGAATAATAATAACAGCAGCTCCCATGTATTAACCACGTACAATATGCTCTGTTTGTGTGATTCCCAAAATTGCCCTGGGATGTAGGTTTTATTACTCTCATTTTATTTTCTCTTTATATGAGAAAACTAAGGTACAAAAGCATTAAATAACTTGCTCTCAAGTGACACAATTAGTAACATCACATCATGTCAGCCTCCATAACTCATGCCTCTCAGTCTTAAGACTTGTCAATGTTCGCTCTCTCTCACCATCTCTGGGCCCATCACCAGTTCTGCAGAGCACAAACAAGCAAAAACACAGGCAAGATAGTGGTGGGGTTTGACCAGGGCGAGAAACTCCTGCTCAAAACTGTCCCACAGTTGCTGGCACTAAAATGGCAGCCGGGAGAGAAGCTTGTTACAACAGAATAAAGAAGGTGCCTATTTCTATATTTTAAGATGGAGTTGGAAACAGTCACCAGCCTAAGGGGCCAGAAGACCTTTGCCTTGACCCACAGCCTCCCGGCTTGTCATATGAGTGAAAGCTGGGCCAAGACACCCTGTGTCAGACACCTTGCATTGCTGGGGATGCAAACAGGGCAGCTTCCATAATTGGGATTTCCTTAAAAATATGGAACATTTTTCACTATTAAACACTATCTTCAAAATCCTAGGGCAATGTTCCAAGAGCTTTGATTCACCCTGAAATGATTTGGTTCTCAGAATGTTTCAATTTCTGGATTTAGCAACTCTGAGATGTGGTGCAGAAAAAATATATATATTTTGAAAAATCCTTGAAGCTAAGGGCTCAGAAGAGCCAAGCAGCCAGCTAGAAATTGCAGAATATTTTATCACATTTTCTGTTTCAGCATCAGAATTTCTGCATGATAGGTATTCAAACAAATATAGGACAAACAACATAATACAAATTAGACATCAGGATTTAATCTTTTTTGTATTTATAATTTATAACAGAAAATGAAGCTGCTACTGATATTTGATAATTACCAATCCTGTATGATCTATATGATTGACATTCTCATTGTACATATAAGCCCACCTGCAACAGTCCCTGGTACCTATGAAGTGCTCAATAAATGTTAGTTTTTATTCTTATTATTAAAGTAAGAAAATCTTTTTATAATCTTTCTTTGCAGCAAAAAAAAAAAAAAAAAAAAAAGAAAACCATCCATTTGGTCCTAAGTAAATAGAAAAAAATCTGTTTCTTCTATTTTTTGGCCAATTTTTAGCTCCATAATTGACAAGTTGAGTTGACTCTACTCATAAATGCAACTTCCTCTTTCCTACTTTGTCATCAATTCATTACTATTGTGATGCTGACTAAAACAGCCCTGTTAAAAGCCATCGAAAACTTGCTACGTGCAAAATCCAATCTGTGACTCACTCATAGAATATCAGTATTAGCACCTTCAAGCATCCCTGTCACTTCACTCACAAATAATGATCTCCCTACTTCTATCCTCTAAGTGGTCAGAAAGCTCTATTGGTTTTGTATCAATTCACTCTCTCCCCTCCATCCCTCCTTTCAGTTCTCACTTCCCCTGCCCTAGCTGTACTCCTTATTACCTCTCACCCAAACAATTACAGTTGCTGCCTAACTGATCTCCAGTCTCTGTCCATTCCAATACATATGAGTACTGCCACCCACATTATTTTCTGAAACATCAAACCAATGTCACTCCCTGCTGGAAAGCTTTTAGTTGGCCTCCTTCACATGCTCCATAATGTCCTGCTTCCTCGACCTGTCATTTAAATTCCTTAATAACACAGGCTTTACTTACATGTCTAGATTTAATTCTCAATCTACAGCAATTTTTCTCACTATTCTTAGAAAATGACTTTACTTGCTTACCTTAACATCCAGTTTGTTTGTTTGTTTGTGTATTTATTTTAAATTTCACTTTAAGTTTCAGGATACAAGTGCAGAACATGCAGGTTTGTTACACAGGTATACGTGTGACATGGTGGATTGCTGTACCTATTGACTCGTCCTCTAAGTTCCCTCCCCTCTCACCCCCCACTCCCCAACAGGCCCTGGTGTGTGTTATTCCCCTCCCTGTGTCCATGTGTTCTCATTGTTCAACTCCCACTTATGAGTGAGAACATGTAGTGTTTGGTTTTCTGTTCCTGTGTTAGTTTGCTAAGGATGATGGCTTCCAGCTTCATCCGTGTCCCTGCAAAGGACATGATCTCATTCCTTTATATAGCTACATAGTATTCCATGGTGTATATGTGCCACATTTTCTTTATCCAGTCTATCACTGATGGGCATTTGGGTTGGTTCCATGACTTTCCTATTGTAAATAGTGCTGCAATAAACATACGGGTGCATGTGTCTTTATAGACTGATTTATATTCCTTTGGGCATCAACCCAGTAATGGGATTGCTGGGTCAAATGGTATTTCTCATTCTAGATCCTTGAGGAATCGCCATACTGTCTTCCACAATGGTTGAACTAATTTACATTCCCACCAACAATGTAAAAGTGTTCCTATTTCTGCACAGCTTCACCAGCTTCTATTGTTTCTTGACTTTTTAATAATCGCCATTCTGACTGGCATGAGATGGTATCTCATTGTGATTTTACTTGCATTTCTCTAATAATCAGTGATGTTGAAGTTTTTTTTCCTATGTTTGTTGGCTGCATAAATGTCTTTTGAGAAATGTCTGTTCATATCCTTTGCCCACTTTTTGATGGGGTTTTTTTCTTGTAAATATGTTTAAGTTCCTTGTAAATTCTGGATATTAGACCTTTGTCAGAAGGGTAGACTGCAAAAATTTTCTCCTATTCTGTAGGTTGCCTGTTCACTATAATGATAGTTTCTTTTGCTGTGCAGAAGCCCTTTAGTTTAATTAGATCCCATTTGTCAATTTTGGCTTTTGTTGCAATTCCTTTTGGAGTTTTTATCATGAAGTCTTTTCCCATCCCTATGTCCTGAATGGTATTGCCTAGGTTTTCTTCTGGTGTTTTTATGGTTTGGGGTTTTATATTTAAGTATTTAATCCATCTTAATTTTTGTATCAGGTTTAAGGAAGGGGTCCAGTTCCAGTTTTCTGCATATGGCTAGCCAGGTTAATCTTTCAGAAAGGTCTTGCCATCTCCCCCTCTTATTCTCTACCCCTTTTCTCAATATGTTATTTTAGTTTCAACTCCAACCCATCATCTTTCAAGAAGCTCTCTCAAATTCTTTCCTTTATAACCCCTCTCTCTCTTACTTTCTCTTTTACAGTTGTCCTCTCTTTCCTCCAACTCTCCTAGCACTTCATTTATTGTCACCATGTCTGCTTTAAGAATAATTTTAAAAATGTTTCAATCAGAGACCACATTGTGATGGTCTGGAAGGCAAGAACCATAGTATACTTCTTCCACAGTGTCTGCAGCAGTGTGCATGATTTCAGACAGTAGATATCTCATAAATGCTTAACGAATTAGAAGTGTGCTACTGTAATTAAAAGTAAAAAATTACTATGTAATGTAGTTCCCCCATACCATATTTAACTTCCATTACATCAGCTAACCTGACTGTCATCTTTACTACTTGTATCCCCAGCAATTGGCATAAAATTTGCCAAATAAAGGGTATTCAAATATTTGTTAAATAAATGACTGATTAAACAAAATTAGAAACTAAAATTCCTATAGAATAATCTGAAATACATATGAATTGTCTCCATTTTACAGTTTAATGTAAACTATACATTATTAATTCAGGATTTAAATAATGTAAAATTCAATATTATTTCCCAAATCAGGATTCAATACTTTCCCCAAAAGGTCTAATTAAGAAAATAATGCTGAAATGGGTATTCAGTTGTTTTTAAAACTTTATTTACTGATTATCACACTGAAAAATGCTGAGCATCTATTGGCAACTTAACAAATGAAGCAGGCAGGTGTATTGTGGTCTATCCTAGGTGGTTGAAGCCTGGGTCTCTCAGGAAACAAAGGCAGGTATCAGGGGACCAGTTTCAGAAACCAATATTTGGCATCACTTTGCTGAAGGAAGAAACAGCTCATCCAGCTGTTCTCTTGAGAAATAAGACTTTTGAGAATAAGTTGAGAGTGAGAATAGAGTATGCAGCCATATCAATGCACCATATATACACCTTCTGGCATCCTTCCCCAAAGCACCTAGTGTAACACTCAGCATAGAGAGAGATAAAAAAAAAAAATGCTGTTGATTATTTGCCTAGCCCAGTTCTATGTGGCCAGAAAAGGTGGGAAGCCATTGGAAAGGATTCAAAAATGTCTTTCACTGCCTGAAACCATAGGATTGAGTCCCTTGAGAAACACAGATGTTCAGTCCACAACTGCCCAAATTTTACTATGGTGAAGGTATGAATCACTTTTTATGTTTCTTTCTTTCCACTTACTAAAGCCGTCTGAGTCTGCATAAGTGTTTAAGATTGAGAATATTAGTGGATATTTCAAAAACTCTTTCCCTTGGTGATCAGCGTGGCATTCACTTTTGATATACCTTTAGCACAAAGTCTTAAGATATAAAAAGTTAAAGAAATCGTCACAAAGATACGTCAGGATGGAATGGGTTAAAAAAGTGAATTATTAGGAAAACTAAACATTATTTGCATCACTCTTTTGCACAGGTAGTCTCTAATATAATAAATCATTTATTTACAGAAATTATTATTTTGTCCTCTTCTTTTTCTACTTCTTGGAAATAGTATATGCATGGGTTCGGGTATTAGGCCTGAGAGTGAGAAATTAAACGATATTTCTCTAGTTCTACTCTATTCTATATTACAAACAACATTTCATTTAATTTTCTCTGGACCACAAAGAGTTTAAGTATTTCCTCCTCTTTCTTCCTTTTTCTTGCCTTTTTAAAAGAGAGTTGAAGACAAAGTGAGAGGGTAATGATAACATCCCTGTCAAACAAGGTAATATTGCAACAAGATCAAAGTAACAGTCATGAGTAAATGTTCATCTTAACACATTCACTATTAAGTTTGTTGATGATGAACAAAGTCAATGAGCTGGGCTATGAAGACCTCATCCCATCCATCAGTACCACAGACTCTCAAGAACCTATGACTTCTTTCTAGGTTGTTTTGCTCTCCATTTTTCCTTTCCCATGGCTGTTTCCTGGCAAGAATTTCTTTTCCTCAAATCAAAACATCACCTTTTAGAAAACAAGCAACAAAATAACTTGGAAATATTTTCATTGCAATCTGCCCAGTTTTGTATCCAGATGAGAACTCAAATATAAAATTCTGAAGCTCTTAACCTCTGTAAATGAGATGCTGGCTTAAATTACATCTCTGGGGATTTTTTTCTGTTCTAATATTACCCAATTCTACAAAATTAAAACAAACAATATCACTTAGGAATAAACACAAGTTAAACTTTCCCTTTGATCAAAAGAATCTCCATGCACATTAAATAATATATGTATTCTAGTGCCTCCTTGAAAGGTAAGGAAACAAGGTAACACATAAATGTCTGCTAAAATGAAGGCAGTCAGAGATGACAGGAGTTTCTGGGTTTTCAGAGTAGGCCAAAAAAAGCTACTTTATCATCCATCAGAAACCCCTACAACTTGGGAGAGGTTGTTTCCAAGGACATTATCCCTGGGAGGGCACCGGAGGGAAGATACGGATTAGGAACAAGAATAAGCCATATATCTTGGCAGAACCCTAAGAGGCCCTTCACAAATCAAGGCTATCCAAGCACATCTAAAAAAAAATAAAAAACAATCTTCCGAACACTCCACTAAGAATGTACCAGTATTCAAACATCATTGATTTATGAGGTATTTTCTTTGTTCCTAACCTAGTTCCAGAGAGAGGATAAAAGAGAAGCCCTCCATTGTTCAGCCAGTGGGGAATGTTCACTTAAAACAATTAGACTCATATAAGATGACAGGTTATTAAAAGGCAAATATAAGTTACAGGCTATGAATAAGGAGACCATGTCATATATTGTACACTCTGGGACACTTTTAAGAGACAGAGGTGAACTAGCCAGCCAGGAGTCCAAGACAGCAGGCAAATCTTGGGCTGTCCAAAATAACCAAGACATATGGTCACTCTAGTGACAAGGGTATAATCATCAGAGAAGGCAGGTCGATGTGATCCAGAGAAATCTAGAAAATCATCATGTTTCATGAAAGAGATGGGACTCGAACTAGATCGGAAGGACAGGTCAAAGTGGGAGCAGCAGGCTCATGTGATTCAGGGAAGAGTGAGCCCAGGTGAGGCTGGGCCGAAGACGGAGTGACGAGAAAGATGCCAGGCAGGGCAGCAAGAACACAAAGATAAAACCATTTACACCAGGGATGGCAAGATCGGTTTCGCCTTATGTGTCAACTCAAATCAATTCGAATGGCTGCCAAGAGCCAATATCTGTTCTCCATGATGCACTGTGCTGTAATCAGTTAGCAAGGTTGGCCATAAGTATGGGAAAGGAACACACTGTCCCACCTGCCACGTACAACATGTGTCGTCTGTACAATGGTTGGACCTGTTGAAGTCATCAGGCTTTAAAACCCTGGTAAAAATGATCTAAAAAAAAAAAAACTTGATTTCATTTAAGCCATTTGTTGATTTTGCTTGATTATTAAAGGCAAGAATGAACCAAAGGTGTACTTGGGTGGACAGGAAAGAACCCATTAAGTAAAGCCAATCCAAAACATCTACATTATATTAGAAAAGTTAAACTCCCTGTAGAACATTCCTAGAAAGATGAGAAAGTTGTTGGGAGAGAGGGTACAGACTGGCATGCTGTTCAAATATTAATGCTGGTAAACATTCATTTGTTTAGATTTAATATAAAGCACAGCAAATAGATTGTAGAAATAGGCAGGAAGCTGTGCCCCTAAGGTAAAACGCAGTTTTACAGTTATGAAAATTTAATTTGACTGCTTTCCCAATAATTGCTCATATTTGTAGCAGCAGCATGCCAGGTAGATAACGGTCAATCAAACGGACATTGCTCTGAACATGCTCTTAAAAAGCCTGCACTGTTTCTTCTTGGGAGAATGGCATTGCTTCCAACTGTTAAAAGATGCCCAGTTGAAAAGCAGAATAAGAAATTGGACAGTAGGAAATCTTTATATATTGCCATTTCCCTCCCTCTCTCAAATTAAATTCCTGTTGGGAGCTGGAACTATTTTTTTCCTTCTGAAAATGGAAAATCTGTCACATCATAAACCAAACCTTGAGCACAGAATGTGTGCGGTTCTCTTTTTAAAATTCTGCTCATAGTCAGAAAAAAATTAGGATATGCTACTAATATGGGCAGGGCAAATATTTCTTTCATAGGTGAGTGAAGGACAGCAATAGGTCCCCTCAATGTATGAAAAATCTCTCTGGATCTTAGTCGAAGAAGAGCATCAGAAAGATTCCTCTCTGTCTTTGTCTTGCTCTGAGCCTCCTCTAATTCCTCTCTTCCTTTTGTTCTTTCCTGTTCCCTATTTCCCACACTCTTCATGACCGTTGAGAAAATGCCATTAATAACTGGTACAAAGAATGGTGCTCGGTGCATGGAGATAAACTGGGGATGACAAAATATCAACTTCCTGCTGCTCAATTGAAAGCCCTATCTGTACAACTGGTAATTACTTTTAATTTAATTAGGACTCCTGGTATTGTTTCTATCTCATAGATTACATTATAACATGTAATGTGTTAAAGCAACAAGACAAATTGAGGCGAGAAAACACAGAAAATATTACCTTTTTGTCTATAAATAATACCACGATTTAACTCTTCAAAAGGCCCTCAAGTAGCTTTACTATGGGCTAATTATTATTTTCCATATTCCTTTAGCTTGAGTAAGCAAAAAATCTTACATAATCAAAAAAACATATCTCATCGGTTTTTGAAAATAATTTTTTAAGCTCTACACTTTTCTTCTTCTCTCATGCAGAACAAATAAATGATTTATGCTGTTGCATGCTAAAACAAAATTCACATAACTAGAAAGAACAATCATTGGCACTGGAGAGAGATTAGGACCTTGCTGCTTAAATTTGAGGATGTAAAAGCGGCTTGGGAAAGACACCATTTTTAGGCAGAAACACACAGCTCAGTGAGGCAATGAAGCCTATTTGAGATACTTTGACTCAAAAGAATATGAAGGATCTATTCCTTTGTAAAAGACATATACTTAGTTTGAGTTTTCATATGAAATTCACAAACACATTGTGAACTACTAAATAAAATCCTCAAATGACCCTCTAAATAGCTAATTATGTAAGAAGAATGTTCATTAGGACCCTAAGAATTTATCTTCTTAAACTAGAGAGCAGATATTGGAATTAAGAGAGAGACACAGAGAGAGAGAGAGACAGAGAGAGAGAGAGAGAGAGAGAGAGATTATGGAGGCACCACTACAAGGAGGCAGATCCCTCAGTTGGAGGAAGATTCCCCACATGGAGCTTACAATTGTTTTCCAAATAATGTCTGAATGAATGGCAAGTTAAAGTGTGACTGGAAATTCCTCTAACAATGTTTGATCTTTTCATCTAATCCATTAGACCTGGAAATCCGTAACATATGTCTATTGGCTTATCAAAAACGTACTCTAAACATTTCATAGCCCAAAGAAAACAAATCAGAATGATTGTCCTTTTCTAAGATTAGAGGTTGTGATGGGTAATATCAAGGGTCAACTTCATTGGATTGAAGGATGCAAGTGTTGTTCCTGGGTGTGTCTGTGAGGGAGTTTCCAAAGGTGACTAACATTTGAGTTGGTGGACTGGGAGAGGTAGACCCACCTTCAGTCTGGGTGGGCACCGTCTAATCAGCTGCCAGGACGACTAGAGTAAAGCAGGCAGGAGAAGACGGAAGAGCACACTTGCTGAGTCTTCCAGCCTTCATCTTCCTCCCATGCTGGATGCTTCCTGCCCTTGAACATCAGACTCCAAGTTCTTCAGCTTTTGGATTCTTGTACTTACACCAGTGATTTGCCAGGGGCTCTTGGGCCTTCAGCCACAGACCGAAGGCTGCACTGTCAGCTTTCCTACTTTTGAGGTTTGGGGACTCAGACTGGCTTCCTTGTCCTCAGCTTGTAGTTGGCCTATTGTGGCACTTCACCTTGTGATCGTGTGAGTCAATATTCCTAATAATCTCCCCTTCATATATACATATATCCTATTAGTTCTGTCCCTTTAGAGAACCCTGACTAATACAGAGGTAAATGCTCACAGATAATCTTAGAACCAAAAGACCTTAAATATCACCTTTTACAACAGCCTCATTTTATACATGGTAAGACCAAATTCTCAATAGGTCCAGCAAGACAGAGCAAGGACCAAACCCCACGTCTCCTCAGTCTTCACTTAGAGTTGCTTTCCCTCCACTACATCATCATTGCCTATTGTACTAACTAGAATTCAAACTAGTGAACTTCAGGGACTTAACAAAAGTTACATAAAATCAAATAATATCTATGTTTGATCCTAATTTTTTCATAAGTCCAAGAGATAAAAACACAAGTTTACAGGGATGGCTGAGCTGACTATCAGAGTATTTCAGTTTTTAGAACAATGCCTCTTTGGCAACCTTGTACCCACAGCCTGGTATGGAAGGCACAGCTGTTGCCCTATTTGCAGCCCAAGAAATCAGTACTGGCAGCCAATTCCTGCAAGACAGAAGACTTTTGGCAAAATGGCAGTGTTCTCTTACAAAAATAGCAAACCATCATCTGGGTAAATTCAGGGAAGCTTATGACTTCTGCTAAAGTGAAATTTTGACTTGCTGATGGCAAGTCAATCCTCTATTGGGACAGAGATCTAGATAAAGGTCAATTTAGATTTAAAGAAGATATGGAGAGTGTTGGGTGCTAACTATTTGAAACAGTTCCTTAAGCAAGCTATGACATTTTCCTCAAAAAATATTCCAAAAATTCTCATTAAATAACAACTGTAAAATGGTTTGTTTGAAAGTAAAATAATATTTTAACACAAGGCTATGTAGCTATACACATACTTCTGGAGAAGTTGCATGCCATTTTACCAAGAGGTAGGGTGAGAAGTGAGAGGAAGGGTAATTGGGAGGAGTGAGCTTTGGGTTAGATTATATTTAAATATTGTTTTCAACAGTATACCATTGTGACTTTGATGCCCCAAAGATCTGTAGATAAAATAAATACATGTTCTCCTAGAGCTAATGGTCAGGCAGCAAAGTTAAATAAGTAATGCTAGAGGTAAAAGGCTGGTTATTAATTTTTTAAAAATTGTTGTCATAATAGCTGAGAAAAGACAGCTTCATAGATTGTGATTCTAATAAAGTCCCACAACACTTTATGGACATAGAACATAACTTTGAAATATATCCCAATTTCTTCATGCAAGATTGTGTACAAATCATGCCAAGAACAAAAATGAAAGTATCTGTATGTTTCTTATTACTGGGGAATTCAGTGACGTTTTCACTTCCCGTGTATTAGGAAAGGGAAAAAGATTTCCCATTGAGAAATCAAGAGTAATATCAACCTACAATGGAGCAAAGCAGAGATGTACAAAGCCATGCAAGAAACAAAAAATGACTCACAAGTCAGCAAGACTGGACTGCATCCTGTTCGAATAAACAAACATATCTGAAAAAGAAAATATCAGCTAATAAGACTCAGTCAGCAAAGAAAGCATACAAAAGGAGAGTCATGCAGACAAACATTGGCAGTGCCGACTTCAGCACTGTCCAAAAGAAAGGGAGCTTTTGGACATCAGTCCGTCCTCTCCAGATGGAATGAAAGGCCATTTCTTGCATGAGGATGAATGCATAAAGTTAAAAATCAAAGAATTTGGCAGATTTCTAATCCCATTAGCAGCACAGTCTCTCTCCTGAAATGGATGTGTCAGAATTCTTTATCCTAATTTATTTAAAAATTCAGTTTATCTAACACATCTTTTTTCTATCCTCACATGACCTTCTAATACAGTCTATCTGGAGGGATGGACTGATATACAAAACCAGCTTTTCCCATTTGGGTGACTATTATTTTTCTTCCACTTTCCACTTGCTCTTTATTCATCTGCTTTCTCTATAAAAATGGGAACTATGAACAAGCAGGCATATGATAGAAAGGTTCGGAAGAGCAATGAGGTTTTGATCTACTAAAAATTGTTCGAAGAAGAGTAGCTCAATGTGGCTCACATAGCTTCACAATAATTTATATTACTCAAGAACCCACCATGGTTCCCTATGAATTAACATGGATTAGAGTCAGTGCTGAAAGACACTTATAATCACCTAGTGTGAACCCATTATTCTAGGAAGAAAGAAATTGAGGCATATAGAAGTAAAATTACTGGCCTATGACAGAATTCTGCTCAGACTAAACACAGGTCAGTATTCCTGAAGCAGCTGACACAGCTGCCTTCAAAGCCCATTTTCTGGAGAAGAATCTGAGCCGATTCTTCTCAGGTGAGACAGTTGTAGGGAGGAGTCCCAGTGTGAAGTTTTAGAAGTTTACTTCGACCTTAGCTTCCAGGTCAGAAGAAAGCATTGACCCCTTCAGCAGACCAAAAATACCTCTCTCTTGGAATACATCGAGTCCAAAGAAGACACACCTCTGAAGTCAGCCTCTCTCTATAATCTGCATTCTTGGTCAACTCAAGAGACTGAGCTGTAACTTGACTATGGAACTGCTACTATAAACCCAGCAGGGTAAACCCGGGCATCTGAAAACGGTCAGCGCATTTCAGAGACAGGGATTGATGAAGGCATAGATGAAGAAAGGCTCAGTACCTTTATGGGCAGAATCAGCATTTGGAGGGGAAAAAAATGTATCTCCTGTGGCTAAAGGTGGGCATGTTAAAAAATATAAACATGCTACCTGGAACCACTGCCAAGTGCCACTAAATGGAGAAGGAATAAGATGAACTCAAGAGCATCACCTACAGGGGAAAATGAAGAACTCCAAGGAAATTCATTAGGAAGGTGGGAAGAAATCTACCAATCAGAGAGGTAGGATGTGGCTTACACTTTTTAAACAAAATTAGTAGATGATGGTTCTGGGAGAGACTATCATCATAAAATAGAGCCATAGTGCATTGGTACTCATGTGTTTGCAATAGGAAGATGACACACCCCAAAGAAAACCAAGCTTTCAAGCTATAGAAATATCTGGAAATATATTCTAGATTTACCACATAAGGACAATAATCTGTACACAGAATTTCCAGCAATATCTGTAGGTGATGTTAAACCTTTTAGTTCTGTCCACACACATACACTGAAATGCACATGTCTCAGGTTCATTCTTTATTACTGGCATTCGTTATTGCAAAGAACAACTTTGATTCTATTGCATGATGCTGTACTGTGGCACAATTCTAAAGAGCCCTATAGTCATGCACACAAAATTCCTAGCACTACTGCTCCTCAGCACCTCAGGCCAGTATCTTATGCCTTCAAAGAATATTCATTCCCCCAAATCCATAGTCTTTACCTCTGGCCCAGCTTTTCAGTAGCAAGCTCAAGCTTTCCTGTCAGTACTTATACTTTCATTGGTTATACTTATACTTTACTGGTTACACTTATACTTTCCTGACAATATTTATACTTTCATGGTTTATACTATTTTTAAATTATTTTTTATCCAATGGAGCTAAATTTTCTAAAAGTCATCTTTTCCACTGAATCAACATCACCATGTTAAATCTAAATTTCCCTACTACGTCTCAATTTCAAGAGCTTCCATAATCTTCTCTCACTACTTGAATCATGTTTATTTTCTTTTTATTTTATTTTTTGAGACAAAGTTTCGCTGTTGCCCAGGCTGGAGTGCAGTGGTGCAATCTCAGCTCACTGCAACCTCTACGTCCCTGGTTCAGGCGATTCTCCCACCTCAGTCTCCCAAGTAACTGGGATTACAGGTGTCCACCATCATGCCTGGCTTTATTTTCTTTTTTTGTATTTTTAGTAGAGCTGAGGTTTCACTATATGTTGGCCAGGCTGGTGTTGAACTCCTGACCTCAAATGATCCATCCACCTTGGCCTCCCAAAGTGCTGGGATTTCAGGCAGGAGCCACCATACCCAGTGGAATCATGTTTATTTTCTATCCTTCCAACCAGTCTTATTACCTTCTGAAAAAGCTGTGATCACAAGAAATAGCCTCTTTTTTCCTTCTATCACCAGTCAAGGCCGATTCTATCTAAGATTAGCTTTCTTACATATAGATGGTGCTCCAATTTGCCACAGCACCCACCTCTCTATTGAATTACACCCTACTGACTTTGCTGATTGGTGTTACCAGTCAGGCCTCATGGATATTTGAGTTTGTGATCCTTGGTCTCTTACAGCAATGATTTTCAAGCTGTGTTCCTCAGAAAGTATAGCCAGTTGGCACACATTTATCACCCTTACCAGAAAAAAAAAAAAAGATTCAAAATGATTGTCTTCCTCAAAACTGTCCTTATGTGAAGGAGAAGGTTGTTTCTGGATTTAAAGCCCCATACTGCTTAATATTCTGCATTGTCTGCAACCATCTCATTTTATTTAGGTAAACTAGGACAAATAATAATGATAATGAAACTGATGATAAAACAATAACAGCAGCACCTAACACCTGCTGATCACTCATTTTATGCAAGATGCCATTCTACGTGTTTTTCTTAGCTTATTTAATCCTCATGAAAATCATATGAGGTAAGTATTATAATTATCCACCTTTTACAGAAGAAGAAACTGCATGTAAGGTAGCGATTAAAATTGTTTTAGAAGTACTAGATTGTTGAACAGGTGACTAGTTATTCATGCTCTAAGGAGAGTTACTATAGTTATATACTTATCCCTCATCAACAAGGTGAGAACAACATTGAAAGGAGAAGCATTTTTATAGCTGGAAATAGGAGAAGAGCCAGAAACCCACCTGGCCCCACCTGGTTTCTAGACTACATATTGCTTCTTCCTAACAGGTGAAGTTCAGGGCCCCAAATGTGGTAGATTGCAAAATGGCCACAATTCCTCACTCTTCCCTATATCCATCCCCTTTGGAATGCAACTTTACTTCTTCTCCCATCATGAGGTAGAATCTATCTCAGTTGTCCTTATGACTTTGGCTAGTAGAATGAGGGAGAAGCAACAGCATGCCAGTTCTGAGCCTAGGTCTCAAAAACCCATGTATGCTTCTGCTTGTTCTATTGGAACCCAATCTAGTGCCATAAGAATAAGGCTGAGCTAAGCTGCTGGATGATGTGGGACATGCATCCCAGTAACCCCTATCACCCTATCAGCTAGCCGCACAAGGCCATCCTTGACTAGCAATCCCAGCCAGCTCCTGCCAGCTGACTGCAGACTAATAAGCTCAGATGCAATCAGCCAAAGCCCGCCTGACTAGCAGAACCATAAACACACGAGCAATAATAAGTGCTTATTTTTATAAGTCTCTTAGATTTGATGTGGTTTGATATATAGCATTGAAATAATAGAAAGCTAATCTGGTAACACACAAATTTAACCCCAACACTGTCTTTAGAACTAATCCCTTATCATGAGTAGATGGATATGAGAAGCTGCTAACTATGATTTTGGGAAGGCTGTCATCTAATCACCCTTAACTAGTTTAGCACCAACCTTGGTCCCATTCATACCTGGGTTTCTCCCTGTTTTTAAGTTCTTTTCTTAGAAAACTTTTTAGCAAACCAGTTACTAGGTCTGGGGACCAAATTTGCCACTTTCCACTGCTCAGGACTAGACTCTGATGGGATTGGAAACTGGAGCCCAGTTAATCTCAATGCATTATCTGCTCTCTTGGATTGTGATGTGTTCCCCTGGTCCTGAATTCCCTGCTGTAAATTTTCCCCATGTTGCTTACCCATTTGACCTAGAGGAAGCCAACTGTTTTGCTGACTTGCTTGTTGCCTTTGTCTTTGTTCTGCAGACACTGTGTTCTATGGCCATCACAGGAGGATAGATGAATTCCTAGAGCAGGCCCCTACCTGTGTCATCTCACTCATTCTGAGTTCGGTCCAAATAAGAAGTATTTAATTCTCCCCAAGAAAGGTAGTCCTGGGTGAAAAACAAGCCTTAGGGACCAAAGAGAGAAAAAGCACCAGGGAGACTATTTCACAAATTTTCTAAAACTTCTTGAGAACTTTGCCTTCTTCATCTCTATATGTACTTAACATAGTGCAGCATGCATGTTTTATACCTGGTAACTTCTTAAAAAATAAGATTGGTCAGTAGAATCATCTTCTTATATGAAAGAGAACATATTTTCTCCCAAAGAGTACATTGTGAAAAAACTTACTCTTATCCTGATTGTAAAATATATATATATATTTACCATATATATATGGTAAATTAGAATAATCTACACTGTCTTAGAGTCTTTAAAGTATTTCACGATCTCACATATACCTAAAATCTAAAAAAGTCAAACTTATAGATGCAGAGAGTAGAATGGTAGTTACCAAGGGCTGAGGGAGGAGGAAGTGGGGGAAAGACAAGCTTCGATCAAAGGATAAAAATTTCAGTTAGACAGGAGAAATAAGTTCAAGAGATCTATTGTACAATATGGTGACTATAGTTAATAATCATGTATTATATACTTGAAAATTGCTGAGAGAGATCTTAAATGTTCTCACAACAAAAAATAAGTATGAGAGGTGATGCATGTTAATTAGCTTCATTTAAGCATTTCACAATGTGTACACATATCAAAACATCATATTATGAAACTAAATATGTACAAATTTTTTGTCAATTATACCCTAATAAAATAAAATAATTATCTTAGAGTCTTTTGGTTGTTTTCAGTGAAAATTAAATGTAAACAAAACCAAATCAAAAGGGGAACACACCTTTAAGTTATTTGCAAAACAACACATTTTTTCTTTTATTCTTTCAATACAAAAATGAATAGGGCACTATTCCTGCCCTTCAGAAACTCACAATCTAATAATTAAAGGGGGGAGATTTAAAGCAACCATAAAATTAAATATTTGTACCATAAACAAGTTGCCCATCACCTGTCACTGAACAAATAGGAATAATGATACCTAGGGTGGTCAAGATTAAAGGAAATTGTGTTTGAAAATGTATGCACCTGGCATTTTACCACCTTAGTAGGTACTCAAAGAGTAGACTTTAAATGTGTATGTAAAGGTCAGGTGCTTACTACAGTGTGATTAATCGGGGGAAAATAAGAAAGAAATAGATGTATTTCCAAGTATATTTCAGAAATTTAACTTGGAATCTTCCCTTGAATATTTATTTTGTCACCTTGTTTATTATAGCTTTCACGAGTCATGAAATAGTCATGAGATTAGAAATGCTCTCCCTTGTCTTAATTCTCTGGAACAGGATTCATAAATGTAGAGACATATTACTTGGATAATTCTGCAACCTCACATTTCTAGAAGTACATTTATAAAATTTAATTAGGAACAATATATACAGTTTGTCAGGTAGTTACTGAAACAGCTCTATAGTTTTATGAAATATATTAGATTTGGTACACAAATAATGTAATCATGTAATGGGTCAATTTCAATTACACTTTTCCACTTGGCACCCTGGAAATCGATTTAACATAGAGACATTAGTCTTTTTCATATTCCTACATTTATTTCAGTCTCATGAATAGAATTGAAGCTAAATTTCATAAATCTTTTCTTCATTTTTCAGCCAAATGTCTCTAGTTGGATGGATATTAATGACAAAGTAGTTTATAACTATCACAAATGTTAAAAACTTACAAAAAAATACTTTGTTGCTTGTTCGCAACATTTTGAAAGGACTTTGAGATTCTTTAGAATGCAGTCTGGAGTATGAATCAACTGCCAGCTTATTAAATGTTGTGATAGCATGTCTCAAAGGAGGGCCGCATAAGGCCTTTAAGCACTGCGTATACCAACTAATAAAATGAGAGCTGCACATGCTAGGCAGGCGATTTTCGTTCAATTTCAAATGTACACCCATTTGGTGTGGATATGGTAGAGTATAATAGGTAAGTATACAATGGCAAAGAAGATCTTTAGTAAAGGAACAATGACACCTGCAAAAAAAAAAAAAAAAAAAAAAAAGTTGGGGGGTGTTTTTTTTCCATGCAATTTCAACCTTTTCAACACCAAGACATGATTCTTTCTTTCTTGCAGTTTGCAGTTTGGGATGGACTTTTGGAAACAGGGGTAATAGCGTTAAGAACCGGCTACTTCATGTGCTAAGTATAATAAATAGATTGTGTAAGTTCCACCCAAAGACCATGTTCCCAGTTTGCCTCTCTCAGAATGCACAGGGAAAGATATATTACTCAAGGTTCCACACCCAACAAAAGAAAGGAACAGAACATGTTTACTTTGGCTTTCCTTTTTTCATCTTTATGAAAGCATGTGTAAGAAAAAGAAAGACTGTTTCTACTCTCGCTCATACTCTGACATTGGAGGTAAATGTTCATAAAAGAGGCTTGGTCCAACCCCAGGAAATCATTTGGGGGTAATTACCACTTGGCAATAAAGCAACATTTAACAAGCTTGCCTTTTCTACCAAGAGATGAAATAGTCAAGCATGGCTTTCATTGAATGCCAAACTGGATTTTCCTTATTCATGCAGGTTTGTTACACTGGTCTAGATTCAGATTAGTTGGGGTGGCAACTCAGGAGGTAAGAAATGAGCCTTGATAATTTAATGAAGTAGAGAATTTTAATTCAGTTGTTATTTTGCAGTAGTTGGTGTATGTGTCATAACAGAATGCCTGACTTTTCTGAAGAGGCCTAAGTACAAAAATAAAAGAAAGAAAACTAACACATATCAGTTAGTTAACCACCTGTATTGACACCAGACATTTAGACATGTGTTAGAGAGACATACACACAAACACATACACCTCCTTTCTTACATGCACGCTGATCACTAATTCAAATTCTTACACATTTAGACAACTATTTTTCCCCAGAGTAGCCTTTCTGGATACTTTTTTGGTTGTTTGTTGATGCAGCTCTTAGGATAGTAGCAGAATTAAAGTTGAGCTGAGCATATGAAAAGGATCAGAGTACCCTGCAAAGTGGCAGGAAAAAGGAGATAGAGTCAAAGGCAAAAAAAAAAAAAAAGAAAAAAAAAAAGAAAAAAGAGAGAACGGAAATAGTGATGGAAACCTGCAAAATGGGAAAGATAATAGAGGTTTGCTAGACAGAGAGCCAGCCAAAGTTATATATTTTTCAAATGGACATAAAACCCCAAGAAATCGTGAGACTGTTTTTTAGCAAGTCCAATCACAAGGACAGCAGAGGCTGAATCTGTAAAATGTCAAGTATTCAAAATCAGATGCAGTTGAACTAGGACAATACAGTTTTTTGCTTGATATTTACTAGGGAAAGGCTTCATGAAAAAACCATGAACAATGTGTAACACAGGAAGATATATGCTTATGGAAGCTTGCATGCTTGTGTCTATGAGGAAATTGTTGTATCCTAGAGATTTCCTTCTTTGCATCCGCAGCACCACTCCCTTCCTATCCACCGCACCCCCATCCAGATATGTGCCTTTCCCTTTTCCTGCTCTTTGAAAAATGATGTTTGGCCAACACAGCTAGTCAGTAAGCATTAATGGGTTAAGAGGGTTGGAAACTAATTTGATTTCATAGCTGACTGTTTGCATGACTACAGGTTAAGTTGTGATTAGATTTCCATTCACAGCTCTCTCATTTTCAGGCATTTAAAAATAACTCAGCCCTAAAAGTTCTTTCTAAATTGATTGAACTGGAGTCTGCCAATAAGTCATAGATAACCCTCAACCTCAAAATAAACAAAAAAGCAATTCCAAAATTGGGGGAGAGAAGTGTTGGGACCCACAGGTAATTTTTGTAAAGCTTTTTTATTCTGGAAAAAAAAATTAGGAATGCAAGCCAATAAATTTATGTCACTTATGTATGACCATTTTAAGTTATTTTGCAGGACCCAAAATAAGCCAAAACATTAAACTTTTGCACTTGAAAAGATTTACCCTGCCACCCCCATAGACACACATACATACACACACATCACACATTTGTCTGCATATAAATAGGTAAGAATTCGATGGCCTCATGGAGGTTGTGTAAGACATATTCAAAGTCAAAATGGGTGTTTTGTGATGGTCTGGACTCTGAGGAAAACCAAATAAGTTTACAAGACCTGATAAAATATCCTTTTTTCCTCCTTTCAGACTTAAATTCAAGGCTATTCAGGACTCTGGCCAATTTGCCAATTCACAACTGTAGAATTACCTAAGTAGGTTTTTTCAAAGCATTCAGTAGGTTACACGGGAGTTCAGCAGGAGAGCCCCTGGTGGCAGTGTCTCATTAGACCTCTAGCACAATGCTGCTATTTTTCCTTCTACCCAGGCTCCTTAGAGAAGGAACTGGTCTCTTGACCCATCCTATGACTTCCAGATTCCAGTTTCCTAAAGCACTACAGCCTCTTATTATTGCATTTGAAAGACTTAAAGTATGACTTTTCCTCATGCCAAGGAACACAATGATGCTTTCAACAAAGTTAAGATCAACGTGAGTCATTGCTGTTTACTGGCCTTTGCTTTACATATACTGGTATTTCTGTCATTTGGGAAGGTCATTTGTTAAGTAATCTTCCTTCGTTATGGAGGTGTAAATACTCAACAAAAGAAAACTAATAAACCTAGGAACAATAGAAAAAATAAGGCAGGAATTTGATACGGTAAAACTTTATTAATTTGGCTTCCACTAATGCAGAATTCATGATATTATGTCCTGCGTGAGACTAAATGCTACTTTTCATTACTGATTAAGAAAAAATTTGCTATGCAAATTAAAAGGAAAATAAGACCAGGGTGGGGTGGGGAGTTAGCAGAATGGGGAGGCACACTAAACCTACATAGGAAACTTACAAAAACACAAAGCTTCTAAAAGTAGCAGCCTTCAAACACTTTTTACATTCTCAACAGTGTGGCATTTTAGGCCTTGCCTTTAGGCTTCTCTTATATTAGAATTGTTTTATAAGTTTTGGATAAGAATACTCACTGATTTCAAACTTTAGTCCTTCCACATTTCATGGTTCAGGAAACTTACTCATAAGCCATTTAATATATAAAGAGTAAATAGTATAAAAGAGATTGATCAATAAGAGGGAAAGATATTTCAGAAATTGGAAAATAGATCCTGGATAATTGAAAGATGATGGACGATAATAAGCTATGAAGTCAATCTATTTTCTTCCCTGTAGGAAATGAAGTAGAAGTGACTTGAAGACTGAAGAAATTTTGTGACAATAGGAAGAAAACAGACTCTGCAGTTTTGCAGATCTGAACTCCAATACGGGATTTGCCGATTACTAGTTATTTGAATGTGAGCAATATTTTAAGTCCTCTGAGCTTCAGCATCCTCATCTTTAAAATGTGCATACAAATGGGGTTAATTTATGTCAATTGCTCATAATGGTATTGGCTCAATGTAAGTGCTTAAGAAATTGTAGTTGCTATTCTTAATTGCTATGAGTTTCTAACCCAGCATGATCAAATGAGACTTTTAAGACTGGGAACATGTTAAACCTTTCATGTTTTAACCTTTCAGGATTAGAGAACTACGATGTGAAGAGAGTGGACGGGGTGTCAAAATTCATATCCCAATGTCCTGTGTACCCACTTCCCTTCTGTCCCTTTCCAGCATTAAAAGTGTTGAGGCCAGGACATGGTGGGTCCTCTGAGGCAAACTTGCAGATTGCCCTTGGTCTTCCTTAGGACCAGTGATCCACTATGCTGATGGGACAGAAGCTGAAAATCTGCACATCATCGTGATGAAGGAGATCAAGAGACAGCTGAATAGACTTCCTGATGCTGGTGTGGGTGCCATGGTGATGCCACAGTCAAGAAAGGCAAATCAGAACTCAGAAGGAAGGTATATGCAGAAGTTCAAGTGCAGAAGTGGTCATTTGACAACAAAAGTGATAACAGATAATTTAATTTGAAGATAACATAGTCATAGTCATAGTAAAAAAAAAAAAAAAAATAAAGATGAGATGAAAGGCTCTGCCATCACAGGACCAGGTGCAAAGGACTGTACAGACTTGTGGCCTAGGACTGCATCCCACGCTGACAATATTCTCCAGTGCATTGCAATTGGAATGTGAAAAAAGCCTAAAGGCAAGGTCTAAAGTAAGCTGGGTGTTTCCTTTGGATTTCTGATCTTGGTCCTTTCCCTTTAAAGAAAAACTCATTTCAGCCTTAAGTGTGCCATATTCATTTTACCACAAACATACATGCGCGCGCACACACACACACACACACACACACGCATACATACATGGGTATTTACCATTTGCTAGTCATTATTCAAACAGCTTTATAAATATTAATGTATTTCTCATGATAGCCCCCTAAGTTAGATACTAGTATTGTTATCCTCATTTTACAGATGAGGAAACTGAAACTCAGAATAGGTGGCACACCCAACATTACATGGCTGTCAACTGGCAGTGCTGGAATGTTGAGTGGAGGCATTCTGGCCCTAAAGTCAGGCCAGCTCTTAACTAAGGCAGAAAGTTCTTGGTTGGGAACTCATGGACATATCCTCTTCTCAGGGTATGTAATTCATGGACCTTCTCGACTTTGTACTGAGTGTCCATGGTGATGGTATTTTTACCATCAGGTAGTGGTTTGAACAATATATTTACCTCACATCCACTGTTTTTAGAAAATGGAAAATACACTGAAGACATTGTCATTGGCTCAGGTGTGCTCTTGTCTTTTTTATGATATGGTGCATAAAAGAAAGGAAACATACCTGGCATCAGCTTCACGTTTTTTTCTGACTTTAATGTTTCTCCATTGTGCCCATGACAATTCAGGCTTGTAGCTTCATCATTGGATGAAGAGTCTGTCTTATTCATCTTTTTATTTTTAGTAGTTAGAACAGTTCTTGGCTCATAGTGGAAGATCAATAAATGTTGATTTGAAGTATTGAATGAAATTAGGTGAAAACCAAAGAAAGGTTACCGTTCTTAAACCTGTGCTTCTGGTTTCTCACATGGGATGAATTAATATCTCTCAATTATCCATCAGAAATTAAATTCTATAATGCATCAGGAGGCATATCATATCTTGCCAAGTTCCTGTGCCATTTTTCTCTGTCCCTGGAATTTTCTTGCTTATTGCTGACATTTTACCTATTATAATATTCTCAACGAAGAAAACAGAATAGCCAATCTGCTGTTAATAGCTTTTGAAGTGAATCAATTTATTGTCATAGTAACCAAAATTCACAAAACAGATCAATTAAAAAAAGATTTGAATTCAAGCTAGGGAGGGAATGTTCCTAAAAAAAAATAAGATAAACTATTTCATTGTTCAAAATATAGCAAAGATAAGCCTCCTTCTGCCTTGGACAGATTTTCCAAGGTAAAAAAAAACACAACTTACGCAGAGTCCAAATTGGATATAGGAGTTGAAGAAAGGTAAAGAGACAATAACAGTACCCAAATATCCAGCAAATGTGTGATGGAAGTCCCTGCTCTGACTTTATTCCTGCTTGCCTTCCACTCATCCTTCAGCTGTTAAATCATCCTTCAGATTCCCAGAAAGTCCTCCCTAGACTGAAGACAGTCCATTGTCAAAGCACTCACAACACTGTTTATGTCTTTTCTTCATACCAATTATTAATTTGTAATCATACATCTAATTTTGTGATTGCTTGATTAATGTGTCTCCACCTCTAGAATGCAAGGTCCATGAGTTGAGCAACTGGGTCTGTCCTTATTCTCATCGTATACCTGGAGATTATCACAGAATCTGAAACACAGAAGGTACTAAAAATATATTTTTTGAAAACATGGCAAGCAGTGTCCTCAGTAGTATTTTGCAGTACATGTAGTAAGAACTTAGTATGTTTTTCTCATGTGTCCTTATAAAAAGAAACTAGAGGGTAAAATGTTAAAGGACGTATCAGTATAGATGATTCTTTAACAAACTAAGGTACTATTATCTGATTATATAGCCACAAGCTAGGCTGGGAAGCTTTATTCAGGATGGAATTTAGATTCCTAAAGGTAATATTACTCATCTCTCAGCTGATGACTTCACTATGCTCTAGAAAGCAGTCAGCTTATAGTGATACACGTGAGAGATTCCTATCATGACGCATTCCCATCAGCCAACACCAGACTCTGAATAATTCCATTAATTGCCAGTCATTCCAGACTTTTCTCTCCCACTTAAGAAAGCCTATTTGCAACCAAGTTAGTTAGAATGGGAGTGAATTTGTTGTAAAGAGTGTCTTGGATCTGATTTAATTTATAAGAAAATATAAGCTACTCACAAACATCACTACTCTACAGAAACAAATCATTCATATCACACCACACAATCGATGGTGATGCACAAGTGTGTCAAAATGATTTGGTGGAGAAAGGCAATCTGGAGGTAGCCTCCCCGGGTACCCATAGGAAAAGCCAGACTTTCCCCCAGAAAGCAGCTTGAGGTTTAATATACAAACAGCAACCCAACGTGTTATACCATAGTATTTGGCCAATTTTCATTTTCTCTAGCAGCAAATAACTTCCTTCAAAGGTTGAATAATCACCAAGAAGGTAGGAGAACTAGGAACAGAAAAATAAGAACCTAAACAGACCTTTGTTTGAACCAAAAATGAGAAGAAAGAATTTTCACTGTACTTGTATTTATTCTTGCATCCCACTTTGTTTAAAGCTCAAAGTCCAGACAGAGTCCAGTGTCTTATCTTGGGTCACATCCTCATGCTGGTTAGAGAAAGGCAAGGTGGCTTGGTTTGTAGTCCCACAAAGAATACACAGTGGGTGACAGGGAATTCCCAAATGGAAAGCAGATTGGTGTTGCCAAAAGAAAAATGTGCAAGTGCTGCTGATCATCACTGGGAAGCCCAAGCTTAGGCCCATTCCTAACTTAGAACTTAACGTAGAACTTTGAATTACTGTTCTAAGTGCTTCTATTTTACTGTCTTTACATGGTCTCTTTGGTCAATCCCTAACTCATTTCTCCTGCCTTCACTGAGTCCATCAATAAAGGCTCAGTCTAGGTTTCTAATCTGTCTAATTTTGACCATGGCCCTACTTCTGGGACTCCAGTGCCATCCATGGGTACTTGTTTGCTGGCTAGCTTTCACTCTGTTTTCTCTGGATACACTTTCCTTAGAGGTCCTTTTCATACGAATAGATTTCACAAGATTATGACCTGAAGCTCTCTCTGGAATTCTGAATATCCACACGCTGCCCAGATTTCCCCAATAGCTAGTCTCCATTCTGTGCAGGATGCTCTGCAACTGATTGGAATGAGAACTGAGAATATTTGACATACAACTCTAGACACTGTGTCTAATGGCTAATGATTTATAGCCTCAACATGTTATAAGGTAGACATTGCCAATTGCATAACATTAACAATAAGATCCCTTAATGATGCTTCCATGGCTGCTACAAGACTTCCTAGTGAACCAACCTGGATAAATGAGTTTCAAATTCAACTCCTCATAACTACATGAGTTATGTCCAATTAAATCCAATCTTGCTGGATTTTAGTCTTAACAGACCTCAGTCTGTTACTCTATTTGGTCACGTTGTTTTGATTCTGATTCTATCACCCTTCATCTTAAACATTTCTTCTTGTCTCCTGTCATCTGAAAATCTGATCAGTACTATTTGATGAAGTCAGCTAAGAAAGACAAAGAGGAAAATGTAATTGTACCAATATAAGCCTTTCTTTAGTCTAGCATTTACTCTACTCTGGATAGAGTCCTTCAATCAATGCCAGCTCTTTCCATATGACCTCTGGTTGTCCATCAGAATATCATAATAAATATGCTGAAGTCCTATGTCTAGAGTTTTCTGGCTGTTTCCTGTGATTTCATCAGCATATTATAAAATAAGAAGGATTTGAGATTGTTTTGATGTGATTTCTAAGTGATCACTGATTTTGTTTCTAAGTTCTCATAAATAATACATTTAATAATACATTCCAGTGTTTCCCTAGCATTGAATCAAACATACTGAATCCAAATTCTTCCCTTTTGGAAACTTAGAACAAATCGTCTATTATTTCTTCTATTTTTTACCATTCTTTAGAGTTCAACTATATCTCCTCTTGAAACCTGTAGAATGAATTTACTAAAGCCTGAAGAACTAAACTTTTAAAACATCTTGGCACTTTTTTCACCTGCGTTGTTTGTTAATTCCCTCTTAACTAGAATGGTTCTGTTATTTCTAATATAAAGAGCACTCTTCCTGACAGAAGAGATGGAACAAAAACAGGGTTGCATAGCTCTCTCTGTGGACTTCATCAGTTAGCATAACACAAAATGTCCTATACAGATCTGCTCCATCTTGATGTTTTTCCTCTGAACACATAGTAGAAATTCCTTAATTAATGTGATCCACCTAGTGTAGTGGGTAGATTTAAGTGTGTGTGTGTGTGTGTGTGTGTGTGTGTGTTAAACAATCTAAATGTACATTTTCCCCCATTCCTTTGATATAGAGTAAGAGCCTGTTTTTTGAGTGTGAATCTCCTGCTTGGAGTTCTGCCCTGCTTTCCTCCATATGCCATGACTCAAAAACATAGGCCCCAATCTTCCACTTTTGATTTCTTAAAGTGTGGTAAAAACTTAGAACACTAACAAGAGAAACTTTGGTTATAGTGTGGTTTCCTTTATTGTTCTTTATTTTATCTCATTTTTATTATTCATTTATACTATTTTAGCAACTTATTTTTACAAAGTCTTTTAAAACACTCAATTTAGAATTTTTAAACTTTTCTAATCATTTCATGAATTCACATAATATTTCACTACTATGGCACATAAAACTGCCATGAACTGGGAGAAACGAAGTGGAATCCCCAGTTGCATGCAGTTCCAACTGCAGGCTTGCCTAGTATGCACAGGCACATTAGAAAGAGCCTGGGATTCAATCAGGAGCCTTCAGTGGGCTGAGGTCTTTAGGCAGGATGTTTAAAAAACAGAATAAAGAGTGTCAGTTAATCTGGCATGTCATTAGGCAGAGGTCAGTTAGGAGAGCTTATTCTGTAACTTTTTAAAATTCCTTTTTATGATTCTTAGCAGTTTTCACAAACCTCAGCATCTTAGAGCTTTGGTCTAGAATATAATGGAATTCTTACAGGGCTGTTCTATCCTGTCGTTTTCCTGCTGGTGTATGGGTGCCTCCTTCACTCTTTTCTATGAATGCTTAACGATGGAGAGTTTCCTCTAGCCTGTAACCATCACTGCGTCTTCCTTAAAAGCATTCTCTTTATTAGTCATCTGATTTATAATATTGGTAAAGCTTAACTTCACCCTACTCAAGTAAACCACTCTTTATCACATGCCAATTACATGCAACTCACTGGGCTTTTCTTTGAACAGCTTTCCTTTCTGGTCTTGAGGCTATGCAAACATGCTTAAGTTTCCTTGGACTGGTTGATTTTTCTGATTTACCATCCTTAAATATGATACACATCTGGCCATTCTCTTCTTTTCTGGGTGTTTTAGTAAATAATCTTTTGTTCCAAGTGTTAGAACTCTCCAACTGGCTTAGTAAGAAAGAAATGGTGAGAGAGAGAGGAAGAGAGAGAAAGAGGAGTGGGGGAGGAGAGAGAAAGGTTGGGGGAGAGAGAAAGGGTGTGTGGGGGAGAGAGAAAGGGTTTGTGGGGGAGAGAGAGAATGTGTGTGCGCATGCACGTGCAGGGGAATTTCTTTCTCCCTGTAGTTGAAAGTCGAGAGGTAGGACTCCCAGCAGGGATTTAAACCAGACTTTCACAGTGTCATCAGGCCAGTGACTCTACCTCCCTGTGGTTTCCTTGGCTTTGACCTCATCTGTGAGTCATCTTCGTCCTTAAGCCTGGCTCCCCTCATGTAACTAAATATGAATGGAGTGAGCCCCATTGATTTAGGTAAGCTCCATGAGCACAGGAATTGAGTCTTGTTTTATTTATGACTCACTACGTCCAAGATCTGGCATGGAGTCTGGCACAGGGTAGGTACCCAATAAACATTTTCTGAAGAAATAAATGAACACCTGTCATAAACCATGCTCTGAACTTGGCGTTTTATAGATCTTTCCTCCAAAACACAGAAGAATTTAACACTAAAATATCAGAGTTTTAAAAGTGTCACTTTTATTAAGTTTCTCTGAATCAAATTTTTGTTTTAAACCCCTAATCTTTTGGTTGCTGAGAACTTCAATCTCAGTCACTGGGGTGCCCGTCATCCGTTTCGTACCTCATAAAAATGCTGAACTTACGCAGTACCAGACAACTGGCTGAGAAGTAGCTTCTTTTCTCCAAGGTTGTTGTAGTCCTCACATGTCTTGGTCCATGGCACCTAGCTGAGCACTTGCCAATGCTGTCTCAGTCACCATCACTCCAAGTGGACTCTCAGAGATCCACACCTGGCCCCCGCCACACTGACTGTGACTCCCTTTCTCAGACCCAGTGTCTCCATATGAAGCTCTTTATGCTACTGGCCTCTGCCATACCATCCCCAGTCCGAGTAAACACAAACTCTCCCCTAGATGTTACCACTTCTACCTCTACCACTCAAAGTACTTCCCTACATCTCTGCAGAAAACTGTAATTCCCCTCAATGAGCCATTTCTGGAGTGCAAATGGGGCAATGGAGATGTTAATACAAGTTTGTTTGTTTGTTTGTTTGTTTGAGACAGTCTCACTCTGTCACTCAGACTGGAGTGCACTGACGTGATCTTGGCTCACTGCAACTCTGCCTTCGGGTTCAAGCGATGATTCTCCTGCCTCAGCCTCCCGAGTAGCTGGGACTACAGGCACATGCCACCACACCCAGCTAACTTTTTGTATTTTTTTAGTAGAGATGGGGTTTCACTGTGTTAGCCAGGAAGGTCTTGATCTCCAGACCTTGTGATCCACCCACCTCGGCCTCCCAAAGTGCATGAGCCACCGCGCCCGGCCACAAGTTACTCTTTTTTAAGTTTAATAATTCATTCTTGTATTTCATGGGTGTTTTACATAAGATGGTTCTGAAAATGAGGGGTAACCAAAAGGAAAATCAGTCACTCTGGCCTCTGTGCAGCAAGTTCATGGCTGGCTTTGTATCTCGGTGCATCTGTCTCCTACATGTTCTCCACATTCTAGGTCAGAACAAAATGTGAAGTGGTCTCCTCCCCTGGTTTGTCTGTCTTTATACCTTTATCCTCCCCTCACTAGAGGGAGCAATATTAAGCACATCTACCCAATTAGCTTGGAGAAAGAGCTTGTCAAGTTGTCTCTTCACTCAAAATGCCTGCCAGCACTAACACACTTCCCTGATCTAACTCCACCAGGCAGTAATTTGATAGGTAGCTTAACTGCCCTATGTTGTATTTTTCTCCTGGTTCAGTCACTATTGAAGACTATCATCAGTTTTGTTTTATCCCTCTGATGATGTACAAAATATCACCTACCAATATGATATGACCACAGAAAACAAAAGAATCCTGCCTGCCCAATCTCAGTTCTAGCCACAGAAATACTGAGTCTTTCTTTTCAGAAATTAACATACTCATTTCTTCCAGAGCAGTGGTCCCTACATACAGGGAAAAAAAAAAGCCATCTTTTATACTTTTAATCAAAAATATGTAGTACATGAATGATATTAAATATATTTTAAGTTTTAAGAAAGTCTTGTTGGTTTTTAAGCTCTTGACAGGTTTACAAAGCTAAAGAGATATATGAGAATGTGCAGTAATCTGGTCAACCCAGGTCAGTGTGGAAAGCTGTGTGAGTTATCTAAGCACTTGTACTCAAACCATCTATATTAAATAAGTGAGCTGCATAATCTATGCAAACTCAGAGTCGGTTAGGTACAGTCCTGGCTGACATAAAACCTGGAAACAAAAAAACAGAAGAAGAGAAAAAAAAATGATGCCCAAGTTCACAAAATTATTTTGGAATACTCAGACATTCCCCATTGACAAGCCCTCTTTCCCCTTATGCTGGAAAGGCTGGGATACACCCTAGGATAAAGTGCAGAGGATGACAAAAATTGGTAAATAGCATTTTTAGGTTCAGTCAAACTTTAGAATTTTAGATCAGCCTACTTAAGTACTGAAGAAATATCTGGTCACTCATATGATTCTTAATTGTTTACTCGGCTCCAGTTCGATGTATACCAGTATGTATTTTTAAATATACAGAAATCCTCTGGGGTGAATACCAGCAACTTCAGTAATGCCTTGTACCTGAAGTTTCTATTAAATGTTGGCTAGCAACATTTCAAAAGAAAGAGAGTTCCCTGTGTGCTGCTGTTAAGACCTGTAGTCCTCTTAGATAAGATACCTTCCATCGTTAGTTCACTACTCCTGCCTTCTAGGTTTAGAAAGGTATGAATAGTCTTCAGCTGCACTTTAAAACCCATTCAAAATTGCCTTACATAAAGTAAGGCAACTAAATTTGAAGTTTAAAATAAGACAATCCTTGCAGGGAAAATCAGTCACTTATCAGTAGAGTTCCATGCAGCTCATTGGAAATTCAGAATTTGGAACACAAATTTAGAATATTGAACATGGCATTATTCATTGCCTGGCACAGAGTCATGCAAGGCAGTTAGCCAAACAAGCTATCTCTCTACTTACAGGTGAAACAACAGTTTGGAGAATCTTAAAAATTTGAAAACATCCATAAATCAAATTAGGTTTTCTAAGGGGGAAGTTAACACTCTGCCAAGTTACGCAAACTGAAGAAGAAAACAAGCCCGCCGTTAAAATGGTTTTCATGACAGACACTTACACTTCTTCACACAATATCAATTAGCGTCTTTAGAACAGACTTCCCAAAGATGATATTTCAATCAGTATATTTTCTGGATGTGAAGGGCTTTCGTTTATTGTTTCAGGCTGCAGAAAGTAGGACTATGGGTAGTGTTGCTGACAGTGGTTGAGCTGGGCGGTCTGACGTATCAACTGAGAGAAGAATTACACCACTTCTAGAACCTCTAATGAAAACTATTCCCTATCTATCAACATGACTTTTTAATGTGTAGATTTTCTCACCTCACATGTATTCTTCCCCCTTTACCACACATAATATTGCCTTTCTAGGATCAGCTAAATTTCCCCCTTGTTTTCTAAGGTATGTCTTTGACACCTTGCCATGAAGCTACATCCAGAGAATGGATAAAAGACATGGAATTCTAAAGGAGAAAAAAATAAAAAAACAAATCTTCCTTGCTGAGTCATTTATTGAGCTCTCCTTTGTTACAGCAAAGCCAAGTACGGAATTAAGTCAAGAGAATCAAGTTGATCTACGGTATAAAGAGTTGAGGAAGAAGGGTAAATAGGAAGTGGCACAGTGAAGCCTCATGAGCTGTGTTCTGGGGAGAATTTTGAAGGTTTGGCATGTGAAGACCTCCAGAGCTACAGTTGGAGAAAAGAGAAGAGATGATTGAGATATGTGCTGCGGGTTTTTAATTGAGTTCCTTCTATGTTTGAAAGATTCAAGTAAAAATTCAAAGTCTTTTGTTCACTGTATCTGTTTCTTCAAATGCCCCTTCATGTAGAGTCTAGGTAATGCCTCATACTGGATCTGATTCATGTTACATCCATGACACAAACCAACTCACTCATGTCCAAAAACAAAGTCCTAATTCTAAAACCCAATAAGTTATTCATGGAATAAAAGCACAAATATCCACCTTCAATGACACTAACCTTAACAACAACAGAGTTGTAAGGCTTGGAGTTGCATTTGAGTTCATTATCTGAGCACGCCATTTGACATGAGTTTTGACCGACTGAAAGAGATTGGCTACCATAATATTTTAAATCTTTCTGGAAGATTATGATGGTGGTGGCATTTCGGAAGTACTGTAGCTTTCACTGAAAATTATTCAATATTAGAGATAATACATGGCTTTTCTAAAGAATCTGGTTAGCACTCCATATGTTCACTTAGTGGGAAAAAATAAAACCTCTATCTGAGAAAAAAAAAAAGCTGCTAGGCATAGATATCATGCTTTTTACATTTTTCCTTTAAAGGAAATACAAATGTGCCATTAGCACAATGTGGCCCGTTCTCAATTCTCTGCAAGTTGATGCTTGTTCCAGAGTGCAGCCTCCTCTGCTCTTCAGCAATGCTGACAACAGACTTTGGTACACATGGTGAGTTTACACTGGCTGACCTAGAGCCTCCGTTTGCCTACTCCAGCCTGGATAATGATTCTCCCAGATGCCGCACAGCAGTTATCCTAAGATTTCCTCCACTGGCCACCTGAGAAGTCCCTACACTTCTCTTGGTTTGGATAACATTTGCCTGGCCCAAGCTCTTCTTCCTTCCTTTATTCCCTAGGTGAAACACATCCTCTAATAGCTCCTTAAGAAATGGTACTGAGGAACTTGGGTTTTGAGACTTTGCTTGACTGGACATATTTTTATTCCATCTTGACAACTGATTGACAGCTTTAGTAGGTATAGATTTCTAGGTTGAGAATCATTTTCCCTCGGAATTTTGAAGGTATTTCCCCATTGTCATAGAACTAAGTCATTTCTATCTCTGCTCCTTTCTTAGTGTGTGACCATGTGATCTATTTATTTCAATGCTTCTCTCTGGAATCTGTTAGGATTTGCTGTCTATCTCTGCTGTTCTGAATTTCATAAAATAATATTGGATATTTTGTATTCTTATGGATCCCTTCACATGATGGCCATTTTCACTTGGTAAGAGTTTTGACCTAGAATTTTTTTTTTTTTTTTCAGACAGGGTCTTGCTTTGTTGCACAGGCTGGAGTGCAGTGGCACGATCTTGGCTCACTGCAACCTCCGCCTCCCAGGTTCAGAACATTTTCCTGCTTTAGCCTCCAGAGTAACAGGGATTACAGGCATGTGCCACCGCACCCAGCTAATTTTTTTGTATTTTTAGTAGGGACAGGGTTTTGCCATGTTGGTCAGGCTGGTCTCAAACTCCTGGTCTCAAGTGATCTGCCTGCCTCGGCCTCCCAAAGTGCTGGGATTACAGACGTGAGCCACTGTGCCCAGCCCCGCTAGTTGTGGTAAATTTTATTACTTCTTTAATAGTTTCTGTCCCACCATTTTGTTATATTCTGCAGTAACTGTTTTTTGACATTGGAACTTCTAGAATCATCTTCTAATTTTCTTGTCCTTTTCTCCTATATTTTTACGTATTTAATATTTTGGTCTTTCTTCTGGAAGATCTGCTTATTAGTCAACCCTTATATTTAATTTTTAAAATTTTAATTTTTTTATTTTCAAGATTTTTTTGGCCTCTAAATGGTACTTATACCCTCTTGGTTGCATTTCATATCTGCAATGTCTTATCTTTCAGAGAAATATAGTTTCTCTGAAATTTATTTAGGTTCCTGTATGGTTTCTTTATCTTCTGGCTTCCTTTTTTTCTATATCTTTTGGGCTCTGTCTTTGATGTTAGAGACTTATCTGAAACATCAGGTAATCTTTAGGTCCATTCCAATTTCAGCAAAGTAGTAAGGTGCTGCTTGGAATATGTCTGTGTACATGAGAGGGGCTTATCACATAGTGGGCTTTATTCAGTAAGAGAAACTTGGTGGAGGGTATTTGCCAGACTGTCAGTGTTGTGGGGAAATCACAAATGTCTAGTCTTGTAGACTTTGTCTCTTGAGTGGGTCAGTTTCCTCAGAGAAAAATCCTTCCCACTCTTGCATGAGTGGGAAAAGAGAGACTCCCAATGCTCTGGTAGGTAAAAATGAAAAAAAGGTAGTGTTTTTTTTTTTTTTTTTTCCAGTATGAAATGTCTACTTAATCCCTCTGTTTCCATGTAACACATCCTCCCTCTGCTTTGCTTAGTGATACAGACACCAGAGTCTTTGTGATGCAGCCTCTCCAGAAAGTAAACTTCCAGTCTTTAGCTTAGGTGGAATAGGGAATATAAAGGGTATTGTCTTAGTCTATTTTGTATTGCTACAACAGAATGCCTGAGACTCGGTGATTTATAAAGAAAATAGGTTTATCTTATCTC
Organism: Homo sapiens; assembly: GCF_000001405.40. Classification (NCBI taxonomy): domain Eukaryota; kingdom Metazoa; phylum Chordata; class Mammalia; order Primates; family Hominidae; genus Homo; species Homo sapiens. The sequence continues at coordinate 104,969,291 of NC_000008.11, read as the reverse complement.
ACAGTTCTGCAAGCTTGAGAGTTCAAGGGCATGACCTTGGCTTCCAGCAAGAGCTTTCAAGCTGTGTCAAATCACGGTGGAGAAGGTCTGGGGAAACTGGACGCATGCAAAGAGGCAAAACCAGAAGGGTGCCCCGTCTGTATAATGATCCACTCTATTCCAACAAAAACTAATCCAGTCCTCATCAGAGAGGGAACTCAGTACCTCAAGAACAGCATCAAGCCATCCATCATCTCTTGTGTGTTTATGCCTATCTTTCCATTTGATGTGTAGAGAAAGAGGAAATAAACATGTGGTCAATCAACCATTTTAACCTGGAAATCTGTGCTATCTTTTAAAGAAGTCTGCCCTGTAACAAAGTAATAACTACGAAGGGTCAAGAGCTTCACCCTCATGGTTCAGGTTCAGAGTCAAGAGCATCCCCATCATGGTAAAGGTGGACCAGCATTATTTCTAAGAAAAGTTCAGTTGTAGTCAAATCATTTTATGCAGCTCTAATTGATATTGCTATTCATAACAATTGATGGAGATGGAGATGAGGAAATGTTTCTAGATATGCTACATCAACTATGAAGTCTGTTAGCATCATCATTACCATCATCACTCACATAGGTAGAAAGTAAACATATCAACCCACCCTCACTTCTAAACTGAAAACTTTTCCTGGTTTTTGCCATCAAGCAGCACACCACCCAATGGCAAAGACAATTTATATGGCCCAGGAAAAAAATGCCAGACTACAAAAGTGTCATAAGCAATATTCCAGATATCTGAATGTGATCTTACCATGTTCTCCTTCACCTCTGAGCCTTCACCAATGTCCTTCCCTCTTTCAGAGCACCCTTTACCACCTCACTTCATTTCCTTTAACTCATTATCAACATCTTTGTCTCTGTTAATAATTATGATAAGAATACTAATAATGGCTAAATTTATTGAGTGCTTACAATGACAGGTGTATCATTATGACTTTACATATATCACCTCATTTATTGTTTTGAGCAATCCTTTGGTGTAGAGAGCCTTTTGCCCATATTTTATAGATAAGAAAACTGATGCAACATTTATATGGCACTTTCTCAGAGAATTTCCCAAACTCTCAGGTTCAATTTAATCATTTCTCCTGTAATGCAGTAGTTAGGATATATACCCTGGTGCCAAAGTTCCTTAGGGAATTTTCTTGGCCTCTCTGTTCTTTGAATCCCTGTTAGAAACATGTAGGTAACAATCATTTTTATATCACATGACTGTTCTGAAGATTAAATAATACAAATACAAATCTCTTTGAATACAATCTTACATGCAGTAAGCCATGAATGCACACTAGCTATAGCTATATGCCACTAGAGCTCTTGACACATTTCCTATCTTAACACTTACATCAGAATCTAACAGCATGTGTATTCTTTAAAACATTTCGGTCTAATATAGTAAACACATACACACTCATACTCTTCCCATTACACAAAGGCTTGGGAGCAAATTATTTAGCAGTTGAAATGACAGTGCCACAGTTTCTAGGGCCTGGGCCCAAGATGGTAGGCAAAGCCCATTTAGGTCATGACCTATTAATATTTGCAAAGAGTTTAAGTGGAATTGCTGCTGCTCTTTCTGTAGTACATGAGCAGAATCTGAATTCTGCATGTTCTATATCCCACTCCTCACTTCCCATTGGATTATAAGCCCTGAGAGGGCAAGGATCATGACTATGCTATTTAGTGTTGTGTCTTACCATTTAGTACACTGCCTAGAATGTATAAAGTGCTTAATAAATGGTTGTTGAAAGGGGGAATCAATGAATGAATGCTGATAGAAAATCAACTCCTTTGGGTGAATTTCACACATGCAGAAAATATGTGAGGGTAGAATACTAATTTAGCTTCCAGCAGAAATGTGGTCATTATAAGTAACAAAAGTAGATTCTGTAACAGCTGTAATTTGGAATCAGAAATGCTGGCTATAAGGCCAGTCTTCATGATTTTCTGACTATGTGATCCTGGACAAGTTGATTAATTCCTCTGAGCTTCAGTCACCAAATAGTTTAGTGTGAAAATCAAAAGAGATAATGTACATCCAAGCATTCTGTAAACTAGAAATCCCTGTGAAGGTTTACTATGAAAGCTTTCTCCCTAGGCCATATCAATCTGGAAGTACAGTTGGGGCATTAGTTTAATAAACTTGTCATTCTCTGGGGTGTTTCATGAACTGTTGCCATCCCCATGATCTTAAGCGCCTGTTAGATTCCTTGTTGATGATGAATAAATGTAGATTGTGTGAGTGGGGAAAGTGGGAGGGGGAGGGAGGTGAGGAAGCACAAGCTACTCATGCTTCATTCTGTCCCTAAGACCCTAGAAGACAAAGAGGATTGGAATGCTCAAAAAAGTTTTAGAACTGCCAAAAGTACATAAAGTTAGCTATAGAAATTTAAACATAAGTGATGATTGTTTGTTCCAGCAACAATGCAGGGGGGATATTTTCAAGTTGCTTAGTAAAATAGGGGGAATAAAGAAGTATGAGTTTCCTCTTATACGGGGACCAATGATCACCTCCTTCCACTAACCAATTAAGTTAGTTGACTCATTATTAATTAAATTATTTATTTTTGAACCCCTATGATACATATACATCATCTGCTATGTGCCAGGTTATGTTTGGTACTTGGCTACATTGTCAAATGAAAAGAAACACAATGTCTCCTAACTTACAGCCTAGGGAACTTACAGTCAGCCACCCTATGCCTCTGCTCTGAGTTGAAACAACCATACCATCTTTGGAGTGAGTTTCTCTTCATTAAAGAAACTATGATGGTCAACAATGGGAGATGGCTTTTTCTACCAAGAATATGAAACAGACATTAATTAAAGTATATGTCCAGTTTGAGATATCATTTCTGCAAAGGAAAGTGAGTTCTGGTAGTACAAATTAAAATAGTTAAATTTAAAACATATATACCATGTAAAGAAAATAAAGATGTTTTATCTAAATAGGGGAAATTGAAGCCGGATATAATCTTTGCTTTTGATCAAAGGTTTTCAAGTAGGAAATAGTCTTAAGTCATACAGGAGAAATGTGGCCCTTACCTAAGGAAGAATTTCTCAGCATGGAAGGATAAGGAATTGGAATGGGCAGCCAGAGAATCTTGAAGAACTTCATCTCCAGGGAGATCCATGGACCAGACATCAAGTTGCTTCACGACAGAGGCATGAATAATGCCATTTCTCCCTATGCTTTTCAGCTTTATAGATAAGTGACAGACCAATTAAAACAGATGGCTACTCGTTCTGTTTAGAGAAAATAAAATAGAGAAAGTAAATTTGTCTTGATCCCATTTACACTTCTAATGCAAAAACCAGACCAGCTCTTATAATTTACTTCAACATTATTGGACCCTTTTTATGTCCCAGGCACTGTATTGGATGATGCGAATCTATAAAGATTCTTCTACTTTCAATAAATTTGTAATTTACTGAGGAGACAGAGCTAACAGATAGTTACTATCTGTTAACCCCTTACTATGTGCCAGATATTTTGTTAAGTATTTTAAATGCCTGATTTTATTTAATTGTTACAACAATCCTAGGAGATATTACCATTATCTGCATTATGCAGATACAACTACCCTCATAAGAACAATCCAGAGCCTTTGAAAGAGGGTCCATTACCAAACCATGGAGCCAGAATCCAAACCCAGTCTGCCTGATTCAAAGCCTACGTCCTCTTGACCATTACTCTGCATCTTGTGCTATACTCCAAAACAAATGACAGTCATAATGATAACAACAATAACATAATGCTTATTATAGGAGAGGTGTAAATAAAGTGCTTTGGGGTCAGAGAAGGGGAAACAATTAATTTGAATTTGAGATCACTGGAAATTTTAGACAGATGGTCATTATTTTAGAAAGATGTTCACCAATATGTGTGTTCTTACTTCCATAGTAGAGCTGTCACTTGGGAGAAGCTACTATCCAGTATGACATTCCTGGCCCCTGTGCCATGTGACTGGCTCTCAGTGGAATCTGAGTGGAAGTGACGTAGGCCTCTCCTTCATCAAGGCAGTAAAGATGCAGATGCACCTTCCCCACCTTCTCCTTCTTCTGCAGACCAGGATACCTATATGAGTGCTGCATAAGAAAATATATATAGACTTCTATTCTGTTAAGTCACTGACATTTGGGGATTTATTTGTTAAAGACACTAGCATTACACTAATAAAAAAAACTGATCCAAGAAAGGAATAGAAAATAAGCAAAGTCATAGAAACGTGGTGTATTCATGGAGAGTAAATAATCCCTGTTCTTCGGAGTATACATGTGGAAGGGAAGGAGATTGACTGGAAAGATAATTTGGAACCATGAATGTCAAGCACAAAGTTTGAACTCTCAATAACAGAGAGCTTCTGAGACAAGTCAGATCAGAAATGAGACATATCTCATTTAAAACTAATAAAATGGGCGGTTACAAGATGGCCGAATAGGAACAGCTCTAGTCTACAGCTCCCAGCATGAGCGACACAGAAGATGGGCGATTTCTGCATTTCCAACTGAGGTATCAGGTTCATCTCACTGGGGCTCACTGGACAGTGGGGGCAGGACAGTGGGTGTAGCCCACCGAGCGTGAGCCGAAGCAGGGCGAGGCATCACCTCACCCGGGAAGTACAAGGGGTCAGGGAATTCCCTTTCCTAGCCAAGGGAAGGGGCGACAGATGAGACCTGGAAAATCGGGTCACTCCCACGCTAATACTGTGCTTTTCCAATGGTCTTAGCAAATGGCACACCAGGAGATTATATCCCGCGCATGGCTTGGAGGGTCCCATGCCCACAGAGCCTCACTCATTGCTTGCACAGCAGTCTGAGATGGAACTGCAAGGTGGCAGCAAGCCTGGGGGAGGGGCACCCACCATTGCTGAGGCTTGAGTAGGTAAACAAAGCGGCCAGGAAGCTCGAACTGGGTGGAGCCCACCACAGCTCAAGGAGGCCTGCCTGCCTCTGTAGACTCCACCTCTGGGGGCAGGGCATAGCCAAACAAAAGGCAGCAGAAACCTCTGCAGACTTAAATGTCCCTGTCTGACAGCTTTGAAGAGAGTAGTGTTTCTCCCAGCATGGAGTTTGAGATCTGAGAACGGACAGACTGCCTCCTCAAGTGGGTCACTGACCTCCGAGTAGCCTAACTGGGAGGCACCCCCCAGTAGGGGCAGACTGACACCTCACACAGCCAGGTACCCCTCTGAGACGAAACTTCCAGAGGAATGATCAGGCAGCAATATTTGCTGTTCAGCAATATTCGCTATTCTGCAGCCTCCGCTGCTGACACCCAGGCAAACAGCGTCTGGAGTGGACCTCCAGCAAACTCCAACAGACCTGCAGCTGAGGGTCCTGACTGTTAGAAGGAAAACTAACAAACAGAAAGGACATCCACACCAAAACCCCATCTATCGGTCACCATCATCAAAGACCAAAGGTAGATAAAACCACAAAGATGGGGAAAAAACAGAGCACAAAAGCTGAAAATTCTAAAAATCAAGCACCTCTCCTCCTCCAAAGGAACGCAGCTCCTCGCCAGCAACAGAACAAAGCTGGACGGGAATGACTTTGACGAGTTGAGAGAAGAAAGCTTCAGACGATCAAACTTCTCTGAGCTAAAGGAGGAAGTTTGAACCAATGGCAAACAAGTTAAAAACCTTGAAAAAAGATTAGACGAATGGCTAACTAGAATAACCAGTGTAGAGAAGTCCTTAAATGACCTGATGGAGCTGAAAACCAAGGCACGAGAACTATGTGATGAATGCACAAGCTTCAGTAGCCGATTTGATCAACTGGAAGGAAGGGTGTCAGTGATTGAAGATCAAATGAATGAAATGAAGCGACAAGGGAAGTTTAGAGAAAAAAGAGTGAAAAGAAATGAATTAAAGCCTCCAAGAAATAGGGGACTATGTGAAAAGACCAAATCTACGTCTGATTGGTGTACCTGAAAGTGACAGGGAGAATGAAACCAAGTTGGAAAACACTCTGCAGGATATTATGCAGGAGAACTTCCCCAACCTAGCAAGACAGGCCAACACTCAAATTCAGGAAATAAACAGACTGCCACAAAGATACTCCTCGAGAAGAGCAACTCCAAGACACATAATTGTCAGATTCACCAAAGTTGAAATGAGGGAAAAAATGTTAAGGGCAGCCAGAGAGAAAGGTTGGGTTACCCAAAAAGGGAAACCCATCAGACTAACAGTGGATCTCTCAGCAGAAACTCTACAAGCCAGAAGAGAGTGGGGGCCAATATTCAACATTCTTAAAGAAAAGAATTTTCAACCCAGAATTTCATATCCAGCCAAACTAAGCTTCATAAGCGAAGGAGAAATGAAATACCTTAAAGAAAGGAAATGCTGAGAGATGTCGTCACCACCAGGCTTGCCCTACAAGAGCTCCTGAAGGAAGCACTAAACATGGAAAGGAACAACCGGTACCAGCCACTGCAAAAACATGACAAATTGTAAAGACCATCAAGGCTAGGAAGAAACTGCATCAGCTAACGAGCAAAATCACCAGCTAACATCATAATGCCAGGGTCAAATTCACACATAACAATATTAACCTTAAATGTAAATGGGCTAAATGCTCCAATTAAAAGACACAGACCGGCAAATTGGATAAAGAGTCAAGACCCATCAGTGTGCTATATTCAGGAGACCCATCTCACTTGCAGAGACACACATAGGATCAAAATACAGGGATGGAGGAAGATCTACCAAGCAAATAGAAAACAAAAAAAGGCAGGGGTTGCAATCCTAGTCTCTGATAAAACAGACTTTAAACCAACAAAGATCAAAAGAGACAAAGAAGGCCATTACATAATGGTAAAGGGATCAATGCAACAAGAAGAGCTAACTATCTTAAATATATATGCACCCAATACAGGAGCACCCAGATTCATAAAGCAAGTCCTTAGAGACCTACAAAGAGACTTAGACTCCCGCACAATAATAATGGGAGACTTTAACACCCCACTGTCAACAAGAGACAGATCAACGAGACAGAAAGTTAACAAGGATATCCAGGAATTGAACTCAGCTCTGCACCAAGCAGATCTAATAGACATCTACAGAACTCTCCATCCCAAATCAACAGAATATGCATTCTTCTCAGCACCACATCGCACTTATTCCAAAATTGACTACATAGTTGGAAGTAAAGCACTCCTCAGCAAATGTAAAAGAGCAGAAATTATAACAAACTGTCTCTCAGACCACAGTGCAATCAAACTAGAACTCAGGATTAAGAAACTCACTCAAAACTGCTCAACTACATGGAAACTGAACAACCTGCTCCTGAATGACTACTGGGTACATAACGAAATGAAGGCAGAAATAAAGATGTTCTTTGAAACCAATGAGAACAAAGACCCAACATACCAGAATCTCTGGGACACATTTAAAGCAGTGTGTAGACGGAAACTTATAGCACTAAATGCCCACAAGAGAAAGCAGGAAAGATCTAAAATTGACACCCTAACATCACAATTAAAAGAACTAGAGAAGCAAGAGCAAATACATTCAAAAGCTAGCAGAAGGCAATAAATAACTAAGATCAGAGCAGAACTGAAGGAAATAGAGACACAAAAAACCCTTCAAAAAATTAACGAATCCAGGAGCTGGTTTTTTGAAAAGATCAACAAAATTGAGAGACCACTAGCAAGACTAATGAAGAAAACAAAGAAGAATCAAATAGATGGAATAAAAAATGATAAATAGGATATCACCACCGATCCCACAGAAATACAAACTACCATCAGAGAATACTACAAACACCTCTACGCAAATAAACTAGAAAATCTAGAAGAAATGGATAAATTCCTCAACACATACACCCTCCCAAGACTAAACCAGGAAGAAGTTGAATCTCTGAATAGACCAAAAACAGGCTCTGAAATTGAGGCAATAATTAATAGCCTACCAACCAAAAAAAGTCCAGGACCAGACAGATTCACAGCCGAATTCTACCAGAGGTAAAAGAAGGAGCTGGTACCTTTCCTTCTGAAACTATTCCAATCAATAGAAAAAGAGGGAATCCTCCCTAACTCATTTTATGAGGCCAGCATCATCCTGATACCAAAGCCTGGCAGAGACACAACAAAAAGGAGAATTTTAGACAAATGTCCCTGATGAACATCGATGCAAAATTCCTCAATAAAATACTGGCAAACCGAATCCAGCAGCACATCAAAAAGCTCATCCACCATGATCAAGTGGGCTTCATCCCTGGGATGCAAGGCTGGTTCAACATACACAAATCAATAAATGTAATCCAGCATATAAACAGAACCAAAGACAAAAACCACATGATTATCTCAATAGATGCAGAAAAGGCCCTTGACAAAATCCAACAGCCTTTCATGCTAAAAACTCTCAATAAATTAGGTATTGATGGGACATATCTCAAAATAATAAGAGCTATTTATGACAAACCCACAGCCTATTGGGTTTGCCTATTCATACTGAATGGGCAAAAACTGGAAGCATTCCCTTTGAAAACTGGCACGAGACAGGGATGACCTCTCTCACCACTCCTATTCAACATAGTGTTGGAAGTTCTGGCCAGGGCAATCAGACAGGAGAAAGAAATAAAGGGTATTCAATTAAGAAAAAAGGAAGTCAAATTGTCCCTGTTTGCAGATGACATGATTGTATATTTAGACAACCCCATCGTCTCAGCCCAAAGTCTCCTTAAGCTGATAAGCAACTTCAGCAAAGTCTCAAGATACAAAATCAATGTGCAAAAATCACAAGCATTCTTATACAGCAATAACAGACAGAGAGCCAAATCATGAGTGAACTCTCATTCACACTGGCTTCAAAGAGAATAAAATACCTAGGAATCCAACTCACAAGGGATGTGAAGGACCTCTTCAAGGAGAACTACAAACCACTGCTCAACAAAATAAAAAAAGATACAAACAAATGGAAGAGCATTCCATGCTCATGGGTAGGAAGAATCAATATCGTGAAAATGGACATACTGCCCAAGGTAATTTATAGATTCAGTGCCATCCCCATCAAGCTACCAATGAGTTTCTTCACAGAATTGGAAAAAACTACTTTAAAGTTCATATGGAACCAAAAAAGAGCCCACACTGCCAAGACAATCCTAAGCCAAAAGAACAAAGCTGGAGACATCATGCTACCTGACTTCAAACTATACTACAAGGCTACAGTAACCAAAACAGCATGGTGCTGGTACCAAAACAGAGATATAGACAAATGGAACAGAACAGAGCCCTCAGAAATAATACCCCACATCTACAACCATCTGATCTTTGACAAACCTGGCAAGAACAAGAAATGGGGAAAAGTTTCCCTATTTAATAAATGATGCTGGGAAAACTGGCTAGACATATGTAGAAAGCTGCAACTGGATCCCTTCCTGACACCTTATACAAAAATTAATTCAAGATGGATTAAAGACTTAAACGTTAGACCTAAAACCATAAAGACCCTAGAAGAAAACCTAGGCAATACCATTCCGGACATAGGCATGGACAAGGACTTCATGTCTAAAACACCAAAAGCAATGGCAACAAAAGCCAAAATTGACAAATGGGATCTAATTAAACTATGGAGATTCTGCACAGCAAAAGAAACTACCATCAGAGTGAACAGGCAACCTACAGAATGGGAGAAAATTTTTGCAATCTACTCATCTGACAAAGGGCTAATATCCAGAATCTACAAAGAACTCAAACAAATTTACAAGAAAAAAACAAACAACCCCATCAGAAAGTGGGCAAAGGATATGAACAGACACTTCTCAAAAGAAGACATTTATGCAGCCAACAGACACATGAAAAAATGCTCATCATCACTGGCCATCAGAGAAATGCAAATTAAAACCACAACGAGATACCATCTCACACCAGTTAGAATGGTGATCATTAAAAAGTCAGGAAACAACAGGTGCTGGAGAGGATGTGGAGAAATAGGAATACTTTTACACTGTTGGTGGGACTGTAAACTGGTTCAACCATTGTGGAAGACAGTGTGGCGATTCCTCAAGGATCTAGAACTAGAAATACCATTTGACCCAGCCATCCCACTACTGGGTATATATCCAAAGGATTATAAAACATGCTGCTATAAAGACACACATGCACACATATGTTTATTGCAGCATTATTCACAATAGGAAAAACTTGGAACCAACCCAAATATCCATCAATGATAGACTGGATTAAGAAAATGTGCGACAGAGCGAGACTCTGTCTCAAAAAAAAAAAAAAAAAAAACAAAGAAAATGTGGCACATATACATCCTGGAATACTATGCAGCCATAAAAAAGGATGAGCTCATGTCCTTTGTAGGGACATGGATGAAACTGGAAACCATCATTCTCAGCAATCTATCACAAGAACAAAAAAACAAACACCGCATGTTCTCACTCCTAGGTGGGAATTGAACAATGAGAACACTTGTACACAGGAAGGGGAACATCACACACCGGGGCCTGTTGTGAGGTTGGGGAAGTGGGGAGGGAAAGTATTGGGAGATATACCTAATGTAAATGACGAGTTAATGGGTGCAGCACACCGACATGGCACGTGTATACATATGAACAAACCTGCACATTGTGCACATGTACCCTAGAACTTAAAGTATAATTAAAAAATAAAAATAAAAAACTAATAAAATATTCATACTTTCCATTACAGATATGGTCATAAAGAATTCTGTATCATGGATGTCTAAGTGTTCTCTCCTATTGAAAGCCTATGTTTCGTTTTAACACATATGAGCCTACATATACACACACAATGCACACACATACCTGCAGCTACACACGTGTGCACACCTACAAACCACTGACATGCATACATGTAGGTGCATGCATACACACATATTTGTGTATGCACACACCTGCAAAACACCTATATTCACACAGTGCATGTAACCAGACATATGTATATTTGCATGAGTGTACACATGCAATTTTTCTCCTTAATCAGTATTAGATGTTATCTATATTATCTCATAATCATACATTTATGTAGCTACCTATTCTTTCTTAGAATTGCATCTGTTTGAACATCTAGTTTAAATATTTTCTTGAGGGGGGAAATGGCAATTTGTAAAACTATAGTGCATGGCCTAATATTTGTGCTCTTGTTACCTTAGTGATTTTCATTTTTTCTTCTTTGCCTCCTAAAAGTAAGTCAGGAATGCAAGGGGTGTGACTAAAGGGAAGACAGAGAGAACATCTTTTCATTTATTTTTCTTCTTTTCTTCCTATTCTTATAATGCTTTCTTCTATAGGTGTCCACAAAGTCTCCTCAGGTGGGTCAGAAGGTCCCCAGAGCTGCCAACACTTCTCTTCAGTAAGAAACTTGTGCAAAAATGCGGCTGCTACCCAGAGGGATGTGACAGATGGCAGAATCACCGTGCTGAGCTCAGATGGCTCATCCAGGTGGAGAGGTATCAGGGAGCTAGAAGCAGAGCTCTGGAAATTATTCCTGGCCTGCATCAGCCTCTCATATTGACAATTCCACACTCTTCTGATCTGTGAATTTTGGAGGTTGGAGAGCCCAGATGCATGCAATTTTTCCCCTCTGAGAGCGAATTTTAGCTCTCCAGAGCCACCATTTCTTTGTAGGATATTACGTTTCTTGTATTGTACATTGTCTGTGAGAATTCACTGATGCCTAACTCAATCTAATTTTCTTATCTGAGTGTGATGCTGATGTACAAATGGCAACCCCAGAACAACCTCTAACCAGCTAACTTTGGGGGCTCTTCAACAGCCATGGGACAGCCAAAGCCAAGAGAGCGCATGGAATGGAGTGTGTGGAATGTGGCCTGGTACAGCAGTCAAGGCTTTGCAATGGGCCTGAAGGAGGAGTACCAAGTAAGGAGTGGTCAGAAACCGCAGTTTAGTTAGATAGAATGAACACCTATAGGATAAATTTTTTGTGGTTCTTCCTTCCTCCCAAGAGCCACAGGGGAATGCAGGGCAGGTTTACTCTTAGATGCCATCACTGTCTGGGAAAGCCTTACAAGGCAGAGGGTAAAACTCCACATCTGAACTTCACCTTCAAAAAACTGAAATAGTAGCCAATTCCAACCCCTTTATCTTATAGGATTAATTAGATTAATTTAGCCTCTGTGTAAGTTGCTAGATTGAAGATGTTTATTGCCTGAAAGCAGGAATTCTGTTTATCTATTGCTTTCTTGCCAGAAAGGTGCTGTCTGCCATAGTTGTGCTGTATTCAGTGGTTGTACCCTGTCTCTTTGTCACAAAAGTAACACCAGCAGAAAAACAAGGAGCTACCCCCACCCCCAGGATAGCAACTGGAACTTTATGTCAAGACAAAGAGTGCCTGTGTTAAGTGCAAGAATCCTGGTATTTGAAGAGGCTGCACCACAGGCCCTTTGATGTGCTTTTTCCCCCCAAAGTTGAGATGACACTGAGCTTGAACAATGTACTATATACATGTGAGTCCATTTGAGTAATACATGTTTTCAGTAGCTTGGAAAGATTAGAGTAAAATTCAGTGACCTGGAAAAGTGTATGTATATATGTATGTATGTATTTATATGTGTGTGTGTGCGTGTGTGTGTGTGTGTGTGTGTGCAGGTATATGAAGTTTCTTGCTTAGCTAAGTGGCCTTCAATGGATCAAACTCACAACTTTGGCAGCAGTATAATCATGTCATGTCTCAAGGGTTTTTAAATCCTTATGTACCTGTACAAAGCAGCACCTGGGAGATGTGACAAAATACAGATTCCAGGGTCTTACCCCAGAGAGTCAGCAATTCTGAAATGAGGCTCAAGAATCTGCATTTTAATAAACCTCCCAGGTGTTTCTTGACACCAAACCCAGAAATAGTGCTAACTGAGCAAAATGCTAATTTAAGTGACCTCTCCTTTTAGGTTACAGACAGAACTACAGAGTAGTGTTGCCATGGATTAACCTTATTTGCCATGATGAAAGTGAGAAAGAGAAAGAAAAGGAAAAGAGAGAAAGAGGGGATCCTTAGGTCCACTTCCCTAGAGGCAGAGCTGATTCTTGTGCAAGTGATATTTGAGGGAGGCATCTCAAGAGAAAGAAGGGAGGAAGCAGGGAGAATAGGATAAGAGAAGGGAAGGAGCTAATCAAAGAAGGAGTCTCCACTGTAGTCTAGTTTCAGCCTGAACCTGCGCAGAGTTGTAGAGCATAAATCACACCACACCATGATCCTAGCTTGAGGCCAGAGGTCAGCTTTTTGTACCCACAAATGAGTCAGTCATTGGCTGCAGGACACACCTTGAAGTGGGGCTTAAGGTCCCAGGCATCTCTGTTTGGTGTTGTTTCCTTTAGCAAAGAATGACTCTCTGGAGGAAGCAGCAGCTGTGAATTTACCCAGCCAACACTCCCAGCTAGTAGGGGAAAGATGCACCAGCTCACTAAAGAACATTTGGGTGAGCATCTACAGTATCAGCTTCAGGAAGGACTGGCAGAGGGGGAAAGAGAGAGACAGAGAGAGTGATAAAGAAATAATTCTCAGCGAAGATTGATTCAAACAAACAAAGGCTCTACTGTCTCAGTCAAAAAAGTGAATAGCACTAAAGCGCCAGCAATCCACCTTCTGTGGTACATTCCACTGAGGGTTCACAAGTTTCTGCATTCTTGAGCACCTACGGCTTTGACACTAGTGTCCAATAGCTCCCTCTGGAGTAAGCTGCATTTAGGAGGTTCAAGGGCACAAAGGTATGACAGAGGTAAACAGAATATTAGTGGTGAACAGCCAAGCAGTCTTTGCACTGGCCATCATATTCAACTTTGTGACATCTGCAAATCTGGTGAACACAAATTTTCAGGGTGGGTAAACTAAAATGCAGCTCATCAATCAAAACTACTCTGATTTAATCAACATTTCAACAACATTTGTGTGGGATAAAGCATTACTAGGATAAATCCATCCAAGCCACATTTTCCATCTTATCCAACATTTCTTCAATTATTTTGTCTAACAAACGCCTTCTGAAATAAAAATATACCATTACCATGCATTCTGTCTAGCACTCCAATGGCCTCATTTTAGAAGGAAATTAAATGGATAATATCCATGTGTCAATATTTGTTCCTAGTATCACTACTTTTTTTTTGTATAAGTACTAACAAACCTCATATGTGATCATTGTTCCAAAGACATTGACATGGTGTGACAGATTTTACTGAGCAGTCAAGTTTCAGAAATTCCACCATTTTCCCCTGCCTAAAAGCAGGTCATATACCTAACTACAGTACTTTCGTAAGTCTCTCAACCGCTATGATTTTGAAACAGAGCACCCAGAGTAACACTGTGATGTTCTCTGCATGATCCTCTGGCACTTTACAATTTTATTCATCTAGGCCTTTACTCATATAAAGCTAATAGATATTTCTTTACAATTTGTTTGCTCATCTAACCTGGGCATCTATTTCCTCTTAATGATCCTTGTCTACCTGTCCATCTTGAAGATGATCCTTCTTGCTGGTAAGAATGTAATCAAAGCAGGATCTAAATAATTCTGCTGTTACTTTGGGCATATATCTATGGTAGCACTTATAGATCAACTTATCTATTTATTGTTCTTACTCTCCAGAAAGCAATAAGCCCTTTGGGTAGTTTCAACTGTTGCTTGAAACTTACACTTCACCCTGGACTTTGGACTTCCTGACATTCTTCTATAAGTCCACTTTGCTCTCCTGCCAGCAACTTGGCCAATGCCTCCCTCCATCCATTTCTGTAGGTGCTCTTCTACTGGATGACTTTATCAGAGGACTTCTTTGTGGTCACATTGTGAACACTAGATACCACATTTCTGCTTAAGTATTCTCATTTGTGATTAAATTATTAGAAATTTGACTTTTCAAAGATTCACTCTTGAGCCACATGAACTTTTGACTTCACTGACCATGAAATGTGGCTCGCCCTTGTTATAAACTCTAAGCAATGTATTTCCTAAAGCCTAAGATATAATACTTAGTGTCTCCTATGCTCACTTTCTCTCTTTTAACCTAATGTCTCAAATGATTTGACTACTTCCCACAAAGTTTCCTATATCATGTCTCTATCACAAAACAGTCCTTTCATAATTTGGTCCAGAATATTGTTTTCTTTCCTTGCTTATTCATCTTTCTGAGTTGTCAGCAAGTCTAACATTTATCAGATGCCCTGCTTTTTGTAGAATAAGACTTCAGCAGACATTCCGACGGGTGTATTTTCCCCTCTCTTCAAGGCCAGTTTTGTAATCTGCCTTCGGAAACCTTTATCCATATCCTCTGTCTGGTCTGTTGGTCTGCAGAATACTTCTAGAATAATATCACTTCTAATTTTCTTTTATCTTATCCTCCTTGAGAGGAAAATTTGCAACGTTCATGCTTTGTGCAAAAGGGAAAAGATCTTTCTAAGTCACAGCTGTCACCTGGGTTTCCACAGGTCCATGTGCTACTGAAAGCTTGAATGCTCAAAAGAGAGGAAACTCAAAGGTCAATAAATATGTCTTCTGAAAATGCAGCAAAAAGGTCTGTTGTCATTTTCTCTCGAAAGTTCCCCAAACTCAGTTACAGCAATTCTGTTCCAGGTTGTATGAAAATATACACTTATCTAATGAAAATAAAATTATTTGAAATTTTTCATATAGGCAAATGGAGAGTTATTAAGAGCAAGAGCTGTGAAACCCAGAGTTGACTTGACATTGAGTCCCAGCTCCAGTGACTATTAGTTGTGTACCTTTGATAACCTTTCTAAGTCTCAGATGTTCACATCTATGAGATTGGTTTATTACTAGTACCTTTCTGGTAGGATCGTTGTAAAAATTATTTTTAAAGGTTAATCACATCACCTGGATTTTAATAAATTCCTTTATTTAATAAAAGGAAACAGGATTATTTACTATGTGCCAAGAAATATTCTAGACACTTTTATTACAACAGAAAACCTCATCAGAAGGGAGTTAAGTGCAAACTATAAAGTCGTCCATACATAAAACACATATAAGTTATTGGCAACAGTAAACACCATGAAGTAAATAAAAATACATAAAACAGGAACCAGAAAATGACTGTGTCTGTGGGAGGCAACTACTTTAGCTAGAATGGCCAGGCAAGGCTTCTCTAAAGAGGCAACCTTTCGGTTGAGTCAGAATGATGAGAAACCACCAGCAATACCAAAGTCTGGAGAAAAGAGTTTTAGACAAAGGCGTGAGCAAATGTAGACATAAACTACTTCTCCATATATATGTTTTCCTTAAATAAATTTTGCCTGAGTGTTTGATCTGATTTTATATTACCTATTTGGGCATTATCAATTTTCATTGAAAATTGAACAGATTCCCCTCTATCATCTCCTGTAACCCTGTTCAATCATCAATATTTTAAGCTTTTACAAATCACAAGTTGATGTTTTACATGTCCATGTTTTATCACTGAAAGCCTATGGCTGAATGCCATGTAGATGAATTTGACTCTGGAAAGCAAGTCCCTTCAATTATCTGTTAAATGCCTCTTTTACACCCAACCTGCTGACAAAAATGAGAAAGCAAACAAATGAGATGAGTTGCAGTGAGGACACAGGAAGCCAAGAGAGCAGAGCATCTAATTGGAAGAGAACAGGAGAATGTTTAAAATAAGTTTCAGAACAGTGATAAGGACAAAGATGATGTTATCTCTTGGATAGAAGAAGTTATTAAAATACCCCAGAGTGTTTTCAATCACTTAATCAGAAAGCCCTTTTCCTGAGAACTGTCTTTTGTCCATGTGCCATGAACAAACATAAATATTTTGGACTTCCTGCATCCTTCACCCTGATAATGAGCTCTTAACTATATGCTCTTCCCACCTCAAAGAAACAGCTAAAAGCAATGATAAAACATAAAAGATAGATATGAAGTCTTTTCCAGATGAATTATTGAGTCTCACAAATATATTTTAGTGTTATTCTTTCTCTAGGCTCTTACTTTTTTGTAGGATATTTTATTTTTTTAAATATAATTCATGATGCATCCTAGAGTTACAGCATAACACATAATGTAAATATATACACAAAAGTTGAATTTAGACAAAATACATAAATGTCCTGACAACTTCATGTGAATTTCTTTTAAGATGCCACATAATTTTAACCTTTCATCTCGACATAAATTTTCATTTCTTATTTAAATTTTGGAAAATTCTTGAAATAATTTCACAAGAGAATGTTATAAAATGCTCATTTAAGACTTAAATAATATTTTAAATTCTTAAAGTCAGAGCAACTGTGTCTAGACATTTTTAAATGAAATAATTTATGTCAAAATAAAAAATATTCAAATACCTATGTTACCACTATTCAGGGAAAAATAAAAAGCTACGATTTTTTTAAGAAAAAGTATAATTAAAACAAATAATTTGACAGAAACTTCTTTTACTGTTATTGGAATAAAGTTTCATGAGATGTTTATGTTCTTATAAGATTTTAAATAGCATTTTCTGGATTCCAATAGAGATGTGTCAATCATTTGAATCATAATAAGCCAGAAGTTCTCTTTTTATGTTAAACAAATAAATCAAAGTGAAATTCTACTTGGGCAAAAGGTGAAATTAAGTTTAAGTGACCATATTCATGAATAAAATCACTATGAAGCACAATTAAATGCATTTTTGCTACTATTATAAATGAGAAATTTTCCCATTATACCTATATTTTAATTTATAATTGGAAATTGAATTCCTGGTACTCAGATTGATCCCATCCAGAGTTTTACTTTGAAGTTTGACCTCAGAATTTGTGCAATAATATCAAGTAGATGATAAAATTACAGGGGAAATTGTGTAATAATAGCACGCCTGTAGAAATCTTTACTTGCATAGCCATGATTCTTGGACACCAACCGGCCCTTGTTTTACATAAGGATATAATATCCCTGTCTATTTGAACCCCATGTTACCAAAGAGCTAAAACACAGATCTGGTTTAATTAAACAGCAAGACCCAACAGAAAGGATCCAATCAAGATGAATAATATTTCTGCTTCTCTCGCCAAAACAAAATAGACTGCTTGAGTGCTTTATGTTCAGGCGCAGCAAGCCAATGCATGCTGGGTGTCATGTCAGATGATAATTCAAGAGTTAAAAAAGACGGAATTCTCATTCACATATGAGAAGCTGCTATCAGCTCCCTTATCGACCTTATGTGTGCTCATGGGTAAGATGCACTGTTACTCATCATAAGATGAGAAATTGATTTATCTGGATAAACTGTTAGAGGAATCTGATGGTCTCATTAGTAAGGTGCTTCCGGGCCAGCAACACTGCCTCCTCTTACTAAGGAAGACCCTTACTAAGGATCAAATGTGCTCCTGGAGAACTACAACAGGATTTGGCCCTAAATTTCCAGATAATGATGGTCGAGTAGGGCTTGATTTATTCTACGTGTTGCTTTTATTCTCTCTATTGATTCCTACAAAATAAAGATGGCCAACCCTGGTACAGAATTAGAAATAATTAGAATCAGTTGTTATTTACTCATGATTTTATTTTTTGCAGAAGTTGAGGAGTGGGTGGGGAGGGGGTGGCAGGCGAGGGGAAATGTGTCCTTTGAATAGCTGCCTCTGGAAGAAATATTCTGGTAAAAAAACTGCTTCCAGTGTTTGTCTAAAATAAAGAAATAAATAAATGTGGCGTCGGGTGAATCACATCAAAATCTCAAGACAATTCCAAGATGAACCAACTCGAAGAGTAAATGACCTCTTCATCTGGGTGATAAAGTTCCAGCCAAAATATTCTCTGGGCCTGAGACGTGATTCATTAGAAATATGTGCATGGTGTGGCGCTCCCCTCTCTATCTGGCAGAGTCCAGTCTGCACGCTGATAAGAAGCAAATGCAAATGTCCTGATAAGAACTGAATGCAAATATTTATGATATGATATTCCCTGGGAATTATGTGCAGATAAAACAAAGTGTATTATTTTCCTGCTTCTCTTTCAGGTTTGCCAAAATGCCCTTTTTCGCTTTTGGAATTTGCATTTCTTCAAAATTGATTCGGCTTGCGTATTATGTTAAGCTATTTGTTTGCTAAGGATGGTAATTAGTTACTGTAATTACAGCAATGACAGTTGCTAAATTGTTTTTAAAGCATTACAGTGAGCCTGTGCCAGAAGATTGCAGTATTTTTTTGGATTTAAGCAGAGGCTGGAAAAACTCCCACTCTAGGGCCAGCATGGGATTTTCAACTACAAAGCTGCTTTTCCTGATTGAAATTTTTAAAAAAATCATTAATTTGCATTGATTGCAAGTGCTAACTTTACATTTAGGTTTATTCACATATCACAGAAATATTAGTGATAGTGGACCTTGGCGTAGAGGAGACACAAGGGGACACTCATCGTAAATAAAAGTGAAAGCTGATAGCAGAGGAAAAATGGTATAACTGTTACTTGGAGCCTGTTAATTAAACTTTTTAGCCTGTTTTTAGATAAATTAAAAACAATTAAAAATGTTTCTCTGAAAGTCATTTCCAAACTTTTCTGAGCACTCCTGGTTAAAATGAGTAATGTGGAAAAGAATAGTTTGGCCATATTCTATTTTTGACATGTGGAAAGTAACAGAAACAAGGAGAAAGGTTATTTACCCAAATATTCCTCACAGATTGAGTTTAAAAGAAAATAATTGAGGAGGAGAGACTTGAGCTATAGTACATGTCCGAGACGGTTTGTATGATTTATGCTGTATAACTGTGACTCAGAGGTTAAAGGCAGGGAATGTGGTTCTCTGTGCTGTTTGTTGTCACAAGTGTCTTCTAACAGTACTTCATAAAGTCTAGAGGATTCAGGTGAGCTCAAGTTTTGTTCTCAGTTACATGAAGTCAAAAGAATACAAAGTTTCAGTGCATAATTTAAGGGTACAGGTTTTTATACTCATATATTCGTACTCACAAATGTCTCATAGATAATAACTACTACTATATGTTAAATGTTGTTATTCCTCTACTGCAAGAAAGTTAGCTACCATCATAACAATAATAACAACAGCAGCTAACATTCATTGACATTTTTCCAAATTCTGGGCACAATGCAAAGTATATTACCACATTCTCTCAACAATTTTTGAGATGTTATTAGCTCCACTTTACAGAATGAAATACTGAAGGTTAGAGTTAGAACTTGCTCAATGTCATATTTCTGGTAAAAACTGAACATGAAATTCAAATCCAGGCATCCTGAGTTCACAACCTGTGCTCTTAACTTGACAGGAAAGAACTTTCCATTTTAATGTAAATAAATAATAAACAAATAAATATTTGTTGAAGTCTTGACTTTGTCCTTTAATCTACAGCTAAACTGAAAGCTAAACCATAAAGTCAAGATGTCAAAAATCAAATTTTTATCTTGAAGTTTGTTCTCCTGAAATTTTATTCTATTTACTTGTTGCAGAGATAAATGTAAATTTTTTTTATTATGACTCCAATAGTACCAGCACTTCATGAGAAATCTGACTTTTCACAAAAAGAATTACTTCCTAGGAACTGACTACTTCTGCTCCAAAAAGACTCAACAAATTTAGTTTGTGTATTTTTCATCATATGAGAACTTTAAATCCCAGTTTGTGTAACATGGTTTTTATATTTGTATGAATACAGATAAAATTGGTGAATTGGTATGTTACTCATTTAAAAACTGAGTTTTGAAAATGACCTCATGCTGTGGATACCTATGTTTGACCCTCATTCTGTAAAGCTGTTTCATGCATGACACAAATCAAATAGCTCCACTATGGGAGGCAAGTATCTTCCATGTACACACACATACATATACACGAGGCATTAGTCAATGCAATTTATACAAGCAGTGTTTCCAATTAACATATTCAACAACCGGTCTTTATGAAGTCACCCCTAATATACTCTCACCCCCTTCAAGCTGGTTATCTCTTCAATTCCTCAACCTGCATGACACTATACTTTTACCTCTTTTAGTGTTTGTCAAAAGACTTATGGTGCCTTTTATGAACCTAGCTCATTGTGTACATATTCATCTCCTTCAATAGACTGGAAGCTCTTTGAATGCTGGGTCTTTTGTATCTCCTGGATCTAGCACAGAGCTTGGTACATGGTAAATGCCCAATAAAGACTTGATGAATAACCACTGAACTCATGTAAACAACCACACATTTTAGTGACACAGGCAATGAGCATTTATTTCTCACCCATGGGTCTACAAGGCAGCTAGGACAGCTCTGCTTCAGGCTGGGGGTCAACTGGTCTATATAGCATTTGTGTCAATTTGGATCCAGTCTAGAGGGGCCCAGCCTGAATCCAGAATTGAAGGCACACCTAGAGCATATTTTTCTCATGATGGAAGGCAGAAACTACCAGGTAGCTAAGTGGAAACATGTGATGTCTTTTAAGGACAAGGCTTAGAACTGTAGAACTGATACCCTTCACTTTGATCCACTTGTTCAAAGCACATCAAGAGCTAAGCCCAATGTCCATTTGGTGGGAAAGTACACCATCTGCCACGGAGGGGCTGGAGGGCAGATGATGGAAGGCTAGTAAGTGTTTGCTGAATGATAACATAAGCTTCCACACATACCAAATTTCCATATATTAAAAGGTATCATCAATCATCTTTTCTCTAATGTAAAGCATATCAAACATCTAAGCGAGATAAGATAGAGAATTGCCTCATTATAAAAACTCTGGAAAATATTTCATGATTTCCATTGATAATTTTCTTTTAGTTCAATAAACTTAACTGACAAAAATGTTTAGGTGGGGTCAGCATTCATACAATAGTCTACAGTTTCGCGGTTTTCTTATTTTTCTCCTCTGTATGTCTGGAGAACTAATCAACCCTCTTCTTCCATGCTTGAAGACCATTAGTCAATTGTTCCTATGTTCATTCCTCCAGCCTGACATTTCTTTCATCTCCCCTTCTGTATTTCACTTGTCAAACCACATCCAACCTTGTGGCTCTTTTTTGGGACTCTCCCCCAAAGCATTTAGAGCCAAAAGCTATATTGGAATCTCTTCTTACCATCGATCAATCAAAACTGGAAAGGGAATCTTATTCCTTAGAGGACAAATATTGGCAAATTCCCAGCTGAAGAGAAACATATGGGTTCACACCCTCACACCCACATTTTCCTAACCCCTACTCCAATCTGCAAACATATCAGAGTCAATTTGACTAAACCATATTGGATCAAAGAAGAACTCTGAAGAGTGTGAAGTCAGGCTTCAAATATCAGCTAAGCACAGTTTGGTTACAGAAAGGAAAACATCCCCCCTGGAGTGAGACATCTTTCTTGTCCAGACATTCAAAGAGTGTTATTCATTACAAAGTTTATGGTACCCACACTGGGAGCACAGTTCATTACTTCAGAATTTCTGCCTAGTTTACAGGAAAGGTCTTCAGTCAGTTGCCTAGTGCTTTCCACAGCAGATTTGGAGTCAGGGAATATAAAATAGATCATTAGATGATCTCTAGCTGCACTTGGTCATATGGTAACTGTAAACACCCTGGAGCCAAGGACTTTTAAATTTTTCATTTAGGTTTTAAAATTAGGAAGATAATTTATTTTGTATGCTAGAAACTAAGATTTATTCACAATTCTTTTCATTTAACTCACCTGCTTATCCAAATTCCACTGAAACAGAGAAAGCTGTGATGTGTTAATATCAAAGCATACAAGAAAAATCACACTTTGGAACATAACTCATTATAATCCATGATGAGACAGGAGAAGAATGAAAGGGCATCCAACACCCTAACTTTTATCAGTAACTCACGTATTCAAACTCCGGATCACAAAATGGTAATATGGCTGATCATTCTCTTTATTCCATTGCCTATTTCATCAATAAGCATGTACCAAACACATACCACAAACTTGGCACTCCCCGAGATTCCTGCAAAAGTTCTGAAGTTAATGCTTCTGAATTATTATACACATTTATTTACTCTCAGAGACATTAGGAAACAAATAGACTTGAAATCACACCTACATCGGGTCTCTCCTAAAATCTTACAGAGATGAGCACAAACACACACACAAAAAATGGCAACAACACAAAAAGAAACTTACCAAGGTCTATTTAAATAAGATGCACCCATTTCGCAGGCTGTATTACATCATAGTCACTAGGCCAAACACAGGAGAAATTTGATTAACTAGGGAAATACAAACCAGCAATTTCTGGACTGGTGAAAATGCTTCTTGGATCATACATTTGCATGACTGCTTAAACTAAATCACCGCACACCTTTCTAAACCGAATCATAAGTCAGGCTCTTGCCTCTTAATTTTAGGATCCCCGTGTACCAGGTTGAGTCTGAGAATCTCAGGCTAAATGCTGCATAGCAAAAGGTAGCCTGTTCTTATGTATAGCTCATGTTTAACATTCATGAAAAAGGAAAAATCAAGCAGGTAGCATCCTAACTCAGTGAAAGATTATTTGGCTTTCCCAGTCAAAACCACACACAAGTCCACATATTAACTATGGGGAAAATGTTGCTTTAGAAGCTGCTCCTGGCATTTTATGACATCATAGACCTACATGGCCTATTCAGGGGCAAGTTCCCCAGGAAAAAATGAAACAATTCAGGCAGCCTCCCATTCAACATGGAATTTTTCTTATTCACCAAGGAAATCTCAGGTTGCTAGAAAAAAATGTGGTTCCTCTCCAATAATTCCTATTTTAATACTTATTCAAGTTCAAAATCATCAGTTCATTTAGGATTGCACTAAAATCCCAGGAAACAATAATTCTAGATCTTCACAGTGCTTTCAGCCTGCATCATTTTACATATTGCTCATTGGTACTCTCAATAGCTGTGGGGCTTGCTGGAACTCAAGAGTCTAGGACTGCTGGAGCAGATATAAGGAGGTGTCTTCTTTCTCTAGGAAGGTTCCTTGCCCCTCATAATATGCTGTTCAACTTTTATTCCCTCAATTTTCTAACACATTTTCAGAATTTATATATAGAAGTCATGATTTCCTGTCGTATCTTCCAGACTTGTTTTGTATTTTATTATGTGTGTATGTATGTAATCTCTATATACATGTGTGTATTTAATAATACTCAACTAGAATTTATTGAGACGCTGCCATGTTCAAGAAACTTTCTAAATGCTGATAGTCCAGTGGTGAACCAAAAATCATAGTTTTAGTTCTCAAGAATTTACAGTCTAATGTGGGAGAGAGATGACAAATAAAACTTATATATTATATATAAAATTCTGATACGGCACCTGGGAAAAGAGTGAATGCTAAAAATGCATTTAGCAGGGGAAGCAAATTTAGCCAGGGAAGAAGGAAAAGACTTCTCTGAAAAAGTGATATATTGATTCTGTCCTGAAATGTAAAGAATTATCAAGTATTATGGAAATATTGAGGGGACTATCTTCCAGGCAGTGGGAACAGCATATGAAAAACAGATTTGAGAAATACACATAAGTCTAGTGTACCCTCAAAAGGGCCTTTTAGGTCATGGCGATAATTTTAGACTTGATTCTAAGTGTGCAGGGGGCTTATTGCAAGGTTTTCAACATGTGAGTAACACGGTAATATCTGTATTCCTAAACAGTCATAATAGTTGCAGTATGAAGAATGAGTTTGAGGGAAGTAAAAGTAGCTGTTGGGAAGCCAGTTAGGAGACTATCATAGCAGTGCAGACAAAAGCTGGTTGTAGCAATAGACATAGAAAAAAAAATAACAGAAGAGATGTATGTGAGATTAATTTTATTCATCAAATTCACCAGGACTAGGTCATTCTTGAATGAGGATATAATGCAGGAGCTGTTAAGGATGACTTTCTGGATTGTAGCATGAGCATCTGAGATGGAGAACATTGAAAGAGGATTGCAACTGTAAATAATGAGTTCAGTTTTCATCAAAAGTGCTCAGTTTGAGATGCCTATGACACAATCAAGAAAAAATAAGGAATAATAATCGGTTAGGTACATAGTTCTAACTGGAGGTAGTTGAGAGATGTGAGTTGTTATAAAGTTATCAGCTAATATTTGAAGACATGAGAAAGAATCAGCTCATGTGGGTAGAGTGAAAAGAAATGAAGGTCCAGGGAAATCCCTATGAAATTTGGGTAAGAAGGATGAGACTCAGAGGGAAACGAAAAAAAGAAACCAAGAGAATGTGGCTACTCAGAAGCAAAGGGAAGAGCCTTCAGAAAGAAGGCACATCTAATCATACTAAACGATGGCAAGAAGTGAAGGAGAAGGAGTAGATTATACGGTGTATGGCCAGATTTCCCTTCTACTCTACCCCCCATTCCTCCATTTGCTGGGAGGTCAATAGCTCTCAGCTGACCCTTCTCTGGGAACTGCCTTCGGCTAAAGGGAACTACTTTGCCTAAGGTCATGTCTTCCTTGCATAATGGCCAGCATGTGATGACTGCTCAACAAGGGCAAAGAAAGTCCCAACCCTTGCCCCAATCCAAGACAACCATCAAGGGTCTTCTCAGCTTCAGAACTGCCCGTTAGGATGGGCTTCAGCCTTTGTTCTCCCTCAGCCTAGTGTTGCATCCTGCACTCCTGCACTGGTGCTGCTCCTGAGTGCTCTTTAA
Source organism: Homo sapiens (assembly GCF_000001405.40). NCBI lineage: Eukaryota > Metazoa > Chordata > Mammalia > Primates > Hominidae > Homo > Homo sapiens. The sequence continues at coordinate 104,943,725 of NC_000008.11, read as the reverse complement.
CCTCCCATCCATATAAATCTGTATTTTAGAGTCTGTTTCCCAGGGAACTGAGCTTCCACAGTAGGGTAAGTGCTAAAGAACTGTACACTGGACTTGTCAGCAAGGAGAACACTGATGATCTTAGCAAGTGCAATATTTTTCTGAAATAGAGCAAAAATGATACTATGGTTATATTGTATTCCATGGAATGAGCGAAGTACAGTATTCAGTTGACGACTATCTAGATTCTTTCAAGTTTTATTATTATAAATCAAGATGTGATGCATATCTTTGCACAGATTATTCACTAGGATAATTTTTCAAATTTTGAAAAATTTATCTTGCCCCAAGCTACACTGTATTTTTCTATACCATGTGTCTCAAATCAGCCACCTCATAGCAAAAACACAGGGGGAAATCACTATCTTAACAAAGATCTCTCACTGCTTCTGTTATTCTTGTTCTTGACCCTGCAGGTTCTAGATTAAATCCACCAAACTGATCAACATGGGAACAAAAGTGTTTCCTTTGTCTTCTGAAGAAAACTAAAAAACAGCTTTATTTTCCCGGGATTATTTAACCTTCATATTACTGAAAGTTTATTTAAGGAAATATACTCTCAGTGCAACAACCACACCCAAAGTAGATGTGCTGAGGTAGGGTTTTCACTGTTGTTGTTTTACTTTTCACTTCTGGACTCTGTATGTGTTTGTTATAGTTTTCTTTTGAGTCCATTTATTGAGTGTAGAGATCCTATTCTATAATAATTTGGTGTACACTGATCTAATGTCTGTTGACCACCTGTATCGTTTGTTTATGACTTTGTCTGGATACTCTAAAGGACCCCCCAAACACTAAACATTTAAGCACATGATATTTAAAATAAGGATATTTGAAATGCTGACTGATATACTTCAGGTCCTCTGATAACAATGCTCTTTCCTGGTTCATGACACTCTCTAATCTAGTGTTTCACCCCTTAGAGTAAGTTACTAATGCATTTTTCACTATAAACAAGTTTGTTACTGCCAAATGTTGCTAATATGTGAATAAAAGTAGCATTTGTCTCCTGGTGACCCTGCAGCCTAAAATAGAAGCCATCAAGGTAGCACCAGTGATTGTGACTGCCAAGCACAAGACAATAAATTCAGATTTGGCTGATGGGAAATGCTTAAAAGCCCCCAATATTCAAATAGAAAAAAAAATTAATGAAAAAAAGGGAGTTGTGATGGAAATTAGAGTAAACAATAAAATATGGAGGCTGGAAAAACAAGTTAAAAAGGAGAAGATGTAACTTTTAATCCAGCTCCAAAGTCCCAGAGCTTGGAAGTTGTCCCTCCCAGTTTTACAAGATAAAGCTGAACAACTGAAAATCAGTGACTTTTCTTGGACCCAACAGAGAACTGAGAACTCAAGGCAAACTGCCACTCCAAAATATGGAAAACAAGTGCATCCAGAGAGTCACAACTGCTTCCCTAAAGCAGAAGCTGTTGGGACCATAAACTGGTAGAAACACTTGAATGGAAATTCTAATGCATTTCTGAAGGCTAAATATGGATTGGTATGAGAGTGAGAAACTTATGAGAGCTGTTGTCTCAGGGGGTCCTCCATACTGTTGTAGGCTTCACCTGCAGGAATCCCACCAAGTTCCCAATGTGAAGTTCCAGGAAAGAGACTTCATGGTTCTGGTAGGATGATGGGGAAAGTAATCATTGTAAAATACATCAACAGCCTTCACAGTAACGAAGGCCTACTCTACAGGGAAAAAGATAATTACCACAGGCTTAACCCACCTAAATGGAGAGTATTTACCCAACTCAAGCTGCCTTTCTGTCTCACATAAGGGAAGAAAAATAGTCAAAAGGGGTCAGGGCTTTTAGGAAATAGTTGCAAATATTACAGTCACAAAAGAGTAGGAGTGGGGTAAAAAGCTATACAATTGGGGAAACTATTGTAAGAGTCACAGCCCCAAGACACAGGCTCACTGAAATGCTGAGATTTAATTGAATATTATAGAATGCTCTCTCTCCCCAGAATCTTACTATTGTACCAACATGTCCCCAGTATAATAATAGGGAATTCTAGCTAATAGAGCTGCAAGACCCAGACTCTCTAAGGAGGGGTACTTAGGGAAGGCCAAAGTCAAACAATAACACTAGAGGAATTTGAAATTTCTGGCAAACATTAAATACAACCCAAATCTTATGCATAAATTCCCATGTAACATAAATTCTCACACTAATGGCTTATTTATGTCTGGCATGTCTGGCTTTTAACATAACTGATTTTCAACAAAAAAGTCAAGAAAATCCACACTTTGAAGAAAGAAAGCAATCCCTATCATAACCAGACGCAGGCATGATATAGATGTTGGACTCACCAGAATGAGATTTAAAAGTAACTATGATGAATATGCTAAGGACTTTAATAGGAAAAGTAGACAACATGCAAGAAAAGACGAAAAATTTGATCAGAAATGAAAATTCTAAGAAAAAATCAAAAAGAAACACTAGAAATTAAAAATGTAACAGATGAAGAATGCTTTCAGTGGGTTCACTAGGAGATACAAAAAGGCTGTGAAAAGAATTTAAAATTGAAGATAGATCAATCAAAATTTCCCAAACTGAAATACAAATAAGAGGAAGAATAAATAAAACAGAAGTGAGTCAATTTTAAAAGATGTAACCTACACATAACTATAATACAGAATAAGAAAGAGAGAAAGGAACAGAAGAAATATTTGAAGGAATGATAGCTGAGCGCATTCCAAAATTAATGACAGACACCAAACCATAGATCCAGGAATCTCAGAGCAGAATAAATATAACATACAATCTCTCTCTCTTTCTCTCTCTCTCTCACACACACACACATACACACACTCACCTAGGCATTTCATATTCAAGCTACAGAAAACCAAAGACAAAAAGAAAATCTTATAAGAAGCTGAAGGGAAAAGAACACTTTATCTGTAGAGAAATGAGCATAAGAATTACAAAAAATTTCTTATCAGAAACTATGCCAACAAGGAGAGTGGAGTGAAACATTTAAAGTGTTGAAAGAAAAAAAATCATCAACCTGAAATTCCATATCAAGCAAAATTACCCACAAACTATTAAAATTATAATAGTAACATCCTATTGGATGATTATGATGATTATAGCATAAGGATAAGTGAAATAAGTGACAGCAAGACCAGCCAGGAAGAATTGAGAATATACCTATCTGTACCATGAAGCAACATAGTGCTATTTGAAGGTATAATACATACCATAAACTACAATAACGACCAAAAAGATTTTATAAAGATGTATAATTGATTTTCTAAGAGAAAAGATCAAATGTAATCATGTAAAATGCTCAATAAAGACCAGAGAAGGCAGAAAAAGAGGGGAAAAAAACAGAAACAAAGAGTAAATGTAACAAATAGGAAAGAATAATAAACATGGTAGATATTAAAATCAGCCATATCAGCAATCACATTAAGTGTGAATTGTGCAAATATACCAACTAAAATAATTGGTAAACATGCCAATTGTCAGAGTGGATAAAAGTAACAAGACCCAGCTATATGTTGTTAATGAGAAATCCAATTTAAATATAAAGATTCAGATGGGTTAAAAGTAAAAGAATGAATAAAGATATACCATGAAATCGCTAAACAACAACAAAAGCTGGAGTAGCTGTGTAAGTTTCAAGCAAAGCAAACTCAAAACAAGGAAAATTATCAGAAATAAAGAGAAGCAATATTTAACAATAAACGGACCAATTTCTCTAAAAAAAAATACTCAGCGTGTATGTGTTTAACAACAAAGCCTCACTATGTATGAGGCAAAAACTGATAGACCTCAGAGGAGAAATAAACAAGTCTATTATTATAGTTGGATATTTCAACACCCCTCTATCAGTAAATGCTAGATCGAGTAGAAAGAAATCAGTAAGGATTTAGATGACATGACTAGCACTACCAGTCAATCTGTTCTCATTGAAATTGATAGAATATTCCAACCAATAATAAGAGAATACATATTATTTCCTAGTTCACATGAAACATTCACCAAAATAGACCAAATTTAGGGCCATAAAACACACATTTACAAATTTAGAAGAATATATATTATACAATGTATGCTATCAGACCACAAGATGGAATTAAACTAGAAATCAATAGTCAAAAGATAGCTGGAAAATATTCAAATATTTGAAAAATAAACACATTTCTAAATAAACCATGGGCCAAAGTAGAACTCAAGTGAAATGAAGGAATGTTTTGAACTAAATGAAAATTAAGATACAAGTTATCAAAATTTATAGATCATAGTAAAAGCAGTACTTAAAGAAAAATGTATAGCATTGAATGCATATATCATAAATAAAGAAAAAACCTAAAATCAGTGACTTAAGTTTCTGTCTGGGGACAGAGAAGAAATTAAGCCTAAAGTAAGCAGAATAAAAGAAATAATAAAAGAAATTAGAGCAGAAATCAAAATTGAATAGAAAAAAATCAATGAAACCAAAACCTAGTTATTTGAAAAAAAAGCAAGAAAACTGATAAACCTCTATCTAGACTAATCAAGAAAAAAGGAGAAGACATAAATTAACAATATTAAAAATAAAAGAGATCATCACTACTGAACCATGAACAATGAAGGAATAATGAAGAAATATTACAAACATCTATAAAAACAACTCTATGTCTACAATTTTGATAAACTGGATGTATTCGACAAATTTCTTTAAAGACACAAACTACCAAATATACAGAAAATAGACAACCTGAATAGCCCTATATCTATTAAAGAAATTGAGTCACTAATTAATAACCTTAGAAGCACCAGGTCCAGATGGTTTCACTGATGAATTTTATCAAACATTTAAAAAAGAAATAATACAAATTCTTCACAATCTCTTCCAGAAAACAGAAGCAGAAGGAATACTTCCTAACACATTCTGGTAGATAATCATTATCTTAATATCAAAACCAGGTAAGCAAAAGATAAGTACAGACTGATATTTCTCATGAATATAGATGCAAAAATCTTCAAAAAATATTCACAAATTTAATTCAACAATTTATAAAGAGAAGCTTTATACACCTAAGTGAAGAGCCTTATAGAATTTATAAGAAGAAGTTCACAACACAAGCAATTTGGATTTATTCCAGATGTGCAAGGCTGGTGTGACATTTGAAAATCAAGGTAATTCACCATATCCACAGGCTAAGAAAGACAAATTATATAATTATATCAATTGATTCAGAAAACACATTTTAAAATACCCAACATCCATTCATGATAAATATTCTTATCAAACTAGAAGCAGAGGGGAACTTCCTCAGAAATACATAAATAAATAAATAAATAAACAAAAAACCCTGCAGCTATTACCACAGGTAATGGTGTGAACAGGATGTTTTTTCCCTACGATTAGAAACAAGGCAAGAATGTTCCCTCTCACCATTTCTATCAGCACTGTACTATAATTTTTAGATACTGTAATAAGACAAGAAATAGAAATAAAAGCCATAAAAATAATAAAAGAAAAACTAAAATAGTTTTATTTCCAGATTACAATTGTCTGTGTAGAAAATCCCACTTAATCTACAAAAAAAAAAAAAAAAAAAATCTCCTGGAACTAATAAGTGAATATTTCAAGATTGCAGGATATAAGGTCAATATACAAAAATTATTTACTTTCTTATAAATCATCAATGAACAATTGAAATGTAAATTCAAAAACAATTCCATTAACAATAGCACCAAAAAATTGAAATACTTAGGTATAAACAAAACAAAATATGTATGGAATATGTACGAAGGAAACTACTAAATATTGATGAAATAAATCAATAAATTAATCAAACAAATCAAATAAGATAGTCCATCTTCATAGACTAGAAGGCTCAATATCATTAACATGCCAATTCTTCTCAAATTGACTTACAGATTCATCACAATCCCAATACAAACCAAGAAAACTATTTTTTAGGTCTTCACAAGCTGATTCTAAAATTATTTGAAAACTCAAAAGGCCTAAAATAGCCAACATAATACTGAAGAAGAATATAATTGGAGGACTCTACTATTAATTTCGAGACTTACTATAAAACTAGAGTAGTCAAAACAACAGGGTATTAGTAAAACAATAGACACAGAGATCAATGAAACAGAGCAGAGAGCACAGAGTCTGATATTTGGTAGATACCCAGTATTTTTTAAATAAATATATTAATGAATCCTCATTCTGTTTCCTAGCCAGGGGGTGAAAAATGTTATGTGAAATTGGATCAAGGAATACCTCTTGTGCAACTGTGGATGGACATATTAAACCAGACCTAGTGAGTGAGGTTACCTCTGACTGAGAAATGCATCAAGGGCTGAGTCTCTAAGAGAGCCCTGGTTCCTGGTAGCCCCAAATGAAGCTAAGATACTACCAATTGTACATTCAGTGTGGTAGAGATAGAAAATCAGCTCTTGTCCTGCCAGGAACTATCCACAGGCACAGGTCCTATGTACAAAATAACCTGTCATTCCCCAATATCAATCCATCTATTCTTCTTGCTGCTAGTACTATGGAATATGAGAGTGGCTCACAGGGTGCCATTAACTATTTCAGTTCTTCTGTGGTTATGGCCCTAGGCCCACTGGCCCACTGCTGCTCTTGTAGGACACAGGCACTTCTAAAAGATTCAGTAGGTTGATGCAGACAACAATCAGCCAGTGCTTCCGGCCAAGTGCATTGATTGATGAGTCTCAGCTCAATCAAACTGTCCCTTACCATGAAAGGTCACCAATAGGTTTATCCAAAACTGTCCAAGATCTGAACTCTTGTTTCTGTATTACCACCACAATCCACTGAACCACAATCAGTAGTTTAGTATTTTCTATTTGTCTGATGCTTAATTTGAAGGGATATACACCATGTCTTAGTTTTCTGTAGCATACCTAAGATGAGATTAGAACAACACTAAATAAATAATTTGACTCATATATACCCTTGACTAATCTAATCCAAATCAAATAGAAAGAATATGGGGAAAACGTAAAAGACGTTTTCCTTCTCTTCCATATCCCAGTTGCCTTTCTTCTTCCCCAATGGCAGTAGAAATACTTAACCTTTCAACAGAGACAACAACAGATTATGAATTTATGAAGGCAACTAAAATAGAATGCAATCCAACAAAATTCAAATCCAGAATATTTTAGATAGATAGATAGTTAGATAGTAGCTGGAACGGTCACATGTTAACCCACTACGTTGTCTGTCTACCCTGACTCCAAGAGATTCAACATGTTAATAACTTTCAAAAGCCATTTGCACAATTTCATCAAATATGGATATGTTGGTTTCAGATTATCTTTATAATTTTTGAAGAATCTTTAGAAGTTAGACATACAATTTTAGGATGAAATTCTAATGGGATATATTTTGAATGAGTTTTCCCTTGCCTATTGCTCTTCTCCCTGCCCATTCTGCTCTAGGGACACCATCTTTCTTGATGTTTTCAAAGAAATCAAGAACAATTCTGCCTTAAAATTTGACCATTCCCTCTGCCTAGAACAGTATTCCCCAGATAATACATAACTCACACCTCACTTCCTTCACTTCTCTGCTGAAATGTCATTATAAAGGTCACCTTGACCATCCTATTAAAATTGCAACCTGCCACTCCAGACGACACCCCAATCCTCCTTTCCATAGCACATGTCATATTCTAATGCATTTTATAATTTGCTTACTCATTATCTTTACTGTTTGAGTCCCAATGCAAGAAAGTGAGAACCACAGGATGAACATCTTTCATTTACCGTCTTATCTGAAGCGTCTGAAATAGTACTTATCACAGAGTAGATGCTCAAAAATTATTTGTTGAATCAATCAACCATTCAACCCTGTTTTCTAAGAAAAACCAATCTTTGTAAATATTTTTACAAATATTAAGTAAACTAATTGTAATCTTTACAATTATTTTTGCACATGTATATATGTGTTTTATGTCTATCTACCTATTATCTATGTATGTATCTATTATGTATGCATATACTAATCACCTATCTATCTATCTACACACCTATCTATCTATAATCTTTGGCAGGTGCAAGCAGCTGGACCCACAATTCCTCTATTCCCCACTTGATCTCCCCCCTCATCTTCTACTCCTGGGCAATGCATTTTCATCTTCATGAAAAGTAGTGCTAGCTTCACTTACAGGTCACCCACATCATCAAAGTTGGAAGCATGTGGTATGAGAGATAAACATGATTCTAGTCTGTTTTCATGGGTTCCAGTTCATCCTTCAGTTTCCAGTTTGCAACTGCTGTTTCTCACTTTATGCCTGTCTTCATAAACTTTTTAACCAGTTCCCACAGTTCCATACGGTTGAATCCTTATAATCAATCACTTAATATCTATTACTCTTAGTGGTTCTGCTTCTCAGAGAAAAAAAGAGAGATAGAGCTATCCCAACTAATGCCTAATAAGTACATGTCTTGTTAAGCATTTCACATATATTGTATCACTTAACACCCACAGAAAATTCCTGTGGTCTGTGTGGAAGACATTTGTCCAGTATTTGTTTCTTTGGCTGTGCTTATCTATGCCTGAGGGTATCATATGAATTGAAAAGACCAGACATTTACTCTTCCTTGACACATGTAGGCATGGGAGTGTAATCAAGGCTTGACTATTTGATGCTCCTGCCTGGAAATTCAGATTTGGACTGTGTGATCAAAGCAGACACAGCTTAGAGTTATACAGAGGGCCAAAGGGCCACCCTAACCCAGATGTCCCCATGTATGACTTGTGTTTCCTCCCTCATGTGTAACATGGTTCCAGCCCATTTTCCAAACCCAATTCACCAGACTTCTCACAAATCCTGTGAATTCTTCTTCCAATACATTCCTTTTTTTTTTTTTTTTTTTGGCCTAAGCTTGCAACAACAAACCCTGACTAGTAAACAGGTATAATTTTTATCTGTATTTTACAGATGAGGAAAATTAAAGCTCAGAGAAGTGACATGCAGTTCTGTCTAGATTCAAAGCTGGTGATTTTAACCAATATTCTATGACATTTCCTTTATTTACCTATTTATTGTTTGATTCTTTTTGTCACTAGACTTATTTTTTATTGCCTCTATATTGAAAAGCAAAATGTCAATACAAAAAGTTACATGTAAATACAATAACTGACAACTTTCCCCTGTAAATATTTGGAAATGAGTATTCCCTGACATTAAATATTCTCAATACTTCTGATCTGGTTTAAATTTGTTGATGGCAATTATGTTATGTCATATTGAACACATCTATAAATTTGGATTTTACAACATAGAAAATAAAACAAATCAGCCAAATATATCTACGACAAATGAGTCCTCACTTCTTAATACAGCTTTTCAAAAACTATGACCAGCTTCTGCTGTATCACACAGGAGTGAGCACACTGCCAGAAAAAGACTCTGCTTGTGCTCGCTCGCGCTCGCCCGCACCCGCTCTCTCTCTCTCTCTCTCTCTCTCCCTCCCTCCCTCCCTCTCTTTATTTGTAGCCCTAGATAGAACTGAGTGACTTGGGGTCACAGGTGGTGTGTTTATCTCCAATCCCTGCATAAGGTCGTGGCTTTGGAAAGGAAGAAAGAGGACCAGCTGAACATGTGGATGGTGCTGAAGTACACAATTTGTCCTCAGACCACAGCTTATCATATAAGAAAGATGAGCTCCTGGCAATGGATTCAGTGCCTCTTATGAAGAGCGGGAAGGATAATTCTGACACCAGTATAGCTGAGTTGACCAAGATGGCCTTTATCAGAAGGAGGAAGAAGAAAAAACTCACTGATAATATACCCAAATTGCTATTATGTAGGCCAAAATCTGTTAAAGGAAGTAAAATAGTGTTACAAAATCTGTTGAAGGAAGTACACATTCGTTTTCAAAACAATAATGCATAAAAATATCTGGAGAAATATTTAGATCTTATATATCTTATGCTGAATTTACAAAGAATGATTTAGACCATACAACAAGTCTTAATACATTTACAAGTATTGAAATCATACAAAGTACGTTCTCTGACCATAGTGAAGTTAGAAATCAACAACAGAAGGAAATTTGGGAATCCATAAATATTTGGAAATTAAGCAACATATTTTTAAATAACCCACAGGACAAAAAAATCATGTGTAAAATTAGAAAGTATTTTGAGCTTTATGAAAATAAATTTAAGAGAAAAAAGTGAAATATTAATGAAATAACCATAAACAATAGCTAACATGTTTTCTGTGTTTACTGTATGTCTAGTGTTTTTCGCACACTTTCTCCTTTAATTCTTCCAGCAGCCCAATGAGGTAGATACTATCATTAGCCCCATTCAGAAGATGTAGACAGTGAAATTTAGAAAGGCCACATGCCTAGGAAGTGGTGGAATAAGATTTCAACTCCGGTGTGTCTGACACTGAAATCCTGTGTTCAATCACTAAACTATGCTGCCAACACAAGATGAATCTGATCTATGGTTATTGCTTAATTTTGCTGAAAACCTAGTAATTGAAAATACATAGTATAGAAAGGAGTGGCATTTTGTTTCAAGAAGGCCCCCTTGGGTTTGGAATTCCATGTTCCTAAGCACAGAGGCTATACTGAAGAGCTTTTAGGTGAGGATGAGGAGAAACAGGCAGTTTATGGATGTGTGTTACCTATAACCCAGGTAGAAGGAAAATGTGTGCTTTGCTAAGATTTATATGAAAATTCTCACAAAGGTAAGATATGAAAACATTTACTGAATAACTACTGGCCTTGAAACATAAATATGAATAAGATATTCTGTATCCTTAAGATACTGACAATTTTCTAGAATTAGATGATAAAGACGGAATTACTAATGATTTAAATAGGGTTCCCCATGAAACAGATTTGGGGATATCGATTAGTGTACAGGAAGTTTATTGTGATGTGCTCCAGGAAAACTACTCGTGAAAGAATACAGATATTTTTCATTCATTCATCATACCCAATTTTTACATCTCAGTAAAATTTTGCATTCAAAAATTTCACACAGAATCAACATGAACAATCATCTATGCAATTGGTCATTTTTTCTACATCATAAAAGTCAGAAAACCAATGAAAAGGAACTCAACTTGTGAGCACCAAGCAAGTGGTATTTTATCTCATTCAAAGAATTTATAAAAATACTACTACCAAAAAGTTACATGTAGTAACAAAAACACATTTTTGAATGCCATGTTATAATAGGTTAAACTAGTATCCATCCAATATACTTTTCCATCTTTGGAACTTTCATTTGGAAAATGTGGTCTGAGAGATGAAGGTTTTATGAAGCTCAGTTTCAATAGTACTGATAAAAGAAATTTGTTATGGCTAAGACAGACTATGGAAGGAAAGAATCTGGTGACAGGCCTAGAAATTCAACTGAATTTTCATACTATTTACGCTACAAACGGAGATTAAATATATGCAAAACTAAATGTAAAATTCTCAGATTTTGTGATTTTCAACACCCTCTGCTGATGAATGCCAAATCAATCATCTGTAGCCACAACTTCTTCTCTAAGTTCCAGATGTGTATATCCAGCTATTATATATTCCCACTTGAATGTTGCATAAATCCTTGGAGCTCATTGAGTTTAAAGATACTGATCACATAATCTTCATGTCCAAACCTGACCTTCCTATAAGATTTCCTATTTCTATGAATGGTACCACCACATACCAAAGCCAAAAACTTCCTCTATTTTCCACATTCTCAACAACACTTATAGATTTGACATCCTTGTTATGATCTCTCATTGAATTCTATGCTCTTTATTCCGACTGCTACTACTTTTATTCAAGCCCTTCTTTTCCACATTGATCTTGTCATTCATAACTGCAACAATCTCCTGACTGCTCTTCCCGCTTTATTTCTAGTCCTTCTCCAGTTTTTTTTTTTTCATCACGGTGAGATTTTATACTAAAAACTGATGCTACAACTTCTTCAATGGCTTCCATTGCTCAATGAACTCAAGTTCACATTCTTAGGAAACTGCCCCAAAGCTAGTTATCCTGGCCCCTTCCTTCTGCCTTTTCAGCCACATCTGCTACTCCTCCACCTTATGATATACACTGCAGCTATTCTGATACCTAAACGTTCCTGGTAATAGCTTGTCTCAAATGTTCGTCCCTTTGAATGGAACATACTTCATCCTCTTCTTTTACCAGGATAGTTTGGGTTTGTCCTTCAATCCTGACTTACAATTTAAAGGGGAACTGGCAACGAAGACTAGACTAAGAAATGTCATGTACAGACCTCCAGCCTCATTAATAGTACAGTAAAATTGCTATTTTCACTTTGGCTTCTTTTAAAGCTGTTCAGTCCCCTCCACCTCTGAGACAGAAACCATAATCTCAACAAAGAAGTCGAGTTTCTACAAAAGAGAGAAATAACTGTTCATCCCAAATAGTTTCTATTTTCTGCTCTGCAAGAATGACAAACCAGGGAATTACTAAGGGCTTTTCTCTCCACTTGAAATAATATAAGAGAGAAAATTACAGAGAACATTGTATCTCAAAAAATTATCCTCCATGGTGACACTAAGGCAAAGTAGAAAAGTAGAGTGAACATGGGATTTGGTAAAAGAAACTGTAATGAACACCTTTGAAGTGTCTACATAGCCCATAAGCCAACACCTTCTTCCTTTCTCTGTGAACTACTCCCAACATCACCTTAGGAGTAGGATTCCAGTGGTTGTGTTTGTAAGGCATGACCTCATCTCTTGGCCACACTGATTACTCCAGATGTGGGAATTTTACCTAGGCTAAACCAGTTGAGATTTTTTTCTCTAAGAATTTGCAACTGAGACTAAGACTTAACCTGGAATACAAGAACTCAGGAGTTGTGGGGAAGCTGTGCTTTCCACTGTAAACCTGAAAAGCAGAGACAGTTGGTATACAGAAAGAAATATAGAAAAAGCAGCAGAAACACACACATGGGGGAGGGGAGGGGAGGGGAGGGAAGGGAAGAGAAAATACTGTGTTTACTATTGCCTTTCAGGTTTTATTTTTTCTTAAGACCTGCACAACTTACACGACCTTAGGTTCTATATGTTTATAATAACACCTCTAACTTTTGTTTATTTCTGTTACTTGCAACCAAAAGAATTCTAACTAATGCATAAAGAATTAGCCATATTTCCAGAACTTCACCTTATGAGCCTTAACTTTATTCATTTCTCCAAGTGTACTTGTTGAGTGTCTTCCAAGTGCTGGACACTGTGCTGGTCACTGGGGATACAAAGGTAAGCTCATCATTGTCCTTGGACAAACCTCTACATCCGAGCCTCAGTATCCTCTTTTATTTAATAAGGAGAGTAGTCACAATGGTAATATCAGACTCAGGGCAAGGTTCAAAATGAGATCATATTTATGAAAGAACTTTGCAAGCCTTAAGAGCCAAATAGATGTTATTTTACATTCGTTATGATACAATTTTGGTTTTACGGCTTTTCATCATTTTTGTAATCTCTAGGATATGAGTGTTTCCAGTTTGACTTTTATCTTCAAAACCTGCCGTTACTAATAAGGCAGGTGACTAGAAAATTTCCAGGTCAATTGGCTCAGAGTCATAAAGATACTTTATTGCAGGTTTGAGGAACTCCTCATGGGTAAGGAACACAAAGATCATCAGGGTAAGGCACAGAAGAAAGTTACAAACTCAGCTTCACTCAGTTTAACATAAACCTTGCAAGAGGTCCCTCTGCTTTCCATATTTCTGTCTGGTTACTTTCCACCCCTTTAAGGCCGGACAAATGAGATGTCTAGATTTTCTTCTTCACCTCACTGACTTTGACTTCTAGCCCAGTTTACAGATTTATGCATGGTGTGTGGGTGGGTGGGTGTGCGTGTGAGTGCGCGTGTGTGTGTGTGTGTGTGCGTTGGGCTGGCCAAGTTCTCATCAATAATGAAGCAGGTAACCCCTTCTTGTCTTCCAGATCCTATTCCTTGTTCAAATCCAAAACCACGTCGGCAGTGAGTAACAAGATTATCTGAGAGCAGTTGTCCTCACCCGCTATAGAAATCTGACCACTCAGACAACAAAACTTTCCCAAATATTTCTTTTCCTCTTCTTTAAGTATATTGTTTTGGGATACATGGAACTTAGGGTAATCTCTTTCATAAATTTTCTAGCACTGTCATTTCATCTAAACACCACTTTCTTATTTAGTTGGTGAAAAAGAAAGCATAGGATTTTACTTATGGCAGGTGATAGCTTGTATATAGCAAAAGCAGAGTCAAGGTTCTAGTCCAGTTCTATAGCTGTTCCATAATTGGTTAATGAAGAGTTCAAAGGGCTCATTGAAGTAAGGTTTATTAAAGAAGTCACTAGAGATTCCTGACTCTAAGGGCAATGGACACGTCTGAATCTCTGTAAAGTGTAACTAAACAGTACTTGCATAGTATTATTACCAATATACACTCCATTCTGCATGTCAGTTCTTCAAATATCACCGTGTAAATTAACAGTAATCGAAAGCAAATCAAATAGGCATTTCTTTGACTAGGCAGCTAAACAATGTACTTACTAATGACCTCGTTCTTTTCTAAGAAGGTTGTAGATCTTCACTTTTCTTTCAAGTCTTATGACTTTTATCTATGGAATACTTTTTAGTCATAGCATTCATGAAAAATATATAGAAGACCCCAAGAGATTTCAGATTACTAATCAACACACATAATTCATCATTAAGTACTAACCTAGCCTATCTTTTTAATGTACAACTTAGTTAAAACGAGAAGAACTATAGTGTATATTAATTTTAAAGGGTTATTGCATCTCCAGAGAATGGTTATACACACTTTATTAACAGTAGGTTGCAGATTTCTAAATGGTGTGTTACTGATTCTAAAACAATATGACAGTAACCATTCTCTTGCAATGCTTAAAGCAATGTACATTAACAGATGAATTCTTTTTTTTCTAGTATGGTTAAACAGTACAAATGTAAACACTGAGAATTCCCGTCTGATACAAAGCAAATATCACACTGGTTCTCCATATGGAAGTTTGATGTGCAGGGAAAATTTAAGTGCTGCAATGTAACACTCAAGCTTGCTTTCTGGAGAATATATCAGAGGTCAGGGTAAGCACAGTGTCTAGTGAAAACTTCTCTCATCCCATTTACTCTGAAAGCATACAATCCCACTGGTTTGTATGGCACTGGGGAGATCTTTTAAGGCAAGAAAAGGGTAAACCACTTTCAAATAAAAATGATTCGGCAACATTTGACCTTTGTTCTCTGGTTATTATATCTGGATACCAATAATGCAACTCAGAATCTTGGTCCTAGGCCCAGATAGAACATTCAGCAGAGTCATTTTTTTCCCATATACAGTTTTCTACTGAGTCCTAATCTCCAGGAACCTCCTCTGCCATTGGTCCTGTTAGAGCCCTTGGGTACCCTGAAATGCCTCCAGCACTGCCCATGAGAGCAGAAGAAGCTGAGCTGGAGCAATGCTTGGCTCTCAATGCTCTATAAGTAAGAAACCTCCACTTTTATAAGTTTTCTGTATTTGTAGGTGTTTTGGTTTTGTTTTGCTTGTTTTTGTTGCAAGAATGATTCCTCTGTCAAGCAAGTTTGAAACCTGCTGCTCTAAATAAAATAGCTGATAGACCCAGTCTATTAGACCCAATATATGGCTCAGTTAATGGGAGCTTCCAAGGATGTGACCAGGAAAGAAAGCACCATCAACTTTTGCTCACTATGTACTGCATCATTTACTCATCAATACATCTCTGAAACTTGAGTTCTCCACGTTTGTAGCACTTTCTTTTTGTGACTTTAGTCTATTTAAGTATGTTTTGAAAATGTTGCAGAGAGTAGAGCAGAGAGTAGAACCATCTTTCCACATATAAAAAAATATGATGAAGAACATTTTAACATAATGTTTTGTGTTTTATACCCCTACCAATTTTCAAAAAGATTCTGCAGCAGCAAATAATCACAAAATGGGGAAATAGCTTCAAAATTTCAAGCCTTTCTCCAAGACACCTTATCAGGAGAGAAAAGATATATTTGAGAAGTATGAGGCACCCAGGAGGAATTGTTTGATTGTGAGATGAGTGACACAAAAGCCTGAAATAAATGAGTGATTTGGTCAGCTCACAAGAAGCAAAAATTAGAAATCAAGTTACACGCTTTGGGACAGCATCTAGGCTATGCCAACGGGGAGGCTTCTCTGTGGAGAAACAGACTGTTCCTCCAACCACTCTAGTTGTGAGATTCTAAGAAACTAAAAAATGTAATCATATGAGTTTTTCATCTTATGGAAATTACTCCTTGTAGTAAGAAATGTGTTCTGATACTTTCTTTGTTCGTAGCTCCACTGAGCTCCTTCTTTTCCCAAGTTCCCCAGGTTTGAGGGGCTATCCCACTCTGATCTGAGCCCAATTAAAGGTAGTGACCACTTAGAGTAGGTTGTTTATATAAGGAAGTGGGCACAAGCCCAGGCCACAGGCAAGAACCATTCCTGAAAGACAGTCAAGGAGGCTGACAAGATGCTGTTAATGAGTTGTGTTCACAGTCCTGCTCTGAGAAGGACATTACTCTGCCTCTGGTAGTGACCAGCCTTGCTAAAACAGAACCATGGGTACCAGATCAGCTTGCACCTTTGTCCAACCTTCTGCCAGTTGGTGAGTTCTAGCCAAGTCTTCAACTTACCCTGCATGGTGACCATTCTCACTGCACTTTTCTGAGGAGGCCAGAACTGGCATTAGAATCTTTTGCAGGCACACTTGTTTTCTCTTTCCTCCAACATCGATGCACTACTTAAATGCCCATGAAATTTTGGAATTCCCTCTGTACTGTACCCTTCAGGGAAACTCATAGCTGTCTCTTGTTTCTTCTGAAACTCATAATTCTGCCAGTTCCACTAGATGCTATTTGCAAGTATACTATGGTTGCCTTCTTTCTGGATCTCATAAAGCATGTGAAATACAGTTTCTCTGTCCTCTCAGATCCACAGACTCAGAGTTGGGGTGTCTATCATGCTTTCCACCTGGCACAAGGGAAAAGTCTACATCAAGGAGCAGAGGGCAGGATATAGAGTCTCCCATGCTAACTCTGTTGCTTCCATACTAGTTTTTCTCCCTCTCCCCTCCCCCAAAATTCAGAGGGTTATAATGAGTTTGGAGGGGAACAGAGTGGACAGAGGATATATCTGACTTGGATTATTCTTACTGCTTTCTAAAACATTTTATCTTACCCTTGAATCTGTTACCTTTTGTATTAGTCAAGGTTCTTCAGAGAAATAGAAACAATAGAATGTGTATAGATAGAAAGGGAAGGAGATTTATTTTAAGAAATTGGCTCATATAATTATGAAGGCTTGGCAAGTTCATATCTGAGAGGGTAGGCCAGCAGGCTGGAGACTCAGGAAAGTGATGCATTCTGAGTCCAAAGGTATCTCCTGTGGAACCAGGAAGAGTTGATGTTGCAGACTGTACTAGTCCAATTTCATGCTGCTGATAAAGACATACCTTAGACTGGGTAATTTATAAAGAAAAAGAGGTATAATGGACTCATAGTTTCACATGGCTGGGCAGGCCTCACAATCATGGTGAAGGCAAAAGGCATGTCTTACGTGGCGGCAGGCAAGAGAGAATGAGAGCCAAGCAAAAGGGGAAACCCCTTATAAAACCATCAGATGTAATGACAGTTATTCACTACCCTGAGAACAGTATGGGGAAACCGACCCCATGATTCAATTATCTCCCACCAGGTCCCTTTCACAATATGTGGAAATTATGGTAGCTACAATTCAAGATGAGATTTGGGTGGGGACACAGCCAAACCATATCACAGATGAAATCCCAAGGCAGTCTGCTGGAGAATTCCCTCATGCTCTGGAGAGAGTAGCTTTTTGTTCTATTCTCTCCCCTCCCCCAAAATTCAGAGGGTTGTAATGAATTTGGAGGGGAACAGAGTGGACAGAGAATATATCTGACTTGGATTATTCTTACTGCTTTCTAAAACATTTTATTGGATGAGGCCCACTCACATCATGAAGGGCAATCTACTTTACTCAGTCCACTGGTTCAGATGTTAATCTTGTTCCAAAATACCCTCAGAAAAACACCCAGAACAATGTTTGACCAAATATCTGGGCACCATGGATCAGAAAAGTTGACACATAAAATTAATCATCACATCTTTGAACTTAAAAGCAAAAAATGCTGATCTTTTCCTACTGTTTTCAAGCTTCAGTGCTAATGTTATCCCCTGGGGCTAATGATAAATCTATGCCTAAGAGAAGAAAAAAATAATGGCCATGGTTGAGGAGGGAGGGGAGAAGAAAGGAAAGTCTGATTAATATTCATTAAACAAATACTTACTGATAACCTACCATATAGCAAGCAATATTCTAGGCACTATGATTATAATGATTATTCTGCCACATTCATAAGTAGCATTGTTTTTTCTTATTAAATTGTTTGATCTCAAATCTGGAAGCACGCCCAAGATATATCATTATTTTTTAATCCAAAATTTTCTATCTCACATCATAGGTTTATGATATAAATGATTTCAAGTTCTAGATATTGAAAGAACTTTACACTTCCCAGAATCTATTTAACTTCATTCCAGAACAGGACCTCTAGCTACAGAGTATTATTATCAAGCTAAAATTCTGCCATAAAATAAAAAAAAAAAAAATTGAAAAACATCTATTAACTATCTGGAACTGTAGTCACTTACCTGGAAAAACAACTTCTGGATGAAAATCTGGGTCCCTCATTTGCTTTGCAGTGGCAAACACTGGCAACACTTGATAATGTCTTCCCTAAGAACACTACACCCGGTCTTTAGGCTCAAATGCTTCCATAGAAAACTGTCCCAAAATACATGAAGAGTCATAATACAGACCTCCCTTGTTCTTTTTATAAGTAATTTCAAAATTCAGTGTCTGACTATGACTTTATTTGAGAGAAAATGGACTCCACCTAGGATAAGTTTTTCCTGTGAGTCTCTCACTGACACCTTTCACTTTGGAAAGGTTCTAGCCCTTTCTCCTATCAATAAGGAGACAATGTCTTTTCAGGGTTGTTACAACAAAGAAATCATTTTCCCTTCCCTGAGAAGACACTCTGACAGGATTAAGTAGCACAATCCAGTGGCCATAACAGAGACAGATGTGTGGATCATAGACAATGGATGAACTGGCTTATGGCTTGGCAAGCCCATGTCTATCACCAGTGATAGAAAATGTTTGACTCTTCTTAGAGGAAAACAAAAGAAACCTGACCACACTTAAACGAAGAAAGCCTTAGACCACTTTCTACCATACAGGCATGCTGAGGCAATGTTTCAGGAGAAGTACACAAAATATTTCAATGGCAAGGCTAATCTTTAAAAATACTCTAATAACTTGTAGTAATGGTTAGTATACAATGGCATTTTTAAAATATTCCATTCATGATCTATAAAGCCTCCTTACTTACAATTTCTCTAAATGTAAACCTTCTACTATGTAGTTTGTGTCCTCCAGAACTAGGAAAATTTTTAACATTCATTTTTGACATATATTGCTAAGTATATATAGTAGGTGCTCAGGGGTTATTCACTAAGTTGCTCTAAAATCCCTGAAGCTTTTCTATTGTGTTGTTGATTTTCCTTCATTGGAATTTCAACCTTTAAAAAAGTTATCTCTATGAGTTTAGAATCAAGGACTTATATAAGTTATTGGGGTTCCAGGCAGTCGGAGGCTGAGCTGCAATGGCTAAAGACACCCTCTCTCTAAAATAGTTAACTGATAACTTGTTAGACGAATTGATTTCATGTGCTTTGGCATCTGTATAAGAAGAGAAACAAGAGTTAAACATCAGATGCCTAGAACTGAAATCATGGAAGGTATTAGGATTTTCTTAGGGTAATCTTCTTGCAAAGTAGCTTCCTTGAAATACATCTGAATCTAAAAACATTAAAACAGTAGTTCTCAATTGTATTGGGGGATTTTAACTTTAATAGTCCTGTGGCTCATTTACTCTAGATAATTATAGAAGGCGCTGACTTATTTTTACAAAAAGCAAATGAACATTTCCATTGGTAATGTTTCTCTTTTCGGTAGTATCTTTACCTTAATAGAATATACTGACCACTTGTTAAGAAAATTAGCTATAAAAGCCTAATGTAAAATGAGTTGGTAGAACTTTCAGTAGCACTGTGTAATGTTGAGACCAATTTAAATACTAAATGTTTGAAATGGATTGGATTGATATCCTTAATATCTGACTTGATAGCTGGAGTACTTCATATTGAACAAATGTTTATAGAGCAGCTATTATATGTAGGCATAGTGATAGATGCTACTTTAGTTACAATGATCAATAAAGCAAAGCCTCTGTTCACAGTAATTCGAATTTCTAGAATTGGGGGAAAATGAAAATAAGCAACCATAAGAATGACCATAACATGAGATTGTTATTTGATGTACCAAAAGAGAAATATAAATGAAATGCTACTATGGTTAAAGAGATGAGTTATAAAGGAGAGATTAAATTATAAAATGTTTTATAGATTAAATGATATTCAAACTATACCCTAAAAGATAGTGTCTAGCATATAGGAGTTTAATAATTATAAATGAGTAAATGAATGGGATTTTGATAGGAAGAGAGATAAGGATAGAAACTTCTAGCATAGGGAATAGCATTAACAAGGGCTCAGAGGCAGGAAACAACAAAGTGGGACTGGAACAGAAGGAATAGTTGAGGTTTATATTTATAGTATAAGAAGTAGAGTATGTAAATCTAGAATATATGTTTGTTGGGGCAGTATAATCTAGGACTTTTAATAGTTATCTGAGGAATTTTTACTAAATTTGAGAGGCAAGTATCTTAAGAATATAAAAATGAAAAACTTGAAAAATGGAAAATACTGAAAATCTTTAAATTATTTTCAAATTTGTCATTTTTAGCATTATGATCACAATGTATATCTGCAAATACTATGGAGTAAAACTCTCTAAATAGTCTAAATCCCAAGTGTTGTAATTTATCCATGCTGCCCAGCCAGTGATTTTCACTGTGCTTCTGAAATGTTTGTTCACTTGTTAAAATTCGTGTCACAAATCTTCAGTGCGGCAGCTAATATTTTACAATTGATCAAATAGTCTTGGATATATATTCCAAATATGTGACTTAATGAAAACAACGTAAAGATTTATGCTCCATTTAATGTACTTAGCTAAACTCATGGGATTTCAAAAGAAGATAAAAAACAAAAGGCAACATGGGTTAATGCTTAGTTATCTTTGGTTAACTCATATAGCTTAGCAATCAGAGAACATGAAAGAGGAACCTTTGATAAAACTAAGTTGCTTTTCAAAATCCATAAAAGGCAGCTGCTTTTCTAAGAAGCACCATATTAACATTGGAATGTACAACTTTTAAACAAAAGTTCTCACTAAGCTTCATTTGTAATTGACAGCCCAGAAACAATTTTTTAAGCTATTACCACTCAGTGGCGCTAGCAAAATCAACCTAGAATAGGAAGAATTTTTTCTTTATCCCATGAATGAAACTTCAGGACCTTCTTCCTTGTTTGTTTAGAGGACTTTAGTAGTTGAGTAAGAGCAGGTGGAGCTTCCTGGGTCTTGATGATAGATGCAGACTTGATAGAACAGAAGACAAGACTGAAAATTTGATGGACGTCCGGGAGGGAACATTTTGTGTTGAGGTTTCTTCTGAAGGTAATTTAAAGACAACATTAAATTTCCTATAATTTTCTCAAATACATATTAGCATATAGATCAGTCCAAAAATTTCCTTCAGCAGTATGATCATGCAATACCACACTATCAGCGCTCTAGAGCTCTATGACTGTCTCCGGGAAGCCACCACGAAAGGGAACAGAACCTTGGACCTCAGGAGGATGAGGTGGCAGAATGTGAGCTGTGAAAAAGTGTGGCTGATGAAGATTCAGGACAAAACATAAAGGGTGGCTCGATGTTGGAAGGGCATTGCCAAAGTTTCACAGCATTCAAGGGGCTAGGATGGAAATAAGGGTGGCTAATGATAAAAATTGGTCATGACCATCATAGAACTGGGGCCACTTATTCATCAGGTACAGGCTCACCTATACCCCAGACTGTAAGGCTAACCTTATTCTTATCCAGGAGAAATAAAGTAGGGGGCCATGACTCAACATCAAGCTAGATTTGCTCATTACTTCTTGTGTGGCAGTTAGCAGACACACCCTGACAAATTCCTTAACCATCTATGTCTATTATACTTCATAATAGTATACTCATAATAATATACCCTTAAAACTGACTTTCTCTAGAAGGTTCACCCAACGTACAAAGTTCTTCCCCTGGAATACAGATCTCAACACATGATCCAGATTAGAGATACATGATGTAGAAAATGTCTACTTATTGAAGGGAATTCTGACAATTGGCTTTTAGGAGCCTCTCCTACTGCAGAATTCCACCTGTCTGACTCTCATCCCTTGGTCAGGTACCCAGACACTACTTGCTTTTGTTACAACTGGTTGCCAAGGAGCCCCTGCATCTTCTGATGATGTTCCTAAGCTCCTCACCTAACCTTGATGACTTTGTCCCTTCTATGAGCACTTATCTTCATTATCTGGGCTATTCCAATGCCCACTGACCTCTGTTCTGTCCAGATGAATGATATGCCCTCTTGTGACAATCTGGATGATTAAGTCAGAAACTGCTGACATTATGTCATGTAAATACCAGAGATAAAGGGTAATCTAGGAAATTCTGTGTGGATGGGACTAATCAGCCTCTGATGGGTGTGAATTTTCTAATCACACAGTCAATCAATAAACTAATATCTGCAAAATAGAAGTTTACCTTCCCAGAGCTTCAGCCTGTCTTCTCACTGATACAGAAAACTTAATCTAGTCCCTTCCAAACAGGTTTATAAAATTCAATGTCTTTTTGCTCATTCTGGTTTTAAAATTCACTGACATTCAAGGTTCCATAACAGCTTCCCTGTCCCTTGGAGTGAAGGCTATGCTCCGGTGACCTACGTGAACACAGATTATGGGTAACTTCTCCACCTCGATCTACCTCAGCCCTGTGCTGGTCTCCTGCTCCAGTCTGATCCTTAGGTGTGTCCCCTTCCACACAAGCAATTGATTGGCATATTGCCACATTCTAAAGCAGTCGCCAACTGGCTTCTTTTGCTCTGTGCTGCTGTTGCTTAGCAGAGACCCTCTGTCCATCCATAGGTGCACCCCCACAGGTGCACGCATACTTGCTCAAACATGCTTTCTCACTATCTCTGTCTCAACTAGTTTCTCATGAGTGCAGGGAAGGCTGACTGCTTTCTCCCACATCCTTCTGGGACCCCAGGAGACCTGGGGTTGTCAGCAGGTACTCACTCTGCCCTAGCAGACTCAACAGGCATCTCTGTTCTGTTGTTCTTAAATCATATCTCAATATATTTCTGTGGGAGCAAGGAGACCTTTCTCCCTCTCCTTACTGATTTCTTCAAATCCATCTGGGATCACAGAAATAGGACAAATGTAAGTCATTGCTTCCTTTCCATCACTCCTGTTACTCCCTAGGTGGTGGAGTCTTTGGCTGGTCTAGGTGAGGGACAGAAAGCCTGTTGTGACTGCATGTTTTCAAATCTTTCTTATCTCACATCTGAATCAAATAAAAAAAATAGCACCTTTATTCTCTGGTTCTCCTACTGACAATCGGTAGTACAATTGCCTGTCCTCTATTTTGGCCACCTGAAGCAGGGGTGCCGCCTAGTAAAGAGAGATTAAAAATTCACATATTTTGTTGTGAAATCTATGGGAATTAAAAAAAAAGCACTTGCTACATATTAAGCACAGTTCTAGATTAGGATCATTCTGTTGAAGTGATAGGGAAAACTACCTGGGGGAGGTGGGATATTTAATCTGAGTCTTGAAGAAAAGGCTTCCAATGCTAATAGTGAGGGGATGAGAACTCTACACACACACACACACACACACACACACACAAATAGAACTTCTTAAATTTAAGTCCTGTTCTACCTTGCTCTTGTGTATGTGTGTATAGGTGTGTGTGTTTCACCATTAGAATTTTTTTCCAGTTTGATGTACTTTTAATGACATTCATAGGCATTAAGTTAAAATTTTAAGAAAATAACTTCGAGCCACTGAACTCACTTCTCAGATCTTCTTCTCTGATTTGCAGCAGCATGAGCAACTGCTACCTACTTTTATCCCCCTGAAAAGTGTTCTTATCTTAAGCACAAAAGACTGTATGCAATCACTCACTCTAGGCTCTCCCCCTGCTTCTTTGATCTCCTCTTTATGAGTCTGCTCTGTTGGCTTCTTTTCTTGCTTCTATTTCTAACTGTGTATCTCTCCTAAGGTTCATCACTTAGTAATTGGCTTTTCTCCCCCAAGAGATTACCCAGAGTTTCTGGGCTTTATCTACCCATGTGAATGATTCACAGATTGTTTTTTCCAGTCCTGTCCTCTCCCTGGTCTCCAGTTTCTTTGTGTATTACCATTCAACACCCTTATTTAACAAATGTTCAATGAGCAACTACCATCTGCCACCTAATACTAGATTCCTGAGATTCAAACATGAAAAACACAGTTCCTGCTCTCATACTTACAGTAGAGGAAAGAGATGACATCACCCCAAATGAGATATTTCCTACCCTAAACTCTTCTTTCTTTGACATTCTTGTTTCAATTATAGCAAGATCATTCTCTGAATCTAAACACCATGGTGTCACTACTGACTCTTCTCTTTCATTTTCTCCCCCTTTATTATAAAGTCTCCTACATCTCCTTATTTCATCATGCCCTTAAAACTTCCATAGCTACCACCCTATGGCAAGTGCAGTTTACCTGATGCCTGAGATAACCAAATAGTTATCCAGTGGGGCTTCTCAACTGAGCTCCTGTATCTGAATGCACATGTATGTCCATCTTGATATTGTCAGATTCACCTTGCTAAACCAACACAATAGACATTTAGTTTGTGCTTTGATTTCCCTGCTGCCTACCAATCCACTGAGCAGCAAACATCTGTTATATTCATAACTGCCCTTTATATGTTGAATGGACTTCCTATTTTTGGAAAAACTCTGCATCGTGTGTTCTGCCTCCCTGACATAGAAGTCAGATCTAAAAGTTCCAGTCTCTTTGCAGATAGGAAGCAGCTGGATAAGCTGCTGATAAGTGTAATCTGATACACTTACATAACAGTTTGATTTGGGAGTGAACACGCTCTGTATAAAGCTTCCATTTCTTTCTGGTGATTGAGACACTCAATTTTTGGTGATGGCAACAGTAATGTTGGTTTCCCAGAAGTTGTAAAGTGAAGTTTCTGGTGCAGAAATGGAACAGAGGGTGGGCAAAAGCAGTGGCTTTTAGGTTCAGTAAGGTCACAGAGGAGGCAGAAGTTTCTTTATAAGACCAGCTCTGCAACATGGTTCTGTTCTTGGTAGCTTAAGTTCCTGTCTGATTCCTAGCATTTGCAACAATCCTGTGAGCAACCCAATGGATGGGCATAATCAGTCAGAGTCAGCCCCTGTTGCTGGAAATGAAGAATCTTGACTGATACATTTACATAAGTAAGACTGTCAAGGTTTTCTTTTATCTACTCTATACATTTCCCACCTTTACTCCTCCATGTTTTCATTCATTCACTCATTTACCAATGATTTGTTGATGCCAGCTACTGTTCTTGGTACTGAGAATAGAAGAGGTAGCAAGATAAACCAAATCTCTGCCTTTATGGAAATGAGATTCTTACTCTTCTCTCTACCAACTCTCAATTTCAGCCAAGTTCATCTACCTTTCATGTCCTGTATACATCATATAAGGCTCCACCTTTGGGTTAGATGATGCTCAGCCTAGAATAATCTCTCCATTCCTCTTAACTATATCTACCCTTTTTCCTTGGTCTTAAGAAGTCCCTTATTCTATAAACACCTTTCTCATGTGCTTTGTCTGAACTATTTTCCTGCTGTCTGACCTTTTACTGAACATTAATTTGACTCTTTTAGTAACTGGATCATATTTTATATTATTATTCAATGCATAGAGCTATCCATCTACTAAATTCCAGGCTACATGACAGCAGAAACTGTGCATCATACCTTTTTGAGCCTCATCAGTTGACCCCAATGTCCTGCATGTACTATGTGTATAGAATGGAATGGTGAGAGCCTCCCCACTTGTGCTGTTGCTGTTGTCTATTCTGACATGATGCTGACCAGCAAAGCCCTTTAAAACTTTAAAATTCTCTATTTACTCTCA
This sequence comes from Homo sapiens, assembly GCF_000001405.40. Lineage (NCBI taxonomy): Eukaryota > Metazoa > Chordata > Mammalia > Primates > Hominidae > Homo > Homo sapiens. The sequence continues at coordinate 104,917,453 of NC_000008.11, read as the reverse complement.
GATACATTTCAAATTCTTCAACTGAGCCTTTAGGGTCCTCAACAAGCTGGTCCCAAGTTTCCTTTACACTGAGAATACTCACGGACCTGATTTTCTTAAGAATATTAAAAATGTATACTGCTTTTCTTTCCAAACAGAAGCCAATCATCTTGAGATTTGTTTTTTAAAAAAGCAAACAATTCTTGATCATTTGGACAATTCCATTTATGTGTGTGTGTGTGTGTTGTGTGTGTCCATCTATCTAGATACCCGATTTAATGATTGTTCTTCCATATTATTTTATATTATAAAAGCCCTTAAAATAGGAACACTACGTATCTTTCTGATTTATATATTATGAATGAGGGGAAATAAATAGAATATTTGGGAGAGAAGAGAATCATGAAATTGTAGTCTTTGATTATTTAAATAGCAATTTTAAAAATTGAAACAAAATAGATAATGCTGAGGAAAAGAAGAGGGGCACAAGAGAGAACATACTGGGTGGTTCCATTCATTTTAAGTTCTAGAACTTCAAAATTAATACAAATAGTAATCAGAGCAGTAGTTACCTGGGGCAGGATAGGAGGAGACTGACTATACATTTGTCAAAACCCACTACCCTGTACATTTGAAATGGATATATTTTATTTTACATAAATTATACCACAATAATGTTAGTATAAAATAAAATTTTTTAATCTAATAAAAACAATTTTGAGGGGATGGGTTCAAGATGGCCAACTAGAAACAGTGGTGATCAGAGGCTCCCATCAAAAGAACCATATATAGCTTGTATCCAGGTTCTCTCATCAGAACGAACTAGGCAGCTGGCATGATCCACAGAGAGGAATGAAGAGCAGTGTGGTGTGGTGGCCCACCTGAGAGCCACATGGGCAGGGGAGCCCCCACCCCCCAGCCAAGGGAAGCAGTGAGTGAGCATGTTATCCACCTAGGGAAATCATGCTTATTCCACGGAACTCTGCAACCCACGGATCGGAAGATCCCACTCACGAGACACCCTATACAGGAACAATACTGCTGGCATCAGGTTGGTGCCCCTCAAGGTCAGAGATCCCAGAAGAAGGAGCAGGCACCCATCTTTGCTGTTCTCTGGCCTCCCTGAGTGACATCTCCAGGTGTGGGAGCAAACCAGCTGAATAGGGCCTAAAATGAATCCCCAGCAAATTGCAGCAGCCCCACAGAAGAGGGACCTGACCATTGAAAGAAAAATCAACAAACAGAAAGCAACAACAACAGCATTGACAACAAAGAAAATGTCCCCACAAAAAACCTATCTAAGGGTCAACAGCCTCAAAGATTGAAACTAGACAAACTCACGAAGATGAGAAAGATTCAATGAAACAGGCCAAAAGGTCAGAGTGCCTCTTCTCCTCCAGATGATCACAACGCCTCTCCAGCAAGGGTGCAGAACTGGACGGAAGATGAAATGGATGAATTGACAGAAGTGGGCTTCAGAAGATGGATAATAAAAAACTTCGCTGAGCTAAAGAAACATATTCTAACCCAATGCGAAGAAGATAAGAACCTTGATAAACAGTTAGAGGAGCTACTAACTAGAATAACCAGTTTACAGAGGAACATAAATGACCTGATGGAGCTGAAAAACACAGCATAGCATGATAACTTCATGAAGCATACACAAGTATCAATAGCCAAATCAACCAAGCGGAAGAAAGGATGTCAGAGTTTGAAGACCACCTTGCTGAAATAAGGCATGCAGACAAGATTAGAGAAAAAAGAATGAAAAGGAATGAAGAAAGCCTCTAAGAAATATGGGACTTCATAAAAAGACCAACCCTACAATTGACTGGTTTACCAGAAGGAGATAGGGAGAATGGAAACAAGTTGGAAAACACACTTCAGAATGTTATCTGGGAGAACTTCCCCAACCTATCAAGACAGGTCAATATGCAAATTCAGGAAACACAGAGAACACAACTAAGATACTCCATGAGAAGATCAATGCCAAGACACATAGTCATCAGATTCTCCAAGGTCGAAATGCAGGAAAAAATGTTAAGGGCAGCCAGAGAAAGGCCAGGTCACCTACAAAGGGAAGCTCATCAGACTAACAGCAGACCTCTCAGCAGAAACTCTATCAGCCAGAAGAGACTGGAGGCCAATATTCAACAGTCTTAAAAGAACTTTCAACTCAGAATTTATATCCAGCCAAACTGAGCTTCACAAGTGAAAAAGAAATAAAATCCTTTCCAGACAAGCAAATGCTGAGGGATTTCATTACCACCAGGCCTGCCTTGCAAGAGCTTCTGAAAGAAGCACTAAATATGGAAAGGAAAATTAGGTACCAGCCACTGCAATAACATAACAAAATATAAAAACCAATGACACTATGAAGAAACTGCATCAACTAGTGTGCAAAATAACCAGATAGCATCATGATGACAGGATCAAATTCACACATAACAATACTAACCTTAAATGTAAATGGGATAAATGCCCAATTAAAAGGCACAGACTGGCAAATTGGATAGAGTCAATACTCATCAGTGTGCTATACTCAGGAGACCCATTTCACTTGCAAAGACACACATAGGTTCAAAATAAAGAGATGGAGGAATATTTACCAACCAAAGGGAAAGCAAAAAAAAAAAAAAAAAAGGCAAGTAGGGGTTGCAATCCTAATCTCTGTTAAAACAGACTTTAAACCAACAAAGAACAAAAAAAGGCAAAGAAGGGCATTACATAATGGTAAAGGGATCAATGCAACAAGAAGAGCTAACTATCCTAAATATACATGTACCCAATACAGGAGGACCCAGATTCATAAAGCAAGTTCTTAGAGACTAACAAAGAGACTTCAACCCACACAATAATAGCAGAAGACTTTAACACCCCACTGTCAATATTAGATAGATCAATGAGACAGAAAAAGTCCCTTAGACCACAGTGCAATCAAATTAGAATTCAAGATTAAGAAACTCACTTAAAACCACATAATTTTATGGAAATTGGCCAACCTGCTCCTGAATGACTCCTGGGTAAATAATGAAATTAAGGCAGAAACCAAGAAGTTCTTTGAAATCAATGACAACAAAGAGAAAATGTACCACAATCTCTGGGACACAGCTAAAGCAAAGTTAAGAGGGAAATTTATAGCACTAAATGCCCACATCAGAAAGCTAGAAAGATCTAAAATTGACACCCTAACATCACAATTAAAAGAGCTAGAGAGGCAAGAGCAAACTAATCCAAAAGCTAAAAGAAGACAAGAAATAACTAAGATCAGAGCAGAACTGAAGGAGATAGAGACATGAAAAACCCTCCAAAAAATCAATGAATCTAGGAGCTGGTTTTTTGAAAAAATTAACAAAATAGATAGAAGACTAGCTAGACTAAAAGAAGAAAAGAGAGAAGAATCAAATAGACACAATAAAAAATGATAAAGGAGATATCACCACTGAGCCTACAGAAATACAAACCACCACCAGAGAACACCAAGGCACACCTCTACACAAATAAACTAGAAAATCTAGAAGAAATTGATAAATTCCTCAACACATACACCCTCCCAAGACTAAAACAGGAAGAAGCTGAGTCCCTGAATAGACCAATAACAAGTTCAGAAATTGAGGCAGTAATAGTCTACCAACCAAAAAAAAGCCCAGGACTGGACAGATTCACAGCCGAATTCTACCAGAGGTACAAGAGGAGCTGGTACCATTCTTTCTGAAACTATTCCAAGCAATTGAGAAGAAGAGACTCCTCCCTAACTCATTTTATGAAGCCAGCATCATCCTGATACCAAAACCGTGCAGAGACACAACAAAAAAAGAAAACTTCAGGCGAATATCCCTGACGAACATCAATGTAAAAATCGTCAATAAAATACTGGCAAACCAAATCTAGCACATATCAAAAAACTTCTCCACCACGATAAAGTAGACTTCATTCCTAGGATGCAAAGTTGGTTCAACATATGCAAATCAATAAACGTAATCCATCATATAAACAGAACCAAAGACAAAAACCCCATGATTATCTCAATCTAAGCAGAAAAGGCCTTTGATAAAATTTTACACCCCTTCATGTTAAAAACTCTCAATAAACTAGGTATTGATGGAACATATCTCAAAATAATAAGAGCTACTTATGACAAACCCACAGCCAATATCATATTGAATGGGCAAAAGTTGGAAGCATTCCCTTTGAAAACTGGTACAAGACAAGGATGCCCTCTCTCACCACTTCTATTCAACATAGTATTGGGAGTTCTGGACAGGGCAATCAGGCAAGAGAAATAAATAAAGAGTATTCAAATAGGAAGAGGGGAAGTCAAATTGTCTCTGTTTGCAGATGATATAATTTTATATTTAGAAAACCCCATCATCTCAACCCAAAAACTCCTTAAGCTGATAAGCAACTTCAGCAAGATCTCAGGATACAAAATCAATATGCAAAAATCACAAGCATTCCTTGACACCAGCAATAGACAAGCAGAGAGCCAAATCATCAATGAACTCCCATTCACAATCACTACAAAGAGAATAAAACACCAAGGAATACAGCTAACAAGAGATGTGAAGGACCTCTTCAAGGAGAACTACAAACCACTACTCAAGGAAATAAGAGAGGACACAAACAAATGGAAAAACATTCCATCCTCACAGACAGGAAGAATTAATATCGCAAAAATGGCCATACTGCCCAAAGTAGTTTATAGATTCAATGCTATTCCCATGAAACTACCATTGACATTCTTCACAGAATTAGATAAAACTACTTTAAATTTCATAAGGAATCAAAGAAAACCCCATATGGCCAAGATAATCCTAAGCAAAAAGAACAAAGCCGGAGGCATTACACTACCTGACTTCAAACTATACTACAAGGCTACAGTAAACAAAACAGCATGGTACTGGTACCAAAACAGACATATAGACCAATAAAACAGAACAGAGGCCTCAGAACTAACACTACACATCTACAAGCATCTAATCTTCGACAAACCTGACAAAAACAAGCAATGGGGAAAGGATCTCCTATTTAATAAATGTTGCTGGGAAAGATGGCTAGCCATACGCAGAAAACTGAAACTAGACGCCTTCCTTACACCTTATACAAAAATTAATTCAAGATGCTTTAAAGACTTAAATGTAAAACCCAAAATCATAAAAACCCCAGAAGAAAACCTAGGCAATACCATTCAGGACATAGGCATGGGAAAAGACTTCATGATGAAAATGCCAAAATCATTTGCAACAAAGCCAACGTTGACAAATGAGATCTAGTTAAACTAACAGCTTCTGCACAGCAAAATAAACTATCATCAGAGTGAACAGGCAACCTACAGAATGGAAGAAAATGTTCGCAATCTACCCATCTGACAAACATCTGATATCCAGAATCTACAAGGAACTTAAACAAATTTACAAGAAAAAAACAACCCCATCAAAAAGTGGGCAAAGGATATGAACAGACACCTCTCAAAAGAAGACATTTATGCAGCCAACACACATGAAAAAAAGTTCAACATCACTGATTGTTAGAGAAATGCAAATCAAAACCAAAATGAGATACCATCTCACGCCAGTGAGAATGGCAATTATCAACAAGTCAAGAAACAATAGATGCTGGTGAGGCTGTGGAGAAATCCGAAAACTTTTACACTGTTGGTGGGAATGTAAATTAGTTCAACCATTGTGGAAGAAAGTATGGCGATTCCTCAAGGATCTAGGACCAGAAATACCATTTGACCCAGCAATCCCATTACTGGGTATATACCCAAAGGAATATAAATCATTCTACTATGAAGACACATGCACATGTATGTTTATTGTAGCACTATTTACAATAGCAAAGTCATGGAACGAACCTGAATGCCCATCAATGATAGACTGGATAAAGAAAATATGGTACATATATACCATGGAATACTACCATAGAAAGAAATGAGATCATGTCCTTTGCAGGGATGTGGATGAAGCCAGAAAACATCATTCTCAGCAAACTAACACAGGAACAGAAAACCAAACACCACATGTTCTCAGAAGTTGGAGTTGAACAATGAGAACACATGGACACAGGGAGGGGAACAACACATACCAGGGCCTGTCAGGGGTGAGGGACGAGGGGAGGGAACTTAGAGGATGGGTCAATAGGTGCAGCAAACCACCATGGCACACATATACCTGTAACAAACCTGCACATTCTGTGCATGTATCCTGGAACTTAAAGTAAAATAAATAAAAAGCAACAACAAAAAAAACAATTTTTGCATAAGGATGCCTTTGAATTAAGGTTAGGTATCTCATTCACTATTTGTTACTATTTCATGTGTCTATTGCTGCATAACACTTGCCATGAACTTAGTGGCTAAATCAATATGTATTTATTATCCCACAGTTTCTGTAAGTCAGGAGTCTGGGCATGGCTTAGCAGGTTCCTCTACTCAGGATCTCAGGACAATAAATAAAGGCAATATCCAGGCTTTGTTCTCATCTGGTGGCTTAACTGAAGAAGCTCAGTAAGGTTATTGGCAAAATTCATTCCTTTGTGGCTATATGGCTGAGGGCCCCATTTTCTCACTGGCTATCTGCTAAAGGTTGCCCACAGGTCCTAGAGGCTACCTGCATGCAGTTCCTTGCCATGCAGCCTCTCTCAGTAAATACCTTACAAAATGCTGTTTACTTCTTTAATGCCATCAGGAGAACCTCTCACTCCATTCTACTAAAATAGAGTCTTGCGTGATGTAACTCAGTCAAGGAAAGTAACATCCCAACTCCTCGGTCACATTCTATTGGTTAGAAGCAAGTCACAGGCTCCATCCACTTTTACTCAGGAGAGAGGGATTTTACAAGGGCATTACTTGTGGGGAGTCACCTTAGAGTACAACCTTCGGCCAAAATTAAAAAGAAAAAAACTGCGAATAAACTTTGAAAATTAAGGATACTATAGCAAGCAAGGCACCTTTCATGTTATGATTTCAAAGGTAAAAACTATTGCATTGTGTGGAAAGGAATGTATACTATTAATTCAACTGGTTTACAATGACTCAGAATGATGAATGCCCTCTCATATTTAATTGATCTAATTCCTTCTCCAGGCTGACAATATTTTTACTGCCAATTTTCAATTAAATTGTTTCTCTCATGCCTCCTTGACCCCTGGATGCTCATTTCTGAGGAGTCATCTGGAAACCCTCATCTAAGTAATGGTGTCTACAAAATTCAGAACAAGTCCCTTGTACTATGACAGTAAATATAGGCAAACTGTACTAGACTTCTTAATATACTGACCCAGCCAGAATTACTAGCTCAAAAATATAAAGTTGTCACCCTGTTCTTGGATCATTTTCCTACAGAGAGAAAAATAAGCCTTAGGAGGACTATGTTTCACAGCATCAAGCACCACACTAGACTCAAAACACAGCTCAATAAATCCTGTTAGTATAGCTTGAAGAGAAGCTGAGATTGAAACACCATTTCTGTCAGTGGTGATATGTAAATTATGTCATTCAATGACATCCTGAACAAAAAGGCAAATGAGGAGTTAAATTAAAATGGCCAGTGTACGGTCTCCTAGATCATGACTCATTCAATAAGGAAGAGAAGATACTGGGATGCATATTTCTCTTGTAAATATTTCCTATGTAATTAAATATCCTACCTTAGAAACTATTCATGTTATCTGGTTCACAACATCCTGTTTAACAGAAAGTACAGTATCCTGATTAGACACCCTTAGATTGACTATAAGTAAGACACTTTTTAGTTATATCTTTTCCTATCCAGCTGCCCAGAGACTTAATTATAGGTGTGGCATTTACTGTCATGACCATATATTTTACTTGTCCTATAAAAGATAGAACAATATTATAACCTTTATTTTTCTATAATTTTTAAACGCACTCACCCTTGACAATTTTCATTGCAATAGAGATCTATATAGATATTGAGCAGGCTGCTTCTTCCTGAAAGGAAATAAAAAGTTTCCGTGAAAGCTTGGTTTAAGGATGTCAGTCGAGAAATACGTTCTTATAACTTAATTTTCCTCTACTGAGCCATGAAAATTAAAGGTATCAAGTTTAATGCTGATGCTGCGTTTATAAAAGCCTAACCTGATAATGCTGGTTAATTATGCAACTGAGGTCATCTCTGACATTTTCCTCTGTTTTCCTTTGGGTTAACACTTTTTCAGCATTTATTAACACTGCTGCTGCTCATGATGATAATGATAGCTAATAATTATTGAGCACCTACAACTTGCCAAGTACTTAATATACATTATCTTACTGAGCTTCACAATGCTGTATAATAATCTCCATTTTGCAGATGAAGAAACTGCGGCTTAAAAGCCATTAATAATACCATGCACAAAAGTCATACAAGTGGCAGAACCAGGACTCAAACCCAGTTCGTGCCATCATCAAAGTATATGCTATTGGCCTCTACACCCTACTGCATCACTATGTCTTTTTAGTGGTTTAATTTTATGAATCAATGATACATCATTTATAAAAAAGTCAACGAATGCCCAGTATGTATATGCTGGAAACATTTTAACTCTGGACAGTTACTACAATGCTCTATAAATTTCACAATATTGCCACAAACATTGTGAAATATTGACAATGTACCAGATTAAAGTAATTTCAGCTTCATAATATCTGTGTAATGTATGACCTTATTCTCAGAGCTTACCGAAGTGTGCATTTCTCTCATTTGAGATGAAGTTTTCTTTAAAAATGTTAATGCATGTTGTGGTCATTTTACAGAGATCTCCCTAGAAAACCGAGAGGCTAGATACAATTACATGCATGTTCCCATAAAGAAAATAAACATAAGGAGAGTCATATTATGCAATACAAGCTGAAGAATGAATATTGACTATCACTAATGTCAATAATATTGTCAATATCTTTTACGATTATATTTCTCTTAAAACGATTAATGAAACAGGCTAGCAAGATGACATTTAAGGCTGCATTAGTTTGCTAGGGCTGCCATAATGAAACATCACAAGCTGGGTAGCTTAAGCAACAGAAATTTAGTTTCTCAAAATTCTGTATGATAGAAGTCTAAGATCAAGGTGTCAGCAGATTTGGTTTCTTCTGAAGCCTCACTCCTTGCCCTGCAGATGGCTGCCTTTCTGCTCTGTCCTCACGTAGTCATTCTTCCCTCTGCATCTGCGTCCTAATTTCCTCTTCTTATAAGGACACACTTTGGATTAGGGCCCACCCATATGACCTCATTTTACCTTAATTTCCTCTCTAAAGGCCCTATCTCCAAATCAAGTAGTATTAGGCATTAGCAATGGAACATGAATTTGGTGGGGCAGTTGTGGGTGTGAGGGACACAATTTAGCCCATAAGAGAGGCATAGCCTCATGACCACCCAGCAAGTAATAAAACACTGCATTAGGCTGGTACCAAATAACCCTCTCCTTTTCTTGGTGTAATTTCTTAAACACAAAAGTCATTAAGTTATTCAGCAAATAAAAAGTAAAAATGCTCACAGAGAAGTAATAATCCCTACCTCCCAAAAGAAAACAAATCAGAAAGTGGTTAACAATTTACAAAACACAAAAATTTTCTCCCAAAAATTTCAGTTAAGTACTCTAAAAACCATCTCACATTATACAGCAAATGATTTTGACATATTGTATGATATCAATTTTGGCAAAGAAAATTGTATTTTCCTACAACTTTCATTATAAAAGCAAAGTTATAGCTCAAAGGTATCAAGGACTCCCTTAACTTTATCTTCTGAAAGAGTCCTAGGAGGAGTCATCACTTATCTGTTGTTTTTGGATCAGTTCCAGCAACCAGCCCTTCAAATAGGCAAGTGATAAGTAGCTGTGACCCATGTGGCTCCTACATTGTATAGGGGTTACAGATTTGTTATTTTTTGCAATTAACAAATGGTACAGCAGACCTTCCTGAAATTTGTGGTTGGGAATCCACAGACCTAATTATTTACAAATTCACCCTCATTCTTCATTTTTACTAGAATTTGGCAAAGAACTTGCAGTAGCAATTCAAGTTTAAGATTGGGGTGTTTGATAGCATTAGATAATGGTGACGATGGTAGGGTGAATATTTCAAGATTTTATAAAGCAAGGGTATTTTTTATCACGTTAATCATTGCTTTAAAGCATGGACCAATGAAGAATTTATGAATTCACACAAAATTTTACACCAATTTCAAAGGCTCTAAAGATTTCTTGAATACCAACAGACCTCAGATTTAAAATCTCTTGTATTTAAAAAAAAAAAAAAAAGAGGGTAAGAGACATCAATCTCAGCTCAGGGATTTAAGAAAGTTGAAAAGAGCCCAATTCCTGACTATATTAACACTAATCTCCACACTAATGGCCTAGAAGATGAAGAGTATTAATCTCAAAGCATAAAAACTTATATCTGTGTCATATCTAAGTCTGGTTCAGATAATTGTTTGGTCTTGTGGGAGTTTGTTGTTGTTGTTGTTTTGTTTTACCTTTTGTATACTTTGTTATTTTCTGTTGAAAGCCAGCCATCCTATGTAGTAGGAAAGACTGAGGTAAATAGTTTTTATGCTTTGAGATTAATACTCTTTATTACCTCAGTTTTTCTTACTTCATAGGATGGGTGGTTTTCAACAGAAAATAACAAAGTATACAAAAGGTAAAACAAAACAACAACAACAACAAACTCCCACAAGACCAAACAATTACCTGAACCAGACTTAGATATGACACAGATATAAGAACTACCTGGAGATTATTTAAAATCACTATGATTAATGTGTTAAAAGATCTAATGGAAAAGTTGAACCACATGTAAAATCAGATGGCTAATTTCAGCAGAGTGATAAAAAGAATCAATAGAAATGCTAGGAATGTAAAACACAGTAACAAAGTTGAAGAACGCATTCAATGAGCTGATTAGCAGGCTCCACACAACCAATGAATAAGTAAATTTTGTTAGATCTGTAGAAATCACCCAAATTGAAACACAAAGACAAAAAAAAATCAAGGGTGGGAAGGGACAAAAACCAGAAGGGAGTATCCAAGAGCTATCTTCTATTTGCTCCATCTCCTATTTGTTTCAGTTAAAAATATTTTTTATTTCCCTGGTGACTTTTTCTTTATTTCATGCACTATTTAGAAATATGTGGTTTAATTTCCAAATATTGGAATATTTTCAAATAACTTTTTGTTATTGTTTCCAGTTTAACTCCAGTAAGTCCAAGAACATACTTTATATTATTTCAATTATTTTTAATTTTATAATCCAGAATACAGTCTATCTTGATTAATTTTCCACATCCATTTGAGAAGATATTCTCCTGCTGTTCGATAGTCTTCCAGAAATGAGTATCAGAACAAACAGGTTTATAGTGCTGCTTGGGTTATCCACGTCCTTCCTGATTTTCTACCTATTTGTTTTTTTTCAATTACTGTAAAAGGGTGCTAACATCTCCAAGAATAATTGTGGATTTTTAAACTTTTACCATTCAGGTATATTTTTTCTTTCAGCTACTTTAAAACCCTTTTGTTATGTGAATGCACATTTAATTTGGCATGTTTTCTTGGAGAATGATTCCCTTTGCAAACTTCTAGAAAAAAAAACATGGAAAATCCATGTGATCTTGAGATAGGCAAAAAATATTGAGATACAACATTGAAAACACCAGCTAAAAAATGAAAAGATGATAAATAAAACATTATCAAATGTTGAAATGATTTCTCTTTAAAAGACAATCTTAAGAAAATTTTTTAAAAGCCACATAGTGTGACAAAATATTTGCAAAACATCTCTGACAAAGGACTTGTATCTAGAATATACAAAAATCTCTCAAAATTCAACAATAAGAAAACAACCTGATTTTTTTAAATGGGCAAAAGATATAAATATACACTTCACCAAAGAAGAGATGCAGAGGGCAAAAAGGCCTATAAAAAGTTACTCAGTATCATTGGTAATTAGATAAATGCAAAATTAAACCACAACGAATCATCACTATATGCCTATAAGAATGATAGTATAGCTAGTATTAGAATGTGTAACATTACACAAACTGCAATGTCACTCACACGTATTTACTCAAGTAATTGAAAGTATACATTCACACAAAAACCTGTGAGAGTATTTATAGCAGCTTTATTCACAACCCCCTAAAACTGGAAACAACCCAGATGTCCTTTAATGGGAGAATGGATAAACAGTGTTAAATCCACACATGGTCTCTATTTCTCTACTCAAAAATAAAAAGAAGCAAACCATTGATCTATGCAACAACATAAATAAATCTTAAATGCATTTTTCGAAGTGAAAGATGCCAAAATCAAAAGGCTATTAATGAATTATTCCATTCATATGAAATTCTTCAAAAGGCAAATCTAAAGGGATAGAAATCAGATGAGTGGTAGACAGGGATTAAGTGTTGGAGAGGGGTTGACTACAAAGGGATAGCATGAAGGAATTCAGGGGGCCATGGAAACATCCTGTATGGTACTGCACTGGTAAATATATAACTTCATGCATTTGTCAAAATCCATAGAAATATATGCCACAAAGAATGTATCTTACTATACACAATTTTTTTTAATGTAAGCAGATTATCAGGGGACCCCAAGATGGAATGCAGACCATGACAAATGTACCATGTAAGATATTATTAACATTAGGGGAAGCTGGGTGAAGACTATTTGGGAACTCTGCTATCTCACAACAGATATGGGCAAAAAAATAATAATATGAATAGACATTTCTCAAAAAAAGACATACAATGGCAAACAGATACATGAAAAAATGCTCAACATAACTAATTAGAAGAGAACCGCAAATCAAAGCTACAATAAGGTGCCATCTCAATCCATTTAAAATGGCTCTTATCCAAAAGACAGGAAATAATGAGTGCTGGTGAAGATATGGGGAAAGGAGAACATTTGTACACTTCTGGATTTGTGAATTAGTACAGAACTATAGAGAACAGTGTAGAAGTTCCTCAAAAAACTAAATATAAAACTTCCATATGTTCCAACAATCCCACTGCTGAGTATATATCCAAAAGCAAGGAAATTAGCATATCAAGGAGATAGCTGCACTTATATGTTTATTGTAGCATTATTCACAATAGCTAAGATATAGAATCAACCTGTGTCCAACAATGCATGAATGGATAAAGAAAATGTGGTGTATATACACAATGGAACACTATTCAGCTATAAAAAAAATGAGATCCTGTCATTTGCAACAACATGGATGGAACTGGAGGCCATTATGTTAAGTGAAATAAGCCAGGCACAGAAAAACAAATATCGTATGTTCTTGCTCATATGTGGTAGCTTAAAAAAGTTGAACTCATGGAAATAGAGGGTAGAATGATGGTCGCCAGAGGTTTAGAAGGGTATCAAGGTACGGGATAAAGTGAGGACGGTTGATGGGTACAAAAATACAGTTAGATAGAATGAATAGTATCTAGTATTCAGTAGCACAATAGGGTGACTATAGTTAATAATGTATTGTATATTTTAAAATAACTAAAAGAGTGGAATTAGAATGTTCCTAATACAAAGAAAGATAAATGCTTAAGGGGATGGATAGATACACCAATTACCCAGATTTGATCATTACACATTGTAGGCCTGTATCAAAACATGATATGTACCCCAGAAATATATTCAATTGTTATGAACTTATGATAATTAAAAATAATTTTTAATTAAAAAATATGTTAAAGATACCTGGTTGTATCATTGTCACTTAATATAACAACACCCTAACACCAAAAGAGAAAGCAGACCATAATCTTATAACAAAGTTCCCCAAATTTACTAAACACAATTTTTAAAAAAGTTTTAGCAGTCCATTAGAGCTGCAAAAAATACCATTTTTACATACCCTTTCCTGACACATTTTAAATAATTATTTAAAGGGTATCTGTCTAAGAGGTGCTTAGGGGAGGTTTCTGAATGAATAAATGAGCTAACAAATTCTCAAACAACTCATCATCTTTCTCTTAGCCCCAGTTCCATCTTCTAACTAACTTCACAATTTTAGTTCATGATGATTTTATCCTCTCAGCGCCCCAGGCTCAAAATGTTGGCATCTTTTAAGCTCTAGGTTTTCATTTCAACACTTCTCCCCACCCTACATACATCAAGTCACCAACCATGCCATTTCTATTCAGATAAATCTTCCTTAGCTATTACTCTGATCATGGCATGATTATGTTCTAAAACTTTCAGTGATACACCATTTCCTACTAAATAAATTGCAACCTCTTTAGGGCATTTAATGGCTCCTCACATCTACCAACACAAGCAAGCTGAATTGTTCAATATTTCCCAAGGATAGTATCCATTTTCATATCTTTCATGCCATTGTTATTGGTATTTGTCTACTGGAATATGCTTTTCCTGTCTATTCATAGAAATCCAACTATCTTAATTCACATTCCATGTTCTTCAAAAAGCTTTTCCTAATTCCCTGGAAACTGGATGGAAATTCCCATCCCCTCCAAAACTCTACACTATTTTGTATGAACCACTCTTATGAATCTCATCACATTTTCACCTTGCATTATGATTATTTAACCATCTGATTTATTGCCTCATTATATTGTAAGCAAAATAAAAAACTGGGGCTGCGATTCATCTTTATTCTTTATATTCTTTACTGGACCAAGAAAAATGTCTGGTGCATGGCCACAAGACATTAAATATTTGCTGAATGAATAAATGAGATATGAATGGATGAATTAGTGAATAATTGACCAAATTGTGATGGAGAAGGAGGTAAAGTTTGGACTGAAGATTTCTTTTTAAAAAATAAGTCGTTCCTTCTCTCCTATAAAAATAAAGACTATTGGAGAAGAAAATCAGCTAAATAGAGAAGAATACCAATGGTCATTCACAAAATCTGTGACTACTAGATCTACTATTTTAGCCATAGGCACATTGCTAACTCTATAGTTTCTTCAAGGAACTTCTGTGAAGACAGAGGGTGGCAGCCAACTGTCCTCAGTCTTCAGAGCTGACTTTATGATCTCTGGCAATGGCTTCTCTGATTCTTATGAACATAAGATCTTCTCTCAGCTTCCATGTACTGAAAATAAAAGTATTATAAAGACTTATCTCTTTTATATAAAAGAAACTAGACTGTACAGAAAGAACACTAGAGAATTTACTTCGGATAATAGCAATCTCAGTAAAAAGTACCTGCTGACCCTTACAAAATTAAGACATCACACACATTAAAGACACATATCAAATTAGATTCTAATACTCCAGATGACACTCTTCTTTATTAAGCATGACTGAAAGCAAAAGCCTGTGAGTGACAGATATCTTCTTAAGCAGTCATAGGTAAAAGATAATTTATGGCTGAAACAACTAATTTAAATCCCACACGGAATGTTCTAAACAAGGCCATGTGTGCATTTTTTTAAAAGACAAATTCTTTCTCAATGCTATTTTCCTGCTGGAAATATTTTGTATATTTACACAAAATTACTTGAAATTTTTCACTTTGCTGGGCAGATCTTGCCCAAAACCATTATGAACATAAGAAAAATAAAATAACCTCGACTGCTTCTGCTGGTTTTTTCATAGGATATGTCAATGGTCCTAGCCAACCTAACCTTATTCATATGGTGGCTAAAGTTGGAGAAGTCAGAACCTAGTGTTGAAATACCAATAATCTCCCTGTATGTTATTAAGTCTGGCCTTTAACATGTTGGATTTAACATATCTAATGTTCTTCTCTCAGACAACACGAATTTAACATATCTATACTCACCTTTTAATATTTTCATTTTCTCCTGGATAAAACACAAAAGTTGAATGTTTCAAAATTCAACATATATAGATATAGACATATATTCTAAGGAGAGCCAAACTTTTTAATTGACACAAAAATCATTGTCTGATGCCATTTAGTTACCCTTTTTATAGCTCTGGACACATGGGCAAAGAACTTACTTCTATTTCTGAATTATAATATTTTATGTGTACAGCCCAGCTCTTTAAATGGCTATCTATGTTGCAGCTTTCTCCAAACTCAACTCTACTTTTAAATCACTGAATTCTATACAAGCATCCTTAAAGGGTTGTAATATGTTATACAAATAAATCTAGAATACACATGTATACACAAATTTGAATTTACACTAAAGGCACAATAATCTTTAAAGGCCTTATTCTAAATACCACTGAGTCCTCACTTTAAGAAACATCGCAATTAAAAAAAGGAAGAGTTTTTAAAGGAAGTCTCTAGTGAATCCTTCTGCAAAGTGAGAAATCACATTCCAACTTATCTGTTTTGTAAGTTGGGAAACAAGATTCTTGCTTCTGTATCTCTCGTAGGGGAGATGAGATGGAGGGCAAAGAGCATCTCTTGGTTGGCCCAAGAGGAAAGGGTGAGATGAGAAGAGAGAGAGCAGCCCGGGTTCTCTCCCTGGAAAGTTAAATGTCAGCAGGGTTAGGCCTTGCCAATATAAATACAATCACAATGATGGTATAAAAAGACATGCATTTTCACCTCTATTGACTTTTCACGTTCATGGGATAATTATTGTAACATTTTCTTAAAGGGCAAAAAGCTTTTGATGATGAATACATCTCATTACATGGAATTTTACATGTAATCCTTACATGAATCTCATTGTAATTCAATGGATGAATTACGTGTTAATGCTAGCATAACAAGCCTTTAACCTATTTGACTTAATTACAGGCATATCATCAGATTTACTGGGAAAAGATTTCTTACCTGTGCTCTAAAAAGTCTTTTCACTTTTTTTAACCCTTTGGTTAAATCTTTGGAAGTTCCTGTTACAATCTCTTCCTACTACTTGCTATAAACTTTGTCTATAGGAATGGGGAGGACGGAGTGGAGAGCACATCATTTTGCTTTGTGGATGTCTATCTAGGTATTGAGGGTTCCAGTATCTCTGGTCCCTTATGGGCAAAATCTTTTTCACATCAAAGAATGTGGTGAAATAGAATGAACTTTGGAATGGAAGTTGGAAATCTGGCTCCTCTGACAGTCTCTAATAGGGTAGCTTTAGAGAAGCCAATTAACCAGCAGGAACCTCAGATTTCTTTTATGTTAAATGGAGAAAATGTACCCACCTGCCTAGTCACAGGGTTTTGATGAAGACGCCAATGATATAATGTAAGTTTTTGAAATAGTGCTATATAAACAATAAAACATAATACAATTACAGAGTATTGATGATGAAGAAGAGGGAAAAAAAGAGAGGAGGAGAGAAACAGAAAAAAAAAAGGAGAGAGTAGAAGAGAAGAAAGAGGGATAAAGGGAAGAGAAGGAAGAAAGGCCAATGAAAACGACCATATATTCAAAGAGTGAGGGTTCTAGTTCTATATGTGTTATTAATGTAAGTTGCCTTCACATGCACCTCCTCTCAGGGAACTTTGAACATGCAGTGTTGACAGTCGACTTGTGTTCCCTTCAAAATTCCTATGTTGGAGTTCTGACCCCCAGTACCTCAAAATGTGACCTTATTTGGAAACAGGGTCATTGCAGAATCAGTTAAGATGAGGTCATACTGAGTAGATTGAGCTCCTGATCTAATACAACTGGTGTTCTTATAGCAGGGGGAAATTTGGACACACACACACACACACACACACACACACACACACATACACATACACATGGAAAATCCCTCTTTTCTTTTCATATCACATTTGCTAACACCCATAGGATAAAGCACTTCACATGTCTGAGCCCAGAGCCAAGAGACAGACCATCATCATGAGGCCATAAATATATAATTTTATTAGAAAAGATGGAAAAATTGGGACCAATAATTTGATCTACCACAACCACCACACTCAATTACCTCAACACTAGCTTCAGAGGAGAAATGTAAGGGCCACAGGATGTGTGAGCCCCCACAGGACCTCACAAAGGAAGAGAGATTCATGGATGGGGGATCTGAGGTTTTAGATAATAAACAGGTAATGGTGCTGATGCAGAAGCCACTGTTGCTGTGACTCAGGTTCTCTTGGTAGTATCCTAAGAATAAAGTAAACTTAGAACCAAAGGTGTATTTGTAGGATCTATTCATGATTGTGTTGTATCCTGGTGCAATGAAATTGAAGACTCAGAATTATAACCATTTTTTGTGATCAATGATACTGACATGACCAGAGGATACTGGACAGATAAGGGTCCTCAATATCACCACAGGTATCGGGGATGTGACTTACCTGGTCTTTCATTCCATAAATATTTATATGAGCCATGAGAGGTCCTAGCTTTTGAACTTGTAGGAGAAAGTAAGGCATAACCAAGAAATGATGATTCAATGCAGATTCCTACTGAAATGGGGGTTGTGATCCTATAAATGAGAGCACTAAGCAGATCATTTCTGCTTAGTGCCATTTCAGTAAAGTTCCTAAGGAAATGCATTCCAGGCATGGTACATTGGCAATTATTCTGCATCTCTCTTTAAATCATTTGGAGACATGCCATGGCTTCACCCATATTAACTTCAACTGCCTTTGATAGAGTTATTGGTCAATGCTCCCAGGCTGCATTGAGGTGCATGATCTGCAAAATGTCAAAAGAGAAGTCCTCCCACTAATGTAAAACTTTCATTTCACCTGCACACCTTTTGTTACTGTTATAAGTCAAGGCTGTTTCCCAGGCATGAAATAAATGGTGGAAAGGGAGGTCAGGCCAAAATGAACAGCCTGCATTGCAGAACACACTTTATTCAGGATACAGCAGCAGAGCACTTGTTGGCTGAAAGCATATGTGGCATGAGGTGCTAAATTGCGTTAGCCAAGAATCCATAGTGCAGTGCAGTCTGCCTTTCTGGTTTTCATTGTTTTAAAGCAAACAATAGCATTCAGAGCATGACAATATATCCACATACTGGAATCAGTGGTTATGTATCTATAGCTATATATTAGAAATTATTTCAGAGACCAGCAGTACTACAACAAATCAGCACTTTAAGGTGCCTTATTAAGTATGCAATACATGTACTTACAGAAGTAAAGAATGAATAGAATGCCCATGGAACACATAACAAGGATACTTAACTCAGGACGAACAACCAGTCTGAGACTTGAAGGGTAAATAGGAAATAATTAGAAGAAAAACTGTGTTAGTGGGCATGAAGGTAAGAAGTTGCAGAGTTTTCATGATAGGGATTATAATTTGTGCCTTACTACAAAGTCAGGACCCAGTAAATTTTTGCTCAGTGAAATAAAGGGAGATCATAGTTGAGCAGAGTGCAAGCTAAAAAAGAGTGGGAAATGAGGGTGAGACAGAAGTGGAGGCATGCTCTAATGGGCTCAGTTGTAGAATGGTGACTTTGGCTACTCTGTGAAGAGCACTGTAGAGAAGTATGGGAAGCAGGAGCAGAGAAGCCAGACAGGAGGCTACTGCAGCCATTCCATGGCCTTGGAGAGACATAGGACTCAACTAGTGATTGAGTGTGGAATGTGAGGATATCTTGAGGAAGGTTTACACACTGCCATCTTAGATTTAATAAGGATGGAGGCACTGTGGCAGAGTTTTTAAACCTCACCCCAAGTTACAGGAGCATATGGGAAGAAAGGCCAAAGTGTAGCATGTCAGTAGACTCATCCTGAAAGAAGTTCTCTTTGCTGAGTTCCTTTTTTTTAAATTTATTTCCTGTAATTTTTAAGTTCTGGGGTAAATTTGCAGAATGTGAAGGTTTATTACATAGGTAAACATGTGCCATGGTGGTTTGCTGCACCTATCAACCCATCACCTAGGTATTAAGCCCAGCATGCATTAGCATTAGCTCTTTTTCCTAATGCTCTCCCTCCCTCCACCCCCACCCCCACCCCCAACAGGCCCCAGTGTGAGTTGTTGCCCTCCCTGTGTCCATGTGCTCTCACTGTTCAGCTCCCACTTATAAGTGAGAACACGTGGTGTTTGGTTTTCTGTTCCTGCATTAGTTTGCTGAGCATAATGGCTTCCAGCTACATTGATGTCCCTGCAAAGGACATAATTGCATTCCTTTTTATGCCTGCACAGTATCTCATGGTGTACATGTACCACATTTTCTTTATCCAGTCTATCATTGATGGGCATTTGGGTTGATTCCCTGTCTTTGCTATTGTAAATAGTGCTGCAATGAGCATTTGCATGCATGTATCTTTGTAATATAATGATTTCTATTCCTTTGGGTATACACCTAGTAATGGGATTGCTGGGTCAAATGGTATTTCTGGTTCTAGATCTTTGAGGAATTGTCACACTGTCTGTCTTCCACAATTGTTGAACTAATCTAAAGGACAAGGAGGAATTCCTCAGGAAGTGGTAGAGCCCTTGTTTCTTGTGCATCTGCAGGTCAGCAGGGGCAGCTCTGCCTCAGGCGATGGAGGCTGAGGGCCCCTTGCTGAAGGTCTATGCTTCGACTGGAGTGGCTCTCGCTACATGATCTCATTCTGTGGTCTGGGCTAAAGAGGCAGCCCTCATATGGCAGAAGCTCTCCTCGTGGCAATGGCAGAAGCACAAAAGGACAAATGGAAACATGAAAGACTTAGAACTCACATGGAACCAGCACACTATCATTCCTGCCCATATGCCACTGGTCAAGGCAAGTCACATGACCAAGGCCAAATTCAAGGGGCCAAGGGACAGGAGCTACATTCTACCTTTAGTGCAAGTGTATTTATATAGCAAAAGGTACAGATACAGGAGTGGGGGCTAGGGAGTGGTGCAGAATGGGCTCAATAATTCTACCCACCACAAAGAGCATCCAGAGATAATGTATATAAACAAAGAGTGTATGAGATGATAAACCAGAGATCAGTTTGACTCGGCTTTAGAGCACAATGGAGAAAGGAAAGGGAGTGAGAAACTGGGGTGCAGAGCAGTGGGCATGAGTTGCAATGAGGGCTTTTCTCAAGTCATGGAAGGGAAGGAAGTGCTACTGTGCAAAGGAGCTCAGTGTGCCCTGGGAGCAGGTGCAGGCACATTGGCTCTTAGCCAGTCTCAGGGAGTTTTGGGGGAGACTTACCAGACAAAGGGAGTGCCACAGGCCTAGACTGTGGAATTGCAAGCCCTTTACCAAAGCTGGAGCCCATTGACTGAAGGCACATTGTCTTTGTGGCCCTGCAATCCCTAATTTGGCAGACTTTATACTTGAGCAAAGTAACCACGCTCTTCTGTTGTGATTTGGTGGATACTGTGAAAGGTCCTCTGTCCCCTAAAATAACCATTCCACACATCTAGAAAGCCAATGGAGTACAGGATGTGTTGCACTAAAACAGAAAAGAGGGAGGAGTCTGGCTTCCCTGCTGTTTTGAGCACAGCCCAACCCATAGCAGGGGCTCCAGCAGGATTAAACTGTTTGTTCTCCTATCAGCAGGCTAGTTAATCCTCCAAAACCCTTGCCAGAAATATGCACACAGTAAACACTCTGTTCTGTAAGAACTGTCTGTCCTAACAAAAGCCAAAAGAGAACATCTACTCCCTTGTAGATCTGAACACTTCTTAGTTCCCTTTCTCTGCAATTACCAGAAGTGATAATTGGTCTCCAAAAATAATGGCAGATTTCACAAGCCTACTAACTCCCCTCTTTTTTATTATCTGAGTACAAGTACATATTATATATACATATGATTGAGTGAGGCCAACACACTCTAGAGAGTTGCTTGAGGTCACATTGAGTCAGTGGCTCAATGTGGATTAGAAAAGCCTCATGCCCTGTCTGGTCCCCAATCCTTTTTATTTAACCACAGAACAAGTTGCCGTATGAACAAAACATAAAAGGCATTAACCTCTGATAAGTTACATTTATTTTCTTGTGCATTTGGCATTTATTTGGGTTGTTTCAATTTGTGTGTCTCAGTATATAGAGTTTCGCACATTGTCCTCTGATTTCTGGGTCTTTTATTTCTGTTGGCATTTCTCTTATTCTTTAGTTAAAATTAACTGTTTTCCATTTCAATAAAAGTTGTCTTGAGATCTGTCCTTTGCTTTGGTGTCACTGCAATATGAAATTTAGCAGGATTGTTTCCACTCCACACCGAGACAGCAAGTCATTTCAGCATCAGCCATTCTTTGTCAACTGATTTGAATGTTTCCTAGGAGGACAAAATAATTTTAACAGTGATTTCACATCTTTTCTCTGGCCATTTCTGTCCCTGGTGAAAGGCTTTGGCCTTTAAATAGGCCCTAACATTTTCCCCCATTCACAATGTAGTTGGTGTCAGTTTAAGTCTTTGCTGCATTTCATGTCTGTGCATGCCTGCAGCTACTTTTCTTTTGAATCAGAGCTGTTGACTTCAGTGGGACAGCACCACAGGCTGGACATAGTGGTCCCAGAGCCATCAGGAGGCTCCTTTCTGAAAACAACAGAAATGAACCCCAGAAAATAAAAGGCTTCACTTGATACAGTCTAAGCAGCCCATATGTACCTGCTTTGCCTAACTGCCGAGCTATGTGGTGAGATTCACAGATTGCCTAAATACAAATGAGCATAAAAATGAGCCCAATTCCCTTTGCCACAGCATTTTTTCCAAAAGTCTAAAATTCACGTGAGAAATATGAACAGTTCCCTATTTCTGAAGATTACTATTAAATGATTACGTCAAGCTGGATAAAACAAACAGCATCACAACAATATCTAATAATTTGTTATATCATAAAATAGCCAGGTTTCTAAATTTGAAAGAAAATCATTATGTGTAACTGGGATGCCATAGACAGCTTCATGACCATCCACATCTAAGGACATTCTTGCCTGCCACGCTAGCATGGCTGGCACTAAAATGAGGCAGTCATCTCAAGAGTGAAATCTAAGGGGTGCCAAAAACTCAGTAGTCAAGATAAATATTTTAATGCAATATTTAAAAAACAAAATTAGTGCAAAAAATTCATGATAAAAAAATTAAAATCAATCAATCAAAGTGGATTGATTGTAAAGTTACTGCCCTTCAGAGGGGTACAAAATCATAGGAAGGACAGAAAGAAAAAGGTCATCAGTTTGAAATGTCTAGTTGTTGGGGGCACATTCGCTATTTTTCAAGGACTTTGAAGAGAAAGAGATAAATTCATGATTATTCAGTGTTGTGTGTTATGATATGTACCTTACATTAAATGAGACTGGGAAATTGGGGAAGAAGAGAAAGTCTATAGGAAAAGGAAAAAGAAGTCTAAGAACTACTCGGGTGGTCATTCATCTTGATCTGTTCCCTCTACTTCGGGCCCCCTACCTTGAAGGGGAGATGACATTCTCTGGCTTCCAGCCATGCCCTGCCATCAGCCTCATTCCTTTATTCATCAGTCTCCTACCCTGGCATTTATCAACATGTCCATGCCATAGCTCAGCACTCACTGAAAGCCTGGCTTTCCAGACCAAGAAGATGTGGAAAGTGACAGCAATAGCTCAGGTCATTAGGCAAAAATGCTTGGCTAAAATTTTCCTGAGAACCATCCAATAGGTTACATTAACCATTAAAATTCTATTTGGAGATAGTGGAGAAAAGAATGTCAGTTACGAAAAGATCAGGTGTTATAATGTGTGCTATATGACATTAAAGTGTGAAGTGTTATCCATCACAGTCATGAAATGGGTAAAGTCCACACACAGAGTACCGCTTAGGAAGAGGAAGTCCCTGAGCAGAGGACAAGCATGTGTCCGTGTAGGGCAAGATGAGACCACCATCTATGTGCTGCTTGATATTTTATTAATTTTCACTGTTGAGAACTTCAGATATTTTCATTATATTTTACTGAGCTTATGTCTTCAGGCTTTTCAAGTAAAGGGCAAAATTTTAAAAAATTAAATCATCTCCATCAGAAGTGTTCATTACCATGAATATGTTTAAAAATAGGGTGCTGAAGTTATCACATAGATCTCCCAAACTGAAATGAGCTAAAGAGAAAATATATCATTGAGAAAGAGAGTCCCTGGATAAACAAGTCAGATCAAGAAGGACAAGGTCCATATCACATCCATCTGACTGCTTTATATCTATTCAGGCAGACCCACGGGGTAGATTTATAAAAGCCCAGCATGTTCATTCCTTCATTCACTCAACAAATGTGAATCGAGGGCCTACTATGTGTCAAGCACTGAACCAGATCCTGAGAAAAACAGACTCAGTCCCCGCTCTGATGGAGCTTAAGGTCCTGCACAGAAGACACTCTTTAAGAGAATCATATCCTAAATAAGGGATCCCAAATAAAGGATATGTGTTGTTCTACCTTTATCCTAAATAAAGGTAGGAGGACACATAACTGGGGGACTAGACCTAATCTAGGTTTCAAGGAAGAATCCTATGAAAAAGTGAGGTCTACCTTCCAACTTAGACAGAAAAGTTAAGCTAATTTGGTGAAAGAATGCCTACATGGGAATAAGGGAAGCAAACTGAAAAGCAAAATTAATGAATCAGAGAATGAGCAGGAGAGGTAAGCAGGTGAGGATTTCATATAGGAAGTAGAACTTTCAGGGATATGAGAAGAGGCAGACAAGTGCAAGTCTAGAAAGACGTGGCTAAGAAATCTGAGAAACAGTTGCCAGCAGCTTCGGCCTGGAGTCTGGGAGGGTGAATGGGAAGACGAACTTAAAGGGAAGACTGTAAAGCCCACTTCAACCACAGAGTAGGAGTTTCCAGAAAGGTCCATGAAACTTCTGAGTGTACGACAACCCCATGTCTGAACCCCATGACCACTTGAGAATCTCAAATCAGATCCTGTCATTGGCAATGTTTAACCCAGGACCATGAAGGGAAGAGGACTCTGGAAATCCTTGCTCCCAGCCTTAGGCAGAGGTGTAGTGGTGAGAACCTCAAAGCAGGATCACACCATTTGCTGCTTGCTATCCAGCTCAGAATGTGAGTTTTAATCCTAAGATCCATAAGAAGTGCTTGTAGGGGATAGCATAATTGGAAGTTCATTTTCACCAATTTCGTCTAGCCATGCTCCGTAGCACTGATTGGAAGGCAGCCAGGGAGAAGCAAAAATACAGATTAGAAGGCTGTGGTAAAGCAAGAGGTGAAAAAAAGTTGGACTAGGGTAGAGAGATTGAGAGATGTAAGAAGACTAAGATGTAAAAATGTAAAACAGTACTTTCTTCTGAATTGAATTTAGGTGGTAAAGATAAGAAAGGATACAACCAATAGCTGTGCCACATGGTTTTCAGTGCTGGTGCAATTCTCCTCCAGTCTTTAGATTCAGAGACAATCAGGATTGCAAGGCCTTCAGGTCAACTCATCTAACTCCCTCCCTAGATCTGACTGATTGCTGTCTTTATCCAACACCACATTGATTAGGTGAAGGGGGCATGCATGCTTATTTCAAGAATTCATTTTAGTCCACATAATTTTCATGTCTTTGCATGCAAATGTCACTGTACCAGCATGAATGCAGGAAGTAGAGTGCAGACATTTTCTCTTTTACTGCAGATCAGTTGTAGAGAAAGCAGCACACTAAACAAGAACTAGGACGAGCCAAGTCTAGCTTTCAGCGAAGACAGGTACCCACCTCCTGCAGCTGTGTCTGGATCAGTCGTCAGAGGATCAAGTTTAGAGATGAGTAAGAGTGGAGCTTAAAGGGGATTTGAAGGTGATGAGAAGAAACTCTATCTGTATGTGGATGGAGAAAGAGATACCGCAGGCAGCGAAGCCACTGCTCCTCACCTTCTCGTTTATCTGTCTCCAAAGCTCCATAGATTGGCAGGAGCTGCCTCGCTTTGAGAGGAGCGGCTAAGATAAGTTAATTATGTGTTTGTATTTGATACCATTTGTTAGAAAAATGTCCACTTTTGACCGTTCAGTAATGTAGCTATTGTAAATGAGAAACTCTTACAAGATAATACTTGTTCTAAGTAAATTTGAGAGTAGACTTTCAAGTTTATAAAACTTTATCAAATCAGTTAGAATCTAATTTCTTCCTGAAATCTTGAACTTGAGGATGTTATGAATCATGTGTGAGATGGTGAAACCTCCTGGCAAAATACAACATTGCAGTCTCATGTACTCATAGGGAAATAATGACCTAGTCGGGGTTTTAGATAAGTAAAGCAAGAAAGAATGCAATACAGTTTTGCCGGGTTTGAATGTAAAATCAAAGGATCACCAGAAAGAAGAAAAATATTTACGAGTCCTCCTGACCCAAGAAGAACATACGACGGAGGGAATGACACCTAGCACTCAGAAGAAAGGATATCCTCAAGCTAAGAAAATATCTTAAGGAAAAAGCAAACTTCTAGTTTAAAACCTTGTTCAGCCAATATCCAGTGATGTACTATGAGGCCCAGTAGCTCCTGAATTGGCCATCTTAACCACTTTTACCCCCAAATACTTCAAATCTCCATTGGTAAATTTTCCTTCAAAGGAATTTATTTTTAATTGCTTAGCCATTTCAGTCAGAAATACCATTCACCTTCAAGAAATATGTTTTATAAAAAGCTTTGCTGTAAGACATATAATTGCATTTTACTAAACATGTCTTAGATACATGTTTGTTCTTATGAAAAGGTCTGAATAATTAACCTTATCTAAAATACCTTGGAACTATAAAACCATTATTCCAACTTTAAAATAAAAATGTAATGATATGCAGTTACAAAAATTGATTCTTCATCACCGTCATTCAGAAATGCAATGCCCCTCTTCTTATAGACACATATATAGTTGTCAACAAATGAAGCATGAAGTATTCAATAAAATTACTTTCAAATATAAAATAACACTGTATTTTGAAAAATTAATTTTATTTCCCATACAGAAAGAAAATTTTCAAAAATTGTAACGTTATTCAAACTCAAAAGGACCAACACTGAAGATTTTAGAAAAAGATTAGTGGCAGCATCTAAGACAGCAATTTTCAGTTCATGAATGACATAAAACCATTTTACAGGGACTTGTTTATATCCTGAGTGGCATCATGATGGTTTTTATCATATTGAATGGTAATGTATTAATGCCCCAGAGAGGCCTGAGATTATTAACCCCCATAAACCTCTTAACAGCACCCCCAAGTCACATTCCTGTTGCATTTCTAATGTTGCGTTGTATCAAAAACAGCATAATAGTAACAACCTTTTAAGTTTTTGTAAAGATTAAATGAGATAATGCATATAAAGCACTTAACACAATGCCTAACATAAAGCTCACGCTCAATAAACAATCGCAATTATTATAGTCTAACCTTCTTGCCAGCCAGAGAAATTCCATGAGCTGGAGCATGAGTACAATTTTTCTATTGGGGGTTGAAGTTATTTCAATAATATATACCCTGTCATCTTCATCTAATGACAATAAAAGAGTGTCAACACCAGATCAGCTAGTTATTCTTTGTGGGTGAATTTCAGGGGGACCTAAGTCATACACATGTCCCAAATCTGAAAGAATTTAGTAAAATGCCTCCAGGTCTTAAAACTTCAAATAAATACTTAAAAGTCAACAATAATCTGTGCTCTCTGTATGAGTTGGGAATAGAATCAAAAGATAGTGGTTTCTATTCTTAATTTACATAGTAATTCATATGGGACCATGAGACTCGCCAGCAGATTTCTCAATGAATATGTGTTTTCATCTGAAAAATTGGGATATTCATAATATTATCTCATGAACAAACTTCTGCAGAGGGCTACAAGGCTAAGGAATCCAACTAACTGTGGTTTTCTAATCTTGCATCTTCCTCCTCCTTTCTAGAAGTTAACATGCCCGTCACCACAATCCAGTGACCAAAATAAGCAACAATTTTGGCTCCCGATAACAAAAAGATACATAAATAAAAGTGGTTTAAATAGTAAAGGCACTATATTGTTTATGTACCAGAAAAATCCTGCAATACAGCAGCTTCAGGCCTGTTGTGGTCAGGGTTCTAGCTCTGCTTCCACACAAACACATTGTCTCTCTCCCCTCCTTCCTAGTCATCCTTCATCCCAGGCTGGCTTCCGCCATGGGACACCATATCCAGATGTTAAGCCCACACTTCACTTTTTCCAAGAAATAGGACGTTTTTCCCTTACCACCCAACACAAGTTCAGGGCTTCACTTTGACTGAGTCACCTTCTGTCCTGTGCCCATCCTTGAAACCAATATTTATGGTCGGGAAATGAAATTATGCTGATTTACTCAGGGGGTGGAAGCAGAATGACTGCTACCCACAAAAGGATGCTACACAGGGAAAAAGGGGTGGATGGTGAGACAACCAAAAGCTGCACCATCTGTTAGATTCACCACAGAGGCTAGAAAGTAGCTCCAAGAAAATTACAGAGATTCTTCTGTAAGCCAGCTCTGTCGTATTTACCATCTCTGAGATCTGCTCCAGTCCCAGATGGCCAAAGAACAATCTGAAAGATATATTTCATTCTCTGCTGAAAATTGGCACTCCTCTAACAACAGATTATTGTCCCAGGACCAAGATTATGTATTGCCTCTATTTCCTCTTCATTTGAGAGTCCTTCTTCTCAAAGACTCCTTGGTCCTTCATACAAATAGGCTCCTGACAAATCCCTCCTAAACTGCTGGGCATGTGGCTCAAATTAGTGTCTACCACATCTGCTGTACATTTATACTAAAACCTTACATGGAGGTAAATAATTTTATAAGAACTAATTGGGATTCAAGTCCCCAGGGTGAAGTCAATGAATAAGAAAGCGTAAGTAGAAATCATAGAAATTCTTCCCTAGATGGATTGCAACACACAGGGGCATGTGTGTTCATCTTCTTAAAAGAGGGTGTTGTAGGAAATGCTGTGAGGGTGTCATTTTGCACTTTGTCTGACCCTCATTTTTAGATGGGAAGAAACAACCCAAAGACCTTCAGGTCCTAAAATTTTCTCAAGAGTTTTCACAAGTGATTCAGAACTTGAAGGAAATATTTTAGCACGTTTAGATCATTTCCAAAAGAATTGTTTTCCTTTGTGAAGTTTAACTGAAAAGGTAATGAGCACACTTCTTCATGTATTTAAAGTGTCAAAAATACCATCTTGCTATTCATCTTCAAAGGAGTAAATGCAGATGACCTATCAAAAAGAAAGATGAACACCAAAAATACAGCTTATGGGAAATGGATGGGAAAAACATTCAAACTTTCTCAGGCCACCCAAGTTATTCTATCAATTTAACAGAACTATGCATCTCTCTCTGTGTGTATGTGTGTTTATGTGTTTGGAGAATTTTGAGTTTTCTATAAAGATTGTGTACCTTTTTTGAGCTACAGGTCCCTTTGACTCTCTGGTGAAATCTACAGAACCCACCTCAGAAAAAACAGGATTACAAAGGAAATCAAGTATATTATAACACAGTTTTCAAAATAAAACCATATAATATAGTAATATATGTGCTTGTATTAATTCATTCAGCAATAAGATCTAGAAGCAGGTCCACTAACTACTACAATTTTGAAGGAATTATGACTGTAAATAATATTCTGAGGTACCTGAAAAATTTTAATGTGATACAGAAACATCTGTGATATCGATAACAAAATCATAGGCAGTGCTGACATTACAATGGCCTATTGCACTGCTGAGGTGACACAGTTGAGCTACTAACCCCGGGCAATCTGGCTGTAAAGTCACTCTCAACAACATTGCTATTCTATGTAGCACAGATCCATGAGACAAGTTAGCTCAAACCCTTCATTTTGCAAGTAATGTAATTAAGGTTCAGAGAGCATGGGTAACCTGCATCCACAACTACAGTTAAGAAATCTTTTCTTTGGTTTTGATCTTGTGGTCCTTGAATGTATGGAATTGGACTAACCACAATCATTGCTTCAGGACCTACCATCATTACTGTCTAGGCATGGTCCTTCTTGCTTTAATTAACTAAGTGATTTAAATAAAATAATGAATATTCATAAACTCATGACTCAACCCAAGGACTCCACATTAATAATAATTTATATTCACCTCTCCTATGCAATTATTTTTCCCATGATAGCCAAAATGTTTATGGTGCTTTTACACACACACACACACACACACACACTTTTTTTTTAAAGTCACAATACATGCATTCTTAAACAATGTTGTTTAGTTTTACTTGAGGTTGAATTTTATCATAAAATAGATAATCTGGAGCTTATTTTTCATATTCACCATTGCATTACTGGGATTCATCCATATTGTTGCATGTATCTGTAGTTCAATTATTGGTTAGAAAACACACACATGCACACATACACACACACACACACACACACACACACACAGAGTCCAGCTCTATGATGTTTACAGGAAATAGATTTGAACCCCAATCTCCTAACTGAAACACCAGCACTTGCTTCATTACCCTAAGATTGCCACTTTTGCCCTCCAAGCATCCCTTCCTCTTCTGAGTGAAATGTTTATTCAGAGGAAGCTCTTCCCAGGAGTCCTGAATCACAACAGTAAGTGGCTGCCAACTCAACACTGGGGAACACTGGCTCGTTATCTGAAACATGTAAATAAATTGGCACTGATGGAGAAAAAAGAAAAGCCAGCTCACAAAGGCATGCAGAGGCCGGGGGTATGAGTCTATCTGGGTTTGAAAGGTAGCTCAAAGTCACAATTGATTGGGCCATGCAAAGTGAGAGGTGAGAAAGACCCTCATATTGCTTCACTTGGGCTAAGACCAAAGCCAAGCATAGCTAAGACCAAAGCCAAGCAAAGCCAAGCATGGCTGAGACCTTTGGGGGCAGGACTCAGTGCCATGTTGCTATGGCGATTCTTCCACCAGCTCAGAAGCTTCCCTTGCTCTCTAGCAAAGCCCAGCCTCCAAGATGAAAGGGAGTAGGAGAGGTGGGGAAAGAATAGATAGGGCTGCTGAAGCCAAGGCCAGAAGAATTCTACTATGGGAAGACCATGAGATAAAATCCCCTCTGCCATGTGTCTGTATGTGTGTGTGTCTGTGCACATGTGTGCATATGCCCACACTGGGGAGGGAAGGCTAAAGAGAGGATTTTCTCTGCTATACGCCCACCATGGGAGCAGAGCTTTAACTAATTCATTCTAAACCTCAACGTCTTCCCAAATGATAATAACTAATTCAGGTAACTCTATGTTGTAGGATTACTCTTTTACTGCACTGTGAACAGATATCCCTCCATAACAAACAAACACACATGCACACACACTACATACACCCTTCTGCCATCTTTTCTAAACAAACAACAGATTGCGTTGCTGCTGTTCAGAATATTATGCCAGGAAAACAGGGAGAAGTTTTGTTTTGTTTTTTTTTTTTTAAAAAACTTCTTCATCAAGATTCAGACCAAATGTATGTGCCTACCAAGTGATATACTGCACAATTCTAAACACTTCATAAATGCTCATTGGTGCCCATGCCTGCAAAGATTCAGGGAAACTGTTGCCCAGCCCTTCTTTCTGGGGAAGGGCCATATGTGAAAATGAGTCATATTTGCCATCTGCACAGTACATTCCAGAATGCTCAGCAAGCATTCTGAGGTCACTCATAGTCCCCATTTTACAGATGGACATTCAGAGACAGAAAGAGAGGTGACATGACGCCTGTCCCCATTGCTCCTCTCAGGATCCACAGAAATTAGTAAGCTCCATTTTTATTCATTGAAATGATTTTTTTAAAGCAACAACTTTTGCCAGATCGCAGATGCAGAGTTCAGAGCATGATCATTTTTCACCAGGAAACATGGCATCTACAATGACTGCCACCAAGTGTAAAATGAAGAACATATTTCTTCCTCCTTCCTGGGGTAACTTGACTTGAAAGTTACGATGACAGATACTCAGAGGCCACTACACCCACCAATAATAATTCTGGGTAAGCCACTCGGAAGAACTAAGTGCCTGTTGTATTGTGGCATCATTATGATGGTATTTTTGAAGTGAAAAAGATTAAGATGCTTAAAATCCAATAATTTTTTCCCAAGTGAAAATTTACAGTCATAGCAAAAAAAAAAAAATTAAAAATAGAAAGTCTGCCTATTCAGCAACCCTAATGGCGCTGCTAGAATATGTCATTATTCTACATAAGACCCCAAGCAAATTACTTTAATCTTCCCAAGCCTCATTTTTCTCATCTGTAAAATGATGCTATAAATAGTATTAGCCTCTCAACCCAAGTGATTTGATGATTAAATGATTCATTGTGTATGTAAAAAATTTGACACAGTGCCTAGCATCTAGTAAATGCTCAGTAAATGTTAGAATTCTCATACTGTGCCAAGTTCAAATGCATTACTTGAACTGGCAAATGATGACCATTCCCAGTGAATAAAGGAATAAAGAATTCCTGCTTTGTGAATTATAGACAGGCTTTAGCAAAACACTGGTCGTTGATAAACACATCTTTAAATTATTGTTGAGCATCCATTATTTATAATTTACATGAAAAGAGGGCCACTGTGCAATTTCTGAAATCATGACAGTACTTTCTGCCCCGAGGTGAACCCTGCTGTAGTACGTAGGTGAGCTGAAGTGGAGAAACCATATGCAGGGAAGGATCCAGGTTGTTCCAGGGCATAGATTCCAACTCTGGAGCATGGATGTGGGCAGCTGGGCAAGTTGCATCAGCCTGGCAGCAGGTAAGCCTGGAGCAGCTCCTTTGAATAAAGGTTTCCAGCTGACTGCACATCTAAGTGGCAGGGTCAGGAATGGCCTTAGGTGCTGGGAGGCAAAGATGTATCCACAATCTGAGAAGAGCCTTTACTCCATGGATGTAAAAAGAAGAGGGCTCACCTCCATCAGTCTCTTGAGCTTCAGACACATATGCTGGGAAGGAGAACCCCCTAAAGCTGTCACCTTTGAATAGCAGAGAATGGCTGGTTATTACAGAGTTTCATAACTCAGTAGATGTGTTTGTTCATAAGGCTTCAGATAAATTTGAGTTCTCCCTATAACCAACCTAAGAGATGAATTGCTATTCATCTCAATTAGCAATTGATAAACATAATGAATTAAATTAGTTTGTGGCCAGTGTCATCATGGAATCCTAGACGTGCAAGACTCTGAAGAGAATGTAAACATCACCCAATTTACCATCTTCATGGTGTAAAGAAAGTGCAGTCAAAGGAGATATGTTGACTGGCCCAAGCCCTCACAATTAGCCACAGCAGATGAGAATGCAGCGATTCAGTGCTTTACAATTTTTTGAGAAACTGTCTGCCATTACCACCATCCTTACCTCAGGACCATGACTCAAATATTCTATCAGTATAACCATAAAGAACACTCAATTGACTCACTAGTTGTAGGAAATCTCGGGCCACAGTTTGAATAGCCTCTTCCTTTCTGGAAACCTCAAAGTGCCTGCTCCCTTGCAACCAAACAAGGACAGCCAAATATACTTAAAGGCCAATCATAAGACTGCCCCATGCCCCTTTCAAAAATCTCACCTTAATAGAATGTGCTTTTTTTTCCTATAAAACTCATTTTCCTTTCAAATCCTCCTTGAACCTCTGAAGGAGCAAAAGGGACCATAGATATTTCCCTTGCTATAGCAAACATATGAATAAACAGCATTGGCTAATTTGATTTCTAACTTAGTTTTGGTTTGGGCATAGAACTTGAATATAAATGTGTAGTTTAAAAAACGCTTCCCATTGAACAACGTTTTTTGAAATATAGAATTTTAGAATTTAGTAGCACCAGAACACCTTAATAGCAATCCCTACATGAAACTTTTGAATTGAGGCAGTACAAAACTCATGCATGATTCAGACTCTTTCTTCCTCTGTAAAAGCTATCAACAATATTCCAGATGATAAGTTCTTTATCATCCTGTGTCTTGAGTCACTGATGGTACAGAGATCTAAATTGATCTATGTTGTATACGTAGTATGAGTGAGATATAAACTTGTGTGTGTCAAACTATAGAAATTTGGAGGGTTTGTTGTTACAGCGCTGTAACCTACCCCATCCTGACTAATCCACCTAGTAAAGTCTTACATTGAACAAGTACACAAGAGATTTATTCACTTAAATGTATTGGAAAAAATTGATAAAACACAGTTAATTTTTCTGACTTATGGCCCACATCTTCTGAATTTTAGGAAACTTTAGTTCATGCATAGAGACTAAAAGAAACATAAGAGAGACATAGACCCAAAAAACTGTTAATACAAAATCAACCTCTGTTAAATGTTGTAATGGAAAAATAACTAAAGGGCTCTGGGAGCAGAATGAGGTTAGATTAACTCTGCTTTGCAGATCTGAGAAAGACCCAAGGAGGATATATCATTAAATTATTAAATCTATGCCTAAAGAACTTCTCTGGGTGGTGATGAGAAGCAACAGAAAGGAAAGAATATGATTAAAAGCCCACCCTGCAGTTCTCTTGGTTTATTGAGCTACAATAATAATTACATAAGAGCCTACAATAGTCCCCTGTGGTTTTGACAACAGATAAAATCAAAAGATCATTTTCTAGCTGCTGAATGATCTCACTAGAAGTCTGCTTGAGGAAGATGATACTTCATGTAGGTAGCTCATGTAGAGATTGCTGTTAAAGTGTTCTGGAGCTGCTACATTTTAAAGTCTATATTTTTTAAATGTTATTTAATGAGCAGGGGCTTTTCTTATAATAACTTCCTATTCAAATTCTTCTCTGTCAAAAAGAAAAGTAAGTTAGAGATCAAATTAGCAGAGGCTGTTTGGACATACGCTTGCTATAGTGAAGGAAACATCTACCAACACTTTAACTTACATTTCATCACGTTCACCAATTCTAGACTTATATCATGATCCTTCCCAAGAGGGTTCTGTCAAGGTGGGATTCTCCCTTACGTGGTAAGCAATGAACTCCGCTTTGTCTTATAAACAGGTTGTTTTGGTGACGTTTTAGGGAGCCAGCATTCAACAATCACCACTTTTCCAGTCCCTAATATTAGTTTACTCAGTTACCACCTATAACCTGACCACCAAACCAACATGATACAACTTTGTTCTGCATCACCCCATCTCAGTTACCAATTTCCAAGTTAGTCAAGACAGACAATTGGGCCAGGCGCGGTGGCTCACACCTGTAATCCCACCACTCTGGGAGCCTGAGGCAGGTGGATCACCTGAGGTCAGGAGTTCGAGACCAGCCTGGCCAACATGGTGAAAGCCTGGTCTCTACTAAAAATACAAAAAATTAACCACACATGGTGGTGGACTCCTGTGATTCCAGCTACTCGGGGAGACTGAGGCAGGAGAATTGCAACCCAGGAGGCAGAGGAGCCGAAATTGAGCCATTGCACTCCAGCCTGGGCAGCAGGAGAGAAACTCAGTCTCAAAAAAAAAAAAAAAAAAAAAAAAAAAAAAAAAAAAAAAAAAGGACTACTTGTACTGTGATAACAAATAACCATAAAATCTCAGTGGCTCAATACAACAAAAGTAGATTTTTTTGCTTGGATTACATACGCAACATGAGTCAAAATAGGGCCATGCTTCATAGACTGACAGAAGCACCACCATCTGGGACATTATCATCCACCAAGGTAGAAGAAAGAGAAACCACAGGATCATTCATAGGTTTTTTGCTGCCTCAGCTTAGCACTGACAAGTATTTCATTGGTCAGAACTATCCAGATGGTCCACCTAACTTCATGGGGCCAGGGAATACGGGAAGCGTATTTGACGAGAATTATTGTCCCTGACACACTAATGTTGTGTAAAATTTTCAAAATAAGAAAAGTGAAGATACTTCCAGCAAGGGGCTTCAAATCTGGTGAAACAAAAACACTATAAAAACACAAGATCCATAATATATACCCTCCTGAAGTCACTTGCATGTGGAGCTGCCTCAAAGCCAAGACATGATAATTTGCAAAGAACTATCAGCAGACAGGCTGGTTCTAGACCCCACCCCCAGACCTTGCTCCAATCTAGAGAAGAGTCTAAATTGTTTGTATGTGCTCTGAACTGCTCCCCTCCTTTACCCACTCCAATGTTCCCTTGATCAGATTTAAACTGGGAACATTTGGGAACTTAAAAATGACCTTCTAACTGAAGGACTCAGCAGTTCCAGGTAATGGTATAACTAAGTTTAGCCTACCTCAAAGTCAACAGGAATAAAGTGACTTGAAAAATCATAAAATCACCCCCAGACACTGGTAGATGAGTAAGGTCACCACCGCCACATTGGAAGCTCTATTTAGTTTGGGCATCACTGCAATCCCCAATTCACTCCTGGGGTGGGTCATTTGGCTGATGGAAATCTAGCTCCTCCATGGGGCTCTGCATTCAGAATCCTATTTGAGTGCTTTAGAGCCTAGCCTTGGATCTAATCAAGTCCAATAATTCGCACGTCTGTTCTCATTCATTTGAATGGTGAGATGTCTGTTGGAATTAATATGATCCTGAGTCTCTGGATGTCAAAGCCCCAATAAATTGAGATAAACCACCCCCAAAAGACAGAGTAAGTGATAGCCCTTCTCCAGGAAGCCCCTCTTGAGCAAGAGTGATGCCATGTTGACCCCATAAAGCTCTCTCCACAGTACTGTATCTATTCATGTGTCTATTCCCAATCTAAGAATAGCTACAAGCAAAACAAAACAAACACCCAGAATTGAAATGCATTTCTCTGCCAGGAGGACAGACTGCAGAGCCGCAGGTGCTCAGGAACATGAGACAGCCCTCTCCAGACCAGCCAAGCCATGGAAAATAACCACCATGTTTGCATGTTTAAAAAATAAATTATTTAAAATGTACACTTCTCCCACTTACTTCACATTTCATTTTGTCTTTACTCCCATCCCCCCAAAGGTAAGCCATGCTGGTGGTTCTTGCAATTATTTCAACCACCTGAAAAGGCACTAACTTCATCTGTGGAATCAGCCTGTCATGCTCTATGTATCTATTCAGTATGATGTGAAATCCCTTTTCTTTGAACTGTACAAATGAAATCAGATAGAAGAACAAGGGCTTATACCTCATGTAGGGAGTGACTAGGGGAGCCCCACAGAGAGGCAAATTCAATTGCATCAGGATAGAACACATCTAAGAGGGAAGAAGAAGGTGAGGAATTTTGCAGAGAAAGGCCCTGGAATCTTGGTTGTTCTGTAGCTGAGGCCTTGACTATCAACTTCAGAGGATAGGGAGGTAGTAGGAGAAACAGTATTCAGAGTCTGAGCTGATGACAAGTGACAAAAGGGTATCCAAAGCATGAATCCAGTAGAAGGACTTTTTAGAAACCCTGTTTGCATTGGTTAAGAATACCCTGAAAGAGAATGGTCTTTACCAACATAGAGAAGTAACACCCAGCAGTAAATTGCTGAAATGGTGCTAGGATGAGGGTGGAAGAAACCTTAATTCAGGTCTTAAAATAATAGAATCTTAGAATGAGGTCATTGATTCCATCTGTTAATTTTATAAAGAAACTGAGGCTCAAAAAGATGGTGTGAGTGGCCCAAAGCCAAAGCCACAGAGTTCCTTAGGGCACTGCTTTGCAAACAGGTTTTAGGTGAATTCTCACAAACTTCCATTTTAAAATGAAAGCTAAAAGCATATATCATTGTTCAGTTATCATAGTTGGAGTTCTCCCAGAAGTAGACCCTAAGACAAAGACTAGTTTGCAAGTTTGGGAGGTATGGGAAATACTGGTAGGATACTGGGGAAATAAAAGTGAGATGGCCAGAGTGCTAATAAAGCAGTAAGACAAGAAATGGTGTGTTAAGCAAGTCATCCCTCTGGGAACCTGGAGATTATTCAGCTGATCTTCTGGGATCAGTTGGAAAAGTCTGGGAGATGTAACAGAACATGTAGTTTGGAGTTCTACTTGTGGAAAGAGGGAGCCAGGGTCTTTATCCATCAATTCCTATCTATCATTGGTTGAGAGGGCTGTGCCTAAAAAGAAATAATTTTCTGGCCCTTTCGGCCTTGTCTGCAAGTGAGTTGAACAGAGTTCCATAGCTTTGGAAAAAGTCCTCAGACAAAAAGAAAATTAGCAGAGTGCATAGAAATGAAAAGGTCTGAAGGATACATATGAGGCAATAATGTGTGGTTTTCTGGAGATCCACTATATATTTAGCTATATTTCTGCTCATCTCTCAATATGGCTTTGTGTCCCTACCCAAATCTCATCTTGAATTGTAATTCCATAATCCCTACATGCCATGGGAGGGACCCAGTAGGAGGTAATTGAATCACAGAGGTGTTCCACCACCTATGTTGTTCTTATGATAATGAGTGAGTTCTCATGAGATCTGATGGTTTTATAAAGGGCTTTCCCCTTCACTTGGCACTGATTCTCTCTCCTGCCGCACTGTGAAGGAGGTAGGTGCCTTCTGCCGTGATTGTAAGTTTGCTGAGGCCTCCCCAGCCATTCAGAACTGTGAGTCAGTTAAACCTCATTGCTTTATAAACTACCCAGTCTTGGGTAAGTCCTTATAGTGGTGTGAGAACGGACTAATACACCTCTAGTCCATAGATAATTAAGAGGTGAACACACCCACTTTTCTCCTGTTCATCATGTGACACATTTCCTTACAAGTATAATAGGGTTGGCATGTGCTAAAAAGCTGCCTCAATAACCCAGTTTTGCCCTTGATCCATTTTTGCAAATTTCATACCATAAATGCTACATCACTGATTTGACATACACATAATGTACTTTATAGCCTGAACTACCTGTTTATCAACATACTATTACAATACACAGCACAGATACACAAGTATGTTGTTCATTTTGTTAGCTTCCAAATTGGTATATGTATGTCTCAAATTTCTAAATATTATAGCATTTTAAATTTAATGAACCATGAGAAGGTTGCTTTGATACCTATAATTCAGCTCATGGAATTTGGAAATATGACCTAATCCCCAGTGTCTTTGTTAATATATCAAAGAGGCATAGTAGATAGGCATATGTCACATCACCCTTGCAAATAAGCAAGTACATCTTACCAAACTTGAAGACTGTGTCTCAAATAAAACTGTATGCTTTCAGCTGATGCCGCCTGAAAAACTGTTTGGAAAGTTGATTTTTAGAATAGTTAAATTTAGAGTCATTTTAATGTACAAATCTCTGACAAGAACTAGAAGTGCAACCTATCACCCTGAAAAAAGATAAAATAAATGTAGATTTAAAAAGGACTTGAATTTTTTTAAAGCCCTCAGAAAATGTTACCATTTAGTAATGACATTCCCTATTCATTTGACCTCAGCTTGACACACTGAATTGCTCTGAACAGCTGTGGCCAGACACATAAGTTCCACATCTTAACTCTTGCTTTTCTCATTTGTACAGAAATGTACATTAAAAGAATACCAAGGCTAGGGCCAGAGACAATAAAAGAAGCAAAGTCACAAGTAATTATAAAATCCACATCTACCAGTGCAAAGAGGTTACCAACATTTCCCTGAAAACTTTGATAACATTCCACATGGTAATAGCACAAACTTAGAGATATGCCATGCTTCTTACCTGATTCCATGGATTCAAAATGCCTGGATTAATAATACCTGAACTCATGTCTCTCAAATTAAAATAAAGAGGAACTCGTGTGACTGTTGGACTACTAACTGGATTATAATATAATTATAAGGGATGTAAAGTACAGGAGGAAGTATTGGGTTATTTCAAAAATGCTTATGAAACGAGTGGATCTACAAGCTAATTCTCATGCACGTGTTGGCTATATTTTCTATAATGTGATGCCAGAGTGACTCAGCCCCATAAAGCTGGAAGAGAGCAATATACTTTGTGATCTCACTTTTCAGTGATTCTTCGCAGTTCTCAACCCTGGCCACACATTAGAATTACCTGGAAAACTATTAAAAAACACACTGCCCAAGCCTCACCTGGCATCTTTGAGGTTAAACCCAGGAATTGAGATGATTTTAATGTTCATTCAGAGTTGAAAATCACCGCTCTTTTTTAGTAGGAAAAGCAACAGTGCAAATGGCCTTAATAGATACCTTTATTAGTTTGCTACAAAGCCATGATAATACATACTCAGTTGTCTATAGAAATAGATATTTTATTTTTAAAGTAGATAATGAATATATTGATGTAGTCCTTCATCAGAGCTTCACTGAGCACCTACTATGTGCCAGAATTAGCAATAAGTATTATGTGAACAAAAATTAATAAAATACGGTTGCTGGCCTTGGGTGTAAGTGGGAGGAAACACATTTGTTAATTAGACAATTATAATGTTCTGGAATAAATGCTTTAACAGGTCTTATACGGATAAAAATAAAAAATGAATCAACTAATTCTACCTAAAGCAGTCAGAGGGGGCTTCATAGATGATGAAAAAATTAACTTTTCACTGAAGGAAAGTTATATTATGAAAAACTTGAAAAAAGATTTGATGCGAGTTCTAAAAACACAGGCCCCTATAAGCAAACGACTTGAATAGACATTTCTTCAAAGAAGATATGCAAATAGCCAATAAGTACATGAAAAGATGCCTAACATTACTAATCATTAGGGAAATGCAAATCAAAACCACAATGAGCTACCACATCACACCATTTAGAATTACTACTATAAAAATAAAAACAAAACAGAAAATAACAAGTGTTGACAAGGATGTGGAGAAATTGGAACCCTTGCGCACTGCTGGTAGGCATGTAAAATGGTATAGCCTCTATGGAAAATAGCATAGCAGTTCCACAAAAAGTTAAAAATCAAATCACCGTATGATCCAGCAATTCTACTTATGGGTATATACCCAAAAGAATTGTAAACACAGTCTCAAAGAAATGTTATACCCGGGTTTATAGAAGCATTATTCACAAGCTAAACACCGAAACAACCCAAGTGTCCATCAGTAAATGAATGGATAAACAAAATGTGGTATATACATACAATGGAATATTATTCATCATTAATTTTGACATATGCTTCATATAATATGAATGGACCTGGAGGACATTTTACCAAGTGTAATAAGCCAGTCACAAAAAGATAAGTACTGTACGATCCCATTTATATGAGGTACCTAGAGTAGTCAAAATTATAGACAGAAAGCAGAACGAGGGTTGCTGGGGACTGGAGGGAGAAAGAATAGGAAGTTATTGTTGAATAAGTATAGAGTTTCAGTCTTGCAAATGAAAGACTTCTGAAGATTGATGGTGATAATAATTGTACAACAATATGAATGTACTTAATCATTGAACTGTACACTTAAAAATGGTCAAAATGGTAAATACCATGTTATGTGTATTTACTGCAATTAAAATATTGGAAAAAATATGTAGGCTCCCAGTGCTTTCTCAGTAGCAGCACTTTGTCCTCAGTTTGGAAGGTTTTCTTGGGCTACCCAGTGATCCTAAATAAGCAATTCCTCACTGGGGTGATGGTACTGCTCCAGTAGAGTACCAATGAGGTGGACAAGATTAAAATTTAGGGTGGCATTTGGCTGGGCAGGGGTTTTTACACAAGTCTGTCTTGACATACCCACAGCCAGAATGGCATGACTTCAGAGTCAGTTAGAGAAAGCTATGGTTTAAATAAGGCACTCTAAGTATGAATACAAACTCCAGAAACACTGTAAGAAGAAATAGGAGTGACCAGAAATAGTATTAAAGTGAAGGAAAATTGGAAATAGGAAGGTGGGATCTTGGGCAATTGCTGGAAATCCTGGGTGGTGGTTGGGTTAAACCATTCCTCCCATTCCCATTGCTCAGGAACAAGACTTTACTAAGATACTGGCTAGAGTCTGGTATTTATTTCACTGTGTATCCAGCTCCTCATCTTGAGTCACTGGAGCTGGGTCCAAGAGTGTAGGATGGAAGACAAAACTGAATTGGCTGATAAAATAGGAAGAGGTCATGGACAATGACAGAGAAAGACATCTATGGAATTGTTGCCTTTGGAGGACCCTGAAAAATGTTCTTCCAATCTGTAGGAGTCAGTGTTTGTTCATTCAACAAATCATCTTTATGTGCACTTAGTATTTGTCAGGCACAAGAAACAAGGCACAGGCTCTGCCCTTCCAGAGTTTACAGTCTAGTGGCAGAGATAAACACATATAATACTGTAAATTACCAGAAAATGGGAACTATACTTTCTATGTGTATTTATTTCCCTTATCTCCCCAACCCCATCCCTATCACTATTACAACCATTGTTCTTAGAAGTGTTCTGTAACTTAACGAGAGGATAAATGAATGGTTTAAATATCTAACAACAGAACTCTGTATGTAAAAAGCCTGAGTTGAAAGAAAGTCTTTAAAAATCTACAGAACAAAGCTCTTACTTTATAAATGAAAAAGTAGTATTAAGAGAAATTGTAACTTGCTCAAGGTCGTAGCTAGAATCCGTAACTTTTATTTTATCCATGGCTATTTTTGCAAGACCTTTAGATGTTGACAAAAGCCTTTCTGGTAGTCCCAGTGAAAATTTCTCTGTGGGAAAACTTGAACCTTAAGAAACTTACAGAACACCATAAACTACAACAATATTTCTCAAAGTAAGAATAAACAGTAATATATGACTAAGCGGATTTTGAATAAAAGAAGCTTAATAGAGGAAGGAAGACACTAGCCCTCCCAGAGTTTAATGTATTATAAAGCGATAATGATTAAAGATCTGATAAGACTAGATAGACAAAGTAATGGAAGAGAATATGTAACTCAGAAACAGAGCTACATATATCAAAATTTAGAATGGTATAAAATGTGTATCACAGATGAAAAGGCAATTTAAAATTATTTTTAAAGGCATTAGAACATTTTACAATAAAATTTTAGCTGGAGTAAGGAATTAAATGTAGAAGAAAGAATGGCAAAAAAGAAATAAAAAAAGTAA
The DNA here is from genome assembly GCF_000001405.40 of Homo sapiens. Classification (NCBI taxonomy): domain Eukaryota; kingdom Metazoa; phylum Chordata; class Mammalia; order Primates; family Hominidae; genus Homo; species Homo sapiens. The sequence goes on along the minus strand of NC_000008.11, from coordinate 104,874,830 downwards.
GCAAATATTTATCAAGTATTTGGAGGTAGAAAGGCTTTTATAGCTTATATGTGGTAAAGAAATTCAAAGTGATTGGTATGGTTATAAAATGTTAAAGTTGGAAGGTTCAAAACTTTACAAAATTAAAAGGCAAGCACAAAGAAAATATTTGCAACAAGTATAACAAAGCATTAATACTTCTATGCATTAAAAACTTATAAATTGATAAAGAAAATGCCACAAACCTATAGGGAGGAAACAAGAATGAACAATTTATGAACATAAAATCAAATTGCTAACCAGCACATGGGAAAATACTTTATGTCAAAGGCCATCAAGACATATATTCACCTATGAGCCAGGAGCACGTCCCAGACAACACAATGAAAAGAAAGAAGTAATTACTAGCACAATTTCGCTCAGATTATGAAACCGGAAAATACTCATTTGTTTCATGTAATGCCCTCAGGCCAAGCCTCAAATTCCTTAAATACAAAACTCTTGGGGGTCTACTTACATTGCACTTTCAAAACAAAGTAATTTAATGTTGAAAGATTGTTGAAGGAAGAAATGAATAAAAGAACAAATGTATGAATGAATGAGTTAGTTAAACCTTAGCACCATTTACGACTTTAAAATTTAGACAAAATATATTAAATAGCAGAAGAAAATCAACAAATCGGAAGAAAGCAACAATAGGGAAATTCAAAGTATTTGGGATTACTAAACTATATATTTAGCTAAGACGATGCAGATCAAGCCATGTCTATTCTTTGACTTCAGCAACACAAGTAGTTTTGTAAATAGAGGAGTACATTCTGATAATACAGTAAGTGTGGTGTCTATCAATTATCAAAGAGATCAAATAGTCCTTTTAGGGGTAGTTGCAGAAGGTATATGAATATTTAGCTGGAGGAAGCACCCATCTAATTGCTATTCATTGGAGCAGAAAGCAGAACAATGACAGTTACAGAAGCCGCCTGCCTTTACATTTGATCTAGGATAGGATGACTCTCTAGAAAAAACCTCACCGCTCCCCGCCGCCCCCCCACCGCCCCCCGGAGGTTGCAGTGAGACGAGATCGCGCCATTGCACTCCAGCCTGGGCGTTAAGAGTGAAACTCCAACTCAAAAAAAAAAAAAAAAAAAAAAAAAAAACAGAGAAAAAGCCTGACCCTGACCCAAGAAACAGGAGGCCTGCATTCCAGTCCTGAAGAGAGATCAAGAATAGAATCTTAGGAAACCACAAATCGGACTGTGAAGGAACCAAGAAGGATGATCAAGGAGAAACAGGAGAGTGTGGTCAAAACTGAAAAGAACGAAGAGAGGTAGGGAGTGGTTAACAGAAGGACACATCTTAAAGAAATAAACAAAGATGGTGACTAAAAACAAAGCCATTAGAGAACATAATGAAAACTGTTTCATTAGCGTAGGAGGAGCATCAACCAGGTTCTGTGAACTTTATACATAAAGTATATGAAAGTGAAGAGCTAATGTAAAGGAAGTAAAAACATCAACCGTAAAACATTATTTTCAAGAAGTTTGATGGTAAAGGAATAGTAGGATTGCTTTGAACTAAAATTGGTGAATTTAAAAACTGAATAAATTAATATATGCCAAAACAATACGCATGCATTTACTTGTTATGACAATTAACCCTGGATAAATTGTTCTGATTTTTAACAAATTATTTAAAATTTTATGTTGCATTTTTGGATTCAAAAACTCTCAATATTTCTTAATATATTTATTAGTGTTCTTATATTATTTCAATAACCACAGGACCCTAATGACTAGTAGACTTTTGTACATGGAATCAAATGATTTCCTCTCCCATCCCCATTCTTCAATGCAGCATTATTTAACAATCATTAAGCATCAGTAACTTTACTTCAAGGTCTTTTGGTTTTCTCTTGACCAGGTAACCTTTGGAAATATAACTCTTGCCATGTAAACTTTTGTCAGCCACACCTTTTCACAGAGATATTTCTTCTATATGCCATCTGCCTTGCCAAAAAAGTACCCTTGTTATAAAGTTAATAGGAAGAAGTTTAATTAACAGAAACAATTTATTCCAAAAAAAAAAATTCACAAAAACTAAATACTCAGAAAAGCCCTAGGCTGTTTGTGTCAGAGTTTTAGTTAAATTCTCAGGCAATGAAGGAGAGAAAGAAATGGAAAATCAGGGTGGCTTCAGAAGCCCTTTATGTTGCCGTATTCGTTCCTAAATCTTGCTTTTGTTTTAATTCTTCCACAGTCATCTTTCTTCCTAATCTCCATGGACTCTATTTCTGCCTATTTGCATTCTTGGCAAGGCCACATCAGGGAACCCGGAGAGGGCACTGTAGCTATGCTCCTACTCAGTTAACTTTCCATTTAGAACATGGATAGAGGTTCATCTGGACTTGACATCAGAATGTCAATAGCCACCTCTACTTGATCAGATTTCTATAATGAGAAATGATTCTCTCTCTCGGAGCTTCCCTATCAAATGTTCTCATGCCCAGGATGGGACAAGCATGTTTTGTAACGGGAGTTATTTTTTAACGAGGAGCCAAAAACTTTCCCCTAATCAGAAATATAATTGGATAATTGATCTAGTACCAGGATTCACACTCTCAAAAGTGCAGGGCTTCCCAGGCCTGGCCCTGGGAAGTAGAGAATTCTGAAAGATTTATTCTAGAAAGGAAGTCAACTATATAAACACACTAGGAAGACCAGAATCTAGACATTCTGGTTATGTCATAATGCCATTCTGGCTGGCCAACCTGACCCATACAAACCTTTCAACAACATGTACAGAGACTGTTGGTGAGCTCAACCATGACAGGAAATGGTTCAAGTGTCAAATACTGGCCTAGCCAACCCAAGAAGACTGAACACTGCATTCACAATACCCAGAAATACTACCACATTATGCTGCATCTCTGACTTCCTCTTCCCTCTACCATAAGAATACCCTGGTAGCTGTGGTACATTTAGACCCCTAATCTTTCAACTCCCATCTTCCTTACCTCTAACCTACCTACTTCATCTGACCACAGACCCTAGTTGACAGGTCTGCTTTAGATAAGCTTGTTTAAGGCCTTTCACATTCATGTCCACTTAGCCATTGTTGGCAGATGGACCCATGGAGCATATTAATGCCTAGAAAAATTCCTCCATCAATAACCCATCAGCAATTGTAGTTAAACCCCCTGCCCACCCCCACCTCATTCCTGAATCTGCTTCTATCAATATCCACTTTCACAGCAGCTCTGGCATCCACGCCGGTTTGCATCATTCATCAACAAGCTAAATCCAAAAAAGCCCTGCCAAAATTCTGATGATACCAGATGAGGAACCCTTGTATGTGTAGGGAAGAGCTGGGCTCCTGATGATGTCAGATCCTGGCCCACCTGGAAGTATAAAATGCAAACTCACTGGCCATTAGTACCTTTCACCAGGTAAACACGGGGAAATCTCAGTGTGGTTCTGGCTAAGGGAGCAGCCAAATAAAAGTACATGATTTACTGGTGTCTGTTGCTTTATATGATCCTGGTTCATTCTCACAAGGGACCTTCAGAGCAGCATCAAAACATGTTAAGTTTCAATATTACCCCCAAAAATGTAAAATACAAAATGTTTATATTGAGCATGTTTTTAAACACTGCAATAATAATAATTCAGATATATTGGGTTAAATAAACTCAAATATAATAATAATTTAAAAAACAAAAAGATTTTAAGCTTAAGAATTCCTCCAGGCCTACCTCCCCTTCTTTGGTTTTTTTAACATCTCATTCTGAGGCTTCCCTCTGTCTCAGGCTCACATGACTTTATAACTTAGCCTGCTTGCTCACTCTTTCTCTCTCTCTGTAATCATTTCACTCATCATTTACTCTGTTTGTGTTCTGGTATTTTTTAGGACACTCGGCTCTCCATTCTTCAAGCCTTGCACCCTGCTCAGGTCCCCAATTTACCATGAGAGCGGGGACAAGCAGGTTCCTAACCCTGTTTCTTCCCAGAGCCCACAGCTATTGCTAACTGAATCCTCCCCTTTCTCAAAATAGCCCATAAACTTTGAGTTGGCTCACTTCAGTCCAACTCTGAGCTTTCTGAATGCCGTCACCACCACCCACCTGTCCACCCCACTGTAGGGTCAAATTGCAAAGAAGATCAATCATAACCCTTCTGAATTTCCTCACCCTTCCACTTACCAGCCCTATGAAACTTTGTCCTGCCTCTGCTACCACTTCAGTAAAATATAAATAACATCTGTGTCTAATATACCTACTATTGAGGAGATTGAAATGTTTAAAACACATGTGAAGTATCTATACATAGCAAATCTTCAAAAAATTATTAGCTTCATTTACTATTTCTGCTCATAGACTCTTGCTACCAAAAAAAAAAAAAAAAAAAGACACAAACCAGCTCTTTTAATGTTTGCACTTGGTAATTATTCCAAGATTTAATGTAGTTCAAGAAAATAATGGAAAATAAAAAGCAAGAACTAATAGGTTCTCCTTCAGCTAGCCACCAAGCTCATTGTGTTTTTGGTTTTTGTTTAAAAAAAAATAATCTATTGGGAGGCCGAGGCGGGCGGATCACGAGGTCAGGAGATCGAGACCATCCCGGCTAAAACGGTGAAACCCCGTCTCTACTAAAAATACAAAAAATTAGCCGGGCGTAGTGGCGGGCGCCTGTAGTCCCAGCTACTTGGGAGGCTGAGGCAGGAGAATGGCGTGAACCCGGGAGGCGGAGCTTGCAGTGAGCCGAGATCCCGCCACTGCACTCCAGCCTGGGCGACAGAGCGAGACTCCGTCTCAAAAAAAAAAAAAAAAAAATAATAATAATAATAATAATAATAATAATAATAATCTAAAGAATCTCACACCCGCAAACAATTCCTTCAAAGTTTAATTCATTTGTATTTGTTTCAGGGAAGTAGAACATCTGTCTCCCCACACCTCTCCCTGGCTCCTGCTCCTTTCTCTGGAATGTTATATGTTTTTTTTAAACCTCAGAGACATACCATTAGGTTAATAATTTGGAATCAAAAATGTCTGTTTTATTTTATTTGTTTTCTTCTAGTTTGATAAAGTAGCAAATATTACTTGACTTGTCCCTAAAGTATTCAGTGTTAGATTTCTTTCCTTACCAAGAAAATGGCATATACAGTAATTCTTCTTCTACTGTATATAAATTCCAAATGCTACCTTAGCAGAATTATGAAATAAAAATGAATGCTTTTTAAAGCATTTATGGGGACTGGGGAATAAATGATAGAATTTTCTTATATTTCTTGTATATGCAGATAACAGATACATTTAATGCAAGAAGGAAATAGAATTTTAATAGAATTTTTAACTAAAGATCTTGAAACAAAACTAGACATACATTTTAATTGAATTTCTGGCTCAAATTACAGCAAACCATTATAAATCATTAGGAATCAGTTTTAAAACTGCTTTCACTTTTCTCCGTATTACAAACACAGAGGTAAGCTTTTACAGCTTCAGATAAGTGTTAATAAATTACCCGAATTTCAAAATTAATGGCTGCCCGGCTGCTTTGGGGAGATATCATTGTGTTTCATGAATATTTTGATTTTGTGATTAGATCAAAATGCACTGAATTCCTAAACAGTCATAACCAAGGTCTGCTGATCATAAACTGTTCTTTTTTAATAAATTATATTCCTCACAAATCTGCTGATATGGAATAATTAGAAATTGGTTGCCTGCATTTACTGTAATATTTGCATGACTTTAGATCTCCACCTACTGATCTAGAGGCTGGCAGGAAATGTACATTTTGTACATTTCTAAATATACCTTGCCTGCAGAGATAATGGTTTATATTGTGATGGGAAGAAGGTTTTTATTTGCAAAAAACAAAGAGGTGTCACTTGCCAGTTCTGGAAGACATTGATTAGGCAGTTTATGTCATTTCTATTCAGAACTTATTATTTACAGCTTCCTTGTTTCCTTTCCTTTGTAAGAGATAAAGATCTGTATCTTGTAAACTGCTTAAAGAGTGTCTATTTTGTCTTTTTAGGGAGTCTTGAAATACATTTCATAGAATGCAAGCATCCTGAAACTAAATGTAAACTGAGTAAAATACAGTATCCCAATCTGTAGACTATCTCCAAGGGTAATCTTTAAATTAAGCAATACATAAATAGTTACACTGAGGAAAAAGAGAAAGTCCCCTGTGTAAATCCATCCTTTACCATGTAAAGCACACGTATATAAATTTGAACCTAAACAACCTACACCATGTAATCTGATAATTAAGTGCAGTCATATTGGAGAAAACGCTGACTGCACAAAGACTATTTTTATTCTTTTAACTCTAATGATCTTCTAAAAATTGAGTAACCTCAGGAGCTAAAAGTCGGTGTTTTAGAATATCCCAATACAATAATATTTATGGAACATTTCTTCAAGGTTTAGTGAAAGAGAGGTTTTCAACAACGGGGCAAGAACAACTCTTGATAAAATCCAGAGAAAGTTTCAGGAGAAGGATGCAGAAGAGTTTCCGCAGCTTCTCACCATTTGGAAGCATGGGAAGTAAAGAAGGGGCCCCTGGGAGCATCATTTACTGTAGTAATGATACAACTGTCTTCCTCTGGGCCTTCATAAGCCAGAGCCAAGGAGTCATAAGCCTAGTATTACCACAACACATTGCAATATTTTCATGGGTCTTTGAAGTTAAAATGAGGCTTAAATCGGTTGCCTCACTTGTGGTTTATGGCACCTGGCATTTTTTTTAAAGTGCTTTAAGGCTAGGCCAGTGACAGTTGCTCACTGTTGGGATTCTTTGCAACTCCTCAGCTTACCACAAACACAAGAGGATGTAAAAAGAGTGTCTAGATTCAAATGACTAAGAGTCCATGGCAAGCCTTTCCACGAGAAACATTTAACCTTAATAGAAGACTCTACCAGTCCAACACAGTAAATGCACAAATGTTCATTTGTTTGTAAGAAAAATAAAAGTGGGAGAACATTCACATTTATAATTGGGCAGACAGGCTTACTATCGTGTAGCATGTTAGCAAATATATCTAAGAATCTACCCTAAAATTCTGATTAGATTCCATGAAAGCTAATAAGAAAGAGCATAAACTAAAATTCATTAATTATTGTATATACCTCCTGGAGCTGTTAAGTGGATTGAATGAAACAAAGCATGTGAGATGCTTAAGTGCCTGGAGTATAGTAAATAATAAATACTACAAAACAACACAAAACAAACAAATAAAACCCAATGGAAATACTAAGAATTTTGTAGAGACAAACTTTCAGCATGGATTTTTTTTTGTTTTCATCTGACCTCTTTTACACATTCATTCTGTTTTCAGCCATCTGCAATTTCTACATAAATCTTTATTTATGCTTATATTTGCACTGAAAAACATTCAGGTGAAAATCTTTTTTTTTGTTGTTACTCAAAAGAGAGGGCATCTACATTAGTCATATATGTCAGTATTTGCATAGACAGAAAGTATCTCTATAGCCACAAGCAACTCTGTGCTCTTTAATGTAAGGTGGAATCTGCATTGTAGAAACACATTTTCCCAAAAATCAACCCTGTCATCAGAAAGCTTAATCATGTTAAAATATATTCTTCCCTCTGAATATATTTATGCACATAGATTTATATTTTTAAATTTTTTAGCTAGTTCTATTCCAAATATATGATTACTATTTTAAATAAAGAAGGCTTTTCTAGTAACAAAGAGTGGGTTGCTCAAGAATGATTTATCCACTTAAATATTTATTGAGCATCTGTTCTGTCCCAGGTACTATGCTAGACCCTTGGGATACAGGAATGAATAGGGCCAGGTACCAGTTTCAGGAAGCTGAGTCTATTGGGCAGAGAGAAAACTTCATGTTCAGTTATGGTTTATTGTGATCAGCTCTGTGGTGGAAGCATGCATAGAATACCATGAGGCGAAAGGAAGGCCTCAAGAACAGACTAGATGGTCAGATAGAGAACTTGGAGACTGGGAAAACCAGGAGGGGGAAATTGATGAAGCAGAAGAAAAGATAATTCAGAGGACCAACACTTGAGACACAAAGCAGTATATGTTTGAGTAAGTTCATGTATTTCATTAGGCTGAAGCAAATGATGCCTCCAGGTGCCCTGCAAAGTATAAGGCTCCATTTACAATCCATCGGACCATATTTGGGGAATTAGCCCAATTGGGTCTACCTAGCCCAGGTCTAACTAGGAAGGTCATCCTACTAACCACCTTTCCATAGTCAGTTGCAGTCATATGGAAACAAACATTTCAAACATGAGATATACAAAATGGAATTATTGATCTTCTCACAAGACTTACTTCTCCCCCCAGCCTTCCCATCTTAGTCAATGGCACCACCATCTACTCAGTCCCTTAAATCAGAACTACGGAAGTCATTTTTTACATATATGTCTCCTTCAAATAACCCCCATCCACATCTCCAATACTTTCCCAGGCAATTACAGTTCCAGATTATACCTCAAATAACTGCTTCTCTGCATTTCCACTACACCACTAGAGTTCAAACTACCACCACTTTATGTCTGAAATGTTGCACTAATTTTCACTCAAATCTCTTCACCTCCACTCTTGAGCCTTTAGAATAAATTTTTTCACACAAGCCATTTTAAAATGTTAATCTGATCACATACCTTTGGCTTAAAACCTACAATAATTATTCTCTGCCCTTAGAATCAACTCTAAATCTTTACTCCCCTTCTTCTCTGGTGATACAGTTGCATCTGGACAATAGGTGTCTGGACAACAACTGGAACTTGCCGTTCTTCTAGGATCTAGATGTGACCATATAATTAGGTTCCAATGATGATTCCAAAATGAATGCGAATGATGTGTGCCATTTCCACACCCCAGTCTTCGCACATGGGATGCCCACACCCTTATGCTCTCTCACATTTCCACCAACTAAATATAGCAACAACAGAAGCAATCTTGGAAGAGGAGTATTGAGGATGGCAGAACACTTCTGTTAGCCTACATCTGTGGATGAATCTGCCAAGCAGAGACCCCTTAGCTTTCCCAGACTCTTTTTTGAGAAAGAAATTTACTGCCATCTTGTTTGAGCCATTGCACTTTGGGATCTCTTCTTTCCAGCAACCTGGCTTTCACCCTGATCCACTCACTGATTCTAGTTTATAAGCCTTTCATGACTTGTTCTTAACAACTTCATCTATGGGACTCTCCCTTTGTTCGCAAATGACTTTTTAATGTGACAAGTTCTTTTCTGCCTTATAGCCTTCAAATATTTAGTCCCTTAACTGAATTCCCATTCCCTGTATCTTTGTCCAACCCTCCTTCTCCTGACTTCCATTTATCCTTTAGGTCAAATCTTTAAATAACTCATAAAGGAGGTCTTCCCTGATCCTGGAAAACTAAATTAAGTCTTTTATTTTCTCTCCTATTAATGTCCTGCTCTTTTCTTTCTTTCATTCCTCTCTCTTTCAATAAATGTTTATTGAGCACAGTGTCAAACACTGTGCCAGGGATTGAAAACAAGAGTTTCTGGTAACTAGATAAATAGATGACAGATAGATACATAGATACATGGATAAATACATGGCATGTAGGCTATCAGAAAAGATAGAAACATAAATAAATTAGTGAAATAATTTCATGTTATGGTAAGTACTATGAATGACTTAGAAACTAGTAGAAAAAAACCAGCATTTATTATAATTTCTAAATTATAATTCATTTGTAAGTTTAATTATTCAGTGTCTGTGTATCTCATTATAAGCTTTAAGGGTAAGGTTCTATCCATTTTGATTTCCCCTGTGTATCTGCTGTCTTGTACAAGGCCTGGAATATAGTAAGTGCTCGATAGAGTTTGGCTCTGTGTCCCCAACCAAATCTCATCTCAAATTGTAATCCCCATAATCCCCACTTGTCAAGGGAGGGAGCTGGTGGGGAGTGACTGGATCGTGGGGGCAGTTTCTCCCATGCTGTTCTCATAATAGTGAGTTCTCACGAGATCTGATGGTTTTATGTGTTTGACAGTTCCTCTTTCACATGCTCGCTCTCTCTCTCTCTCCTGCCACCATGTAAGGCATGCCTGCTTCCCCTTTCTCTATGATTGTTAAGTTTCCTGAGGTCTCCCAGCTATGTGGAACTGTGAGTCAATTGAACTTCTTTTCTTTATAAATTACCCAGTCTCAGGTAGTTATTTATAGCAATGTGGAAACAGTCTAATACATATGCTCATAATATAAGCATAAAAAGAGGAAATGCTTCTTGAAGATTTATGCTAACAAGGCCCAGAATTCAGGGTATACATTTGTGACTTCTATGCTTCTATTCCCAATCCTGAACTCACAACTCTGACAAGCATTAGTATTCTCTAGGCACCCTTTTCTTCCAGGCCTGCATATTATCTTAGAACACTTCTTAACACTATTCTGGGACATCACTACTAATTTTCACTTTAGTTTTTATTATTTCCTTTCTTCTACTTGCTTTAGGTTTAGTTTGCTCTTTTCCCCTTAGTATCTTAAGGTAAAGTTAACTATGTGAGATCTTCATTTTTTATTTTTATTTTTTGTGACAGGCTCTTACTCTGTCACCCAGGCTGGAGTGTCGTGGTGAAATCTCAGCTCGCTACAGGCTTGACCCCAAAGGCTCAAGCTATTTTCCCGTCTCAGCCTTCCAAGTAGCTGGATCCACAGGCACACACCACCACACTTGGCTAATTTTTGTATTCTTTGTAGAGATGGGGTTTCGTCATGTTGTCCAAGCTGGTTTCAAACTCCTGGGCTCAAGTGATCCACCCACCTGGGTCTCCCAAAGTGCTTGCTTGTATTACAGGTGTGAGACACTGCGCCCAGCCTATTCTTTTTTAATACAGGCATTTATAGGTGTAAATTTTTCCTTAAGCACTGTTGTAGCATAAGTTTTGGTAATCTTCACTCATCTCAAAGTATTTTCTAATTTCCATTTTGATTCCTTTAATCCATTGGTTATTTAGGAGTATGTTGTGTTGCTAAATGGAGAATTCCACAGATATCAGTCAGGGCTAGTTGGTTTATAGTATTCTTCACATCTTCCGTTTCCTTACTGACCTGCTTAGTTGTTCTATCCATTATTAAAGGTGGGATAGTAAAGTCTCCAACTACTACTGTTGAATTGTCTATTTCTCCCTTCATTTCTGTCAAATTTTGCTTCAGGTATCCTGTTGGTACTCTGTTGTCTAACAGCTAATTTATTGAGCACTGTATTAGTCCATTCTCACACTGCTATAAAAAAAAAACTGCCCAAGACTGGGTAATTTATTTTGAAAAAAGAGAGAGATTTAATTAACTCACAGTCTGCATAGCTGGGAAGGCTTCAGGAAACTTACAATCATGGTGAAAGGGGAAGCAGGCATGCCTTACATGGTGGCAGGTGAGAAAGAGAGAGCACGTGAAGGAGGAATTGTCAAGGACTTATAAAATCATCAGATCTCATGAGAATTCACTCACTGTCATAAGAACAGCATGTGGGAAACCACACTTATGATTCAATTACCTCTCACCAGTTCCCTCCCTCGACAAGTGGGGATTATGGGCATTACAATTCGAGATGAGATTTGGGTGGGGACGTAGAGCCAAACCATATCATTCCACTCCTGGCCCCTCCCAAATCTCACATATTTTTTACATTTCAAAACCAATCATGCCTTCCCAACAGTCCTCCAAATTCTTAACTGATCCCAGCACTAATCCAAAAGTCCAAGTCCAAAGTCTCATTTGAAAGGAGTCCCTTCTGCCTAAGAGGCTATAAAATCAAAGGTAAGTCAGTTACTTCCACGATATAATGTGAGTACAGGCATTGGATAAATGCTCCAATTCCAAATGAGAGAAATTGGCCAAACAAAGGGGCTACAAGCCCTATGCAAGTTTGAAATCCAGTAGGTCAGTCATTCAATCTTAAAGTTCCAAATAATCTCCTTTGACCTCATGTCTCATATCCAGGGCATGCTGATGCAAGGGGTGGGCTCCCAAGGCCTCGGGCAGCTCTGCCCCTGTGGCTCTGCAGGGTACAGCCCCTGTGGCTGTTTTCATGAGCTGGCATTGAGTGCCTGTGGCTTTTGCAGGTACAGGTACAAGCTGTCAGTGGATCTACCATTCTAGAGTCTAGAGGATGCTGGCCCTTTTCTCACAGCTCCACTAAGCAGTGCCCCAGTAGGGATTCTGTGTGGGGTCTCCGGCCCCACATTTCCCTTCTGAATTGCCCTAGCAGAGGTTCTCCATGAGGGCTCTGCCCCTGCAGCAGAGTTCTACCTGGAAATCCAGGCATTTCCATACATCCTCTGAAATCTAGGCAGACGTTTCCAAACCTCAATTCTTATCTTCTATGCACACTCAGGCCCAACATCACACGGAAGCTGCCAAGGCTTGGGGCTTGCACCCTCTGAAGAAACAGCCTGGGCTGTACATTGGCCCGTTTTGCAAATTTTTCAAATTTTTATGTTCTGCTTTTCTTTTAAATAAAAGTTATCATTTCAGATTATCTCTTTGTGAGTACATATGGCTGGATGCTTTCAGAAACAACCAGGTCAACTCTTGAATGCTTTGCTGCTTAGAAATTTCTTCTGCCAGATACCCTAAATCATCTCTCTCAAGCTCAAAGTTCTACAGATCTCTAGGGCAGTGGCAAAATGCCACCAGTCTCTTTGCTAAAGCAGAGCAGGAATAACCTTTGCTCCAGTTGCCAGTACGTTCCTCATCTTCATCTGAGATCACCTCAATCTGGACTTCACTGTCCATATCACTATCAGCATTTTGGTCAAAACCATTCAACAAGTCTCTAGGAAGTTCTAAACTTTCCCAATGTTCCTGTCTTCTTCTGAGCCCTCCAAATTGTTCAAACCTCTGCCCATTACCAAGTTCCAAAGTCCCTTCCACATTTTCAGGTTATCTTTATAGCAGTACCCCACTCTGCCGGTACCAATTTTTTGTATTAGTCCATTCTCATACTGCTATAAAGAACTGTCCAGGACTGGGTAATTTTTAAAGAAAACATGTTTAATTGACTCACAGTTCCACATGGCTGGGGAGGCCTCAGGAAACTTATAGTCATGGTGGAAGGCAAAGGGGAAGCAAGCGCATCTTATGTGGTGGCAGGAGAGAGAAAGAGAAGAGGAAAGGGCCAGACACCTGTCAATCAACCAGACATCATGAGAACTCACTCACTATCACAACAGCAAGGGGGAAATTCACCCCCATAATCCAATCACCTCCCACTAGGTCCCTTTCTCAACAAGTAGTGATTACAATTTGAGATGAGATTTGGGTGGGGCCGCAGAGCCAAACCATATCAGCATATATATTAGGCTTATATATCTAAGAGAATGTTTCCCTGCTAGGATCCTTCAAGTTCTTCAGTAGGCATGTTACCAAGGCACTGGAGTGTCCCTGGGAAAAGATCACTGTAGACAGTCTAGCATTGTTAAGGGGTCAAAGTGGAAGCAAAAGGAGTGCCTTGCTCCATCCTCATATAGTAGTCAGCTAGATGAACTTTCTTTCAAATACCTCCTATTGCCCATGTATATGCTAAGATGTTCAACAGCTGCAGCTCTACTTCTCCAAAGTTATTAGCTGACTCTGAACTCACCTAATTTCTTGTATCATTTTAATATTTATTCTGAAATCTAAAATTCTCCAACATTTATATTTTACAGCATATTGTATACTAATGGTTAAAAGCATGCATTCTGAATCTCGATTTCCTGAGTTCAAAAAATTCTGGTTCTGCAACTTACCTGTATGATGTTAGAGAAGTCACTTAGCCTGTGCCTCAGTTTCCTTACATAAACTGGGGGTAAAAATAACCATATAGGGTCTTTAAAATAATGAATAAATCAATAAATATATTTAAAGTATTTAGAAAACCTATCATACTAATGAAAACATGTTGGCCACAATTATTTTCTACAAAGAATTTGTACATACACCATCTCATTTAATTCTCATAACCAGCTTGGGAACTTGTTTTTTCTCTTCTGACAAATTGGGAGATAGCAGCCCAGAAGCCCAACTTTCCCATGGATCCACAGTTGTAAAATTGGTTTAGGCTCAGTTCTTTCTCCATGCTGCTATGACGCTAGAAAGCAATAGATACACTGAAAACAATATATGGGCTCTGTGACCAAGTAGACTTGGATTGGAACCTCAGGTTGGGGAACCTCAGGTTGCCTACCTTCTAGTCATATTCCTTTCGGCAAGGTCCTTTACCTCTGAGCCATGTTTATAAGATGGATATAATAATTCCTGCTTCATAGAGTTATTATAAAGATTGTTGTGAAAAAATATCTCACATGGTACCTATTACATATTATATGATCAACAAATGTTAATTTTGTTCCTTTTACATCTTCTCTTAGTAATGAAAATATTCCCTCCTTGGTGTGAGCTGTGCTCAAGAAGATCCCTCCGTGGCTGTCAGATCAAGAGAGTCAGCTTTGAAATGCTCTCTCAGTGCTTTGTAATGTTAAACATTTAACACAATTATTGTAAGAAAGGTATGCTCATTATTATTGGATGGGATGAATATTTTAAAATGAGACTTATAATAATAAGATTGTCATGACTGTACTTTTTCAAAATGCCATACACAGAGACAGGAACTTTTGTTTTTTGAGCACCACAAAATAAAACAAAGAGTAAATTTTTTTTTATAAAAAAGTGGTCAGAGGTTCTAGGGGAGGTGATATATATACATGAAGTTAATATTAATAGAATTATGAATGAAACATCTTATCAACCCTAGCCTTTCTAACAGAAATCAAATATTCAGGCTTTTGTGACCTAGTTGAAGATTCACTAGAAATTAGTAGACTTATATTAATGGATGGAAAAATTACTAAAGGTATAAAACAAAGTTTCTATAATTGCATACAATTTTCTTATCCTCTCAACATAGAGGAATAGATTCAAAAGTACTTGCCACATTAATAACTAAAGCAAAGGGACAAAAGAAAGATTCACTTAATATTGTTTTCAAGAAGGGACTGGTAGAAAAGAAAGATACCCCAACCACCTTCCCCAAAGCTAAAGGTTGTAGTTATCATTTGCACTGAGCAAAGAAGGAAAGTAAACAATACTGCAGAGGATACAGAGAGACTAAAATTTTGGGTTTCAACTAAGCAAGAGAAACGCTTCTGCCAAGAAATCTAGGGTAAAAAATGTGATTTGATAAAAGGTGGTCATCAACAGGAAGAAACTTCTAGGTCATTTCTAGATTCATTTTTCAGATTGGGGACCCAGACCACAACCAACATCAAAACTATAATAGCAATTTTTTGCCTTCCATGATGCCTAGAATTTGAGCAGAAAACAAGACAGCAATATTCAAGCCTTGGCTCTGTGGCCACACCTGAGTGACTTCAGAAAAATAGAACTTTGATGGTCATAATATGATATAATGCATTTCATCCAACTTCATTGATAAAGCACTCCTTCTCTCTTGAATTTTCAAAAGTTATCATCCACGCCTTACAAAATGGACCAAGCACTCACAATGGCTCCATTTCCCAGGCACTTAACAGGAATTGGGAACATTTACAGAATCATAAGAGGTCAAGAAAATATTTTATTAAGATAAATGTAAACTTCATTCTAAAGTTTGGATCACTGACTTTTGACATCTCATATACTCTATTTTTGTATTTTTAGCCTCTATAGCTGAATTTTTCACATTCTCTTCAACTAGATTTTGCAATCTGGTTGTAGGTTCCTCCTTGAAGATAGGAATCCCATCTTATATTTAAAAGTAAAGAAGATATTAATAATGTGTTCATGAAGTGACATATCGTTGAGAATCTCCAAATTTTTAATATCACCATAACACATTATTCCCTTATAAAAATTTATTAACTTACAACTGAAAAATATAAATGCACCCTTTAGTATTAAGGAGAGTTACTGTGTATAAACAGAGACCAATCTAGTTGGTTTGAGCCCAGGGTGTTGGGTAGTCAAGCCATGTTCAAGCTAGAATTACGAGGTTTAATGGTGATATCTAGCCTCTGGCACCCTTAATTCAAATTCTTGTTTCAGGAAATTAAAATTATTTGTACTTGGCTTGGCTCAAAGTACACGTCAAAAATCCAACTTGACTGCATAAAATACACACACACACACACACACACGAGCACAGAGAGAGACCTAAGTAATTCCCCTACCATTGGGAGGTGACTCCCTTGCCATTGAGAAGGCGATTATTATTAAGAAAGTAATAAAAGGCACCAAGATATCGTTCATGCACTCAGCAGCCAAAAAACTAGGATGCTTAGAGTAAACCAATGAAAAGCTTACATATAAAAAATAACATCTTAAAGGAGAAGTACAAGGGCATTTCCTCACTGCAAGTCTTCAGTACATACTTCAAAGGTATTAAGTATGTTGTGTATTCCCATAGACACTTGCACTTTCTCACTCTTACCCACCAAATCAATGTCAAAGCATGACACCTTGCCTTCTTTACATTGAAATATAGTTTCCCAAATACCATAATATCTATAGCATCTACTGAAATGACTATAGGAAAGCCCACATACATCGCTAGAAAGGGAAAGATATCATAATAGTGTGTTTACAAAGCATTGAATGAGGCACTGAATTGGTGGGAAAAAGTGCACGTAACATAATATTTTCATAAGTCTTGGTTTTGTCTATGATCCTGATTTCAAATTACATTTGTAGTCATTACACAAAATGCTATCAATTCATGCTTCTAATACCTCATTTTTTGTCACCTTCAACTTAGAATGCTGCAGGTTTGGCATAATCTTTCAAACTATCCAAGAATCTGGCATTTCATTGAAAATTTAAGAAAATCCTTCTGTTATTATAGGAATGAAATATCAAAGGCCTTATGATATAACAGAAGGAATAAGAGATATAGTCATAAATAAAATATATATTTACATATAAAAATATATAGTGTAAATTAGTAAGTGCCAGAAAGGAATGTTGAGATGGAGAGGGAAAGATATGAACATCTGAATTCTACCATTGCTCAACAATTTCTTCTTCCTCTGAAGTACTGAGAAAGCAATACAACAAGAGACAAAGATGAATGGACACATTATTACTTTAGAATTAGCTGGACCAGGACCCAATACTCCAATACAGGGTTCTCCTGTAAAATTGGTTTAGTGAGTGTGTCTGATGCTCAAAACTCACACTCGGCTACCATGCCCTAGTCTTAATTCTCCAACTTCTCACATGAAGTGATGAGAATTTGGGAGTGTGTAATAAAAGAGAGGCAAGATAGGCTTTCCAGAGAGCCCTATCACAGCTTACCACTTATCTCTCTTAAAGGCAATAGGAAGGAGAAGAAAGAGATCAGGGCACAAGAGAACATCAGTTTGCAATGGTAAATGCATCCATTAGTAAACACGGCCCAATAAATTTCCTCTACTCTGACCAGATTGGGATATTGTAAAGAATGAGAGAAATAGAAGAAATGTTCCCCTTGCCCCCTGCCCCAACCAAAAGTATCAAATCCTTTGGGAACTCAAAGAAAAGAGGGATATTGAAATCAAGAAAAATGTATTTTTCTGATGTTTCTTCCTCTTCCATGATTTCTTCCCCATATACTTCCTCAGCTCTTCTTCCTCTAGCTATCTCTTAAGTTTTCCTTTCATGTTACATGGTATTGCTACAGACTCAATTCAGGTATAAAATACCACCTGGGTGCTGATTAATTCCAACTCTAAAACTCAGTAGAGACCTGCCTTCTAAGCTTCAGGTAGCATGCCATGCCTCTTGTACATTATCTAACTTCATTCATCTTTACCTGATAAGATAATGAGGCCTTTCACATTTATCTCTAATCTTTCCTTCTCATTTCCCCCACTAAGCTTGTTCCTCATGTGTTATTTTTTAATCTTCAATTTGTAGCACCACTATCGAGCCAATTAAGAAACTAGAAATCAGTGAGTGATCACTGATTCTCTCTCCCTCTCTTCCCAATCTCCAATATCAGTTAAGAGAATGCTATCAATATTAGCTACTGAATATTTTTTGTTTTCCTCCTTTTGATTCTCTCTCACTCCTAGATTATGTTAACATTTTCCATCTACTGCTATTGGCTGTGGGTTTTTCTTCCTCAAATTCATTCTCAACATAACTTCCTGCTTGGTGCATCTAAAATGCAAATCTAGCCATGTCAGTACTGAAATCCATTCATGGTTCTCCTCACCTACAAGACAAATTCCAAAGTTTTTAACGTAGTTCAGCAGTTCCTCCCCAAACCCTGCCCACCTTTCTGACTTCATCTGCTGCTTCCCCCTTCCTCCATCCCTTAAGCTGAAACAGCACCTGCCTCCTGGTGGTTTCACCAAACACCTCCTTTTTTCAGCTAGCCTATGCTCACGCTAGCTCTGATATTTGGAAAAGCCTTCCTTCCCTGCTACCTTTTTCACCTAGATAATTCTTCATTATACGTTAAGATTCAGCAGAGCTGCAACTTTCTCCAAAAATTCTGTGATTCACTTCTCACTTCTCAAACAAAGATAGATTACAGTCTCCTCCTCTTTGCTTGCATATTTGATTATACCTGTTAATGTATTGGTCATCTACCCTAGACTGTGAGGTCCTTGGTGGCTTTGTGTACACTTTCGGCACATAACAGGTGCCTATGAATGCATCTATTTATAGGAAAGAAGGCTGGAAGGAAGGAATAAAGGTAGGAAACAATGATTTGAATAGTTTGGAAAATCATTTTGGTAACCAACAGTTATGTAGAAGGGAATTACAGGCAGAAGGAACCTCATGAGCTAAGGTATAAAATGTAAAACTCAAGACAATGGGTGGAGAGATATATGGATAAAGATATATGATAGGTTACCCTGATTTGATCTTTACACATTATATAAATGCATCAAAATATCACATTCATCCCCCAAAATATGTAAAAATGTCAATATTAAAAAGATATGTGAGAAGGAAATAACCTTGAAAGTTTGGTCAGGTTGTAAAGGACCAGAATGCAAGATTAAAGGGTCTGAACTTCATTAAGAAGATGAACTACTGAATAATTTTGAGCAGGAATGACTGTAACAAAGTAGGTTAATGAAAGAAATCTTCATTTCTGGGTGAGATATATTAAAGAAATGAGAGTCTGGGGAAACCAGATAGAGGTACATGGATTGCAGTACTCAGAATGAGATCTAATGCAGAATTGAATTGCAGAAGTGAATTTGGGAACAGGAAAAAAAAGACATAGACTTAACAGAAGTTGTGGGGAAAAGAATTGTCAGGAATTGGTAATGGATTGGAAGTGGGGGAGCAAAACAAGAGAATGTGGATGGCTTAAAGAATGGTGTTATCATTAATGAACAACAAAATTCACAGACGATGCTAGTGTAAGAGGACTGATGATGAATACAAACTGGGACATGTTGAGTTTGAAGATTTTCTAGAAGAGGCATTTGAAGATACCCAAGTTTGGAGCTCAGGAGAGTGACATTGGCTTCAGAAATAGATTAAGGAGTCATTTGCATAGTTATGGGAATTGAACAAGAAATTTGGATGTCTTTGTGGTCCACCAACCTAAGGATATAGATAAGTTCATATTTAATCCAAATCATATTTTATCACATTAATATCTAAAATGTGCTATGCAAAGCCCTGTAAGATAAGAATTCAACCCTTCTATCTCAACTTTATGTAATTTATTCAAGATGTATTTAGGGATGTCTCACATCAGAGATCATTCATCCCATATTCTTCTGCTCCAACTTCTTGTTGATACTTTCTTCCCACAAGCCACCTGAAGGAGCAGATGGACGAATAAAAATTCAAAGAAGAAAAGGTCTTAAAGAACTTTTCAGATTTCAGTCTTGGATACAGCATGGTCTTAACCAAGCTCCATGGTGTAGCCATGACTAAGAATGTATGAAATGAAATAAAGAATGGGGCCAGTGGAAGTTTTAAAAATGTGAAACCATGAGGTCGTAGTGGTGAAAGCATTGACAAAGCGGATATGGAAGTCACCAAGGACTTCCCAGAAATAGTATGGAGGCAAAGGCTGCGGGCCAGTTTCTAAGATTTCAGCAAAGACATTGGATAAGTAATGTAAATAGACTTTGAAAGAAATGCTTGAAAAATGACCTGGAAGTTACTATGTGGAGCAAATATTATAATTATTTGTTCTCTCTCTCTCTCTCTCTCTCTCTCTCTCTCTCATTAAATCCAATATAATTCCACTTATAAGATAAATCTTCTGTAATTTCAAATATATGGAAATTTATGGTATGTGGATGTGTATTTTCCACATCTTTTATGTACCTAGTAAGTGCTTGTCAAACATTTAGAAATAAACATTTATTGAATTTATCTAATCCAAAGAATACTTATAATTCAACATAAGGCAAAAACAATTTCTAAACCTATGAACACAGAGGACACAAAATAAAGGGTTAAAATGTTGTAAAACATTGTCTTACCAATTATTAATAAAAGCTTCTACACTCAAACAAGCTCTTCACATTTGCTTAAAATAATAATTCACAAAACTGTGATTTAAAGACAACTTTAAGGGTTTGTAAAAATGGTGATAGAAGCCCATTTTCCACAGGGCTACAGGCATTGTTAGAAGTTTGGACTGTTTGGCTTATCAGGTGCTGTGCATCTTTCTGAGTCCCAGTGTTGTTAATCAACATAGACGGCAGACTAGTTAATGCTGCTGTTAGTAAGACTGTGGCAAAGATTAGAAGGTTATCAAACAGATATAAACAGGAGTTCTAGGATTCCTATCTAACATATGAAATTAACAACTAATAGGTATCTTTCGTTGATAGTTGATTTGATTGAGTGCATGTGGATAAAAGTCAACAAGTGAACAACTTGATTGTCTGCTGAATTAATAGAATGGAAGAACTTTAAATGGTTCTGAAAGCTAATTTAATTCAGAAACCTCCGTGAGATTTCAGCTCTTTTGTGAAACTAGTGAATAAAATGTTGGCAATTCATTGAGAATAAAAATGTGAGCATTAGCTTCTTCTGTTCTTGGAATTTTTAAAATGTGTATAAAAATGTTTTTTACAAGGAGGGAGCATTTAACTTAGGAGTATGCTCATATTATCCTCTAAACAAACACTGGGAATTAAAACAAAGGAAAACCGCCTTTTAAATTTGCCTTGAGTTTACAGTCCTTCCTATTTCAGTCTCTCTCTTGCATTTGTCTTCTCAGACATTTTCGCTTATTTGTATTTCCTTCCCTAAGAATTAAAATTGTTCCTTTCCTAGGCCTAATTACCAGTATGACGTGGGTGTTTCAACCATTGGTGGGCATTTATTAGATTCTATTCTATTATTAGATCCTACTAATCAAAGGATGCAGCATCAGATAGACAATAGTACTTATCTAGACTCACTTCAAATCACTTATTATGCTCCAGCCACTCTGGTCTCTCTCCACTTCTCGAAAACCCCAAGCTACTCTCTTCCTTCAGGAATTCGTATGTTGTCCTCTCTCCAGTTGAATTATCTCCCTATATTCACTTCTCGTGGGCAGAGCTCACTCATCATTCAAGCCACAGATAAAATCTCTCTTCCTTAGCAAAGCTTTTCCCCACCACCCACTTTCCACCTGCTGCCGCCCCAAGACTCCCAGAACCTTCTGCTTTTCTTCCACTGCACTTTCCACCATTGTCCTCAGGTGAGCAGGCAAAGAGTGGATTCCTACCTTTCTCCCCCACTGGATTGTAAACTCTATGAACAGGAAGGCCTCATGAGTCTCATTACCTGTGCCTAACAGAGTGCCTGGCCCAGAGTGTAAGCTCAGCAAACATTGTGTTGACAGGTGACACTAGAGGATAGGGAGGAGGCACCAGGTCATTCCAGAACAAATCCATGTGTGCTTTGAAGTCTACTAGGATCTGCTTAGGATCCCTTCCAGAAAACAGGTCAAAAGTCAGAAGTCTACTCAGTTTGAATGTTTCCCCCACATCAGGCACCTTGTTATGCCTTTAGGAAGTTTCCTACAAGAGAAGTGCTATATAAGAGCCTGTTTTATATGAATGATATTCTATTTAAAATTCCAATGTGTCTTGTACCTACTTCCTTTCTATAATTTTTTTTTCTACAAAAACCTGGCTGTGTGCAGTGGCTCACACCTGTAATCCTAGCTCTTTGGGAGGCTGAGGTGGGCAGATTACTTGAGCTCAGGAGTTTGAGACCAGCCTGGGCAACATGGCGAAACCCCGTCTCTACTAAAAATACAAAAAATTAGCCTGGCATGGTGGCATGTGCCTGTAATCCCAGCTACTTGGGAAGCTGAGGCAGGAGAATCACTTGAACCTGGGAGGTGGAGGTTGCAGTGAGCCAAGATCATGCCACTGCACTCCAGCCTGGGCAACAGAGCAAGACTCTGTCTCAAAAAAACAAAAAACAAAAACTATGACTTTAGTTTTTATGTTACTTTAGTTAAACCAATCCTTTCTTCTCAGCAAAAGAATGGCACAGATCAAATTATAGCTTCCAAAAACGTCAAGTAATTATTCAAATTCTAGTTAGAACAATGCATAGGATATAACTTTGAATGGAAAAGGCAGTATTCAAAACTGTTTTTACTGTCTGAACCTTTTGTGTCATTCCAGATCTCAATCTGTTAATAGTAAAAAGACTGAGAAGAAATACACCAAAATGTCAACTGTGGTTATCTCTGAGCTGTGAATTGCTGTGTTGTCTTCTTCTTTATGTTTTTATGTATTTCTCGTGGTTTTTTATGACTATCATGTAATATTTCTAAAATCAAAGAAATAAGTTATTTAAACTGATAAACAATGCCTAGCACATAGTGTATACACAATAACCACTTGGCCCTTCACAACTCTCCCTTTCCCTTCACAGGTACCAAGTACATGTTCTCAAAGCACAATATCATACAAGTCCTGATAGTTTCCAATCCCTTTCTTGCATGAAAAGGACATGGGTTTTGGTGGGATCCGACAGTGGTTTTAATTATAGGTCTACCACTTACTAATTTGATGATCTTAAGCTATGTAAGTAAACTCAGTTGGCTCCTCTGCAAAAGGGAGATAACAATTCCATCCATTCCCACTTAAACAAATGTATTTGTGCTTTCCCACAAGTGGCCAGAAATACTAGTTCCTCTCCCATTCATGATTTTCCCAAGAAGGAATCTGCTGTCCTGGAAGGTAGAGAAAGATTTCTGGCCTTGGGAAGCATAGACAATTAACCCTGTGTAATGGAAGTAGAAATAAAAGTTGCTTTAAACATACAGACATTGAATTGCAAGTAACTCTGCATTGTATAGAGAAATCTAGAGATCCAACATTCTAAATTTCAACAAGATTGTCAACATATGAGTGGAGGGTTAGCCATCAGAGAAAACAGAGCCCCTATAGTAACAAAGCAAAACACCAAAATTACAAAGTTTTTGTTGTAAGGATTAGCGAGGGAGAATCTGAAATATTTCTAGTTAAAAGATGATAGGTGGATATATGGAAATTAATTTCAGAGAAGCTTATTGCTAATGTTAAAATATATAAAACATGATTGAAAGTCAATTTAGCATTTCACTCCATCTCTGCAGTATACCATCATTATTGTCTTATTTTATGAAATATATATTTAATCATTTATTCGTTTGCTTTTTTAAAATAAGTTTTCAAGCTGACAGATTGGCTATGGGAGTGGGTAAGAAAGAAAAGAGTCAGAGGCTGGCCAAGATGGCCAACTAGAAGCAGCTAGCATGCACCACTCTCACAGAGAAAAATAGAAGGGGCAAGTAAATACAGCACCTTCAACAGAAACGTCCAGGTACATGCATTGAGATTCATCAAGAAAACAACTCAACCCACAGAGAGTGGAGAAAAGCAAGGCAATGTGACCACCCATCCAGGAGCAACACGGAGTCAGGGGAACCTCCGTAGCCCAGGGAAGCAGTGAGTACATGAGTGACCCCAGGGACCCACACTTCTCCCACAGCTCTTTGCAACCCTCAGGTCAGGAGATCCCCTCATGAACCCACTCCACCAGAGCCTGCAGTCTGACATGCAGAGCTACGTGGAGTCTCAGTACAACAGCTGCTCAGACACACACAGAGGTCCAGGAGCTTTAGATATCCAGGCTTCCAGGCAGAAGTGGCTGCAATTCCAGTAAAGTGGGATGTTAGACCCCCATGCATATCCCTAGGAAAGGGGCTGAATCCAGGGGGCTGAACAGTGGTGGTTTGCAGGTCCCACTTCCACGACTCATTGCAGGATAAGACCCACTGGCTTGGAACTCCAGCCAGCCAAGAGTAGCAGCATTACACTTCACTGAGACGAAACTCGCAGAGACAGGGACAGGCCGCCGTCTTTGCTGTTTCTCAACCTTAGCCATTGTTGCCTTCAGTACAGTCATCCTATGAAAAAGCAGCAAGACTGCTTTTTTAGTGCAGGTCCCTGGTCCCATTTCTCCTCACTGGGCAAGACCTTCTGACGAGGGTCACCAGCCACCCTCACTAGTGTTTTCCCACTGTCAGTGGTTCTGAGCTTCCCTGAGATACAACTCCCAGGGGTAGGGATGGGCTGCCATATTTGCTGTTTCACAGCCTTGGCTGTTGTTGCCTTTAGGCTCTAGGGAGTCTGAGGTGACTAGAGACTAAAGCAGTCCCCCAGCACAGCACAGCAACTCTACAGAGAAGTATTCAGGGTGCTTTTTCATGTGGGTCCCAGGTCCTGTTTCTCTTCACTAAGCAGGATCTCCCAATCAGGGTCTAGAGCCACCCCCACCAGTGTGTTCTGGCCAGCAACAGGTCCCTACCTCCCTGGGACTGAGCTCTCAGAGGGAGGGGCAGGCAACCATCTTGACTGTTTAGCAGCCTTCACTGTTGATACCTTCAGGTGCTGGATAATCTGAGGTGACTAGAGATTGGAATGGACCCCCAGCATACTGCAGCAGCCCAGTGGAAAAGTGGACAGACTTCTATGTGGGTCCCTGATCCCGTATCTCCTCACAGGGTGGGTCCTCCTGGCCTGGGTCTCCAGCCAGCCCCCACACCAGGGCTATCAAGACAGTAGCAGCTCTGCAACTCCCTGGGACAGAGCTCCCATTGGGAGGAGCGGGTTGCCAACTTTGCTGTCTTGTAGCCCTTACCTTTGCTATCTCCAGGTCCTGGAGAGTCCAGAGAAACCAAGGGCTGGTTGAGACCTGTAGCACAGTGCACCCACTTCATGAAAAACTGACCAGACTGTTCTTCATGCAGGTCCTGATCCTCACTTCTCCTCACTGGGAAGGGCTGCCTGACCTGGCACTCCAGCATAATCACCCTGCCCCCACCTGAGCATTTCAATCAGAGGCAGCCCAGCAGTTAAAGGAACACACACACACACACAAAGATGAGAAAGAACCAACTCAATAACTCCAGCAACTGAAATGGCCAGAGTGTCTTATGACATCTAAATGATTGCACTAGTTTTTGTTTGTTTAGTTTTTTGTTTTTGAGACAGAGTCTCACTCTGTTGCCAGGCTGGAGTGCAGTGGCACAATCTCTGCCCACTGCAACCTCCGCCTCCTGGGTTCAAGTGATTCTCCTGCCTCAGCCTCCCAAGTGGCTGGGAATACAGGTGCATGCTACCACGCCCAGCTAATTTTTTTTGTATTTTTAGTAGAGACGGGGTTTCACAATGTTGGCCAGGATGGTCTCGATCTCTTGACCATCCTGATGGTCATGATCTGCCCACATCACCCTCCCAAAGTGCTGGGATTACACTCGTGAGCCACCACACATGGCCTGATTGCACTAGTTTTCTAACAAGGTTTCTTAACCAGGATGAGTTGGCTGAAATGACAGAGATAGAATTCAGAATAGGGATAGAAATGAAGATGATTGAGATACAGGAGAACAGCAAAACCCAATCCAAGGAAACTAAGAATCACAATAAACACAATACAGAAGCTGACAGAAAAAACAGTCATGATAAAAAAGAATCTAACAGATCTGACAGAGCTGAAAAACACACTACAAGAATTTCACAATGCAATCACCAGCATTAACAGTAAAACAGACAAAACTGAGGAAAGAATGTTGGAACTTGAAGACAGTCAGACAAAAAATAAAGGAAAAAGAGTGAAAAGAAAAGGAACAAACAAAACCTCTGAGAAATATGGGATCATATAAAGAGACCAAACTGAGGAATCACCGGCACCCCTGAAAAAAAGGGGAGAAAGTAAACAGCTTGGAAAACACATTTCAGGATATTGTCCATGAAACCTTCCCCAACCTCGCTAGAGAGGCCAACAGTCAAATTCAGGAATAGAACCCCTGCAAGATTTTACACAAGAATATCCTCCCTAAGACATATAATCATTAGATTTTTCCAAAGTCAAAATAAAAGAAATAATGTTAAAGGTGGCTAGAGATAAAAGAAGGGTTACCTACAAAGGGAACACCATCAGGCTAACAGCATACCTCTCTGCAGAAACCCTACATGTCAAAAGAGATTGAGGGCCTATATTCAACATTCTTAAAAAAAAATTCAAGCAAGAATTTCATATCCAGCCAAACTAAGCCTCCTTAGCAAAGGAGAAATATGATGCTTTTCAGCTAAGCAAATGCTGAGGGAGTTTCTTACCACCAAACCCACCTTACAAGAGATCTTGAAAAAAGCACTATATGTGGAAAGGAAAGACCATTACCAACCAATACAAAAACACATTTAAGTACACAGATCTGTAATACTATAAAGGAACTACACAAAAAAGGTGACATAACAACCAGCTAACAACACAATAACAGGATCAAATCCACATGTATCACTACTAACCTTGAATGTAAATAGGCTAAATGCCCCAATTAAAAGGCACAGAGTAGCAACCTGGATAAAAAAGCAAGACCCAATGGTATGCTGCATTCAAGAAATCCATCTAACATGCAATGACACCCATAGACTTAAAATAAAGGGATGGAGAAAAACCTACCAAGCAAATGGAAATCAGAAAAAATGCACATGTTGCAATCCTAATTTCAGACAAAACAGATTTTAAACCAACAAAGATCAAAAAAGACAAAGAGTTAAAAACTCTCAATAAACTAGATATTGAAGGAACATACCTCAAAATAATAAGAGCCATATATGACAAACCCACAGACAACATCATACTGAACTGGCAAAAGCTGGAAGCATTCCCCTTGAAAACTAACACAAGACAAGGATGCCCTCTCTCACCACTCCTATTCAACATACTATTGGAAGTCCTGGCCAGAGCAATCAGGGAAGAAAAAGAAATAAAGTGCATTTAAATAGGAGAGAAAGTCAAACCATCCATTTGAAGATGACATAATTCTATATATAGAAAACCTGATAGTCTCAGCCCAGAAGCTCCTTCAGCTTAGAAACAACTTCAGCAAAGTTTCAGGATAAAAAGTCAATGTACAAATATTGCTAGCATTCCTATACACCAACAACAGCCAAGCTGAGAGCAAAATCAGAAACACAATCCCATTTACAATTGCCACAAAAAGAATACAATACCTAGGAATACAGCAAAGCAGGGAGGTAAAATATCTCTACAATAGGAATTACAACATACTCTCAAAGAAATCAGAGATGACACAAACAAATGAAAAAACATTCCATACCCATGGATAGGAAGAATCAATATCATTAAAATGGCATTACTGACCAAAGCAGCTTATAAATTCAAGCTATTCCTATCAAACTACCCATGAAATCCTTCACAGAACTAGAAAAAAAAAACTTTTAAAACTCACATAGAACCAAAAAAAAAAGGCCCAAAAGCCAAGGCAATCCTAACAAAGAACAAACCTGGAGACATCACATTACCTGACTTCAAACTTACTACACGGCTAAAATAACCACATAGTATGGTACTGGTACAAAAACAGAAAAATAGACCAATGGGACAGAAAAGAACACCCAGGAAAAAAAAGTCTGCACATCTGCAATCATCTGATCTTTGACACAGCTGACAAACCAAACAAAGGGGAAAGGAGTCCCTATTCAATAAATGATGCTGGGATAACTGGCTAGCCATATGCAGAAAATTAAAACTGGACCCCTTCCTTACACCACATATAAAAATCAACTCAAAACAGATTAAAGACTTAAATGTAAAACCCAGTACTATAAAAACCCTTAAAATAACCTTGGCCATCCCTTTGTGGACATAGGGACTGGCAAATATTTCATGATAAAGACACCAAAAGCAATTGCAACAATAGCAAAAATTGACAAATGGGATGTGATTAAACTTAAGAGCTTATACACAGCAAAAGAAACTATCAAAAGAGGAAACAGACAATCTGCAGAATGGGAGAAAGACAAACAGAATGACAAAGGTTAAGATCCAGCATCTAAAAGGAACTTAAACAAATTTACAAGGAAAAAAAAAAACGCTATTAAAAAGTGGGCAAAGGACACGAACAGACATTTCAAAAAGAAAACATACATGCCCTCAACAAACATATGGAAAAAAAAAAAGCTCACTATCACTGATCATTATGAAAATGCAATTGAAAACTTTATTAACAGACTGGACCAAGCAGAAGAAAAATTTCAGGGCCCAAAGACCAGTCTTTCAAACTAACCCAGTCAGACAAAAATAAAGAAAAAAGAATTTTTAAAAATGAACAAAGTCTTCAAGATATATGGAATTATGTAAAGTGATGAAACCTATGAATTATTGGCATTCCTGAGAGAGACAGACAAAAAGTAAACAACCTGGAAAATACATTTGAGGGAATAATACAAGAAAATTTTCCTAATCTTGCTAGAGAAGTAGATATACAGGTATAAGAAATCCAGAAGACACCTGGTAGATACCATACAAAATGAAAATTACAAAATCATACAGTAATCAGCTTGTCCAAGAAAAAAATCAAAGACAGCTAGAAAAAAAGGTCCTATTATGTACCAATGGAACCCCAACAGGCTAACAGCAGTCTTCTCAGCAGAAACCTCACAAGCCAGGAAAGATTGGGAGCCTATTTTCAGCATTTTAAAAGAAAATAAATTCCAACCACAAATTTCATATCCTGCCAAACTATGCTTCATAAGCAAAGGAGAAAAAAAATATTTTCCAGACAAGCAAGCACTAAGGGAATTTATTACCACTAGACCAACCTTACAAAAGCTCCTTAAGGGAGTTCTGGAAATAGAAACAAAAGAATAATACCTGCTACCACAAAAACACACTTAAGTACATAGCCCCTATAAAGCAACCACACAATAGAAACTATAAAGCAACCAGCTAGCAACTTCATGATAGGATCCAAACCTCACATATCAATACTAACCTTTAATCCACTGTCTTGAATACTAGCCTATCCATCTGTTGTCTTCAAGAGACCCATTTCAAATGTAGCAACACCCACGGGCTAAAAGTAAAGGGTTGGAGAAAGATCTATCATGCAAATAGAAAACAGAAAAGAGCAGGAGTCGCTGTTCTTATATCAGATAAAACAGACTTTAAATCAAGAACAATAAAGAAGGACGAAGAAGGGCATTACATAATGACAAGTGATTCAGTTTAACCAGGAGACTTAAGTATCCTAAATACATACACACTCAACGTTAGAGCACTGAGATTCATAATACAAGTACTTCTAGACCTATGAAAAGACTTGGACAGCCACACAATAATAGTGGGGAACTTCAATTGGACACATCATCCAGGCAGAAAACGAATAAAGAAATTATTTTTCTAACTGGAATTTAATGCATGACCAATTGGACCTAATAGGCATCTACAGAATACTCTACCCATCAACCATAAAATATACATTCTTCCCATCTGCACATGAAACAAATTCCAAGATCAACCACATGCATTGTCATAAAGTAATCTCAATAAATTCAAAAGAAATCAAAATCTTACCAACCAGACTCTCGAGCCACAGTGGAACAAAAATAGAAAGCAATACCAAGATCTTTCAAAACTGCACAATTATATGGAAATCAAATAATTTGCTCCTGAATTACTTTGGGGTAAATAATACAATTAAGGCAGAAATCAAAATGTTGAAATAAATGAAAACAGAGACACAACACACCAAAATTTCTGGGATGCAGCAAAAGCAGTGCTCGGAAGAAAGTTGACAGCACTAAATGTCTATTTTTAAAAGTTAGAGAGATCTCAAATGAATGATCTAGGAACACTTCTAGAGGAATCAGAGAAAGAACAAACTAACCCAAAGCTAGCATGATAAAAGAAATAACTAAAATGAGAGCAGAACTGAATGAAATTCAGACCCAAAAATGCATGCAAAGAATCAACAAAACCAAAAGTTGGTTATTTTAAAGGATAAGTAAAATTGATAGACTGCTTGCTAGATTAACAAAGAAAAAATAAGCACAAATCAGAAACAATAAAGGTGACATTACAGCTGACTCCACAGAAATACAAAAGATCCTGAGATTAAGATAAACACCTCTAAGCACAAAAATGAGAAAATCTAGACTAAATAGATAAATTCCTGGAAACACACACATTGAATCAGGAAGAGACTGAAATACTGAACAGACCAATACAGAGTTCCAAAATTGAATCAGTAATGAAAAAATTTACCAGCCAAAAAAAGTACCAATTTTGCTGCAACTGTTTCAAAAAGTCACAGAGGAAGAATTCCACCTTAATTCATTCTATGAAGTCACCATCGCCTTGATACCAAAATCTGGTAAAGACACAGCAAAAAAAGAAAACTGCAGGCCAATATTCCTGGTGAACATGGATGCAAACATTCTCAACAAAATAGTAACAAACCAAATCCAGCAGCACATCAAAAAGTTAATTCACTATGACCAAGAAGCCTTCATTCCTGGGATGCAAGATTGGTTCACCATATGCAAATCAATAAATGTCATTCATCACATAAACAGAATTAAAATAAAAAAAATATGCTCATCTCAATAGACTTGGAAAAAGTCATTGATTAAAATCCAACATTGCTCCATATATAAAAAAACCCTCGAGAAACTAGGCATCAAAGGAACACACCTCAAAATAACAAGACCCAACTATGACAAACCCACAGCCAACATCATGCTGAATGGGCAAAAACTGAAATAATTCCCCTTTAGAATTAGATCAAGGCAAGGATGCCCACTCTTACCACTCCTAATTAACATAGTACAAAACATCCTTGCCAGAGCTATCACAGAAGAAAAAGAAATAAAAAGCATCCAAATAAAAAAAGCAGAAGTCAAACTATCTCTCTTACCTGATGATATGATTTTATACAGAGAAAACCCTAAAGACTCTGCCAAATGGCTGCCAGAACTAATAAACAACTTCAGTAAAGTTTCAGGATACAAAATCGATGTATAAAAATTAGCACCATTTCTATACACCAAAAATGTTCAAGCTGAGGGCCAAATCAAGAATGCATTTTCATTTAATATAGCTGTAAAAATAAAAAATAACAACCATTTGGGAATACATCTAACCAAGCAGGTAAAAGACCCCTTCAAGGAGAACTACAAAATATTGCTGAAAGAAATTGTAGATAACACAAATGGAAAAATATTCCATGCTCATGAGTTGGAAGAATCAATATTGTTAAAATGACCATACTACCAAAAGTAATCTGTAGATTCAACACTATTCCTATCAAATTACTAATATTATTTTTCACAGCACTAGAAAAATCTATTCTGAAATAAATATGAAACCAAAGAAGGCATGAATAGAAAAAGCAATCCCAGGCAAACAGAACAGAGTCAGAAGTATCACATTACCCAATTTCAAACTAAACTATAAGGCTATAGTTACAAAAACAGTACGGTCCTGGTGTAAAAATAGACAGATAGACCAATGGAACAGAATAGAGAACCCAGAAATAAAGCTGCACATCTACAACCATCTGATCATTAACAGAATTGGTAAAAATAAGCAATGGGGAAACTATTCCCTATTTAATAAATGGGGTTGGGATAGCTGGATAGCCATATGCAAAAGTATGAACTTGGCCCCTATGTTTTACCATTTACAAAAATTAACTCAAGATGGATTAAAGATTTAAACATAAGACCTCAAACTATAAAAATCCTAGAAGAAAACCTAGGTAACACCAATCTGGACATTGGCCTTGGGAAATAATTTATGCGTAAGTCTTCAAAAGCAATTTCAACAAAAACAAAAATTGACACTAGGACCTAATTAAACTAAAGAGTTTCTGCACAGCAAAATAAATTATCCACTGAGGAAACAGACAACCTACAGAATGGGAGAAAATATTTGAAAACTGTGCATCTCACAAAGATCTAATATCCAGAACCTATAAGGAACCTATAAGGGATAACCCAACAAGCAAAAAACAAATAACCCCCTTAAAAATGGGCAAGACATGAACAGATATTTTCAAAAGAAGACATAAAAGTGCCCAACAAACATGAAAAAAAAGTTCAATACTACTAATTATTAGAGAAATGCAAATGAAAACCACAATGACGTAACATCTCATACCAGTAAGAATGGCTATTATTAAAGAGTCAAAAAACAACGGATGCTGGTGAGGCTGCTGCAGAGAAGGGGAATGCTTATACACTGTTAGTGTAAGTTAGTTCAGCCACTGTGGAAAACAGTTTGGATATTTCTTAAATAAATTAAAACAGAACTACTATTTGACCCAGCAATCCCAATACTTTGTATATATCCAAAAGAAAACAAATCACTCCACCAAAAAACACCTTGTATGTTCACCAGAGCACTATTCACAATAGCAAAGACATCGAATTAACCTAGATGCCCATCAGAGGTGGACTGGATAAAGAAAATGTGGTACTTATATACCATGGAATACACTGCAGTCATAAAAAAGAACAAAATCATGTCATTTGCAGTAACACGGATGGAGCTGGATGCCATTATCTTAAGCAAATCAACACAGGAACAGAAAACCAAATACTGCATGTTCTTACTCATAAGTGGAAGCTAAACATTGGGTACTCATAGACATAAAGATGGGAATAATACACACTGGAGATTGCTGGTGGGGGGCAGGGGAAAGGTTGAAAAACTATTAGGTACTATGGATCACCACCTGAGTGACAGGATCAATTGTAGCCCAAACTTCAGCATCATACAATATACTCGGGTAACAAACCTGTACATGTACCTCTTGAATCTAAAAGAAAAGTTATAAAAATTTTATAAAAATAATCTGAATTCTTTATAATATTTTATTATAAGAAACAACAAAAGTGCGATTATGAAACATTAGCTAAGATGTGATTTTTTCATATTTTTCTAAAAATATTTAATATATTTGATTTATAAACACACTATCACTTAAGTACAAATCCCATTGATGTAATCATTATCCTCCCCCCAAAACAAATCAGCTGAGCATATTAGCACTCCCAAAGTATAGCTGACTCTGAGCTAAGACAATAAGGAATCATTCTCCCTGATTATTCTTTTTCCCATGAAGGTATTTTTTACATTTGCTATAACCTTTAAAAAAGCAATTTATATATACGTATTAATTAATTTTTGTAAATGGTAAAATATATATATAAATGTATATATATATATCTCCAAATTAATAGACAAGGTATGTGTCACTGTATTAGTCTGTTCTCATGCTGCTAATAAAGACCTACTTGAGACTGGGTAATTTATAAAGGAAAGAGGTTTGACTCACAGTTCCTCAGGGCTGAGGAGGCCTCAGAAAACTTACAATCATGGTGGAAGGGGAAGCAAACACATCTAATACAGTGACAGGCAAGAGAGCTTGTGCAGAGGAACTCCCCTTTAGAAAACCATCAGATCTCATGAGGAGACTTATTCACTATCACAAGAACAGCCTGAGAAAGACCCACCCCCGTGATTCAATTACTTCCCACCAGGTCCCTCCCACAACACATGGGAACTACAGGAGCCACAATTCAAGATGAGATTTGGGTGCAGACACAGCGGAACCATATCGGTCACCTTCTTGAATGAACACTTCAGCACACTATCATACTTGTATTAATTTAAAAGCATATTTTTCAATAACCTTCATTTCTAGAAATATCATTATATAAGGCAGAAATTCATGAGAATTTAATAAATGTTATTCATACTAGTAATAGGGAGACTATTATATGTGATCATAAATATGAGTAGATATGGAACCATAAGAGGTTGTCTGGCTGGGTGCGGTGGCTCACGCCTGTAATCCCAGCACTTTGGGAGGCCAAGGTGGGCAGATCACGAGGTCAGGAGATCGGGATCATCCTGGCTAACACAGTGAAACCCCGTCTCTACTAAAAATACAAAAATTAGCCAGGCGTGGTGGCGGGTGCCTGTAGTTCCAGCTATTCAGGAGGCTGAGGGAGGAGAATGGCGTGAACCCAGGAGGTGGAGCTTGCAGTGAGCCAAGATTGCACCACTGCACTCCAGCCTGGGCTACAGGGTGACACTCCGTCTCAAAAAAAAAAAAACAAAAAACAAAAAAGAGGTTGTGCAAGATATGGCTTCCTTCCCTCCTAGAGATCTTGTAGTGCTCTATTTTTCTTTCCACACAAGACAAGCAATGGCTTCCCAAATCTCAGGGACCACGGGAAAAAGGGGATCTCTACTCTTCCTTAGGAAGATACAGTGGAAAAGGTCATTTTTCATGTAAAATGCTAAAAGAAATAGTATTCACCTCATGGAGTCACTGTGATAATTAAATAAGTCACATACAGGTAACACTCAGTGTTGTAAGCACACAAAAAATGTTTACTATTTTTATAACTATTCTCATGAGAAGTTATGAAGAGCAGAGCCCCCAATTCCCTGCATATCTGCACTCTTTTTAAAAAACAATTTTGTTTTCAGAGTCTATTTACATTTGAAACAGGATCTAATAATGTGCATAATGACTGATACTACAATTTCAATTATCATTTGACTGTCTCTTTCCTTACTCACACATTTATGAGAAAAATGTAGCCTCTAATGTCTCTGTTCTTCACCATGATTTTCCTGCATCCAAAACTGCAATCATGCGTAACCTTTTTTATGTGTTACTTCCCTAAGGATAAAGGTCAACTCATTTATAAATATATGATGCATCAGTTCCAGTTTTACCATCTAACTTGATATTTTATTCTCACAAATCATCAATAATATACCAATAACTAGCCTTTATTGAATTCCTTTTCCGTGCCAAGCACCATCCTGGGCATTATGAAAGATGTGCTCTCTAATCCTTGCTACTGCACCGTAAGGTATCATTATTGCCATTTTACACAGGAGAACCAAAAGGTACAGAAAAGTTCAACAACTTTCTCAAAGTTACACAATAAGAAAGTGATTGGATTTCCAAGCCCACAGCCCAGATGGCCTCTGTTTTAACACACTCACCTACAAATCGAGCATGGCTGGCTTGTTTATGGGTTCTCAGAATGTTACTGAAAGCAGAGTGTAGTACATCTGTAATCCCAGCTACAGAGTGGCTGAGGTGGTAGGAGGATTGCTTGAGCCCACCACGAGGTTGAGGCTACAGTAAGTGATGATGGCACCACTGCACTTCAGCCTGGGCAACAGAGCAAGGCTTCATCTCTTATACAAAAAGTAAGACAAGAATATTCCTGAGGGATGAGCAATGAGAAGACCAACCTGATGATCAGCAAGTGGGTTCCTTATCTACAATGTTTTCTGGATGTTTTCTTTTAAAACAAAATGGACAGAAAGGAGTTGCACTCATGATTCCCGTCTCAGGAAATGGCTACTGAAATTTAGGACCCCTCTTGGCAGTTGTTAATGAAGGTAAGGTGAGCAGAGTTGAGCCCATCTGATGCTACAGCTGATGGAGAAGCAGGTCTCATAAAGAATAATCTGGAGATGACAAAGAAACAAAAAGCCAAACAATAGCATCTCTACCCCCTACATAGCCTGTTTTATTTTCTTCTAGAACTGTTTTACCTATTCAAATCCTTAAATTTGACTCTCATAATAGTATTTTTATTGAATGCTTATTCTGTGTCTCACACTGGGCTAAATGTTTTACATTCATTTGTTAAAATTACTAATCTTCCACAATATCTCAGTAAATAAATTACTCTTTCAGTGTTGCCACAAAAGAATTGAGGCACATAAGAAACTTGCCTAAGTTCACAATCAAAGGAAGAGCGTGAATTCAATTTCAGATCATTTGCCCACTAGGTTGTAAGGAACATAAATTATTACCCATTCTTTTTATTATCATTTGTCATTAAAATAAAAATAATATGAGTTTGAACAAGATACCCTACTTTCTTTCAGTGGAAGAGCCACTGAAGACCATCTGAAAAGTTTTCTGTAAAAAGAAACAATTGCCCCCATGCCTCAGACAAGCTAAAAAACCAGTTGGAAGGTATTGCTTGGCATTCTAGTTTTGAAAGGCCAAGTTCCACTAAATAAAACCCTCACTTTGTGTATGTGTGTGGAAGTGATTAGTCATTTAATACTGGAAGCTCTACCTGGAACACATTTCTTAATACATTTTTTTCACATGCATGATGTCTTTCCACAATTTATTGCCACATTTTATTAAACTCTTGTTACCTAGCGTGTAATTGGAATCATCACTGATACATGAAACACGAGTATACAAATCTGAAAACGGAGTGGGGGCAGGTCAAAGAAATAACAGTGAAGCTAAATTTTAAAATGGCGGGGGAGACATAGACTGTACTGTTATGAATTGCTGCACCCTTTGCCAGCCCAGGGCGATTGCTTCCAGAAAAATCACCCATATAAACTCAATCCTCTGAATAAGAAATGATGGGGGTAAAACAGTAAAAACAGACCAAAAGCTACAAGAGAAAACAGGTGAATTACCACAATAGATGCCTTTACATTTTGACTCTTCAGAAATAGAAATTTTACCAGCATTAAATATAAATTTAACTTTGCCTTCTACTTCATGAGGCTTCTCTGGTTTCTCTCAATATCTTGCACCTTATTTCACAAGCTCTAGCTCGTGTATTTTCCTGTGAAATGTAACTGTGTCTATCCATGTCATAATTTTTCTCCCAAATGCTAGCACAGTGCCTGGCACAGTAGAACACAAGAAAAATGTTTTATGAATGAAACAATGGGTAAATAGTAAAGCTAGAAGTGGGAATTTTAAAAAAAAACTCTACAAGAAAACATTAGAAAGCTTGTTAGGCTCCTATGGAATCTTTTCACAGGTCAAATTACATCCTCTTTTTGTGAAATAACTACCTTTCTCAGTTTCAGTCTTTTAGAATATTTTTCTGAATTCAGTGACTCTCTTCTTTCATCTCCAGATTACAGCCTTATTTTTACCACAGAGCATTATATCTATTTTCAGGTACATTCAAGGGCCACATTGGAAATTTCACAGTAAAGACACAGTCACCTTTAGACAGAAAACATTATATTTATTTTACTGAGAGATAGGAAAATAACAACAAAATATGAAAGAAAGAAAATGAAGAATGTTTCTTATAATTTCTGCCATAATCAGGCACAATCATTCCTGTTTTCTAATTACCATTTTATTATCATCACTGACACCATAATTATTAATCATTATCCATTGCTTAAACATGGCTAACTGTGTATGAATTATCACATATTCTTATTACCAATTACCACCTGGGTATCTATGAAGATATGTAATCAAAATTTTTAATCTGATTCAGATTTTATAACATTTTAAAAACATTATTCTGATTCTAAAAAGAATCAGATTTTTTAGAGAAATATATAAAATGTGGAGATTACAAATAAAATGATTTAAAAGTACCCTTAATTCACAAATGTATTAGTCTGTTCTCATGTTGCTAATAAAGACATACCCAAGACTGGGTAATTTATAAAGGAAAGAGGTTGAATTGACTCACAGTTCAGGATGGCTGGGGAGGCCACAGGAAACTTAACAGCCATGGTGGAAGGGGAAGAAAACACATCCTTCATATGGCAGCAGCAAGGAGAAGAATGGGAGCCAAGCAAAGGGGGAAGCCCCTTATACAACCATCAGATCTGGTGAGAACTTACTCACTATCAC
The DNA here is from genome assembly GCF_000001405.40 of Homo sapiens. Classification (NCBI taxonomy): domain Eukaryota; kingdom Metazoa; phylum Chordata; class Mammalia; order Primates; family Hominidae; genus Homo; species Homo sapiens. The sequence goes on along the minus strand of NC_000008.11, from coordinate 104,836,880 downwards.
AAGGGTGAAACCACTTCCATGATTCGATTACTTCCAATCGGGTCTCTTCCATGACACATGGGGATTATGGGAAGTACAATTCAAGATGAGATTTGGGTAGGGACACAGCTAAACCATATCAACAAATTATCATCATTTTATTTTATATTACAAAGAAATTACAATAATGTCATGTATAAGGTAAACAGTGAAGTCCCTTTCTTCCACTGTTCCAAAACACAAATATCCACAGTCAAGGAGGACAGTCAGCTAACAAATACTGCCTGGGTGGGGCCCCCATGCACCAGGAATTGTTCTGGGTGTTTGGGACAGTGTTGAATGTGAGAAACAGAGCCTCTCTCCTCAAGAAACTTACATCCTAATGGCTACAAAAAAACTTCAGTAAGAAAATTAAGAAGATAAGTGTTACAAAGAAGATAAAGTAGGGTAAGGAAGTAAAAGGTAACTTATGGAAGCTCCTATCCTTAGGTCAGTCTGAAGGCCTCCCTGGGAAGATGACACTTGAGGGTAGACCTAGATCTCAGGAAAGAGCATTCCTAGCAAAAGGAGCATTCAGGAGCACAGGTCCTAATATGGAAATGAGTTTGGAATGTATGAGGGACAAAAAGAAGACCATCATTTCTGAAATGAGAGACATCATGGAGAAAGATAAAGTTAAAAAGTTAGGGAAGAGCCAGATCGAAGAGCATCTTTGGGAGTTTAGATTATATTCTGATTGTAATGGGAAGCCTTTAGAAGGGATTAAAGTGTTCAGAAAACCCCTAAAATTTCAGCCTGGCCACTGTATATATAGAGGAAAGGCTTTAGGAAGACAAGCAATGAGGCCAGGGTTGGCCAGGAGCCCATCACAGTTGTCCAGGCAAGAGTTGATGGTGACTCAGACTAAGCCTGGGGCAGTGAAGATGACGGATGGTGAAAGGCAGGAAGTATTTAGTAAAAGGATAGAACTTGCTGCAAAATTAGACATGGTAGGTGCAGAAAAAGAAAAATCAAAAATTCCCAGGTGACTCCTATTGACAGGAGGCATACATTCATTAGATGTTCTGCTCACATATGGTCTATCATAATCTGTAACTAGTTTCTAATACTTTACATGTTGATATTAGTAGCCACCATCTACTATGTATCAGATGCTTTACATAAACTATCTCAATTAATTCTCATTTAGCAACCTTATGAGACAAATATGTGCTATTATTAGCCCCATTTTATAAATAAGGAAATCAAATTAGAGATTATGTGGCTTATTCAAATTCACACAGCTAATAAGTGGTTGAAGTAGAAAAGAATCAAAGCAAGGCCTATGTGCCACTAAGCCACGCCCTTAATCACCATGGGATATATCTGATGAATGTGTCCACATTTACAACCAATTCCCCTTGTTACACATTTAGCTTGTCTTCAGATTATCCCTGCTAAAATAATGCAACTATGAGCATTATTGTGCATATACTTTTTTTTTTTTTTTTTTGAGGCGGAGTCTTGCTCTGTTGCCCAGACTAGAGTGCAGTGGCCCAATCTCAGCTCACTGCAATCTTCGCCTCTTGGGTTCAAACAATTCTCCTACCTCAGCCTCCCAAGTAGCTGGGATTACAGGCGTGCACCACCACACCCAGCTAACTTTTGTATTTTTAGTAGAGTCTGGGTTTCACTATGTTGGCCAGGCTGGTCTCAAACTTCTGACCTCAGGTGACCTGCCCGCCTCAGCCTCCCAAAGTGCTGGGTTACAGGCTTGAGCCACTGCACCCGGCCTATTGTGCATATAAACTTTTGTGATTATTTATTTAAAATAAATTCCTAGAAGCTACATAGGTACAATAAAATTATAAAAAATTTAAAGACATTTTACACACATACAAAATTGATTACTTTCCAGTTTTACCCATTTAAAGCTTAACTAGCAGTGAATGCAACTAATTTATGCATCATCATTATTTTCATAATAATTTAAATTTCTGCATTGTATACTGACTGTTCTCACACACCTAGAAAGAGACAGAACTAGAATGTGCACGTGAACAGGCTGACACCAGATACACCAGTGGTCCCCAACATTTTTGGCATCAGGGATCGGTTTCATGGAAGACAGTTTTTCCACAGATCGGGGATAAGGGGTTGGGCAGATGGGCAGAGATGGTTTCGAGATGAAACTGTTCCACTCAGATCTTCAGCATTAGATTCTCAGGAGGAACACACAACCTAGATCCCTTGCATGCACAGTTCACAACAGGGTTTGTGCTCCTATAAGAATCTAATGCTGCCACTGATTCTTAGCGGAGCTCTTATGGTAATGCCTGCTCCCCTGCCGCTCACCTCCTACTGTGTGGCGGGGCGCAGTTCCTAACCACTACTGGTCTGCAGCCCAGGGACTGGGGAACCCCAGCTTAATATAAGTAATTGAGTTAGAGATCCAAGTTATTTTTCTCAAATTTTAAATCATGTAATCCAACACCACTTTTTGGATTATAAAATTTTTCACAATTGACCTGAACTATCTGAAGTGACAAGTTAATAATAATAATTATTAAATTAACCATTTAGTATATGATAGGTGCCACACAAAACACAGGTTGACAGCAACCACAAATTAATAACCATTATATCCTCATATTTTCATGGAGTAAATTTATTTTTATGCACATATGTAAAGGCCTATGTTTTGAGTAAGGCTAGCTGCCATAACAAAACATGCCAAAATATTAATGGATTAACACAAAATAAATGTGTATCTTAATCATATCGAATCCAAAACAGTTTTGCTGATTGCCAGATATATCTCCTGCAAGCAGGGATTCAGGAACCCAGAACGTTCCAAGCTGAGACTTCACTTCAGCATGTGCTTACAAGGTGTCTGTGCTGGTCTGTCTCAAGCCAGCAGAAGGAGAAGGAACATGGAGGATTCCCCTGCCTCCATGAGAATTTTTTATGGGGAGGTGAATTCCATTGACTAGAACTCAAACATGTGGCCACCTCTAACTGCAGGAGAAGACAGGAAATGTAGTATCTCTGTATGCCTGGGAAGAATAGGAAATGCATGTTTAAAAACCACCACAGTCCAGGCAACAGTCTATCAGGGCTTGTTATCTTTTTCACTGATCCATGTGTGTGCACTTGTGTCATTTCTGCACTGATTATCCAGTAGCATAAAGCCTCTTTATTATTATTCTTTCTCAAAATTATCTTGGTTGTTCTGATAAATTTATAATCCCTTTCCCATAAAAGTCAAGTTGCAATAATAGAAACATAAAAGTCTATAAACAATAGAAAAATTCTTTAGGCCAACCGCCGTGGCTCACGCCTGTAATCCCAACACTTTGGGAGGCCAAGGCGATCGGATCGCTTGAGCCCAAGAGTTGGAGATGAGCCCGGGCAAAACAGCAAAACTCCATCTATAGAAAAAAAAGGAAAAAATTAGCTGGCAGTGGTGGCACATACCTCTAGTCCCAGCCACTCAGGAGGCTGTGGTGGGAGGATCGCTTGGGCCTTGGAGGTGGAAGTTGCAGTGAGCCGAGATCGCAGCACCACTGCACTCCAGCCTTGGTGACAGAGTGAGACCCTGTCTCAAAAAAAAAAAAAAGTATTTAACCTCATGGGTAGCCAAACACTTTATATTTTTTAAATATATCAAATTTTCAAGTATTTAAAATAATAACTAAAGCCAGGATCATGCACTAAAGTCAATATTCTTGAACATGTACATTAGTATAAAACTTTACGTATGGTAGAGGGAGAGAAGTCTGAAATTTGGAAATATAAAACAAAAGCTATAAGTGGTCCACAGCCTTTAATAAGTTATTTTTTATTCCTTCCTCTTTAGTAATAAAAGCACTTTTAAAAATCTGATCATTTCATATCATTATGGCTCTGGAAAAAATCTCAGATTAAATACTGTGTTCTCATTGCTAGTATTTTGTAAATTATTTATTAACTACAATCTTAACATATAGTTAATAATTATTTAGAAAACTAAAGTATAAGTGGTTGTAAATTCAGAAAAAATTAATTTTCTTTCATTGCATAGTAAAGAAAGTGATCTATTTAAATCATTTTGAGGAACTGAATGAGGCTTTTTTGTGGCCTAGTATATGATTATTTTATAAATGTTTCATGAGCCACCTCAAAAACAAGGTGAAACGTTCTGCATATTTAGTAGACAAAATTAGATGTAGAGGCCTATATGTAGGTTAATTTTATAAATACTAATTAAATCTTTTAGTAATATTTTCCCAATTCTATGTATTAAATAAGGATGCACTTAAGTCTTCCAATACTGTGTTTCTGACAATTACTCCTTATATTTTGATAACTTTTGTATTTATGTATTTTAACCATTGTTATAAACACTGTATCCAAGTCTATACATCTGACTGAAATGTTCATTGTCAGTTCAGTTCATATATAACTTTTTAGTTTAGGGTTTGTGTGTTTGTTTGTTTGTTTTCAGATGGTCTTGGCTCCGTTGCCCAGGCTGGAGTGCAGTGATGCAATCAACCTCACTACATCCTCGGCCTCCACGGCTCAACGAATCCTCCCTCAGCTTCATCCCTTAGCTTCCCAAGTAGCTAGAACCACAGGCCCACTACCATGCTTGGCTAATTTTTTTTTGTAATTTTTGTGGACAGTGTCTCACTATGTTGCCCAGACTGGTCTCAAACTCTTGGACTTGAGCTATCCTCCCAAAGTGCTGGGATTATAGACATGAGCCACCATGTGTGGCATTTTTTAATTGTTGAGTCTCTTATTTTGATTCATTTCTCATTTGGCAGAATATATTTTGAGTAACTTTTTAGTAAAGGACATGTGAAATATATTTAATTGTGTCTAAATCTGATTATGTCCTTCTATTAACTTCACATCTTAACAGCAATGCAGCTAGATGTAAATTTCTGGAGTCAAAAATTTTTCCCTTCAAAATTATATAAACATTATGCCATTATGTCAAAGCATTTAATGTTAGGCAGCCTAACTTTTCTACTTTTGTAGGTAATTTTTTTCCTTCCTGAAATCTTGCTTATAAGATTCTTTATTGTGATTTTAAATTTTCTATAGGATAGAGATACTAATTTCCTCTCTTTAATTTTGCCAGGTACACAGAGATCTTATTCTATGCGTGCTCTGAGATATTTCTTTACCCTCTTTCTATTCCATTTATGAGTATTACTTCTATTCCATTTATTACCAACTCATCTTTAGAAACATAAATTATCTTTAGCCTAAATTTCTATCCTTTGTTATCCATAGCTATATTCTTCTCTTTAATTATCACTGCTTATTTGAGTTTCTCCCATCTTCTAAAACAGTCTTAATAATTTTCTTTAAAATAATTTTGACTTTATGCATTGTATATTGTTATTTCCAATTTCTAGTTAATATACCAGCTGTTACTGCATTTTAGTTTCCTTTAAAACTTGCTTTATTACATATAGCATCCTCTTTCCAAGCTTATATTTTTATATTATTCAAAAATCAAATACATATTATGTAAAATGTACTGTTTATTTTAATGAATTGTTTCAAATGTTTCTTCTACACAATCTTGAGAATTATTGTCCATCTTTTATTTTGTAGAATTTTTTCCTGGATCCCTTTTCCTTCTGTTTCCTCGTCCAAAAACGAGGAGAGAGCAATCAGATCTATTATCTTTCTATAAACTGAGTTGACAGGCTTTTCTCAGCTCCCTTCACTTTCTTTCTTTCAGATCTTAAGTCAGAGGAATGTTTTATGTAAACAGCAATGCCAGTTAAACAATTCTGCAAGCTGAAGAGAATAAGTGCAAAGTCAGAGCTATGGAAATAACCAGTAAAAAGCTAAATGATGAGTCCTAAATGATAAGTAGATGTTACTCAATGGATTGGAAAAGGGGGGTTGATGAGAAATTTAGGGGAATTTCTAATACCTGCAGCATGGAGGAGAAAGAAAGCATAATACTTTAGGGAAATGCAAACTAATGGTCCGTAGGTTCCAGATCATTCCATTCATTCCTTGCTTCACTCATAAATTTGCACTGTGCTATAAACAAGCATTTTCAAATATGTGTCCCACTCCAAACTAGTCCTGCAAGACACTTCATGAAAAAGAAATGGATCTCTTCATCAAGTAAGTTTGGGAAACTTTGCATATTATATTCCTCCCCCTTTTGGAGATTCACTAGGGACATTAACATTAAGGATCTTGAGAAGACCTATTGTAAACAAAACTGCTTAATCTTAACTTACAATTTCTCACATCTTGTCTTTAATATCTACTAATATTCTATGGCAGTTATTGGAAAAGACTTTGGGAATTGCTGCTGTCGTCCACGGAGAGTTATTGAATGGCTTTTAACACAGAAGAGACAGGATCAGATTTGCATTTGCAAAGATTACACTGAATGCTGTAAGAATAAATTAGTGGGTACAAAACTAGAGGAAGAAAGGTAAAGTACCAGTTATTTTTATAATCCAAAGCAGAAACTTAACTATGGAAATAGAGAAATCTGTGGATGTCCTTTAGTGTCACTATAGACGTTTAGAGAGAAAAAAACCAAAACATGTCTTTTGGAGTTTACAGGGAATGACAAAAAAAGCCAGCTCTGGATGCTTTTTCACTGTCTATGCCCAGATATTACATAAAGCCCATTTCCAGAAGAACTGTGACCAGAACTTCAACCTTCAATTTTGTCTCTTCAAATTTCTTACAGCACAGAATCTCAGCACACTTCTAGTTGTTTTTCACTCCTTAAATTGGATAAAGGACAATTTTGTCCTTTGTGTTTCCTTTGCCATTTTCAACTACATTTATTCCTGAATTGTTCTATCCATTTTTCTTTAAAAGAGTTATCTTATTTTTGTTCCTTAAGAGTTTGCTGTTTTCTTGAGAGGCAGAGCACAACGTCGCAGCTAAATAGCCCAGGTCACAGAGATCACTAGATCCATTTTATTTCTCTAGTCAGCTCCGCCAAACCTTTACAATATGACTCTGGCTCCAGTTGATTTATTTTTACTCTTCACACTAAAAATTGGAAAGTTTTTTACATAAAATTGTTCTTCTTACCACTCCCCTCCAACCATGCATTCATGAAAATAATCAATATATCCTTTAAAAAGGGAGGTTACAGAGAACTATTGGGGCATTTCTGCCATAGTAATTCCATTTTGTTATTTTTCTATAAACTCAAATTCCTTATTCCCATTACTTTTAACACAATAGTAAATAAATTTCTTAACACTGAATGCTATGAACTAACAGGAGTTGAGTAATTTAATCTAAGACCAACCTATCATTATAACATGTTGATACTAGGAAATACGTAGATTGTCCTGAATACCCTTACCAGAAATTTGGGTAGTGGTTATACTAGAAGATCCATTTTTTAAAATATGTTTTAATTTCTTTTATTCTGACCTACCTCTGCAGGAAAAATATATATGAGCTAATCTAACCTCTCGGAGAACATAATATATTGTGAAATCTATTATAATCAATCACTGAAACTCCAGTGGACTTCCCTATTATAGGACAGTCCTAACTGATCTTGCTGAAGAGAATTTAAATCATCCCCCATCACTGCAACATCAACATGAGCATTTATTAATCACCCAGTCTTTTCAAAATTGTTTGGTAAGCCCTTTGGATACGTGTTTGGTTTAACATTTAAAAACCATGAGACTTCAATGAGCTTTTCTTTCCTGGTTGTATATTTTCTCATATATTAAATGGAGGTAATTCCACCACCTACCTCTTATACCTTGTGCTGGGGGTAGAAGTTACTTTTCAATTGGGCTGTCAGGGAAATGCCCCTTTGAAAAGACAGCATTTGGGCAAAGAACTGAAGGAAATGAGAACATAAGATGAGCAACTATCTGGGGGGAGAGGCACTACAGGCGGAGGGAGCAAAAGTGCAAAGTCCCTTAAGTGGGAGAATACCTGGCTACTTTAAGGAACAGCAGGAAAGCCAGTCTGACAGGAACAGAGTTAGTGCAAGAGAGCACAGAACTGGTTGAGATCCTAGAAGTAAAGGGGCCAGATTGTGTAGGGCCTTGTAGGCATCTAAGGAATTTTACTCTGAATGAGATGGGAAGCTAATCAAACATTTTGATCAGAAGAATGGTCACTGTTCTCTCAAAAAAATAGAAACAACTCCAGGTATTTCAGGCAATAATGGATTTATACAGGGAATTCATGTTTATAAAATCATTAGCAGGGTTACAGTAATGAAGATCAGAGAAAGCTACTGCCAACTAGTTCTTATGTTGATTACTAAATTTCAGAGAGTCAGAAAGTGATAGAAATTTCAGAAACAGCTGCAAAACTACCAACATAGAGGCAGGTAATTCAGAGAAAAATTCCTGAGGCTCCTACAATATCTCATTTCTACCAAAATTTATACAACCTCTGTTTTGCTAGAGGAACAATAATACGGCCTCTGTACCATATTCTTCTGTTTCTTCAATTCCACTTTCCAAATCTCTAGTAATTTTCACCAATTGTTGTCATTTAGCCTAGAATTCTAGTGGCAGGAATTCAGGGTAATACAGTTTTTAGGCTTCCAACTTCTAGGTTACAAAAGGGAATATAAAAAGAATGGAAAGAAGCTCATATGCCAATACACAATTCAGTACAAGTAACATAATCAGGCTTCTGTTTTAAAAGCATCAGGAAGGAAGGCTTCAGTGTTGGAACAGTCTGCAGGAATGCAAAAGTGGAAGCAGAGAGGTTCATTAAAATGTTGTTAAATAATCCATGCCAGAGAAAATAGAGACTTGGATGAGGATATTAATATTAATAGTAGAGGGAATTTGATGGTGATATTTTGGTGATTAAAGGTAGAAATGGCAGGACTTTCTGATACATTGGATGTAGAGTAGACAGCAAATGAGAAATCAAGAATAACTCCAACATTTTTGACATGAAGATCTGGGAAGATAGTGTTTCCATTTATTTACATGGGAAAACCACAAAATGAACAGATTGGAAGAAGGGAGGGGATCAGAAGTTGGATTTAGACCAGCAATACCCCAACTTTAATTTGTATCAGAATTATTCCGAGGCCTTGTTAAAATACAAATTGCAGTGCCTTCAACTCAAGAGTTTCTAGTTTAGGAGTCTTGGATAGGGACTGAGACTTTGCTTTTCTAGAAAGTTCCCAGATGATCCTGATGCTGGTGGGCCAGGGAATACACTTTGAGAAACACTATTTTAAGAAATGATAAACAACAGAACTTCCTATAGACTTTTTTTAAAGTGTGTAGAAGAAATCTACAAAAATTTTCTTGCATTTAATAAAATGGAAATATAACAATTGTGGTGTTGTCTTTGAGTATCTGAAAGATATCAGTACCAATTGGCTTACCAATCTTCTAAATTTGAGCTTTCGTGCCTCAAATACTTTATAGATTAATAAATGATTTTACTATTGCTTACGCTGAGGAAGAAGACTTGAAGCCAAGAAGACTTGTAGGCCCAGCTACTTGGGAGGCTGAGGTGGGAGGAATGCTTGAGCCCCAGAGTTCAAGTCCAGCCTGGGTACCATAGCAAGTCCCTGTCTGTAAAAAAATATTTTTTTAAGAAAGAGAAAGAATAATTAAATATTTATGTTTGTATTGTTTCGGAATTTTTATATTTTCTCTTCCAGCAAGAGTAAAGGTTAAAAGATTTGAAACAAGTTTCCACGTTTCAATAAAAATAGCACTTGGAATAGCTACATTTACATAACTGAATCCACATAAAAATTATTTTGGAAGGTGTTAACATTTCCCCTTTAGAGATGAGGAAACTGATTTTCAAAGAGGTTAAATAATGTGTCTGAGTTCATACAGCTGGTAAGCCTTAGACTCTGAATTCACAAATGGGTAAGGTGATTTTAAAGTATGGGTTCTTTCCATTGTTTCCCAAACTCACTTGTTATCAAAAAGTTCATGGAAAATGCATATAATGAAAAAACTATGCATGACTTCAAAATGTTTTTGCACCAAAATAAACTCATACTAATTTATAACAGGCCTAAATAAGATCAAGTTTGAGGCACTTAGAAGAAAAAGACATTAGTTTGAAAAAAAAAAAAAAAGCCATGTCAGAGTAAAATGAATTCTTCTAAAATTGAAGCAAGAACAAATTTAGGGTAGATCTGGGGTGAAAGAAGGGTAAAATGCTTTATGAGAAGTTTACGGGAACACTGTCCCAAAGAAGTCAGCAGTTCACAAATGGTTAACTTATTTTAATAAGGGACAAGATGATGTTGAAGATGAAGCCTGTAGCAGCAGACCTTCCATATCAATTCATAAGGAAAGAATTTCTCTCATTCAAGCCCTAATTGAAAAGGACTGATAATGGACAGCACAAACAACGGCCAACACCATAGACATCTCCACTGGTTTAGCTTACACAATTCTGACTGAAAAATTGAAGTTCAGCCAAATTTCCACTTGATTACAGATGCCCAGGACCCCTCTTTGGAAATTCTGGTTCTTTGTATTTAAGATGTGCTTCGGATTTTTACACAAAATGATAGCACCCACATCAGCTACTGACAAGAACCAAGCTGTCAATGAAAATTTTAAACAAGTGGGATCAAAATCCTGAAGCTTTTCTTCAAAGAATTGTAAGAAGAGATGAAATATGGCTTTACCAGTACAATCCTGAAGACAAAGTACAGTCAAAGCAATGGCTACCAAGAGATGGAAGTGGTCCAGTCAAAGCAAAAGCAGACCAATCAAGAGCAAACGTGATGGCAACCAGTTTTCTGGGATACTCAGGGCATTTTGCTCGTTGACTTTCTGGAGGACCAAATAATGATAACATCTACTTACTATAAAAGCATTTTGAGAGTTAGCCAAAGCTTTAGCAAAAAAAAAAAAAAAAAAAAAAAAAAAAAATCTGGAAAAGCTTCACCAGAAAGTCCTTATCCACCACCACAACATTTCTACTCATTCCTTTCATCAAAAAAGGGCAATTTTGCAAGAGTTTCAATGGAGAGCCATTAGGCATCCACCTTACAGTCTTGATTGGGCTTTTTCTGACTTCTTTTTGTTCTCTAATCTTAAAAAGTCTGTAAAGTGCACCCATTTTTCTTTAGTTGATCATATACAAATGACTGCATTGACACAGTTAAATTCCAAGCACCCTCAGTTCTTTAGGGATGGACTAAATGGCAGATCTCATTGCTTACAAAAGTGTCTTGACCTTGATGGAGTTTATGTTGAGAAATAAGGTTTATGTTTTTCATTTTTATCTTTTAATTCTCCATGAATTTTTGAAGTCCCCTAATGTAATCTTCTGGAGTATTTATTAAACATTCAGCATTATAAACACATCCTAAACCTAAAGAACCAGAATTTCTAAAGAAAGTTCCTGAGGATCTGTAATGTTTAGCCTTGGCACAGGCAAGTTTGAGAAACACTACAGCACACCCTGCCCAGAATGCCTAGTATAGATGAGTTTAGACATGCAGAAGGGAAAATATAGACACTTTCAAGTGTTATCTCATTCATAGGATATTAATTTTTAAAGATAATTAATAAGATGTATTTATATTTATTTATAGTTCTATAATAGTTATTTTCTCCAAAAGTTTTGGGGTAATGCTAGGCATTTCTGTATTCAAAATATCTTCCCGTTTCCTTTAAAATATTTTTATTACATTGCTCAGGAGACATAAAAGTTATGATACCAGAATAGGATCAATCATAAATCCTACAGATGTATTTGATTTAAAAGAAGAATATATTTGCTGTGAAGAAAAGAAAAAAAATCAGTGGAAGTATTCATATCTTTCATACAGCTCATGGAATTTCTGGATAAACATTGAGCAAATATTGTACCAAATTATAACATAATAGGACAAAGTTATTCAAAGAAATTCTTGGTCTACAAAGAAAAGTAAATTCCCCAATTCTAAATGTACTCATTTCTGCTCTGTTAAAGAGAATCATGTTCAGACTGAAAGGAATACAATTAATACCAGTAAGCCAAAGAGGGGTGAAAAAAATCATAAAAGGTTGTCTTCATATTCTAAATAAATTACAGTCACTTGTTTCAACCAAAATACATTCCAGAGAGGGGAAGGGAAACATGTACTGGTGGTGATGGATTGGATTTTGTTGAGCTTCCTCAAAACGGCTATTCTGAATTATCTTTCTGAAAGGTTACATATCTCTGTCTCTCTGGGATTGGTCATTGGTGCCTTATTTAGTTCTCCTGGTGGGGTTATGTTTTCCTTGATGGTCATGTTTTCCTTAATGGTCTTGATGCCTGTGGATCTTTGTCTGTGTCTGGGCATGGAAGAGTTAAGTATTTATTGTCTTCACAGTCTGGGCTTGTTCATACCCATCCTTCTTGGGAAGGTTTTCCAGATATTTGAGGAAACCCATCCTTCTTGGGAATGTTTTCCAGGTATTCCAGGACTTGAGTGTTATGATCTATGACTTTAGTAACTGCAACAATATCTGCTTTAGGGGGCACCCCAATCCCAGTAACACTTTGGCTCCTGCAGATTCACAGAGACACTATGTTAGTAGTCTTGGGTAAGATCCAGAAGAATTTCCTGGACTACCAGGCAGAAACTATTGTTTCCTTAATATGATGTTAAAATCAGGTACTGTGACTGCATTCATCTGATTTTTCATTCCTATGAAGGTGCTTTTTTGTGCAGATAGTTGTTCAATTTGGTGTTCCTGTTGGGGGAACAATCACTGGAGACTTCTATTCAGCCATCTTGTTTCACCTCCCTCTATTGATCTCATCTTTATGTCCATATATACTGAATGTTTAGCTCCCACTTTTAAATGAGAACATGCAGTATTTGGTTTTCTATTCCTGCATCAATTCACTTAGCTTAATGGCCTCCAGCTGCATCCATATGGCTGCAAAGGACATGATTTTGTTCTTTTATGGCTGCATAATATTCCATGGTGTATATGTACCACATTTTCTTTATCCAATCTACCATTGATGAGCATCCAGGTTGATTTCATGTCTTTGCTATTGTAAATAGGCCTATGTAATATGAGTGCCTATGTCTTTTTGGTAGAACAATTTATTTTCCTTTAGATATATTCTTAGTAATGGGATTGCTAGATTAAATGGCAGTTTTGTTTTAAGTTCTTTGAGAATCTCCAAATTGCTTTCCACAGTGGCCTAATTCATGTTCCCACAAACAGTATATAAGCATTTCATTTTATCCTCAACCTCACTAACATCTGTTACTTTTTGACTTTTTTTTGAGACAGAGTCTTGCTCTGTCACCCAGGATGGATTACAATGGTATGATCTCAACTCACTGAAACCTCCATCTCCCAGATTCAAGCGATTCGCCTGCCCCAGCCTCCTGAGTAGCTGAGATTACAGGTGTGCGCCACCACGCCTGGCTAATTTTTGTATTTTTAGTCAAGACAGGGTTTCACCATGTTGGCCAGGCTGGTCTTGAACTCCTGACCTCAGGTGATCTGTCTATCTCATCCTCCCAAAGTGCTGGGATTACAGGCATGAGCCACTGAGCCTGGCCTACTTTTTGACTTTTTAGTAATAGCCATTCTGACTGGTGTGAGATGGTATTTCATTGTGGTTTTTACCTGCATTTCTCTAATGATTAGTGATGTTAAGCATTTTTTCATATGCTTGTTGACCACAGATACGTCTTCTTTTGAAAAGTGTCTGTTCACGTCATTTGCCCACTTTTTAATAGGGTTGTTTCTTACTTGTTGAATTGTTTAACTTCTCTATAGATTCTGAATATTAGGCCTCTCTCAGATGCATAGTTTATGAAGGTCTTCTTTTGGATCTGAAAGTGTTTCTTCAAGAAAACAGAATCAAGTGTGAGTGATAAGAAATAATGGATTCATAATAAAGACTAGACCTTATGTAGTTGTGGGAACTAGTGAAGAAGTCTGGTCCTGAACTCACTGTAGGTCAGTGAAGCAGAAAAATCAAAAGATAAGCTCTAAGTGAAGAATGGTATAGTTAGGAAAAACCAAAACCTGCATCTGTGGGTTGCACCCTGCAACCTCAGTGACATAGGTGATCTGCAAAACAAGTTGGTACCCTACACCTTGGAGGTGCCCCTAAGCCTGGCCCAAAGCTAGGTGACATCGAAAGGGAATATTCATCAGTGGGTACTAGAGGATTGTGGGCTGAGTAACTGTGTCATGTTCATTCACAGTGAGTCTGCAGATCGGGGGCAATGTGCATGAGCTGAGGTGGTACCCAATACCCTCTCTGATCTTCAGAGCATATAGGCTACTGCTTCAGTCTGCCTTCCATATCTCACACAATTTCCCCAAACAGCAACCATACAGTTAATCAAATTCTGGGAAATGCAGCTCCAGCTTAGCTCATTTGCCACGGCACAAAGTCATTAAAGCCCAACCCTTGTTAACTTGGCACTCGCACATACTTCTTTTAACCTTATTTAACTTCTAAATTAATAGCAAATGTATGCTTCCACCTAACATGATACAGCTATCCTTCATATGACTGAAATGTGCAAAATCTCTCACCAAAAAATGATACAAAAATGTATTTTTTTTGTGGGTAACACTCTTTCTTCTTTTTGCTGAATATCCCACTTAAATATCCTGTAGATTAAATGTTGAGATACAAGTTTAACTATTTCTTTTAATACAATTTATGGTAAATGGTAAGGGGATGGGAGAGGGGGAAAAGAATTAATAAGTACCCTAATATAGTCATCTCAATGTAAGAAAGTACTACTCAAAAACTATATGCATACACGCTTCCCGATCACACTCAAAAACTATTATAAATGGACACTGTTTACATTGTAAGTTGTAATATCTATTTGAATTACGATTATTTGTTTATGAATCTATTTCCTCCACTAGATTATGAGCTTATTCATGGCAGAAAATATATATTGTCCATTGCTGTATCCATAGCAACAAGCACAGTGTTTGACATGTACTCAATATATATCTGATGAACCCTGAATGTCTGTAATTTTATCATTATTTATCAATGAATAGAACACTGCTGGCATAGAGCTTTTAGGTATTTGACTATTTGAATAAGAAAGGCCAAGGTCAAAGAAATTTGAGGACAGAAGCATTTAGTTGTTCACATTCTATGAGTTGAGGAGCCTTATGTATCCAACCAGCAAGAAAGCATGTATTTCCATATATAATGGAGCGCAGAAGGGTAGGGAAACATTAGAAAGAAGAATACTCCAGTTCCAGTCTCAGATCTCAATTTAATTCATTAAGTAACCTTGGAAAACTTACCTAACCTCTCTGGGCTTCAGTTTCATCTACATAAATGAGGAAATGAGCCCAAGCATTTCGTAGATCTTTCCCAACTATAATTCCATTGTATCTATTACAATTAGAGCCCTCCTTCAAATTAGGCCAAAATACTAGAGCCCTGATCACCAGAAGTCACTGACCCTTACTTGGGTTAGAGTGAATGCTTTGGTTAGATTATCAGATTCTCTGTCAGTTTAGAAGAAGATATAGATGGCTTCAAATACTAGCGTAAAATAGAATGACTGAATTATGTCTACATAAATCCCCGTGTATCCTATCCCTAGACAGGATAAACAAAGTTTCACATATAACAACTGTGGAAGCTGTAGGAGCCATGCTTGTGACAAGCAGACCCTAGATGGCCAGGGAGCATCTCAAAGCTCTAAAGAGGAACGTAGATGGCCAGGGAGTATCTCAAAGCTCTAAAGAGAAACATAGATCCTTGTAAGTTCAGCATGACCTCTAGATTTCCTGGAAATATATGCAAGTAGGCAACAAAAAGGACAGGAGTGGAGACGACACAATACCAGCCACGAAGTGGATGCCAAAAGATAGAGCCAGGAAGAACCGCCAACATGAAGTCCCTATTATGTATCAGATTGTGTTCTGACCTTTACAAGGATCATATCCCTTAATCCTCCCAGCAACCCAACTAAACCAGAATTGCGATCCCTTTAATGAAGAAATAAAAGTGAAACAACTTGTTCAGTATTGTGACAATCATTTTTATCAATCACTAATATAGAGGCAAATAATTTTTCAGTCAATTTAAGATATATCAGAATGAAAATAAAAATAGCAAGTATTGATAGAGAATCCCTGGGACATTTCTCTCTTCCAGGGACCTACCTTCTTCCTCGGGAGGACTCTAAGGATGAGATTTTCATCGGTTGGTTACCAGATTGTTTTCTAAAATAATGATAAACACAAACATGGCTGATACAATTTGACAATACAGGGTTTCATTTTAGTGTTCAAAACTGCCATTAAAATGAAAGATATAATTGTCACAGCATAATTTTTAAGGATATATATTTTGCTGGGGTGTGGGGTGATGGTTAACCATTGTCTGCCTGGACTCAAATTTTTAAGGTCTCTGGTGGTCCAATGTACCCCTAAACACCAGTCACTTTTGATATAATTACACTTTTAGTCCTTTTCTTCCCTGGCCATTACTATGAAGTACAAGTATTTGCATGTGTGTGTGTGTGTGTGTGTGTGTGTGCGCACGTGTATTTGTGTGTGTATGTGTCTGTGTGTGTGTATAATGTGCATGCAATGCATGCATGGCTGTGGGGATTACATTCATTTTAAAAATTAAAGTTTACTTAAATTTTTATGTGTACTCTATAGAGCCCTGCCTCTGTATAAGTGCTCATTCATCTAGAAAGGAAAGACTCCACTCTAGCTGCACCTCTGGAACTAGATAGTATTTCATCAGACTACTAAACATCTTTGAAAACTTAATGTAAGTCTATATAAAAATTATATTCAATTTATGAACACTTTTTACTTTCAAGATCTTAGTATCATATCCATAGTATAACAGAATAATACCTAGACAGGCAATAAAAATATACAATGGAGGAAGAGGACAAAGCCTGTTCTCAACAGACAAAATAGGATATGAAGCTGTTAAGACAAGAAGAAAACCCAAACAGACCACAGAAAGTGGCATAAGGGCAACAATAAAGAACTAAAAAGGAGGCCTTCAAAAGTATTACAACAGATAGGGACACCATGCATGGAATGAAAGAAACAATACAAAACCAATATGGAATGAAGTCCTACATAGGAAAACAGGGTCTTGAGGTCCTTCCAATTCTCAAATTCTGTAGTTTATAACTGTAGTTTTAAAACAGTTGCTTAATGAAGTACCTTCAAACTGCAACACATTTTCCATGAAGAAGACACACAAGGACTGCTTATTCTCAGGCTCTAGCTGAGAAAAACAAAAACTCCTTTCTGGGTTCCACCTGAGCTGGAACGCATGTTTAAATCTCCTTCCTCTGTGACAAGTTGTCAGGTCTGGCACATACAGAAACCTATCAAAATATAAACTGACAAACTTCAAAGCCCATGGAAGGCCTGGCCCTGTCAGATGGCTGGAGGGAAGAAAAGTACCCCAGATGCCTGCACTCCGAAACTTTCTAATAAGAGTAGCAACGTAAAATATTACACACTTCAAAGCACCAATGTTATAAACTTCTGCCTCACAAAAGCTGTTCCCAAATATGTCCTCTAACAGGAAAGCTCGCCATGAATCTTTCTTGAAGGCAATGCACATTTTAATGAATGCTAACATGTTTGCAAACATAATGAAAATAGTATTTCCCACAGAGCAGAGTGAGATTATTTGAATAAAATATCTGCCTTTGGACATGAGACTCTGCTGATGATCACGGTAGGATCTGTGCTTTATTTGTGGATTAGAAGCCACAGTGCAGTATGGATATGTGCTTTATGAGAACTGGCTGAGGAAACCTCTCACCCGCTGACATCTGCCCAGATTGCCACTGTTTTAAATCTCCGCATCTGAATTTTAGAAGCTAAAATTTTGGCACTGCTAAAAGAGCCATGTCTCTAAATGGGGAAGTCTCATGAGGGGATAAAATTCAATACCAGAATTTCAAATATTTTATCATTGTAGAACAGAAACTGACACAGAAAGGAAATACAATGAAAATGGCTGAATCACAGGACCCCAACAAACTGAAAAAATGGTGGCATTTCAATTATAATGGAGCTACTACACCCTTGGGAAGGATGAACACATGTCTCATAGGTATTTGTTTTGATTGGCAGATACCTTTTTCATTATCAGGGAGCAGGTTCTAGATTCCACGTCTCTCTGATACCATATAAGACTCTGTCTTTGTTAAATAAATACAGAAATCTGGAGGTATTTGTTCCTGCTAAAAAACAAAACAAAACAAAACAAAACAAACAAAAAAAAAAACAACTGCCTCAGACAGCAGTTCACATTTCTCTCCAAATCTCTCCCACTTTAAATATTCTTTAGTTACTTCTGTATGCATTTGGTGTCATAGCCCTTTCTTCAATAACGGCTCATCTTCTCTGTAACAAGGCCCTGACTTAGACATGCCTATAGGTAGAAGCCACAACAGAAAAAGATCAATAGAAAGTAGGGTGCTGATTCAGCATCAGGAAACAAAAGATAACCAAACTTTTAAAAGGTTATTAGAATGCACAAGAAAAAATACTCAAACCTGGCCCGTATGAGAAAGCAACTACCACAAATCAATTTCAAAACCTCAATAGTTTAACAGAATCTGACCTGTCATTTATAGGAAGCCCAATTGGCTGGAGTAGTAGTGCAGGTGGGTGTTGGGCTCTCTGCAGTTTTTCAGGTCCCACACTAACAGAATTTTCCAAAGTCACTCTGGGTGTCAGCATCTAGCCAGCAGACAAGGGAAGAGAGATGGTGGAGGATCGCATGAGAGGTGCTTTGAAACAGGATTCTAAATGGTGTGCCTTTCTTTTGGCTGTATCCCATTGTCCAGTACTCAGTCACACAGCCACACCTAAAGTGCAAAAGAGGCTGAAAAATGTAGTTCAGGGATGTGCTTGGAAGGTTTGGTGAACCACTATCCAGTCTCTGCTATACCTCATTAGTTTGGATCAAATTGTTTCAGGGGAACTTGAGTTGACCTATAGTACATGCAAATGACTGACAAATAACAATAAACCTGATGATAGATACTAGATATTGAATACTTTCAAGTAATCCTTTGATTCCCCAAAGGAGAATAAAGTGGAATACAGTGATAATGTACAATTCAGTATACTCATTCAGGGCTGGGACCATGTTCATCTTGCTATCCACTATGTCCTGACAACACCTCATCTGGCAAATGTATGTGCGTGATAAATATTTGTTGAATATATTAAATAAATATCTACTTTGAACTCAAATTCAGAGGGCTATACTCTCATCACCTAGAGGTCAGGGAAACTTTTTCTTGTAGAACAAGACATAGTTCTTTCACTTGAGGGAAACCTAAAGCTGGCTTCCATGTTCTACATGTCATAGGCCCCTGTGCTTCCTAGAAACAAACTTGGAACCAAAAGACAAACTCCAGGCCCATGGGCTGCCCAGTGGGTCCAACCTCAACCCATCATCTTAAACAAGGACAGGCAGCTGGAGCCAGGGCTCTGCAGCCAGACTTCAGAGTGTGACTCTGACTTTGCCAATTGCTATTAGGTGACCAGAGGCAACATAGTTAACTACTCCCTGGCTCAGTTTCCCCATCTGTAAATTTGAGGTAATAATGCCCACCTAACTTCATTGTTGGAAATATTAAAATAATTAACACATGTAAAAGCACTTAGATGAGAGCCTGCCCAATAGTAACTACTCAATAAATATTAGCTGTAATGAATGGCATGCCCACGCCTTTGCAGAAGCAGACACTAAATCATGGTTGGGTTGCCCCAATTGTAGTTTCTAATACAAATATCTTTGTCATATTTCCCATGTTATTGATATTATGACTTGCATTTAAGGTATCCACTGAGAGCCAAGATTGTAGGAATGAAAACTAATGTTTAGAAAGTATTTACTCTTCTCCACATAATTTATAGGCATTTCCTCATGGGTACTCGGGAAGTTTAAATAGTTGCCTCAAGTATCTCAGTAGATATTAGAGCTTTAATTCAAAGATAGTGAATCTTACACTAGAATCTGTGCATTTTTTCAAGGAGTGGGCATCATAATTTCCTACAGGCTCTTGGAACAAACACACTCTTTTGCATATTCCACAGTACTACCCAATGCACACAGCAGTATCACCCTAAATATCTGTAGAGTAGATGGATAGATGGGTAGATGGATGATTGAACAGTAATTTGATATATGAACCATGACACAACATTTGCCCTCCCAAATAAAGATATCAGTAAATTTCATAGCAATAAATTCCATTTTAAAAGCCCTTACACTGTAATCAACTCAAGAGCACAAACAGAATGAGTAGCATTAACAAAGAGGAGGCCATTCTAAAATAATTTGGGATGGTTTTACTTCCTTGGACTCCCTGACGGTGAAACAGGCACTGGACTGCTTAGCACACCTATCTGAATATTCACACTGATGGAGTGGGTAGTGATGCAGAAAATACATAGCATCAGATAATCCAAAAGTCATTTATATTTGGCTCAGGAACACTTTGCATAATAATTTTGCAGCTGATTGATCCTCCTGGGTTTGTTTGTGCTGATATTAAGGCAATTTTCATTCTGAGAAAATACTGACAGGAAATGGTAGAGTGTATGGCTAAACATATATGTAAGAAAATTATTCGTTCACTCATTCATTCATTCATTCATCAGATCCTTGGTGACAGTTTACTTGTGCCAAGCACTGGATAGGTACTAAGGATAAAAAGAAAAATGAGCTATTTGTAGTCCTTATCCTGGAGGGGCTCATAAATATAATACATATAATTAAGAGTTAGTTGTATGTCTCCACACAGGTATACCTATGTAACAAACCTGCACATTGTGCACATGTACCTTAGAAGTTAAAGTATAATTTAAAAAAAGAGTTAGTTGTATGTCATTTCAGTCTTCTGAATATGTACGCCATCATGCCCCAGATTCTCCTTGCCACATACAAATACATTTATCATGCCTAAAATAAAAGATAGCATTTTAAAACTCAGGTTATTGTATTTATTCTTATGAAGAATTTATTATAATAGCAAGCACATATAGTACTACATTTTAGAACTCTTTTAAATGCTTACTTACATGAACTAATTTGGATGTGACAAACAACCTGTAAAGAATAATATCATTATCATCCCCATTTTGCAGATGAGAAAACTGAGGCAGAAAATTACCCACCTAAGATAACAAAATTTGTGAGTGATAGATCTGGGATTTGAACAGCATTCTAGCTTCAGAACTTGTGTTCTTAACCCATGCTCCATTACCCTATTTGATCAAAATAGTAAATGGAATGGGATCTAAAGAAGGATCAAAAGTGATTTTCATAGGAAAAAAATTTAATTAAACAGGATATAGTGACACATGCCTATAGTCCCAGCTACTCTGGAGGAGGAGATGGGAGGATTGCTTGAGTCCAGGAGTTCAAGGCCAGCCTGGGCAATGCAGCAAGACTCTGCCTCTTAAAAAAAATTAAATTACATCTCTATTTCACACCTACAAAAATTAAATCTCATTCACTAGAAAAGTTAAAACTTTATGTATATCAAAAATACTATAAACAAGTTTTAAGGAAAAGTAACAACCTACTGAAAGAAGACATTTACAAAATATATTATGGAGAAGTAATCAGTCTAACCTAAAAAGAAAGTGACTTAAAAAAAAGAAAATGATTTAAAAAAATTCACAGAAAAAAATCAAATGGTCACTAAATCTTTGAAGCAGTATTCAATTTCACTAATTATTAAGGAATGACAAATAAAAATACCCATCAGATTGGCAAAATTTTTAAAGTTCAAACATGCTACACACTGGCCTGAATGTGGATAAAAGGAACTCTCATACATTGATGTTGGAAGTAAAAATTGACAGAGCTGCTTTGGAGAGCAATTTGGCAGGGTCTGGTGAAAGTGTATCCCCTGTGACCCCTTCATTTCTATTATTCTTGAAGGAACTCTTACTGAAACTTTCTTACACACTTACCCAAGGACATATATACAAAGATGTTTATTGCAGCATTGTTTGCAATTATGAAAAATTGGAAAAAACTTAAATACCTATCACTGGGGAAAGGAATAGAGATGTCATCCCAACATGGAGTACTAAAACAGCAATAAAATAAATGAGTGCTATGTTTATTAAAACATGTATTTATCTTAAAACTACAATGCTGAATGGGAAAAAATACAAAAAGCTTAAAAGTTTGGGCCAGGCGCGGTGGCTCACACCTGTAATCCCAGCACTTTGGGAGGCAGAGACGGACGGATCACGAGGTCAGGAGATCGAGACCATCCTGGCTAACATGATGAAACCCCGTCTCTACTAAAAATACAAAAAATTAGCTGGGCATGGTTGGCAGCGCCTGTAGTCCCAGCTACTAGGGAGGCTGAGGCAGGAGAATGGCGTGAACCTGGGAGGCAGAGCTTGCAGTGAGCCGAGATCCCACCACTGCACTCCAGCCTGGGCAACAGAGCAAGACTCTGTCTCAAAAAAAAAAAAAAGTTTGATACTGCATATGTAAATTTTGAACAACAGAGAAAGCATTATATGTAGATACACATATATATGTGGAGAAACATTAAGCAAGGGCAGGAAAGACACATGCCAAATTCACGGATACTGGGTGGGGGAAAGGGAATTGAACCATCAAAGAAAACAGCATTTGTTGTCGTTTTTTCATTTAATAAAAGACCTATACAAATCATACAAATATGACAAAAAAATTTTGAAATAATTAGTTTGGGGTGGCAGAAAGCTGGTGTTTTTAATGTTAACCTGTGTACTTTGTAATTTTTTGTATTTTCCTAAGACAAAGAACTAAGCAAGTATATTCTCTGGGGTAGAAATACTTTTATTTAGACTTGAATGTATTCTAACTTTGGTTATAATTGTCTGTATTTATGCCTTTTCTCTTGTACTACAGAAAGCTCTTCGAAGGTACGGTTCAGATCACTGTCAGCTTTGAAGTTCCTTTAATTGGTACAAGCACACACACACCCACACACACTGCATTCCACATACCCATATACACACATGTGCGATGAGGGAAGTGTGTGTGTTTGGAGATGCTACAGAACCTCATCTGGTTCAACTAGAGAAGCTCTATTATGCTTATTTGTTTATGATTCAAAGCAATATGTCATTTGAAAAAATCATAACTGCTAAAACATTTTAAAACCTCTGAAATAGACAGTTTGACTAAGTGACACAGGACTGGTTAACCACCTGTTGCCTCATTCCTATCAAACCTGGACTTACTATATCCAAACAAATTACCCAGTCAAGATATTCAAAGAAAGAATCATTTATCCAAACTGTGTATTCATTCCGTAAATGTTTATTGAAAGCATACTATATGGAAGGTACTCTTTGGTACCAGAAGCTCCAGAAAATGCTTACAATGCAGCAAAGCAGTAACACCCCACTGTATTTAAAGTGAAAATAGCATCATGTTCTAAGGCACCATTAACAAACAGCTTGTGCAAAAATTGTTGATGTTTTTCTGTCTCTTGCTGCTTTGCGCATTAACTTGGCCTTTCCTTCAGCCCCGCCCTATCTCTCCTTTGAAACCATTGTCTCCTTGACGTGAAAAATGTACTTCAGAAAGCCTAATGGCTAATTACATCAAAGGGAAGAAAGTCCAAACCTCAAACAAGGAATGATTAACTGCATAAGCTTTAACAGAAGCTATCACACCCTCAAAACTACTCCTCTTCTTTAATAAAAATGTTTCCAGTAATTTATTTTCTGACAAAGTTTGTGTTCTCTGCCCAGGACTGACTCCTGTTATGTTCACTTCAGGGTTGTACCCTATCTAGAGCCAGCCCTGACCACAGACAAAGCAGGCAGCCACCTACATATGATTTATGGAAATACAGCACATTGAAGGAATAGGTACCAGGCCTCATGGGAAAAGAAATCCTGCTTGTTTCAATGGTGCCTCCCAAATGGTGCTCCACGGCACCCCAGTGGGTTTTCCAACACAAAACAATGACAAGGGAGGCTGTTCTATGATCAAATAATTATGAGAAATGCTGGGTTAAACAAAAGTAACAGGTTTAATTATCAATAAAGTTCTAATTCTGTATTTAATTAAAACCAGGTATCAGGGAAGATTATTTATGCATGTATTTTCTTTTTAAAAGTTTATTGAAAGTAGAGACTATGTCTGTATGTCAATGGTGTATCCTCAACACTGAGCACAGTGCCTGTAATATAACAGATACCCAGTCAATTAATAAATCACTAGCCATTGTTGTTGGGAATAATATTTTACAGCTATGCAATGACTTGGGTGCCTTCATTAGCGTTATCTCAACTGTGCCTCATAACAATCCCACAGAGATGCAGAAAAAAAAAATTAAAATCTATATCCCATAGATTGGGAACCTGGGGGTGAGAGAAGTATGAAAGAAAGTAATAAGAAAAGAAATCAAAATTTTTGAGGATCTACTATGCTGCTGTACTACACCCAGGATCTACTATGTGGCAGCCACATGCCAAGTGTTTTTTTACATATAGGATTTCATTTCAATCTCCCAACAGCTCTGTAAGGTACTGATTAGAGACAAGGAAACTCAGGCTTTCAAAGTTAAGGAACCCACCCAAAGACACACAAGGAAGCAATGGAAGAGCTGGGAATAATATTCACATCTTCTGATTCTTGGCCTGAGTTTAATCTAACTATTCCTTGATAAATGGACATCATAAAATTAGTACTGAGAACGAAGCATTGTTCCCAAGTGTTGCGAAAAACAGTACTGGTAATAAAACTACCCTTGAACAAGCATGAGATAGCCCTGTCTAAACATCATGCATATTGCTGGGCATTTTATAGTTATCGTTTTATTTTATTTATTTTTCATATTCAAGTACAGATTATTCAAATATTATAGGACCCATGGTATAGAAACAACCTAGTAGAATTAGGATGTGTGAACTTGAAAAGATGGAGGCTGAGAAGAGGCAGGACTGAGAAGTCAACAATATAAATGTATTTACTATGTCCTGAAGTACTATAAAGGAAGATCATGTAAATTCAAGTAGAATAGAATGATGTTACAATGTAAAGTGATTGTGCTTGTAATTAAATGCTTTAAGGTTGTCACGTCACCATTTTTTTTAATTGCAGGTATCTACAGGCTGCTTCATATTTGCTAGACTGTCCTAACCATTTTACATGGGTCATCTAAATTTAACCTTAAAATGACCTTGTGAGGTGCGTACTTTTAATATGCTCTTTGTACGGTTGAGGAAAGCAAAGCAGAGGAGATTGAGTAACTTGGCCTTGATGGCACAGGGAAATAATCTAAATGGCACTTAACTTCAAAGAGCAGTAATATATATAATCTTTGTTCCTCACATCAGCCCTGTGAGGTAGGCAGGTAGGCATTATTATCCCCATTTTATAGAAAAGGAACATGAGGCTGCACCCAAGCCAAGATTACACAGCTAGTGGTGAGAGGATCCAGAATAGGTCCAAGACTCCAGGCTCTTAGCCCATTGATTTCCTATTTCATATTCATCATTGCTTCCTTCAGAGCAGAATATTAGGAAACACTTTTATGGCTGAGGCCACAGGTACCATCCCAAGTCTCTCTACTCAGAGCAAAAGCCGTAAGAACCTCCCTGTGTCACCTTGGGCATATTACTTAGTGCCCTAGAACAATCTCCCCTCTTCTCTTGCCCAAAAGAGCACTCCTTTGGGGTTTAAGCAATGCAAGTGGGACATTATCTGCAAATTCCCCTTGAAACACCCATATTTTACCTCAAAAATCAACAAGGCTTCAGCTGTCTCTTCTGTTCTTCTAATGGCACAGATCACTTATGCTGAAGATAGAATAGCCATTCCAATGAGAAGAAGGAACCAGCCCTAACCATCCATCATCACAGAACAGGATGAAGCATGGACTCTCAAAACAGAATTTGCCAACTATCACAATCATGTTTTCCTCACTCAGTATGGGTGATAATTCCAATTTAAATCAAAATAACCAATCCTGAAAAGGCCAAGAATATCTAAAGATGGCCAATGAGAGCAAACCCTGTCAGTACCTCCACTCAGGACTCCATCTCATCTTTTTCCCATTCCCATGGGCTCTATCATGGCTTCGGTGACTTTTGCTTACAGTGCCCACCCCTGCCGTTCCTCTTCATAGGACCATTCTGGGGCTACTGGAGCTGTTTTGTCCACGAGCACAGAAGAATACAGGGCTTACATACACTGGGATGAACTTTAGGCAGCAACTGACTAGTGCAAAAGGAGAAAATCCCAGCTATCTTCCAAGAGATTGCAACCACTTAGAAGCAAAACCTACACTCCAGACCCCCTGTGGCATCAGGGCGATGCTACCCTTCACTGGACTTTGCCAAATTTACTTGACTTCTTCCCCACCCTATCCTGCTTCTTCCATTCCCTACCAATTTTTCCTGGAAGCACTTCCTTAACAAATCACTTGCACTTGAGTCCCCATCTCAGGTTCTGCCTGTGGGATACCTGACCAAAGACACTAACCCACCACCAACAAAATAAGATAATATTAAAGCACATACGCTCTGCCCCCTTCACTTTGAATTGCAGCATAATCGTAGTTAGTGCTGCACACAGTCTATATAGCTGGGAGAGAACAGAACTAGGATTTAGCCTCTGGCTTTGCCTTTATTATGTTATAGTTTTCCCCTTACAGGATCTTAAGAGACATTTACTCTAATACACCACTTAGTTTACTTTAATACTCCACTTTATCCACTTTTTTATTTTTGCCCCACCGTTACCTAAAGTGTTTTTATTTCCAGAAACAGGAATATGTCTAGACTTCATTAAAATTTCACATGAAGGAAATATCTCCAATCCTGGTCCTTAATTCAAGAAACACCAATCAAATATTTACAAGTGTTAGGCTCTACAGAAAAAGAGATAAGACAGCTCCTGTCCTCAAAAAAACTAACATCATTGCTCTATAAAAAACAAGTCTGGTCCATCTGGCCAGGTGTTAGCATCATGAAGACAAGAATCTAGGTCTCTGCCAGGGGACCATAAGGCAGTCCTGTAGTCCCAGCTCCTCAAAAGGCTGAGGCAGTAAGATTCCTTGAATTCAGGATTTCCAATCCAGCCTGAGCAACATAGTGAGACCCCATCTCTAAACAAATAAATAATAAGAATCTAGGTCTCAAAATCCGCAGTCTGGTGCTTTCTTAAGTTCACCAATTTCTCAATATCTAGCCTATTTGCTTTATGGAGTTTTTCTATAAAATACACCAAAGGTACAGGTAACAGTAGTGGGGATGGTAAGAAGATGGATGTAAAATGTATTATACATTAACCTATCTCTGGATTCGGTGGCTGACATTGGTTTAGAGAGTGGACACATTGAGGAAGAAGAATAAGTTCAAAATGATGCCCAAAGCGCCTAGGGTATATGAACAGATGGTGGTGCTTTTTCCTGACACAGTGAATACCCAAAGCAGCTTGTCTAGGAGGAGTCAGGGAGCTCAGTTCTGAATGCATTGAGTCTGAAGTGTTTATGGAGCTTCCAAGCAAAGAAGATATACCAATGTCAGCTGTACGGGTCTGAAGCTCAGGAAGACATTCAGCATCCTAGAGGCCAAGGGATAAAGAACACCTCCCAGAGTGTGAGGAAGGACAGGGGCTCTATGGACATAACCCCCTAGGAACAATGGCATTCAAGGAAAGGGATGAGGAAGAGGAGACTGTAAGTGACCTTGAAAAGGAATAGTCGGGGAGTGAGAGGGTTGTAGGGGAGCCAAGGAGATGTGGCATTTAGAGGAGAGTGTAGTTGACTATGCCAACTTCTACTGAGGAGTCAAATTGAAAAGTGTTTATTTCAATGCAGAAAGAACATCTACCAATTTCGATCACTCCTCCTCCCATATATGTTAAGAAAGCAAGTGTCTGGCATTGTTTTCCTGATCCCTGGCAAGGGTCTTAGAAAAGAAGCAAGACCATTTAAAACCACTGCCTGCCATCTTTGACTTCCTAATCATGTTCCTTTCCTTTGGGGCTGGCCTCCTTGCCAGAAATTTTCTAATAACGTTGGTTTATCAGGTATGATTTTCCTTTTTTATAAAAGACTATAATTATCCAACAGTTTGGATCTTGATCCTGGAGCTTTGCATGCTGATCTCCTGAGATCACAGGTGGGACCGCATGAAAAGGGTGCCCAGCACACAGACAATGCTTCATAAATGTTAGCTGGATATAAAGCTTTTAATAGCTGGAAGAGCCAAGATTCTAACTTTTTATTGTTTTAAAATATTTCATTGTGTCCAGAAAAGACTGTTAATAACCTCAAAAGCTGTGTGAGTGTACGTGTGTGCCATCTGTGACCACTGGCAATCCAGAATAGTTACTGACTTGGAGGATTGAGTTATGAATGATACAGTACAGAGGAAACCTGAAAGAACACATTTTTAAATGCAAGGTCTGAGTGCTGATTGACATACTTTGTACGATAGTAAAATCTGGCAGGTGCATTAACTTGCATCCCTCTGATCTGTACACATCCACACTTGTCTTCTTAGGGTACTTGGTAATAAGCTTCTTTAAAGATCCCTGAGTAAGCACTGAAGATAATATCTGGAATATGTAGCACTCAGTCCTTTTAGAATGGCTTTTTCCTGCTCCTTTCGTTTTCTTAAGAAAATGTCAGTTTAATCATTTCCTAATGCTTTGATAATGTGTTTCTTTACATAGCTGTAGAACACTCACTTCAGTGTTTTAAAAGCATGAATGTAGATGTAAAAGTGCCAGTTAAATGAGATTACATTTTCCTAATGAAATAACCAAAGAGGAGTTTGAAGTTTCCTAAACTTGCATGATATTTTTCAGAGCAAATAATATAGTCCAAGCCCTCCAAAGTGTCTCTTACTTGAAAAAATAAAATTTCATATCTTGCTGAATATATAAAAAATACTAGAAAATGAGGAATTCATTCATCGGAGGCAATCTGTCACACATTAGGTGGGTTCATATCCAGGTAACTGGGGACTTGAGCAACATGGGATGATAAAAAAGAGAAAGACCATGGGACCAGGTGGGATGGGAAGCTACCATCACCAATCCTGATACGGGCCTGACTTCAGCAGGTTCAGCAGGGGTTAGCAAACTCACACTAGGCTTTGTGGAGGCAGATGATGGTATAAAACATCCCACCCAGCACGTGAAGAGCAAATGTAAGAGGCCAGATGTCAGAAATCCTCACGATTAGAGAAGCAACTTTATATTTTTGTTCATTCTCTTCTTTCACATCAAACCTCTTTTGAGAGCTCACTTCTCAGCTTGAAGACAGAAGCCCAGTCTCATAAGCTGGAAAATATGGCAGAATTTAAAGCAGAGGCAGGGAGGTGGAGCAAAAGGAGCAAGTTCCTTGTTATAAGCCCCAGTATGGTGGGCAGAGCACCAGAGAGCATCAAGAAAGATGATGAGATCGTGGTGTAGGCCCTGTTCAGGAGGGAGAGAAGGTCTGACAATGGCTAGAGAAAGTGCCAATTTCTTGGTCAAGCAAGGTGAAGTTCCAGGTAGAGTTACAAAAACCCACTGATCCTAAACTTGATTTGTCACCTGAAGTGAGACCACATGCTGGGATCAGTGTAAGCTCTGGGCACTCAGGGCTATCCCAGAACTTTGGATTCATAGCTAATAGCAGTGAAACTTATTCCAGCCTCCAACAACTATCAGGGCAAAGATGTTAAAATGCTCCCAGTGCTGGTAAGATTGGGCTTGGGAATGGGTCAGGGCTAAGCCTGTCATGGAAAGTGGACAGGATGGAAGAAGACAGGCATTCGTGTTCTCCTGCATGTTTATGTGAGCTCCAGAAATCCCCTAGAACATTTTACCACTGAAAGAGAGAGAGAGAGAGACAGAGGCTGTATTAACACAGAATCTTCCATATTATTGAACCCATAAGCAAATAAACATATTAAAATAGTTAAGCCATAAGTATTCAGAGGTATTATAATTCAACTTCTGACAATAACTCGATCTTTTTTTGATACAGAGCTTCGCTCTGTCATCCAGGCTGGAGTGCAGTGGCGCAATCTCGACTCACTGCAACCACCGCCACCCTAGTTTAAGCGATTCTCATGCTTCAGCCTCCCGAGTAGCTGGGACTACAGCCGTGTGCCACCATGCCCAGCTAATTTTTGTATTTTTAGTAGAGGCGGAGGTTTGCCATGTTGGCCAGGCTGGTCTTGAACTCCTGGCTTCAAGTGATCTGCCAGCCTCAGGCTCTCGATAACTGGATCTCTAAGAAAAGGTCATTTTTAACATCCTTCTTGTAACTGATAATACAGGTAATAGTCCCCTCACCCCTAACTTACTCCCATGAACCACTGAAAAATCGGAATTGGTTTGAAATTCAGAAAGGGCAATAGAAACTTGATCTTCAAATTGGCCTTCAGAATCTGAGTGAATCCTACTTTCAGATTTCATCAAAGTCCTCCTCAAGACTCCTTGCTGATAAAAAGTAATATAATCACAGCTAAGGTTTTCTGTCACCAAAATTTAAAGAAGCACTTTCTCCTTATTATCTCTCTCCCCTTCTCTTGGACAGAATATTTACCTGTTATGTGATGCAAATGGCCATTTCCTAAAGCATATGGTTTTCTTTCACTTTCTATTTCATTGGCTTTCTAAAAGTATCTCTTTTAAAAGATACATTCTTGACTGGGCGTGGTGGCTCATGCCCATAATGGCAACACTTTGCGAGGCTGAGGTGGGCGGATTGCTTGAGCCCAGGAGTTTGAGACCAACCTGGGCAACATGGTGAAACCCTGTCTGTACAAAGAATACAAAAATTAGCTAGGCATGGTGGCGTGTGCCTGTAGTCTCAGCTACTCCAGAGGCTAAGGTGGGAGGATTGCTTGAGCCCAGGAGACAGAGGTTGCAATGAGCTGTGATCATGTCTCCACACTCCAGCCTGGGAGACAGAGCAAGACCCTGTCTCAATAAAATAATTAAAAATAAATAAAATATATGGTCTTGTGTTCAAATGCAGGGGCATGACTGGATGACCCACCATTCTCCTCATCCCTTCTGGGCTAGGTATTCTCTGTCCTTCCAGATCCTCTCTTTACCCTTCTCTGCCCTGCTCTGTGCCCCAGGACCCTGGCAGCTGTGGACCACATCAACAGGCCTCCCCTTCTCTCTGGCTTCCGCAGGGGTTTGACCATTGGGAGCCTCTGGGGTGAGATCAGAGGAGAGAGAGTTTGGGTGCTGCCTGGCCTGGCTGCTGTTCTGTGGAGCTGTGGGTGCCAGTGGCTGTCATCCTGTGGAAAAACCACAGCTCCTATCCTATAGACAGGTCTTGCCTGGTTCTACTCACAGCTGTCTCCTCTTGCTCCTTCATCCCTAGAAGTGGGAGAAGCTTCTGATGGTTTCTAACCCCAGGGTGTTTCCTCATCCATTTAACTTCCTTTGTCCCGCTCCCCCCCACCCCATACCTTTGAAAATGGTCCCTTCCTTAAACTCTTTTTAATCACCTCCTCAGTGTACCATCTGCTTCTTGCCAGGACCCCGAATGATATAGCCTCTTCTATTTATTTCATAGTTTCTCAACACTTTCAGGATATGCTGATGAGTCAACATCAGAGAGGAGATACAACTGTTTCCTGGATCTCCTAGAAGGCTTGCAAAGCAAGCAGTTAGAACTGAGGGTTAAAATGGAACCTGCAGATTATCTGAGGGTTTCAATTATCTTTGTTACCCTCATTCTATCTTGCATAGAGAATTGAGAATTGGCTGTGTCAAGACTAAGTTGACACACATCAAGAGGCTATAGAGCAGTCTATCTGCTCATTAAGAGTTTTTTACTACGTCCCACTGATCTTCCACTTCTCGCAATGCTTTTGATGTGGGTTTAATTCTAAGTTCTGACAGAGAAAGGGTCTCACATCTGCAGTCCCCAATGCAATCTTCACATGACTGTCAAAAATGCGACTATTTGTCCCCAGGCTTAAAATGCCAGCTCCAAAAAAGGTCAAGGACTCTCCCTGGGAACATCTACAACATTCAAGCATATACTTAAGATCTTCATTTTTATCTCACACTTTTCTTCAATCTAATGTCAATTTGGATATCATATTTCCATAGGCCCAATATATGCTGAGCACATTCTAAAAACAGAGAATAATAACTCAGTTCTTATTTCCTTTCTAAGACCACAAATCTACCTGCTGTGCTATAGAAACACTGATAGGCCAGATTTAAACCGAAGAAGTGTAATGAACCATTCACCTTAAGGAAAGTCACTTTTCTTTAATAATTTCTACATATAACTCTTAGAAGTATTTATTTCCATCCTTAATAGTCTATGATTTAAGGAGAAAGATGAAATAAAGTCTTTAACAAGTAATAAATAGCAAGTCTTTCCTCATTAATTATCAAGGAAATAAAAATGTTTTCCTCATGCAGCATACTTGCTCCACATGTAGCATCAATTTGCTTTTTTTTTTTTAACTTTTGGTCAAAAATATATGTCAATAATGTCTTTCATACTACATATCTTCTCATAAGTAATACAGTTCTCAATTTTCAATTGCTACAAGAATTAGAGTCTTCTCAAAATTCAGAATTTTTCTAAGCATCACTGTAATAATTAGCATTACTATCACTAATTAGTTTTTCCTAACAACAGTTCTTGAAATGGGTAACTATTTTGTATGCCCCAGAGAGGGCTGGTAACTTGGCCAAATTGTATTTTGCAATTTCACTAGAAGTTCTGAAATTTTGGTTGTCATACATATGTGCAATCCATAATTTATTTTCATCCTCTCCTTCTCATTTAAACTGTTAAGTTTGGGGTTAAAGCAAATTGTGTAATTTACTTGGCCCTAAAATGAGCTGGAATTGCACAGGACCAGCTTTTTAAATGTAGGCTTTTGGAGTCACCAAATATGGCTCAATTTCTAGTGATGCAACTAGCTATGCAACTAGTCATGCAACTAGTGTTGGTTTATAGTTACATTGTAAGGTAATTGTAAATGTACCTATTAATAAGAACACATTCATATCTTCAGAGACATAACCTTTGTGTAAAATGTATTCACATGTTCTATGCAAATGATGACTGCTATGGCTGTTATTATTTTTATGACTATTCCTTAGAAATTTTATATACAATTAACCACATCCAAGTGGGCTGATGCTCTTAAATTACATTGCCAGGTGATTAAATTTTCACTCCAAATGTGTGGAAAGGAAAAGAGCCTCACGATTCTTTTTTCTATTAAAAGATAAACTACTTAAATATTTTGTAGAAGAGGTTTGCAAAAAAAAAAAAAAAAAAAAAGAACCAAGAAGCTACAGCATTATGTAGGGCAGTGACCAGAGAATTTGGTTATAGCCCCAGCTTTGTCAATTAATAGCCTTTTAACCTTGAGCAAATCAATAAAAGCTTTTTGGACTCAGTTTCCTCCTCTGTTAAAAGAAGTTGAACTTAAATGGGCTCTGGGTTCACATCAACCTTTCAACATTATGATTCAGCTATTGGTGTATACAGCACAGCAATTAAACACACAGGCTTCAGGGTCTCTGCCAGAGTTTAAATTCTCACTCTGCCATTTACTCTGTGTGAACTTCTGTGAGTTACTTAAGCTTTCCAAGGCCAAGTTCCTCATTAATAAAAGGGAGACTTGGTGGCGTGCTGGCTCACAGAAACTCAGCAGAGAATTGTGTGCATCTCTTCCCAATTTCATGTCCCATGACATTACCTGGTAGCTTGAAATCTGTCACAATGAGAAAATTTACACTGCAGGAAATTGGCAAAAGCTACAGAGGGTTCCCCTTCCCCACTAGAGAAGCAGGTATTAGATGTTTACCAGAATATCACTGAAGGTGATACCAGTATGAATTTAATAACCATTTTTTAGTATTATAGGAAATAATGCACGCAAATAACACAGTTTTAGATAAATATTATGCTTTTTGTAAATGTTATTTTTATATTATAGTCTGTACTCTTAAAGAGTTATAGTAAAATGTAATACTATTCTTAGAAATCTTGCTCATTCCCAAAACAAATCTCGGCTTTCCTAAAATCTACATGAGTCTAACTTTTGCTCAGCTACTGAGTTCCCAAGCACAAAATAAATTCCTCTTTTAATTTCATACTTACAGGTCTTCTGTTAAGCACCATCCCTAGTAGGTAGTTTTCCTCTTTACAATTTGAACAAGGGTTTCTCCTCTTAGTTTCTAGCACTTGCATAAACCTGATAGAAGCTCAATGATATGATTTTTTTTCCTAATCTGGGAAAACATGACTAATTTATTTTACAACCAACTCTGTCCTTACCTTGTGCTCCCAGTCTCAGTCCACCCTGTTCTAGCTAGAAACCTAAGAGAACTGTTCCCTTAGTTCTCATCCCTAAGGCCTATCAATTTCACCTCCGTATCTATCCAATCCATTTGTGTTTCTCCATTTCCACTACTGCCACCCTTGTTCGAGCCACTGGTGACTGCTTCTTGGGCCACTGGAATAGTCTTCTCACTGGCTGTCCCCCTGCCCGCCAACCTACTGTTCTCTGTTCCTTCTAGCATGCCCATCTCTTCTGCTTGGGCCACTCCACTGCTCCTGGGATAGAAGGGTGACCATCCCCTGGCCCATAGGACCCTGCTCAGGCAGCCCATGCCTGCCCTTAGCCTTCCTCACGCCCATCTCCCATTGAGAGCTGGGCTCCAGATACGCTGACCTTCTGCTCCTCAAATGGGCCAAGCTTCCTCTGTCTTATTTTCTCCCTTTCTGCCTCTCTTCTTACTTCATCCTTTAGACCTCACTCCAAGTCAGCCTCATTTTGTCAGAAAATCCCCTCCTGGACCCCAAGTCTCCTTCTTCATACATACCCATTAAAAGATGTCCCAATCCTTCAGAGTACACATCAGCTTGAAGTTTTATATTTGTCCTTTTCATTATTTAACATCTATCTTCTCCACTAGACTGAGTTCCATTTTCTTATTGTGCTAATCACTATACAATTTCAGTGACAAATACACTAGCTGGTAATATTTGGTTGAATTTAAAAAAAAACTAGTTTTACTTTGGTACTTGCAGACAATGGATTATTATTCAGCACTAACATAAAATGAGCTGTCAGGCCATAAAAAGACATGGAGGAAATTTAAGTGCATATTACTAAGTGAAAGGAGCCAATCTGAAAAGGCTACATACTGTTATTTCAACTATATGACATTCTGGAAAATATCACGAAAAAAGGCGATAGTAAAAGGGTCAGTGGTTTCCAGGAGAGAGAGGGATGAATAGGTGGAGCACTACTCATATACTACAATACAGTCACATTATAGTATATGTAGTATTCATATATAGTATGTATTATACTATAATACCAAGTTGTATTATAGTATAGTATACTCTGTATTATAGTATAATGGTGGATGCGTGACGTCACATATTGGTCCAGAGCCATAGAATGCATAACTGAAGGAGGGAACAGTAATGCTATCATCTATGGAACTTAGGTGATAATGATGAGTCAATGTAGGTTCATTGTAACAAATATACCACTGTGGTGGGAGGTATTAACGGGGAAGGCTGTGCATGTGTGAGAGTAGGGGTATATGGGAACTGTCTGTACTTTCTACTCTGTTTTGATGTGAACCTAAAATTACTCTAAAAAAATTAAGTCTATTTTGAAAACAAATGAGTGCATGAATAAATGAATGAGTAAATGAATGAAGGAAGGAATGAATGAATAGACCGTAGTCAGGTCTCTCATTTCCAGTGGCTCTCATTGCCCTTAAGGTAAAACCCAAACTCTTTTCCACTGCTGAGGGAGGTCCACATGGTCAGGCTTTTGCCAACCTGTCTCTCCCACCCACTGAACTCCAGTGATCCTGACCACCCTGATGGTCCTCAAGCACACCAATTCCTGGTTCAGGACCCAGGCACTTTCTTTCTTCCTTAGAAACTTCCAGATGTCATGTGGCTGCTTCTTCCACCTTTCGGGTTGTGCCCCAAACTTCAACTCCTCAAAGAGGTCTTCCCTGATCTTCAGATCAAAAATACACCCTTCCCATACCCAATTTAAAACAGCTCCCTTCCACCCTGTTTCATTTATAGCATCGAAATGCATGAAATAATCTTAGTTATGAACTTCTTTTCTTACTGTCTTCCCCACTAGATAGTAAATCCTATGAAAGCAGGGACTTTTTATTCTCTTGGATTCTTTCCATACTTTCCTTATTTCTCCTCTACTTTCCCCATAAAACTTCAATCAGCATGGCATCCATATTTATCTCTAACATGGGCTTATTAAGCTCAATTATTTTATTAAAGGTTTTGCACCTTTTGAGGTTTAACAAACCAATTTACTATTAAGAAAAAATCCTTATTACAGATATTTATATATTTAAAAAACATATTTTAGCATATAGTTTTCACAAATGCCTAAAAACCTTTCACATATAAAGCAGCATAATCAGAAAGAACAGAGCATTTGGTTTCATGCCACTTTAAGAAGTAGTTGTGCCCCTGAAAGTATAACTTTTGGTTAATACAATTGGAAGTGCATACAGTAGTATAATTGTCTATTTTTTGTATTTATGTGATCTAGAAAGAGCTAATATGTCTCTAGTTTGGGTTAGAAACTCGGATACAAAACAGAACAGCTCTTGCTGTTATGGAGTCTCTAGTCTGAGGAAAGGGTTTCCATGTTAGTTTTTTCTTCATAAGTAAAATAGTGATTTTCCTTTCTTATCTCTGACATTTTGTATTTGCTTATATTCATGTCTTCATATAAGTTTCCAAAAATCAAGGCACAATTAAATTGAGAAATGTTGGGGGGTGTAGCATTCCCTCCCCTTTTTCTTTGAAATAATTACATAATCTCTCAGGAACTTGTTTCCTTTATGTACGGAACTGGGGAATTATCATTCCTACTTTCAAATTAGGAATATTGAAAACAGTAACACATTAAGAATATATAGAACAGCAAAAGCCAACAGCAAGATATAATAAAAAGCTGAGACATTCTTCCCTTTCTGGGACAAGTTTCCTGGAAGTTTTTTTGTTTGTTTTTCTTGTTGTTGTTGTTGTTGTTGTTGTTGAGACGGAGTCTCGCTCTGTCACCAGGCTGGAGTGCAATGACGCGATCTCGGCTCACTGCAACCTCTGCCTCCCAGGTTCCAGCGATTCTCCTGCCTCAGCCTCCCAAGTAGCTGGGACTACAGGTGCATGCCACCATGCCTGACTAATTTTTTGTATTTTTAGTAGAGACGGGGTTTCACCATGTTAGCCAGGATGGTCTCGATCCCCTGACCTCATGATCTGCCCACCTTGGCCTCCCAAAGTGCTGGGATTACTGCACCCTGCCAAGAACTGTTTTTTAATCCAAACATTCCACCGATCCTATTGCCAGTTTTTCCTGTTTCTATGCTGCCAATAAACTCTTGAAGCAAATGTCCATTTACTCACCTACTCAGTTGTTACCCAATTCTTGGACACTTACCATGCACCAAAATGGTTAGACTTAAGTTAGCACAAAAAACATCAAAGTCCTAAACTAATATGTCTTCTAACTATAAATATGTAAACTAAAAATGTTGAGAATTTTCATTTAAACAGACCTTTAGGTAAACACTCCCTTATAACTTCAGTCCTCGAATAGGCTAACTTCAGCTGTAATGAAATGCAAATAACTATGTTAATGCAAATGTTAAGGCTACAAATTCAAACATAAAAAAGTCAAGAAATGCAAAAGTTAAGGTTCTTCTAGAAACATTAACTCACTCAAATTGTACATATAGAATATTTCCAATTACACGGAAGACAGCAAAATGTGATCCCTTAATGTACTGTATGTGCAACGTGGGTAAGTTAATGCTGTTATGAGAATGTTAAATTTTACAACCTCTGACTTTGTTTTAAAAGTTACTGCATGAATATTGCATTATTCCTATCCTCATAATGCTATTTTCTTAAAATAGAAAGAAAACAGAAGAGACACAAATGTCACTGTATTTTTCATCAATACAGGATTCTACATTTATAAAATATTTTGGTTAATGAATGAGACCAAAATTTGGGGATTTCTAAAAATTAATTAGTTGAAAAATGTCTACCTTGCTTGGATTAACTGAGTGGTTCATTGAGATACTCCGAGTTACAGATTTGTAAAAATGTACAATAAATATTTGTGAGGTTGTGTTTGCTATTATGTATAACATGTAAATTATGCAAAGAACAAAAATTCCATTCATAAAGGGAGAAATTTTATAAAATATAAAGTTAGAGGGGAAATACATCAAATGATTTTAAAAATAAAATTCCATGTTTTTTTTTCTTGATCTGGAACTAAAGTCAGATAGTATTGTTTTTCTCAGGGCCATTTGCTCCTCCACTTTTGAAGGAAAGCATAGTGTTTTGTTTAAATATGTCTGAAAGCTGAAAATAATATATTTCACTATGTATTCTCAAATGTACCTAGCATTTCTTCTGCAAATATTCAGTGGGGCAACAAAATGTTTCATTAATTACATAATGTTGAACTGGATAAATCGGTCTTAATTAAATTGTGATGCTGCAAAACATAGAAGAATGAAAGCAGAGCAATACATGTGCAAGCCAGAAAAATGTGCAGTAGTGTTGTTTGGAGTAATCGTCTCTGAAGACAGAGAGGGCTCCTACATTTCCCGCAGGGCCTTCTCGTGTCCTCTTTGGCACTCAATAAATGAGACACCACATTACCCTAGTCCCATGAAGGAGACGTGCTCTAATGGATGGAGGCTTTGAAACTGGAAGGGAAGAGCAGGCAGGAATTGCCAAAGCCCCACATGCACACAGCAACCACAGCATACAACGTTCTAGATTGATCACTCACTCCCAGTGCTTTTTCTGAAAGCCCTTGATTACTGCAATTTTTGACAGTGTTCGTATCCCATTTAGCAGATTCTCTTTAAAAATTTGTCAGGCTTTTGGATTCCCATATTAACCTGTGTTTTCTTGTCTTCTGACAACAATTATTCAATCAGACTTCTTTTGTGAAGACTACAAGATAAATACCTCCACAGTCTGAGAACTATAGTGTCATGCTTGAGCAGCCTGATCTTAGACTTTATGCTGCAAATAAATTGGTATGTGCTTAAATAATTACCAGGCAGTTTGTCTATCACCTCTTGCGACTGTTGAAATCCCTGACATTATCTCTCACATAGCAGCAGAGCCCCCTGGTTCCACCCCATGCCTGTTGTTTGCTCTTTGCAGGACTTTTCCATCCTCAACCCAGAGAACTGTGGTTAGACCTGGGTGAGGAGGATGGGAATTCCACCTCTGAAAAACCAACTTGATCTCTTTGTTCTTTGCCCATCCTATGGATTTGTCTCACAGGGTTTCTGAGAAACTGTGTTTATCAATGTTTGTTTATGCCTGGGTAATCGCTAAATCAGAAATTTCAATTTGTATGGTATATTAATTTCTTACCTGTTTGTTGGTTTCCCTCTCAACTTGAAGGCTGGGCTGTTTTGAATGTTTGTGGCAGTATTTTCACAAAACATGTATCCTAAGATTGAAGGGTTAATGCCATTCTGCCTGAAATGACTCAGAGGTTGCTACAATTTTAAAGACTTAAATCTGTGCTAAATGTGAAGATTTCACAAAATAAAGGCAAACCAAAAAAAGCGAGGGGAGGGAGAATTAATAAACAAAGAAGCAAAGGGGAAAAATCTTTTCCTCCATTTCTAGTTGGAACTGCTGTTTTTTACAGCTAACTGAAATATTTCGACATTTGAAAAACATCAAAATAGCTAGAATTCATAAGTCTGAGAAGGGGAAAAGAAAGCACTTTGCTAAAGTGAAGTAAGTTCAGCATTTGCAATGTAATTCAAATTGCACTTCTAATTCAGGTCCTGGAATTAACCCACTCAACCAAAGCTTGAAAAGATTTAGATTTACTCAGACTAGCAACAATACAATACCGCCTTACAATTGCACAACCACCCTGTCTTTTGGTGATACATCCAATACACTCTAAATTATAATTCTAAAACTCAGTTTGTTGTTAAAAAAAAAAATCTGTGCATCATATCAGAGTTTGTCTTGTTGCAATTTAAAAGGGGGAGAAGGGACTCACAACCAGTTTTAATCAGGCTAGGATAACACCTGAGCTCTTCTTATAAACACTTTTTAAAAAATGATTTTTACCACAATTTTTAACTGTAAAGAGGTGAATTTGGAATAGAATTCCTATATTTTCAGCCCATTGACTACAATGAAAAGAGTAACTTTCAAGGCATTGTTGTATTTGGGGTGCAATTCAGGTCATCTGAGCTGCCATTTTATTTTTCCAAGGTTGATTCCACCAGGGATTCATCTCATTGAAGGTGGGAGGCTGAATAGGTTGGGGGAGATGGATTAGTGGCACCGCCTGTGTAGCCTGCCTGTCCGTGAAAGTTATTTGAAGGTTTCCCATGCAAGCAATTTAGAAAAATGCAGCCATTTTTACCTTATCTAGTTTGACAATAGTCAAATCATCCAGGAAAAGTTTTTTTTACAAAAAGGGGGGAAAAAAAAAAGGTCTGCCAAGATTTTGAAAGGGCAGTTTTAATTTTCTCATTTTTTATGATGGACATTTTCTGTCAGTAGTAAACAAAACTTAGATAGGCTTTATGATATTTTATTTTTAAAAATGTGTAAATTTTTAGAACCAGGCTATGAATGAAATTCATTTATTTTAGCTCACTAGCACACAAAACTAGAGAAAATGTTACGGTATTAATGAATGAGCACTTACTATACCAAGCACATCTACCAAGTTAGAAAGGCAGAGGCAGTGTTCCGAACTACATGTTGCAATTTATTTTTTTTTTTAAGACGAGCATCAAGGCAGTGTTTTCATGATATTCCAAAAGACTGACATTTGATGGCATAAAATACCTTCACCTTACGAGTCAATTCTTTAGTGGAAAGGCCTTCAATTTTGCTTTTTTAATCCTATGCAAAGCAGCATCACTTCATATTTATTTAGCTTAGTGCTTTCTTTCTATTTAAAACATTTATTAACCAGAAATACCTTAGTGACATGTAAATTTCATTTTCTATGCCCTATAGATTAAAATACATCTGTTTCAGCCATCATTCAGGAAAAAAAATAATTGTAATAGTTCATTTTATGAAAAAAAGATTTATGTCAGCATTCAGTTCTGACAAGAAAAGGCAAGTCATTTGCAATAATACTAGGAGAGAGCTTTTTTTCTTCCAGAATTTTATCCAAATTGAACAGAACTGTGTCCCTGAAATATACAAGGAGAGCCAAGTAACTTTGCTTCCTGCTATGTGGTTGCTGATAGTGATTCACTAAAACACCAGGTAAAATGTTCTTTGTTAAATTTAATCTGCGATATCCTGGCATTTGCATTATACCATAATGCAGCTCTTATTCCAGTGGACTTCAATTCTGTGGTAAGGAAAAATATTTAGGGATGCATTTTAAAATCTGGCATTTAATGAACTTTCTTTGCTTCTAATTATGTGCAGTATAGTTTAAAAGCAAATGATGTTTATACAACTGGAATAGGCAAATTTTTAGAGACAGAAAGTATATTAGTGATTGCCTAGAGCTTGAGGAGGCTGAGGTGGTAGTGAGAGAGAGCGACTGCTAATGGGTTAATGGGTATAGGATTTCTTTTGGGAATGATGAAAATGTTATAAATTGATTGTGATGATGTTTGCACACTCTGTGAATATATAAAAACTATTGAATTGTATACACTTTTAACAGATGAATTGTATGGCATGTGGATTATATCTCAATAAAACTACTGTATTATACATCCCTCCAAAAAGGATAAATCCCACCCCCAGGCCTGGCCCCTGAAGAAATTAGTCTTGCCAGATGGGGATCTCTTCCTTAAGGAAGAGTTTCCCTGACTGAGAAAACAGTACATGAAAAAGTGGGAGGGCAAACAGGCAGGAGAGAGCATCAGGTTTCCAGAAAGATATGAATATTTTAACTCCAAAAGTCAAGGAGTCAGAACCTAGGGAAAGGTAGAGGGTGTCCAGGAAGATGTGTGAAAATAAAATGCTTGAATGCTTCTATCTTCAAGTTACAAAAGAAAGCAAGAGAAAGAATTAACATTCATAACAGTGGAAGGTTAATGATAAAGGCGTCCAGTTGTCAGTAGGTGCTTATTTTCTTTATTAACTTGTTCTAATTATATATTCTCTACGGGAAAATTCGTAGCTTTGTCTTATGTTTATGCTTAGCTATTTTAATAAAGAGATCTATTTTTCATCAAACAAAGATAGTAGTCTGTCAAATTGTCTTACCTTCTTTTACAAGATTAACTGATTGACCACTGTCATGGTGGAACTGACCTCTTGTGCCAGCAGATCACCAATGAAGCCCCACACTCCCCTCACAACAGCACATTTTCATAACATGGAAGACATCAGGAGCCTGAGCAGCACCAGCCTCCCAACGCTAAGCCTATTCCATGATAGCAAATGCTGTTTGGGCTTTTAAAAATCAATTTAAGGCCAGGTACAGTGGCTCATGCCTGTAATCCCAGCACTTTGGGAGGCTGAGGCAGGCAGATCACCTGAGGTCAGGAGTTCGAGACCAACTTTGCCAGTGCGGTGAAACCCCATCTCTACTAAAAATACAAAACTTAGCCAGGTGTGGTGGCATGCGCCAGTAATCCCAGCTACTCAGGAGGCTAAGGCTGGAGAATTGCTTGAGCCCAGGAGACAGAGGTTGCAGTGAGCCAAGATCGTACCACCGTACTCCAGCCTGACTGACGGAGGAAGACTGTCTCCAAAAAAAAAAAAAAGAAAAAAAATCAACTTAAAGGGAGAAACAAAATCTGTTAAGAAGTGTCTTCTGCAATAGCAAAACTAAAATGACTACGGAATTGTACTGCCCACGCTGCAGAAGGTATATTTCTTGTAGATCATTTCAATGTTGATGGTCACATAGCTATGTGGCTTGGGGAAGACAAGCCTAGAGATGCTGCTAACTACAGAGCTCCTCTTTGTTGTGTATCTTTTGTGATTTTAAGTCTTTCAGTATCTTTTGCTCCCTACTCCTATTTCTCTACACCAGGAACAATGAAAACACGCACAAGGAAATAGAAAGTAACATACTCTCAAAGGCTTCTCACGAGCCAGTCCTATGCTAGGTGCTGAACGTGCATGACCCCTCTGTGAAGTTGTACTTATTGAAAGCAATGAGCCACCTACACTGTGTCTTTATCATTTGGTATTTATATCAGGCATCTTCTCATTAAGCCTTCAGCAACCCAACAAGATAGGCATAATTATTATCAGTCCAAATGTAAAGATGAGGAAAATGAGGCTGAGCTAGACGAAGTACCTTGCTCAGAATCAGATACATCAAGGTGGCAGGTCTTGGACTGATGCCCAGAAGTGTTTGAAGGCCACACCCATAATCGCAACCACTCACTGTTCTGCTCATTACCCAGAAAGCCCAGGCTTCATGTTGACACAAGCAGAGGACAACTGGAGGAGGGAAGAAGCCCCACTGGAACTAAGAAGTCAAGAAGCTAGGAAGTAGCCAAATACTCCGGGC
Organism: Homo sapiens; assembly: GCF_000001405.40. NCBI lineage: Eukaryota > Metazoa > Chordata > Mammalia > Primates > Hominidae > Homo > Homo sapiens. The sequence continues at coordinate 104,793,405 of NC_000008.11, read as the reverse complement.
CATGGGGTGTCCCCAAAGGGAACTAGAACAAAGTGAGACTCACTGCATGGTTCATACTTGATACCATCAGTCACACCCACCTGCAAGCTTTCAGGGCTGGAAAAACTGAAATGTCTTTGCCTGCTGTGTTTGAAAATTGGCATCGCTTCTCCATTTCTGTACCTCCTTCCTCTCTAAACACATTTCTTCTTTCTTTCAATCAATGCCATGCCACAAATATTTACTGAGGCCCTACTAAGTACCTAACTCACTTCTAGGCACTAAATATACAGCAGTGAATAAAACAGAGATTGGCTGTCCTATACCTTACATTCTAGTGGAGTCAGATCATCCACAAACAAGAAATATATATCTCATCCTCCCAACTGCCCCTACCTAAACATATAATGAATTCTTAGAAGGTCTGAGATCCAAAGATTTGAGCTTTGTAAAGAAAAATGTTTAGAAGATCAAAATATGTGTGTAGCAGCCCATACTTGTGCTGCTATAAAAGAATAGCTGAGACTGGGTAATTTCTGAGAAAAGAGGTTTAATTTGGCTTACAGTTTCACAGGCTATACAGGAAGCATAGCAGCTTCTGCTTTGGGGGAGGTCTCAGGAAGCTTCCAATCATGGCAGAAGCCAAAGTGGGAGCAGCGTCTTACCTGGCAGGAGCCAGGAGCAAGAGCAGGGAGGGAGATGCTACACACTTTTAAACAACCAAATGTTGTGAGGGCTCACTATCACAAGGACAGTACCAAGAGGGATGCTGCCTAACCATTCATAAGAAGTCCACCCCCATAAACCAATCACCTCCTACCAGGCCCCACCTCCAACATTAAGGATTACATTAGGGATTATAAATCCATATGAGATTTGGGTGGGGACACACATCCACACCATATCAGTGTGCTTAGGAATCTTTGTTAACCATCTCTGTAACAGAGCTGTGAGGCTAGAGTTACCTACGCCCAACTTTTAAAAGCTGACAAAAGAGCCAGTTCTCATGAATTACCAAATGTAGCTATTTTCTGTCACTTACACAGACTTACATAGTCACCATCTCTGATAAATTCAAATATATTATCAATGATACTTTATTTTTGCTTTTACTTTTAAATCAGTGAACTTCCTGATCTCAAATAGAAAACCGATCTACATTTTTTCCCATCATTAGAGCATTTAAATACATCCATCTGCAAACAATTGAGAGGTAGTAAATAGACATAACTTTCATAAAATTTACTTATTAAAGAGACAATCCTTCTAAGCTTAAGACAGATGGTGTCAATATTTTAGTAAGGAAGGAAATTTTGATAAGTGTTGTATAGACAGAAAAAGTCTGCACAAACTATTTCTCATAAAAAATTGAACAGAGAAGTCTATTTATTATGGGGTAGATATGATTTATGCTTTTTTCCCATGTGATAATCATTTTAAAAAATATTGTTTTCAAAATGTATAAACAAAAGCAAAGCTGATAATCTACCCAGTTGTATCTATTATCAGGAATGATTAAAGAAAATTGGAGTCTACTTACTTAACCAGTTGCTAGAATTCAAGGCCCATGTGATTATGAGGTAAGATACTCTTCATGGTCACCCTCTCCTGACCTCCTTCACCCCACTTTCACTTAAAGGTAAATTTCAGTGAAAACCTCCAACTAAGAAAAGATACTGCACGTTCATTTTTCTTACACAGCAAGATGGACATTTCAAAAAATAAGAGCATCTTTTTGAATGAACAAAGACCTACTCAAGGATCTGGACTTCTATAATAAAAGAACAAATTCAATGGAATAAGGTTATTAACTTATTAATAGTTTAGTTAAAAGATTAAAGAGTTGCTTTTGAAATTTTACAAATCAATTACTTGCGGTTAAATTTTAAACCAAGTCTTATAGTCAAAATCAAAGATTTTTTTTTATAGACTGAGATCAAAATCCAACTGCTCATGTTTGGAACCAATTAAGTTACATTTCGAAGGCACAAGAGATATTCTTGCTTTTTTAAACTTAAAGGTGCTTCATTAAATGATACTTTAGGGCAGCTTTTCCTATTTTCAATAAGTTACATTTGCTAAAAGCCATAATGAGAAGGCATTTGTGATAAGAAGACGTGTACCTCAATTGAAGGGTCTCTTCACTGAACAGATGAGAGAAAAGTTAAAACATCTAGACCAACGTTGTATGCTTTTGTTTCTATAAATGTAAATGTCTCTGAACAGTGTTCTTGGGAGATTTCTAGTTAGATGATGACACAATTAATTCTGACCAAATAGACTCAAAATTCTGCAACTGCACTCACCCACGGGCATTCTGTTTTAGAGACAAAATAAGGTATAATTTCACTATCTTTTAATTCAACTGGTAGCCAACTTTTTATAAAAGTTAACACTATTGAACTTTTCTATGTCAGGTACAGTGGTGAGCACTTTGCATTTCCTCATTTAATTCTCAGGTTTTTGTCTCATTTTTCAGGTGACACACCCTGTGGGGGATAGCAGACGATCCTACCAAGATCACTGAGTGAAGCCATGGCAGTGCCCTGATACAAATGGAGTCCCTCTGTGTCCAGAGGCTGCACGGTTAGCCACTGACCTATATTCTCACATAAATAGGAATTGGTGATTGTCTTTATTATTGCCTCTTCATCAAAATAGATCAAATATGAGCCATCTGTTTATCAAACAACTCACCACAAACTTTTTTATAACTTCTGAAGGATAGCTAAAATTTATGACAGCCCACCAAAGTAACTGATAAAAATGTAAGCTGAGGTTAAAACGCAGAATTTGCATCTTAAAACATCATTAAAAAAAGAATAAGAAGAACGAAGGCTAACAATTTTTAAAGTAAGGAGTAATTTTTTAAGCACCACAATGATTGCAACTTAATTTCTTTTTTTCCTAGCTTTGGGCTGACACAATGTACTGTAGTGATATTTGGGATTTGTGCTTCAGAAATTTCCACGGACACATTAGCTTAGATGGTTTCATTACCCACCCTCATTATTAAGTAGCATTCAATTACTGAGTGTTGTAATGCCAAAGAGCATAAAAGAGAAACAAAATCTCGGTAAGATCTAAGGGTAAAATGGCATTTTTATATTGCTATAAAGATTACTTAACTCCAGTGCAGTACTAATGATCATTTCTGTGACTAAAAACATCCCCTTATGATTAATTATGTAAACTCTCATCATTTCAAGCCCAATAAAAACTTTAAAACATTTTTCATGCATCTTGTATTCCCAGTGTCTTTTTTTCCATTTACTCACATATGAATCAACTCTAAGGATTAAAGTAACTATTTTCCATCATATTAAAATGGTGTATCATTTAAGAGTATCCAGATTTATATGAACAACTCAGGTAAATAAATGTGGAGGGTGTTTTAACATGGGGTGGGGGAAGAAGCCTTTTGCATTCTTTATAAATGTTGATTTATGTTCCTCATGTTTCTGTAAAAGGCATATAGTCTCCTACTGGAAGGAATAGCTCAATAGTCAACTATTTCCAAATTGCATATATTTCAAAATTAGAATATACAGTAAAAATCTCCCTTGAATATTAATTACAGTTTTGTCTGTATCACCAATAAAATTCAGGGAGACTGCTGTTGAATAACAAGGAACTGTTTATAATAGAATACAAGGCAGCCATTAAATGCGAGGTTACACATAAAAGCTTAATAATATAGAAAGATATGATGTAGTATTTTGTAAAAATAAAAGTCACGAAACAGTATTACAAAATAACCACTATTTCTGAAAACTGTTTACATATGTGCACAGCCACAGACCTTTGATTAAAGGATAGGCAGAAAGGTGGTAATAGTTTTTATCTAGGTGGTAGGGTCACAGGTACTTTTAGGCTTTTTTTTCTTGAAATAGACTAGAAATTTCCTTTCTAAGGAATGTGATTTACTTTTGCTTCGGACAAACAAATGAAAATATCCGCTCTTGAAGAAAGTGATCATTGAGAGTCTGAAATTTGAGACATTTCTTGGAGAATGCCCCATGCTTATGAAAACTGCTTCAGAGTTAAACCCAAGTGACAAAGCCTCTGCTTTAGCCACTGCTAGACCCGGGAGCCTACTGCTCCAGCTGGACAGGTGGAGAGAAGACAAACGACAGTGTGACAGCCCAGGCTCTGTGCAGGCCTGTGGGCAGGGGCCTCCCTGGTTGCCCTGTGGGTAGGAACTATGGCAGGGACAAGGACAGGTAGTAAGAAGTGAAGTCCATAGTATTCTTTATCATGCAGCTTTGAAGACACTGAAAAGCAGAACATAAAATGGGAACGCACAGGCAGCCTCTGCCTGAGACTCCCAAGTCACCCAGCTTCAGAAGTGCGCACAGTTTGAATGCAGGGACCTGGGGACTGCAGGGCGTTCCCTCTGGGTCGCCAAGGTCATTTCCTCCAGCACGATGCCTCGCCGTTTACAATTTCCTTTGCTTCTCTTTCTTCCTTCCTTCCCCCCCTAACTGGACCCATCTGGAGAGTCTCTACGTGCAACAGGAATTTAGTTTTCAGAAACGTGGTTCCGGGCATCTTCGGAACAGAGACTGGCAATAATCCCAAATTGCATGTTTTATTATGTCAGCTTCATTTGTGTTTCTTATGAAATACTCAAACTCATTCCAGACAGCAGCCAAAGCTAAACTCCCACACTATCCCTAGGTAGAAGGTCACATGTTACAGGCAAAACTGTCCAGCTTCTGAGTTTGCTTGAGAACTTAGACAAGATGACAAGCCGCTTCCATCATTGTTTTCAGCAAACTGCAGATTTTATTCCTGAATGGCATGACTGACTCAACAAAAAAGAGAAAGGCAAAGGTCTTTACCTCATACTTCTAGATTTCTCTATATGGTCTCATTGTGATTCAATATAAAAAATCACTTTGGAATTTTATTTGGAATAAAAACGGAAAAAAAGCATTAGCTTTTGCTGCAACAGTTTTATACATAAGGAGATTGAAACTGCTTATTCTCTGAAAATAAAACAGTTGGGTTCACTTCTTGGCCAACACAGAGCAATTTCTAGTAAGGATTTCCTCTTTTAATCAGTTATAAGGTATAATGACAGTCTCTACAACCAGCCACACCCTGTGGGGGCAATGTGAATAAACACTGGTAACTTCCGCCAGAAATAAACACCAGATTAATAGCATTGCCGCCTGCACATCGGGCCATTTCCATCTCCCTGGGACCCCAGATGAGAAATTAATTAAGCTAATACATTTAAAACTAAATCCATTTTACTCCAAATTACCTTCCCCAAAAAGTTCAACAAAAATGTGAAATGCCAAAATTGTAAACTTGTATTATATGTGTATTCAGACCCTGGTAAAACCTTCAAATAAAGAAAACAGGAGATAAAGAAAGCCAACAAGCGATGATTGACTCAAGATCCCCATCTAGTGACAGTATGCTGAATAGCATGTAATTTGTTTGCAATTCTCGGAAGGCCTATAAGTCAAATGAATTAGGCATTTGTTTGGTTCATTGTTCCAAAGTGACATGCCTCCTGTTATTATGCCCTTTTACAAAGTATTCTGGAGGAAAATGTAACCCCCTTACAGATTTCCAGCAATTCCCCTCTGAGCCGGGTTCATCTGTTTTTGACAGTCTGTTTCCCTGGATTCACTATTTATTCCCTAACTCCTGTGGCACCTGATTAAAGAGGTTTGAAACTCTTGCCATGCGTTTGAGTAAAATTGCACAGTATGTGTTACATATTACAGTACGTGTAGCAGCCAAGCTGTGTGTACTTTCTGTCTGAAACTGTGTTGGCGACCCTGTATAGGTTCACAAGAGACCAGTAAGGGAAACCAGAATATTTCACCCCAAAATACGTTTCTTTGGCATTTTTAAATATGGCTATTTGGAGGTACTGCAAACACAGAAATAGCTTTGAAAAGCTGTATTTGTGGTGGAGATTTGCAAATGTAGAGAAAAATCTACATTAGCGAGGTAAACTTTTACTGTATGCATGATACACCTCGGTAATATATTTTCTTCTTAATTTGGAGTCTTGCTCCGTCACCCAGCCTGGAGTGCAGTGGCACAATCTCAGTTCACTGCAACCTCCACCTCGCAGGTTCAAGTGATTCTCCTGCCTCAGCCTCCAGAGTAGCTGGGATTACAGGCGCCTGCCACCATGCCCAGCTAATTTTTGTATTTTTAGTAGAGACAGGGTTTCACCATGTTGGCCAGGATGGTCTCGAACTCCTGGCCTCAAATAAGTAATCCACCCACCTCGGCTTCTCAAAGTGCTAGGGTCACAGGCATGAGCCACCATGCCCAGCCAGTAATACATTTTCTAAAGGAAGCTTTTCCGTAACCATTCTTTTACCCTTATCCTGTGAGATAACAGCCACAGGAGGCGTTTTGTAGCCTGGTAAGAGCTAAGTCCCACACAGGTTTCTTATGGATCCTCAGGAATTTGATAAGAAATTGATTATCTATGAAACCTAAACATCGCTGTGTAAAGGACTTGGGTTTTTATTATTTCTATAATTTGACCGAAATTCTCAGGACAACTCCTCAGCCCAGGTTTTAACTGAACAAAGTGAATCGTACTCATTGTTTTATGGGGCAGGACCCATTGTTCTGTGAGGAGCTACGAGAACATCTTCCAACCATCACTGTTTTGAGCAGAGTGGAAACAAAGGCAAATGGAAAACTGAACAGGTGGGTGAGTTTGTGACATGGCCACCACAAGTAAATCCTGCCCCCATCCCTCTTTCAGATGTCTGCTTTTATAATTTGTAAGACATGGAATGTTGGAGCTGGAAGGAAACTCCCAGTTCATCCCCATGTTTTCAAGGGGAGACCCAGAGAGCGTGTGTCTAGTCCAAAGTCACCCAACTGGTTAAGAACAGAGCTAGACTTTCGCCAGTCTTTCCAACTTCTAATCTTTCACATTTCAAGGGCCTCAAAAGCTCCCTCAAGTATAGTCAGGACAACACAGTCCAAGGCCTTTGAGTCTTTTACAACTATTTTCAGAGGTAGTATCTGCAAAAGTTCCTAGATTCTTTTCAAGTTTTTTTCTTACTTTTGTTTGTTTGTTTGTTTGTTTGTTTTGGAGACAGAGTCTCACTCTATCACCCAGGCTGGAGTGCAATGGTGTGATCTCGGTTCACTACAACCTCTGCCTCCTGGGTTCAAGTGATTCTCCTGCCTCAGCCTCCCGAGTAGCTGGGATTACAGGTGCACACCACCATGCCAGGCTAATTTTTTGTATTTTTAGTAGAGACGAAGTTTCACCATGCTGGCCAGGCTGGTCTCGAACTCCTGACCTCCTGATCTACCCACCTTGGCCTCCTAAAGTGCTGGGATTACAGGCGTGAGCCACCATGCCTGGCCTCTTCTTGCTTTCTTTCATTCCTTTGTTCCTTTTGTCCTTCCTTCCTTCTTCCTTCGTTTATTTTCTCCAATTTTTTTTGTTTCCCTCTTTCCTTTTTACTCTCTTTCTCCACGATATACTTACTTGCAACCAAAGTTTTCCTCTCAGTTTGCTTGTCAAGAGTCAGGAAGAAGCAGGCCATTGCTTTTCAGATCTTACCCCTGAATTATGCTCAAGGGTGATGTAGGCCCTGCTCTCCCTCCTGCCCAAGCATAAAAGATTTGTACCCCACAAGCATAACCAGGCAGATGTTCAATATTCCCTACAAACAGTTCCTCCCATGCACTGCAAAAGCAACTTTGCTGTTTACTACTGGCAAAGAAAGAAGGATCCCAGGACAGAGCTCTTGTTGGCATGTTCCTCCTTTATTTTATTGTTGATGCCCTGCAGTTCTGACCATCACCTGGTGCTTGGAATTTACCCTATTACCACACCAGGTCTCAAACTCCATTTCAGAAATGCCATTTAAACTCGTGATGGCCTTTTACCCTCAACAATATGTCTACACCTAGATCAGTCCACAAAGGGTTATTTACTGCCTCCTGGGTGCTCAGAAGTGTGTGCTAGTGGTGCTACCTCAAAAAGTGTTCATTGTACCCAGGCGCGGTGGCTCACGACTGTAATCCCAACACTTTGGGAGGCCAAGGTGGGCAGATCACCTGAGGTCAGGAGTTCAAGACCAGCCTGGCCAGCATGGTGAAACCCCATCTCTACTAAAAATAAAAAAAATTAGCTGGGCATGGCGGCACGCACCTGTAGTCCCAGCTACTCAGGAGGCTAAGGCAGGAGACTCTTGAACCCGGGATGCAGAGGTTACAATCAGCCGAGATCACACGCTACACTCCAGCCTGAGTGACACAGCAAGACTCCTTCTCAAAAAAAAAAAAAAAACAACAAAAAAAGTGTTCATTGTGATGCCGATTTTAGACCTCAAATCATGTAGAATTGAGCTGAATTCATGAAGCAGTAGGAGAAGCAACACAAGGCAGATTCATCACCAGCAGCATCTTTAATAGAAAAGTTTTTGTTGAACTCCTATCTTGGACAAATATCAGGTTTTAACCACCCCAGGAGTTCAGAGGAGGAGAAGGTACATTGGGGGTAGGGGAAAGCTCAGACTGGCAGGGAGGGAAGAGCCTTAGAGGGTGCCTGATCCCACACCCCTAGGTGCTTGAATATGTAACTATAATTCATGTTCACTCTAAAAACATTTTTCAGATAATTCATTAAAGTGAAAATGAGAAAGTAAAAATTGGCTTTGTTTTAATATCACCATTGCTCCCAAAACACCTATCTTTAATATTTTTGTGTGATGACCTCCAGACTTTAGTCTATGCATATTCTTAATTCATTAATACCAAATATGCCATTTCTTAGTTGCTTTCATCATTTGACAATATATGTAAACACCATATTATGTTGATATATATAAATCTGCATAATCATTGCAATGTCTACATAAGAGCTCTGGATTCATTTGCATACAGACTGCTGAATGGTATATTGATGGTCCTTAATTTATTCACTTTACTCTTTTTCTTTTTTTTTTTTTTTTTTTTTTTCATGAGATGGAGTCTTAATCTGTTGCCCAGGCTGCAGTGCTGTGGCGTGACCTCGGCTCACTGCAACATCCACCTCCCAGGTTCAAGCAATTCTCCGGCCTCAGCCTTCTGAGTAGCTGGGATTACAGGTGCCTGCCACCATGCCTGGCAAATTTTTGTATTTTTAGTAGAGATGAGGTTTCACTATTTGGCCAGGCTGGTCTCAAACTCCTGACCTCAAGTGATCTGCCCGCCTCAGCCTCCCAAAGTGCTGGGATTACAGGCGTGAGCAACCATGCCCAGCCTCGCTTTACTCTTTATTAACGTTGGTGATATCCAGTTTTTCACTACCATAAACAAAGCTGGGATCAATTTCCTTGCACATACATATTCTTAGCTTGTCTGCTCATTCCCTTTGCATAAATTTCTAGAATTGCTGACTCAAAGGGAAACTTTACATTTTGCTCCATGGTACCAAACTGCCCAGAAGGATTTGAACAATTTCTACTCCCACCAGCGTTCCTCACCAACACTGAGTATTATCATTCTTATCTTTTCCAATCATCATAAAGTAGCAACTGTTCTTTTAATTTATATTTGTTTGATGATTTGCAGATGTTTCTGATTTGTAAAGTCTACCAGCAATCTTTCTACTCGATGTATCCTAGCAAACTGCGTCTCTACCCAGCCCACTGATGACTTTCTCCCCTGATGCTGGGTGTGATGTCTTCATGAAAATTTGACTTATTTGCAAAGCTAGTGAAGTTGCCTCCAAAGTATCCAGATGGTGTCTGCTACCCACAGCAATACCACTTCCCTCCAGACCTTGTCTCCTGTGTACCATTTCTTTGCAGAAGTGACCGTCCTGTGCCCGTGTGCATGAAGTTGACTAAAACTTTGTGAGACTAATGAACAGAAGATTTCTCATGTTGGAAAGGTGATTTTCAGCCTGACAAGGAATAAAAGAGAAACTGGACCATTATGAGGCCTGGAGTGGCCACGCTTCACCTCAACAGACGACATCAATTATCTCTGAATAACACTTCACAAACTCAGAAGTTGATTTTTATTTTGCACCCCATTTGAGAGGCAGGATCTTAATCTGCCCCCACCTCAGCAGGTCTATATTAAGATGGGCAGCAGGATTTACCATAGTAGTCGAGGTGCATGGGGGTGCATTGGATCTCGTTGTCCTGAGGACAGATAATGCATCAGGTCTCATTGTCTTCCTCTGCCTACATTGGCATCTGCCTTGATGATTTCCTTCCCATCTGGACTTCAGCTATCAGTCCCCATGGGTCAAAGCTGTGTCCTTCATGTCTCCAATTGCAAGACCCCTTGAATCCAGTGGCTCCTGTCAAGGTTGCTCTGTGGTGAACTCCTTCTACTTAACTCCTGCTCTCAGAGCTTCAGGGACTGCATCAGAGCCCCTCTTAGGCACAGGACATCATCGTATTACCCCATATCAAATGGAAGCACAGAGAACTCTGGAAATTTGCCACTTCTGAAGGCTCTACCTTATGGTCTAGGGCATAGGCCATCTCTGATCCCTAATTCCCCAAACTAATGAGGATTCCATTCACACCCTCATCCCCAGGACTCAGCCTTGTGAAGGCCGACTTCTTAAGGACACACCTACATGAAACCTTTACTCCTCTGATTCTTTTCTGCTTTTCTCCTCACCCAGGCCTGGGAAACTTTGTCTATTTTCAGTTTCGCAATCTACTTATCATGCAGTTGCCTAAATATCTTGTTTCTTCTCAGGGCTAGGCATTTGAAATAAAACCCAAGTAATGATTTCTCCCATCCGAGCTAGGGATGAAAATGGAGGCCTAACTGCCAAAATTCAGGGCAGGGATGGAAAGAGATAATAGGAAGGAGGAGAAAAGACACATGTGTTGTTTAGCTGGTGGGAAGAGGGCCATTCCAGATGTGAGAAACAGCACAGGCATGAGGTCAGAATGTGCTGGAGTCCAGAGTCTGGCCTTGCCTCCACTGAGATCTAATGGAATAAAAGATCATACATAGGTATAGGAGGGGCCAGAACCTGCAGAATTATCATTCAGTGAGCATGACGAGAGTGGGCATACTGTGTTATCTCAGTGCAACTTACTGATACAAAACTTCCATTTAGCTTGATATCACAGCAGGTTTTTTTACTATTTTTAAAGGAAAGTAGATTATGGTGCTAATGGATAGGATGTGGCTTCAAACACAGAACAGTCCTAGATTTGAATCTGGGCTCTACTGCTTATTGTCTGTGATGCTAGGCCCAGTTTACTCATCAACACAATGGGAATAATACCTCTTTAATAAGTTGATACTTGTAAATTATATTAGAGAACATATGTAAAGCAACTACAGCTTAGAAGATATTCCTTTCCCCCCTCTCCTGTTTTTAGCCCCAACCCTCAGAATAATTCATAGCTTGCCTCATCCCTACCCAAATTAATCTACTGCTAATATTTCTCAGGTTACTAGAAATGCATTCATGAATGTGCATGAATTATATGCATAAATTTGTATGCTGGTGGATCACATGTGCTTCCTATCTTTTATAACTAACTCTTTTGCTTTAAGTTGCTAATCTTCTCTATATCATTCCAATTTCAGTATATGTGCCACCAAAGCAAGAACTGTTTTTCTTTTTAATATTCATTGGGATTTACAGAAAATACTGATGAAAACACTTTGTAAACTGGAAATAGCGTCCAAGTGTGCAGAATAAAGGTTCTGAGGTATCATTGACTCTAGGAATAGCGCAGTTCTCCTTTCCTCAAAACCTTTTGCTCCTTCCTTCTTGCCTATCACCCAGGAAGAAACCTGAAGAGGATTACAGCCAAGGACCCTGCCAGGAAGTTGTCCCAGGGAGCAGAGCTGGGCTTACAGAAAACTGAGCAAAGAGGGACAGGTGTGGTGGCTCACAAATATAATCCCAGCACTTTGGGAGGCTGAGGCAGGCAGATCACTTGAGGTCAGGAGTTCGAGACCAGCCTGGCCAACATGGTGAAACCCCGTCTCTACTAAAAATACAAAAATTAGCTGGGTGTGGTGGCACATTCCTGTAGTCCCAGCTAATCAGGAGGCTGAGGCAAGAGAATCATTTGAGCCTGAGAGGCAGAGGTTGCAGTGAGCCAAGGTCGCGCCACTGCACTTCAGCCTGGGCAACAGAGCAAGACTCCATCTCAAAAAAAGAAACAGAAAAAGAGGCTGAAGCCCCGGCTCCTGTGTGCAAAGCCTCCCAGGCTTGACTATGGGAGAATGCATCTTCCGTGGGGCTGGTGAGGTAGGAGAGACTTGAGGAGGCTTCTCTCTCTGGAGATGCCCCAACCCTGGAGGACCTAAGGTGGAGTGAATTCGCTCTGCTCCAGGACACATGCTCTCCATGCAGAGCCTCATATCCTCTACTCCTCCTTCAGGCTCCCTCACTGGAAGGGATAAGAGCACAAACACATGTTGAGGGTCTGGATCTTGGTATAAGAGTTCTGTATCAATCCACTTCAGTCTTATTAGGCAAGTAACAATGACAGCAGCAGCAGCAGCCACCAAGGCAGCCGTAATAGTGATCAATATGTACTGAACAGCTACTTTGTGCCAGGTATTGTGCTAAGTGTTTTATAATCATTTTCTCATTGAATGCCCACCACAACCCTATGAGGTAAGTGCTATTAGTGTATGGCTTGTATAGATGAGGAAACTGAAGCTCAGTGAGTTTATGTAACTTGCCTGAGATTACCAAGGTAGGAACTTATGGAGCCTGGATTCAAACCTAGACAGGCGGACCCTTAGGAGCTCTGTGTAGTACAACCCAGCTCACCAGAACCAGATATCTAGCATCAAAGGCTCCTTAGTTTTCCCCTCCTCAGAAATCTCTCAAGAATTTATAGGTGCAATAAAGAGCCCTTTGAGGGTTTAGGATCCTTTATCCCAGCAATCTCTTCTCCTCTTCCACATTTGAACATGACCACTAAGTATCACTACTCCCACAGACTTGTGGCTTGGCTTAGAACACAGTGCTACTGTGGAGCAAACTCTAAGCATCTCTCACAAGAAAGGAATATCAGGACTCTTATTTCACTTTCTCATCCCCTGAGGAGAGCAAACATCATGATACGTCTTCACTACAGCAGAGACAAAATGGAAGGCACCTTAGAGGAGTATTTGCTAGAAACATACGCCTTCCCAAAAGGGTTGATGCTCACTATTGACCTTCTCCCAGTCTATAAGAAAATGATCATTTGTATTATCTACCTCTATGGACACTGATACTCATGAGGAAGTCCAAGGGAACATCCTGAGCATCTCTCTGGTTATGGAACAAAACATTTGGTAGACATGTGAATTATCCCATCCCTGAGGAGTCTCTAGAGTTGGCTGTCTTGGAACAGACCCAACCCACTCTTTCTTGACCTCTCACCACTCTCCCATACACAATAATAGCTAAAGCTCAGGCCTTGCAAATTTATAGGACAGAAAGCTGTCAGCAGCAATCAAAACTATAGGCTTTCTCTTTCTGGTCCAGCAGAAGGGGGACAGTGTCTCTCCCCTGCTCATCAGGGGAAGGGACAGAGGCCCTTCCTTACATCTGTTTGGCCACTGCAGATGTTATGACTACTTCTGAAGCAGAAAAATATCATGCATTGGTTGGCTTAGGCCTGAGCTGATGCCCACCACTAACCAAAAATTCTGTCAAAGAGGTGGGATTTTCTGAAAGACTTGGGTCACTTAAACCCCATTCCTGGAGGTGGGCTAGGTCAGTCCTATTAAACTATTTTAGTCCATTCTGAATGCTGTAACAAAAATATCATAAACTGGGTGGCTTATAAATAACAGAAATTTATTTCTTACAGTTCTAGAGTCTGGGAAATCCAAAATCAAGGCGCCCACAGATTTCATGTCTGGTGAGGGCTCCCTCTCTGGTTCATGGATGGCTCCTTCTATCTGTGTTCCTACACGGTAAAAGGAGCTAGCTGCCTCTCTGGGGTCTCTTCTAAGTGTATTAATCCCATTCATGAGGGTGAAACCCTCCTAACCTAATTACCTCCCAAAGCCCCTATCTTCTAACACTATCACACTGGCAATTAGGTTTCAGTGTATGAATTTTGAGGGACACAAACACTTAGACCAGAGCACAAACCGTAAAGCTAATATACATGGTTGTGGGGGAAAATGTCCGTGTTCCAAAAAATCTGGGTTCAGTTAAGAAGAGAAAAGGCCAGTGTCAGTAATGGGTAGGAGACAGATGAATGTCTACCAAAATTTATTTTAAAACTCCCAGAAAATATCAAAGATTAAAGTTATCAGTGATTCTTTCAGTGGTAGGATTAGAAGTGTTTGATCCCTATATGAGCATGTAATTCTTATGTAACTGATGAAAATATAAAGTTACTTTTAAAAGAATTTGAATACATAGTATACATAATCAGGAGTGGAACGAAGTGAACAAATACCAAAAAAGAGGAGAGTCATCTAAATGCCATACAGTGATGAGGCAGCAGTAGCACATTCAAATACAGAGATGAGAACATACTTCTTAAAGTTTTGCCAGTTGGCCAACTGGAGTGAAGACACACTAACCAAGGGGTAGAGAACGAAGTGCCTAAGAACACACAAAAGCAAAATCTCACATAATGTGGGATTGCTACAGAATATTGAATCCCAGCCCAACAGATTGGTGAGACAGTCAAGAGTCCAAGGAGAGAATGATATCTAATGATAAGTTAGCAACATTTGTAAACATTTACTACATACAAGTGTTTATATGTCTGATTGCATTTAATACTCACAATAGCACTTTGAGGTAGTGTTGTTATTCCCACGGGAGGAAATGTTGCTGACACCCTGCCTGCATTCTCACAGCACTCCCCATTCCCATTCATGTCAATAGCTTCCTCCTGCAATCACCAACTCATCTCTGCCTCAGGATTTCTTCTGGCTTCAGGCATATGTCTGTCTGCAGGTGCATGGGGCAGGCCAGAAATGCTATGGAGCTAACATCCCTGGGAGCAGTTCTCAATTAATACAGAACAGTATTTGACAGATAAATACCCTAGCTTCATCACCCTTTAGATGGGGTAGTGCTGAGGCATGTTCTACACATGCCTGGGTTAGAGGTTCCCAAAGGGATGGAGCCCCAGTGGCCCAGAGTGATGACCTGCTCATTAACATACCTGTGTCAGCTCCCTTTTTTTCTCCTTGTCTCACTTTTCCATTATCTTTGTGCTATGATCTGAATGTCTGTGTCCCCTCCATATTCACATGTCAAAATCCTAACCCCCAAGGTGATGGTGTTAGGAGGTGGGGCCTTTGGGAAGTGATTAAGTCATGAGGGCAGACCCTCCATGAATGGGATTAGTACCCTTATAAAAGAGAACCCAGAGAGCTAACTGCCCCCTTCCACACTGTAAGGACATAGCAAGAAGGCACATTTATGAACCAGGAATCGGGCCCTCACCAGGTACCAAATCTGTTAGCACCTTGATCTTGGATTTCCCAGACTCCGGAAATATGAAAAACAACTGTCTATTGTTTGTGAGCCACCAAGTTTACGATATTTTGATATAGCAGCTTGAATGGACTAAGACACTCTGTGTCCTTGGATCATGGGTACTATTTACATTCCAATTTTGGTCTCAGGATCTGCTTCTGAGGGTATCCACTCCAGATACCTGCTTAAAAAATAAAGCACTGGCACTTACCAAGTAAGGAATGCCCAAATCACATTACTAGTAAGTGAATAAGGCCAGGCTCCGACTCACAATAAACTCCACTTAATCACTAACATTACCCCAAACACAACACACGCACTGCTGGAAGTACTTCAGAAGCTTTCAGATTGCACATGAATGGATTGGTTGGTCAGTATTTCAATGTGTGTTAGAAAAGGAAGGCCAGGCACAGGGGCTCATGCCTGGAATCCCAACACTTGAGAATGGTGTGGCCAAAGGATTACTTGAGGTCAGGAGTTTGTGACCAGCCTGGGCAACACAGTGAAACCCCGTCTCTACAAGAAAAAAAAACTATTTAAAAAATAAAAATGAAAATAATGCAATATTTCCTCAAGTATAAGACACTTTCAATTGTGATATACACCAGTATTTCCTGCAGTGCTAAGAAAAACAGGACATTGCTATGATCCAAAGTTTTCTTATCACTTAACATTTCTATTTTATTCTTACTGATAGCTTTAGGATTCTTTAGACATAGAATTTTAAAATATAACACACTTGGGCATACATAAAAAGAAATATATATGAAAATTTAATTAGCTAAATATTTCTTAAGTTTCTTTACAATCAAGTGTTCAACTTTTTGGAATCACTTTTAAACTCGAAGTCAACAATGCCTGTGTTTCCCACACGATGTCATCATCCACTCCATCAATAACATTGGTGAAGGTGGTGAAGCTGCATTTCTTCAAGCATGCTCCCCGCAGTGGCTTCAGGATCTTCATCTGTGCTGCTAACATCCATTCGTTTTTATCTGCTGCCTTCTTCTTCTCACCAGAAGGTGTCAGGCAATGACAACTATGTCCTGATTGCTGCCCGATCCATAGAAAGCCCAAGGATGGGAACTGGCATCCATTGTATGATTCCTCATGACTTCAAAGATATTAACTTATGGAGAAATGTGTACCATAGAGCTAACAAGATAAGGTAAACAAATGGCACACTAAATCTCAGATACATGGATATTATTACGTAAGATGAGGCTAAAGTAGTATGTAAACTTTTAAAATGTGGGTTAATGTAGGGAAAAGTTTTAAATTAAAAATTGTGCACATGCTGGGTATGGTGGTGTGCACCTACAGTCCCAGCTACCTGGGAGGTTGAGTCAGGAGGACTATTTGAGGCCAGGAGATGGAGATTGCGATGCAGTATGATCTATGATTGTACCTATGAATAGGAACAGCACTCCAGCCTGAGCAACATAGCAAGACCCTGTCTCTAATTTAAAAAAAAAAAAAAAAAAAAAAAAATTGTGCAGGCAATACACTGATATGACAAAAACCATAAAGAGAGCCAAGAACTGAACTTTGAGACACTCAGTATTATATCATGCTCCAGCACATGAGAGAGATGTGTACAGCCACTAGCAGCAATCTCTGTAACCAGCAGTGATTGTATTTAACACACTGTTCACTTACGCTCATATTACTACCCACTAGGCCTAATTCCAGGACTCTCTCAAAAATTGCACCTATAGGCCAGGCATAGTGGCTCACGCCTGTAATCCCAGCACTTTGGGAGTCTGAGGCAGGTAGATCATCTGAGGTCAGGAGTTCGAGACTAGCGTGGCCAACATGGTGAAACTCCATCTCCACTGAAAATACAAAAATTAGCCAGGTGTGGTGGCAGGTGCCTGTAATCCCAGCTACTTGGAAGGCTAAGGCAGGAGAATCGCATGAACCTGGGAGGTGGAGGTTGCAGTGAGCTGAGATTGGGCCACTGCACTCCAGCCTGTGTGACAAGAGTGAAACTCCGTCTCAAAAAAACATTGCACCTACAGCATGAAAAGGGGTTCCAAATTACTATTTAAAGAGCGATTAAAACTTGGGGGTAGGGTGGAGGAGCATACCGCCAAAGGAACAGAATCAGAATAATAGATCCCATAAGGTTGAAGATCAAGTGAGGATTAATGGGTATATGCTTGGTAAGATTAAGTTTCATCATTGGAGGGGAACTGTACACCAGCAAAGTCTATAGCCTTGTATTTTCACATGACAGATGTTTCCATGTCAGAGGGACTTACTTAGACTAATAAATAGTTACACTCATTATCCTTAATAATCGAACTCAAACAGAACCCCAATTAAGGAATATTCTCATAGTTGTCCCCTCAAGACATTAACTCAAGTTCAAAAACTATAACAAACATATGTTCAAATTGAAATCTAAATAGAGAAACCACTAAAATGTGTGGTTGTTTAAACCTACTGCAATGCTTGAAGGAAGTAAGAGACTGTGAAGGACAATGATTCAGACGACGTGTGAATGTTCCATCTGCCATATATGTTCGGGTCCACTACCTGGAGCTAATTAAAGGGAGCTATAGGACAGAAAAGAAGACCGAGTGGCCGCTTTCTTCCTGTTTTAGGTAGGTCAGATGTCATAACCTTCTCATGGCTCCAGGATGAAACAGAAACTTCACATTTCTTCCCAGCTGAATGTGTTATGGTGGGTTTTTAAAAATTTCTTCCCAGATCCTGCCAACTGATGATAGGAAGAATGACAAGGCCCAAGATTGTAAAATTATGGAGTATATTTTTCTCTATCTCTCCCCACCCAAAAAGCAAAAATGCTGAAAGTGGGAAAATTCTCTCTCAGAAAGTATGCTCCTGTCTCCCTCCCCACTCACTGTCTTTCCATAGTGCTCCCTTTTCTTTCTATCGTACCTACTCTAATTAAACATTCGGCCATTCGAGTGGTTAACCAGGTATAATGACAACACAGGGGAATACCAGAACCAAAGAATAGATTTCAAGTCTTTTGTTATGCAGCATGTCACAGGTTAAACCTATAAACATGTCCTTTTGGGGCAACACAGTCCTGGGGACCAGAAGTATGAAGGGCTGTGCCTTCTCTAACAAGAAAGACCGTTGCCTTCAGGATGCAGTATATAGGTTGCTTTTTTTTTTTTTTTTTTTAACATCTACCTCCTCTTCTTTGGATCCCAGCACCCAGATTTTTTTTTTTTAACTCACCTTCCTTGAGTCTCAGTCCATATAATTCCAAAAGACCTGGATCTTCACCTCTCCTTTCCTGGGCACAATTGCCTAGATCCCTTTACCAGGCCCATGTCCCATCCCCTAGCTGCTAACAGTTCTGAGCTCACTGTATGAAAAGAATTACCCTCAGTCAAACAGGTGCCACCTAGACAGAGGTTCACACACATACACACACCCCAGAGGCAGCCCACAGACAGTGACTAAGTGAACACTGGGGTCCAAAAAGCCATTCCCTTTGCCTTAAGGTGGAACCAACTTCACGGTTTAATTCACACTCCAGAGCTCCCCGTGGGATCACACTCCTGCTGAGACCACATCCTTGTTTAGCTTCTACTGCCCCATCCTGTTTTCCTCATTCCCCTTCCGAAGACATTTCCCCAATAAATTACTTGTACAAGAATCCTTGTCTACATTTCTGCTTCAGAGGTGCCCCCTCTAAGGTATCACTGCTTCACCCCATCTGCCTCTCTTTTACCTACCCGCCTCCCACGGAGGAGCCATATCCCAAGGCCAATGTTTGAGTCCTCATTAAGCTGTCCCTAAAGCCAGATCTGCCCAGCATTTTTCAGTTAATTAATTAAGTACTGAATTATCTTTTTGGCTTAAGTCAATTTGGGTTGGGCTTTGTGTTTCTTAGAAACTAGAGTACTAATACATTAGAAGATATTCAGGGCACAACTATTACGTAGTTCATTTATTCTTTGTTCCATAAATATTTATTGAGCATATATTGTGTTCCATCTACTATATAAGGATCTATAGATAGGATCTATGGTAGGATATAATGATGGAAAAGACATAGCCCTTGGCCTCATGTAACTTTCACTCTTCAAGTAGACCATAATGACAATGCAGAGCAGTAAGTATAATTTAAAAGGGTGTGTTATGGGAACACAAAAGAGGAGCAAACTAACTCCTTCCTATGGGCACATGGCAGGGCATGGGGACACCAAGCAGGGAAGGTTTCCTCAAGGAAGCAATACCTGCCCTAAAATCTAAAGGAAAGCAGAAGTCATCAAGGAGAAAAGAATTCCAGGTAAAGGAATCAGATGTACACATGAGCAAAAGCATGGTACATCTGGGGGAGTCTGGGAATATCAGTCTGGGAATATCAAGTGTGGGTTGTACACCCTGCAGAGTAAGCGTTCTGCCTCAAGGCTTTCTCTGAGGCTGTAGAAAGCTGCTCACCTACACACAGAAGCAGCCGGAAGTTTGGGGGAAGCAGATAGCCCAGCTCCAGGTATAGTTCTCCAACCAACAGAAATGCTGTCAGCAGATACGTGCCCAATTTCATCCTTGGGGGACAATTCTGAGAAGGATCCTGTGTGGTTCCTCAGATGGTCTCCAGGGAATTGAGCCCAGTCATCTGCCATAAGGACCAGCTCAATAGCAAACCCTATATTGATTTTTTTTTTCTCATGTTCACACTCCTGGTTCCCTCACGCTATTCTGTGGGATCACCTCCCAAATAAACCACCACCACCCAAATCTGTGTCTCATACTGTACCCTCTGAAGAAACCAAACTAAGACACCCATGTTGAGCAATTTGGACTGTATCCCAAGGGGAGTGGGAAACTAATAAAGGATTTTAAGCAAGAGAGTGACATAATCATCCCTGTCCTTTAGTACCATCCAACTAGGCTGCCCTGCAGAGTATGAACCTGCAAGAGAAAGCAGATGGTCTGGACTTATAGAAATACAGATTCAAGAGTGATGAGCTAAGTGGAACTGACAAAACATAATGATTGACTGGGTATGGGTGTTGAAGGAGAAGGAATCAAGATGAGGGGCTGGAAAAGAGTAAATGGTTATAAAGAGACCCTCATAGGTAGCTTTGCATCCTAAAGAATAATCACATGACCAATATCCATGATTTCCTTTATTCCTTTATTCATTCATCCAGAAATATCATTTCTTGTATATGCTACATTGTAACAGATATTTAATTCAATAGTATCCACAGCACTATAATAGACGCCATAAAGTATACACATGTGCACCCCCACACACAGACACACAAACACACAGATGAAAATATGGTCCTTGATCTAAAGCAGTTTACAATCGATTTGAGAAAAGGTACAGCATCATAAATAAACAAGCAAACCTACGTAATGTAACAAGTACTAAATAATATAAATGATATTGTTGGGGAGTAAAAGCTTTTCTCTACCCTCTTAAATTTAGTGATTGGAAGCCTGCAAATTAAACTGACAGAAGACAGATTAGCAAGAGAAAATAAAACATTTAATTACAAATGTATGCAGGAGTTCACAAAAAAAATGTGACTGAAGGAGATGGCTAGAATTGGGGGCTTGTACACTATGTTAATAGGTTATAGGAAGGGACAAACAGGTGTTTCTGGGAGAACAAATGACTTCTTGGGGAGCAGGGAGAAACTTATGGAAAAACAAACGACTTTTTGGAAAGATAAATGGGCCCTTGGGAGAATAGATGGGAGATGTGATAATTTTGTGACAATGTTTGTTTGGGTGTGGTGCCAACTTCTCCTCTCCAAGAAGAGATTACAGCTGCTCCCAGGGAGGGGATTTATGACAATTGAGTTCTTCGGGGAGGCTCTGCTTATAGACAGATAAGGGATTTTAGGAACTCAAATGCCTTCAGCTAAAAATAATTTTTATGCCACAATGGTTTATTCTGGACTCCTTCAATTCATAAAATCGGGGAGGTTGCCCAAAGCAAAAGAGCGGTCAATGTGGACTGAGTTTTAGGGTGTGGATAAATACAAATTCATAATTTATTTCCTGTTTAAAGCTTATTCTGAACCAGGCAAAGCACTTTATTTTTACTTGTTATATTATCTAATTCTTATAAAATTATTTTGCAATTGATATTATTATATTTTTTTTTATTTTTGAGGAAGAATTTCAAGAGAGAGGAAAAGTGTGTGTGTGTGTGTGCGCATGTGCATGCACACATGCATGCACACAGTAGACACTAAGGTCTAGTCCACAGAAAGTGGAGGAATTATGCTGGGGAATAATTGGGGACAGGCTTAACGGAAGGAGAGGCAGCTGGACAATGTAGAGCCTGTCGCACTTGGTTAGAGTTAGGATAAGGTGGGATATGGAAAAGGAGACACTATATTCTTAAGGAAATGGAAGATTGTAAAATATGTTCATCAAATATGACTCTAGGAACTCCATGCCAAGTACACTGGATTAGGTGCAGTTGTTCAAGAGTCTATTAAGAAATGAAAACATTTAGCCATGAAGACCTGCACTGTGTGAATTAGAAATTAAAGAAACATGGAGAAAGACCTGATGACCACATTGGAGCAGGTGCAAAAGAAGAAACAAGGACATCTTGAAACTGCCTTTGCAAAAATAATAACAGTGAGAGAAATCTAACATAACTGACTCCATTCTGCTTCTAACCTCACAAGCTAACTGCCCTTGCTCATTCTTGGGCATAGGCCAAGCTAAGAATGGGAAGAATGCTGTTTATGGTTTAACTTTAAAGCAAGGATGATAATAGTCCCTTCCTGAAACAAACCGCCTCCTCGTTCAGGGACCAAAACTGCCTTTGTAAAGCTAATGAAAGACCACAAGGTTAGAATTATGAGAAGGGCCTGAATTCTGCTAAGACATAGACATAGTTAAGTGATAACCAGCCATTTTTCCCTAGCTTGCTTTTCTATAATTGCTTACTGCTCAGGAGTCATGTAGTCGAATGTCAAGATTTGTTAATTTCCCCAATTGCTCCTCTAAATAACATCACTATTATAAAACCTAAGACTGGTCTTTGAGATACTTTTCAGACTTTTGCATCCTGGTGGACCACATGATGCCACTTGGACCTGTGACCCATACCAAGAAACTGACTCAACTTGTCCTGTGAATTCTACCCAGAAACTGACTCAGCGCACAAAGACAATTTCAACATCCCTATGATACCATTCCCAGCCAAACCACAGCACCCATTTCCTAGCCCCTGCCCACCAAATTATCCTTAAAAACCCTAGCCTCTGAGTTTTCAGGGAGGTACATTTGAGAAATAACTCCCTTCTTCTTGCTCAGCTGCCCTGTGATAATTAAACTCTTTCTGTGCTGCAACACTGCTGTCTCCATGTATTGGCTTTTCTGTGCAGCAGGCGATAAAAATCTTGCTAGAATCTTGGGCTAGAACAATCTCTAGGCTTAGACCAAGAGTTTTGGAAAGATGCTACACTTAATGTAATGCAGAATGAGTCATTTGGAATGGCAGGATAGAGAGCAAGAGGGCAGCTCTAGAAGAATCCTCCAGGCTTTTAAAAACAGGGACTTTTCTTGGCCCTTGTCTCACCTTCATTCTCAAAGTGGGATGTATGTTTGCTGTATGGCCCTGTGTGTGTTAGACACACAGTAAGTACATGCTGAAAGAATGGGTGAATTTATGAGGGATCGAAAATAAAGAGCAATAAGCAATGTTTCCCCTATTCTCCACTGTCTCTGTTTCCTCTAAACTGTAGGGCAGAGCCTGATAGAATGAGGGGAAACACATAAAATCTGGAATCAGAAGATTCAATTTCTAAAGTTTGTCTTCTGCACATACCACTTTTATACATCGGACAAGTCAAAATTATCTCTAAAGTTCAGTTTATTTCTCTGTAAAAGGAGAATAACACCACCAATCCTCCTAGCTCAAAAAATACATCACTTGTGTTAGTTGAGTGCACACTACCAAGTACTTTAACCACTTACACAGAAGTAGTTCTTCTCCCATAGGGCTCTGTCAGTTCTCTTTCAAAATCCAACTCTGTGTGTGTGTGTGTGTGTGTGTGTGTGTGTGTGTGTGTGTGTCCTCTCTTCCTGTCTCCAACCCCACCCCCCATCTTCTGGGAGTTTCCAATGGTATGTGTTTGTTAACTGTAACCACAGCTAAAATCTTCCCTTTAGAGGACAAAAGCACTTCTCTTCCATTTTCCTTCCTCAATAAACCCATAATTAATAAGAGCATGATGGCACTTAGCTAGTACATTTAAAGGAACACCCATTAGCATTCATTTATTCTCAAAAATGAATTAACAAAATGATGAACAACAGGATGAGCAATGAGGATTTACTCTACTCAACTTCTCACTTCATTACACCATATAAGAATATTCAAAGTCAAACTGTCATCACAGAATGTAGTCAGGAGCTTATGAAGCTGCACTGGTTGCATTTTTGCTTAACTCTTACACTCTTTTGTATCTTTCTTTTTTTAATAGGAAGGGAGTATACTTTAATTCCTCCAAGTCACTCCAACTGGATTAGACTCTTAAAGAAAAGAGACTCAGGCTTTCTCATTTTTAGGACTTTCAGAGTCCCTAACACAATTCTCCATTCAAAATAAGCATGCAATTGCTACATATTTATAGAAAAGATGAGTGAAAAAAAGAATGAAAACTATTACTGTTTCATTATAAGTAAATCTATATTTATTCTAAAATAAATACTTAAAAGCAGAGGGATGTCTTTTATTCTGGCAAACCTCCCCGAGATTCTATAAATCTGTGCATTACATTCCCAAGCTACAAATCTTGTGGCACTCAACCATATTGTGCAATACAAGAGAAGGTCTATAATGCATATTTCTACATCTTCATTTCATAAGAATATTTAAACAAGACATGCAAATTCAAGTGCAAGCAAGATCTAAGGAAACAAACTATATTTATGGGTGGCTGTATTTATGCACATATGTAGCATGTAAGCCTCAGAGTTTTCGGTTGCAGAATGAGGATGGAGTCCTTTTGATACAGCTGGAGATAGGAGGAAGATCGCTGTGGCTCACAAGTGAGAGTGCATTAAAAACATGGACAGCCCTGGTTAATAAATGTCCTCCATAGGGCTAATGATGGATGTTGCAGATCATGTTGAAATGTTGGGCCCACCTTACTATATAGGTCTATTCTATAATGATCACTTCTCAAGGATGCCATAGTAACTACTTGCCCTGTCCTACCATTTCCCATCCCGATATGCCTGTCTGTGCATGAAACTCTAGATGGAACACCAACTTCTTTGAGTCTCACTTTGTGTGTATTCATCCACTTATTCAAAGAATATTTATTAAGAATCTACTGTGTTCCAAGGACTGTGGTAAAGATATAAGAGCAAACAAGATATGGTCCCTGCCCTCAAAAGACTTAAAACTAGCAAAAAATACTGTTACAGAAATGTCACTGAGAGGAGCATGCATTAAGCTGTTATCAATAACACCTTGTCATGTTTTCTTTCTCCATGAAAGGAATGAAACTGCCTATTAGACCCTCAAAGAACTTTCTCAGTATTATTTCACCTGCCGTTTGAGGTTTGTAACAGAAGATTGTACAATCCGGTCTTACACCAAGTAATTTAGTTCTCTTAACTTGGAATATGAAAAAGAAGACAGCATGGTGAAACACGTGCCCCTTAAAATATAAAATACCATTTTATTGTACAAAATTAATACAAATTGAATAAAGCCAAAAAACTCATATCTCAATATGAAATGATTAAGTATAAAAATAATAGAATTAGAATCCAGTGGCTATAACCCATAGCCTTTGAGTGTACTTTTGAGTCTCCTGAACACATTTATTCTTTAGGTTTGTTCATTTGGAAACTCTCGAGTTGCTCCTAATTAGTCACCAGTCTTTCCCTTGACCTTACTTTGGATGTTTAACACTTGGTACTAGTTATGCTGGGCTTTTCCATCCACTTCCTTGGCCTCCAATGGTGTTTCATGCTGATATGCTAGCAACCTGATTATTTCATTAAACTCTATCTCAAGCTATGTCTTATATGCTCTATTCCTACTCGAATCCTAGCATTTTCTGAATCTAATGCATAAACTCTTAAATCAGTGGTAATCAATTGAGGATGGTTCCTCCTCCCCCAAGGACATTTAGGACATTTGGCAATGATTGGAGACATTTCTCATTGTACAAAGGTCGGGGCAGGGGTGGGATGGGGACCAGATGTCAGAAGCGGGAATGCTACTGGCATTTAGAGGGTAGAGGCCAGGGATGTTGCTAAACATGCTACAGTGCACAGGACAGTCCCCATCAAAAAAAAAGAGTCCCAAATATCTAGAGGCTGAAGAACCTCTACTTAGAAGAGGGTCCAGAGGAGACATACAATCGTAGGAGTCCTATCAAAGCAGACCTGGGTATGTTAAAGAAAAAATGTGTCTTTTAAGACAGAAGATTTTCATGTAATAGTCCAGGCAAACTGTCACCTGTCAGAGCTTAGCTTTTACAGATTACTAAGTGGGCCTCCTTTTAATTTAAAAGTCATAACATAGTCCAAACATAACCTCACATAAAACATTTTTATGCAGATCGAACCTCGGGGTTTTCGCACTTCATTAAGAATTAGTTGACAACTAGCAGGGAACAAGATAGGAAAAGAAGCCTTTAACTGCAAAAGTGGGAAATATCAGCATGCTTGTATTTGCTTGACAGTTTTCCCTTGACTACACTGAACTTTATCTGAGCCCTGTGTTCCCTGAAAGCAGCTACAGTTAAAAGATCCCCCTGAACCCTATTGTGTCCCAAAAAAGGGCACATCACAAAGCACCATCTTGCCCTTCCATATGTTTCTCATGACTCAGATAAGATTTGCTTGCTAGGCAGGGCACAGTGGCTCACGCCTGTCCCAGCACTTAGGGAGGCCAAGGCAGGAGGATTGCTTGAGCCCAAGAGTTCGAGACTAGCCTGGGCAACATAACGAGACACACACACACACACACACACACACACACACACACACACACACTTTATATTTACGAAGACTCACTTTCTGTCCACCTTTCCTTGGGACTCCTTGTTTATTTACCTCAGTAGAAAAGGTTTTCTCTTTCTTTGAGATGGTTCTGATTAATGAACATTTTCTCTAATGTTGAATAAAGCCTGAATAAAATTAACTGCTTAATAGTTTTTTACATCCTATCTTTTTTTTCCACTATATTTTAGGAAGCCAGACCTTTGGACTGCTCAGGGGAAGACTAATATCACCAAATCTCCTCCAGAAAATGCAAACCTCTGAGAAAAAGAAAGGAGTTAGATTTCACTTTCCCATCAGCCTTCCTTAAAAAATATATATATACATATATATATATATTTCAATTTATTTATTTATTTATTTAACTTTTATCTTAGGTCCAAGGATACACGTGCAGATTTGCTACATGGGTAAATTGCATGTCACAGGGATTTGGTGTACAGATCATTTTATCGCCCAGGTTAAGAAACATTGTACCCGATAGGTAGTTTTTCAATCCTTACCCTCCTTTCACCCTCTACCCTCCAGTAGACCCTGATGTCTGTTATTCCCTTCTTTTTGTCCATATGTACTCAATATTTAGCTCCCACTTATAAGAGAGGACATTCAATATTTGGTTTTCTGTTCCTGTGTTATTTTGTTTAGGATAATGGCCACCAGTGCCATCCATGTTGTTCCAAAGGGCATGAACTCATTCCTTTTTTGATGTTTGCTTAGTATTTTATGATGCACTTGTACCACATTTTCTTCATCCAGTCTACCATTGATGGGCACTTAGGTTGATTCCATGTCTTTGCTATTGTGAATAGTGCTGCAATGAATATACAGGGTGCATGTGTCTTTATGGCAGAATGATTTATATTTCTTTGGGTATATACCCAATAATGGGACTGCTGGGTCAAATGGTAATTTGGCTTTAAGTTCTTTGAGAAATTACCAAACTGCTTTCCACAATGGCTGAACTAATTTACACTCCCACCAGCAGTGTATGTGTTCCCTTTTCTCTATAACCTCACCAGGATCTGTTATTTTTTAACTTTTTAGTAATAGCGACTCTCGCTGGTATGAGATGGTATCTCTTCGTGGTTTTGATTTGCATTTCTCTAATGATCAGTGATGCTGAGCTATTTTTTTTTTTTTTTTTTTTTTTGAGACGGAGTCTCGCTCTTTCGCCCAGGCCCCGGAGTGCAGTGGCGCTATCTCGGCTCACTGCAAGCTCCGCCTCCCGGGTTCACGCCATTCTCCTGCCTCAGCCTCCTGAGTAGCTGGGATTACAGGCGCCTGCCAGCGTGCCTGGCTAATTTTTTGTATTTTTAGTAGACAGGGTTTCACCATGTTAGCCAAGATGGTCTTGATCTCCTGACCACGTGATCCGCCCGCCTAGGCCTCCCAAAGTGCTGGGATTATAGGTGTGAGCCACCGCGCCCGGCCGATGCTGAGCTATTTTTCATGATTGTTGGCCACATGTATATCTTCTTTTGCAAAGTGTTTGTTGATGTCTTTTGCCCAGTTTTTAATGGTTTTTTTTTTTTTGCTTATATATTTAAGCTCCTTATAGATTCTTGATATTAGACCTTTGTCAAATGCATAGTTTGCAAGTATTTTCTCCCATTCTGTGGGTTGTCTGTTTACTCTATTGATAGTTTCTTTGGCTGTGCAGATGCTCTTTAGTTTAATTCGGTCCTATTTGTCAATTTTTGTTTTTGTTACAATAGCTTTTGGTGTCTTCATCATGAAATCTCTGCCAAGTTCTATGTCCAAAATAGTATTTCCTAGGTTGTCTTCCAGGATTGTCATCGTTTCAGATTTTACATTCAAGTCTTTAATCCACCTTAAGTTGATTTTTGCATATGGTATAAGGAAGGGGTCCAGTTTCTATCTTCTGCATATGGCTAATGAGTTATCCTAGCACCATTTATTGAATAGGCAGTCCTTTCCCCGTTGCTTGTTTTGTTGATTTTGTCAAGATCAGATTGTATGTGTGCAGCATTTTTTTTCCAGCCTATCAGCCCTCCTTGATGATGATCTGACAATTACCAGCTGCAGAGGTGTTAGTAAAAAGAGTCCCGCCCAAGTCCAGATGTTGGGGCTCTTTCTTCCATTTGTTAAGGTTAAGAATCTTAACTACTTGCTAGGTTAAGAACATCCCACCTCCTCCCTTTCTGGAAGGACTAACGAGCAGGGCAGTCAGAATAGGAACCCCATGGGACAATTCACAGATGAGATGAAGTGCTGGATGGACCACCCTCCTCCCTGAGCTATGAGGGTCTCTGCTGGCTGGTAGGATGCATGGTAGGGAATGGGTCAGCTCCCAGTGGTTCCTTGGCATTTTCCATCTTCCAAGCCTTTCATGCCCTTCCTCAAAATAGCCCCCGGGTCATTCTCCAGGTGGCCTTTACACTTTAACTCTCTCCTTTAATTCTCTTTCTAAGCTTCATTGCTGCATAAACACTAAGCCCTGCCTGCGCTGGCACTCTCCCTTTTGATTCTCAAGAGCATAATTTGGAAGTCAAAAAGAAAGCTAACTCTTATCTTTACATTCCTGCACTGAAATCCCTACTCGCCTTCAGGCAATGTTCCTGGCCTTAGACTGACAGGTGATGGGGGCAGAGTATGGGCGGAAAGAAGGAAAGGCACAGAGATTAGTACAAAGTAAAATATTGCTGCTAATTCTATCAAATTTCAATGACTGGTAATAATTCAACCAATAAGTCCTGGCAACTGGGTGGATATAAGGTACCAGTAAGAAGGAAGAGGGAAAGATGATACCAAGGTTTTGAGCCTGAATGACTGGGAGGATGGAAGGTGGTAACACTGGCAGAAATGGACAAGTCGTGAGATGAGGGGGTTTGGGAAAGACGATGCCCGTGACTTATATTTAGGACTTGTTTGGGGTTGAGTGATGGGAAGATATCCAAGTGGAATGTCTTCTATGCTGATGGATCATGGCATTGGAGATCAGACAGGGTTAGGGCTGAGGGCATTATCTATGAAGGCCTACATTTAGCATCTATATTATATTAGTAGTCACTGAAAATAAGGCAGGATTTGTTTGCCCAAAGATAAATAGTAAAGAGGGAGGTCACCCACATCGAAAATTCAGCAATGGTGACAGCAGAAACTAGAAGAAAACTAATGTGTATTCTCACAAAAGTCCCAGTAAGGTTTTGTGTTTAGTTGGAGGAAGTAGTCCCCTACATCCCAATGCTGACAGTGTCAGAGGTGTTTCAACCAGAGCAACTCCATCTTGAATAGGAGCTGGGTAATATAAGGCTGAGACCTACTGGGCTGCATTCCCAGATGGTTAAGGCATTCTAAGTCACAGGATGAGATAGGAGGTCAGCACAAAATACAGGTCATAAAGACCTTGCTGATAAAACAGTTTGCAGTAAAGAAGCTGGCCAAAACCCACCAAAACCAAGATGGCCACTAGAGTGACCTCTGGCCTTCCTCACTGCTACACTCCCACTAGCGCCATGACAGTTTATAAATGCCATGGCAACATCAGGAAGTTATCCTATACGGTCTAAAAAGGGGATTCACCTCTTTAGTATATAATTTAAAAAAAAAAAAAACAACATAAAAATGGGCAACCAGCAGCCCTCAAGGCTGCTCTGCCTATGCAGTAGCCATTCTTTCATGCCTTTACTTTCTTAATAAGCTTGTTTTCACTTTACTCCATGGGCTCGCCCTGAATTCTTCCTTGTGCGAGATCCAAGAACCCTCCCTTGGGATCTGGATCCAGACCCCTTTCCTGTAACAAATGTCACGGCAGATGAGTTTGAGAAAACACAATTGAATGTAGTCTCCAGAACATCACCAGCGCCCTCAGAGAAGCACTGGGGGGTGGGAGGGTAGAGTGCGAAGCTAACCTCTGATCCTGCCTGCCCTTATAGAGCCCTGAGAAGTCATCCAGGAAGCTTGAGAACTAGTCTAGAAACAGGAAAACTAAGAATGTTATCCCAAAATTTCACAGTGAATGACAGAATGCCAAGTCTTCTAGGCCTGGAATAAATAAATAAAATGAAGGGGATGTGCTGCCCCTGACACGTGGAGGGCGCAGACCCAAAAGAGAAGTAGATCCTTCAGAGCAAATGTCTACTTCTGATTGAATGATCTGACCCTGTGATTCTCCCACAGGATCTCCAGCTTTCAGCTGCAGTACACCCTCTGCAGTGCCAGGAAACATGACCGTGAGAAAGAAAAATACTTTTTATCTGAGGAATGTGAGCCCCTTTAAATTATCAGGCCCAGAAAGGCATTTGAAATATAACACTAGTCATACCTCACTCGCCCTTGAGCTGATACATACCCCATTTATCCTGATATAATTATTACACATTGTATGCCTGTATCAAAATATCTCATGTATCCCATAAATATATATACCTACTATGTACCCACAAAAATTAAAAATGAAAATAATTGTTTCTTGAAGCCACTTGCAATGTAGGCTCTAGACTAACTGATGCCAAGTAGCCATAAAATGCTGTACACCCTGTACTTCAACAATGTATAGCCAATCATTAACCAGTGTGTCAGAGACGTTTGAACCAGAGTGACTCCATCTTGAATAGGGGCTGGGTAAAATAAGGCTGAGACCTACTGGGTTGCATTCCCAGGAGGTTAAGGCATTCTTAGTCACGGGATGAGATAGGAGGTCAGCACAAGACACAGATCATAAAGACCTTGCTGATAAAACAGGTTGCAGTAAAGAAGCTGGCTAAAACTTACCAAAACCCAAACCAAGATGGCGATGAGAGTGACCTCTGGTGTCCTCACTGTTACACTCCCACAAGCACCATGACAGCTTATAAATGCCATGGCACCATCAGGAAGTTACCCTATATGGTCTAAAAAGGGGAGGCATGAATAATCCACCCCTTGTTTAGTATATAATCAAGAAATAACCATAAAAATGGGCAGCCAGCATCCCTTGGGGATGCTCTGCCTATGGAGTAGCCATTCATTTATTCCTTTACTTTCTTAATAAACTTTATCTCACTTTATAGATTCACCCAGAATTCTTTCTTGTTCAAGATCCAAGAACCTCTCTTGGGGTCTGGATCCAGACCCCTTTCTGGTAACAAATGTTATTTCTGTTAACCAATGAGAATTCCTGACAAACAACTTTTGTAACTGCCCCCTCTCCTGATTCATCCTTTTTTCTTTAAAAACTTGAGCCTCTATTTTGTTCTCTGGACCACTCGCCAAGGCAACTTGGAAGCGTATCCCAGGCTGCAGCCCTTGACCTTGGCCCAAATAAACTCTCTATATTAATTTTGCCTCAGCTTCTTCCTTTTAGGCCAACAACCAAGTATACCTAACTAAATTCAGTGGAGCTTCCTGGAGTGTCAATTAGATTCAGATTTTTAGTGGAGTAGAGGGTAGTATTTGTATATTATAATCCAAGGAAATGGGGTGCATTATGGTACAGAATGCAAAATGTTCATGGTGTTTGAGATAAAGCCCAGGACTTCAAAGTAATTTCAAAATCATGGTGTGCCATTTGGGGCCACACAGGCTCAGACCACAGAAAATATTTTTTTAACTTATCTGCTGTTATATACACTTCCATGAGAAAGCTTGAGTAGCACTATTACTTTACTCCTTATTCACTTCTTGTCAGGTAAAGACATTATTATAAAGTCCATGTCACCTCTACTAGGATTGATATTCAGTTCTACTGCAGACGTTCATTCTCATAGTTAATTGCCTCTGTCATACCAATGATTAAGTATTTTGAATTATTCACCAGATATTCTTATTTTCATA
This sequence comes from Homo sapiens, assembly GCF_000001405.40. Classification (NCBI taxonomy): domain Eukaryota; kingdom Metazoa; phylum Chordata; class Mammalia; order Primates; family Hominidae; genus Homo; species Homo sapiens. The sequence goes on along the minus strand of NC_000008.11, from coordinate 104,761,223 downwards.
TTTGTCTTATTTTCCTGTCCTTTTATCAAAATCTCTTCATCTCTTTTGGAACAGGGGCCGTGTCTAACTTTTCTGGGGCTCCTGAGCAATGTCTGCACCTATATCTTGCATGCAGTAGGCCCTCAATGAATTAAATCGACCCAAACCGAACATTGCAGAAGGCCAATTGTGACCATTGGTTTTAATAAGCTGCATTATGGAAATTTACTATTTTAAAGTACTATATTAAAGCACATTCTCTCATCTGATTTTCACAAGAACTTACTGGTCTAGGCCAAAACACAAGCCACAGAGTCGGAACTAGAAATCATGTCTTCAGAACACTTTTCATTTAGACAATCAATCCAAAAATATTTACTCAGCACCTAATACGTGCAAGGCACTCTCCTAGGCTCTGGGAACACGGTGTATTTTTATATTTAGCCCTACTAGCAGGCTATATATACATAACCCTCACGGAAGACATACATATGTATATTTCAGGGTATAGGTACAAACCTCATGAGGAAGAACCCAGGCATATTATATAATTAAGTAATCACCAATATACTGGTTGCTGAAAAGAAGTGCACAGAGCCACTGAAGCATATTCCAAAGGGCTATTGTTCGGATTAGTAGATGTGAGCTTCTCACCTGCTCTCTGCAAAAACTCTTTTTAGGTGACTCTCTTCTACTGTACTTGGTTCAACTTTATGTCAGGAGGAGAAAATGTGGCCAGGGACGTGCTGAAACTGAAGTAGTGGAGGAACCAAAATAATGGGAACACATATTTGTCCAAAGATCTATTTAAATTGTCTCACTGTGGGGAGGACAAGATCTAATATAGCCTTATTAACATAAGAATATGCTTCTTCATTATCTTGTTTGCCATAGACTTGAATTTTGATGGGAAAATTTTCAGGGCTTAAACACTTGATTGCTACTAATAGCCAGAGTAATAGCACAGCTGTATTTAGGCTTAATTTATGGGTATTTAACATAACTTTAAGTATAGATTTCTCCAAATGCACTTGCTATTTCATTAGGGCTAGCCTATAAGACCATCAAATCCCACTGGAGTAATCTCAAGGAATGCAAATGCCCCATATACTTATCTCAACCTTACAGATTCTTATAATACAGAGCATGAAGACCAACAATTGCTAACACCTGTTTGCCATATTTTCCCCATACAATTTTGTTTTAGGAAAGCTTCAGTAGTAGGGACAAACTAGTTTTATTTTTTTGAAATTCCCCTGGCCTTGTAAAAGAACTCTCATACCTCCATTTCTTCCCTCAGAGAGTGGCTTGGCAAATGTTTGTCTGTGCAATTGGGCTGGTGGACTTCACCTCACTTCCACCAGGGGCCGCTGTTCTGCAAGCAGCGACACCTGCAGGGACAGTGTTTCAACACCAAGCAGGACCAAATAGCTTGATGGTGCAGCAAAAACAATCCTTTCAAAATTTGTTTTCTAACCTTGAAAACATTGCTAAGTGAAAGAAGCCAGACACAAAGGCCCCATATTGCATTATTTCATTTATAAGAAATCTCATAGAAATTGTAAATTGATCAGACAAGAAACAACATCCTGTCTGTGATTGCTGAATTTTGCTTTAGAATCTTGCTCCAGAGGCCTTCTGACAGAGTCTCCTGTCAGGAGACCTGCAGGGTCCTGCCCAGCATTCACATGTGCACGACCTACAAGTGTGAGGGAGTTAACCCTCCGGGGCTCGAGGCTGGTAGACAATGTCCCCTTCCTCAAGGCTGGTAGACAATGTCCTCTTCCTCGGTCCTTAGCCAGACAATGCTGAAGTACATTCCCCATGGCTCCTTAAAAGGGACCAGGGAAGTTGAGTCCCAGCTTCTCGCAGCAGTGATCAACTTAAGACCACACTTCTGTATGGTTCCCCCTCCTTCTCCATTTCACTCTCCTTGCCCCACTCCTGTTCTCTGGGATTACTTCTCAAAATAAATACCAGAACACAAGCCACTGCTTCAGGATCTACTTTCCAGAGAGAAGACCACACCTGTCAGAAAGCCCATGGTTGACAGAAAACAAGTCAGATAGGAGAAGGGGGTCACCGAAGTTTTCAGCTTCTAACACAACTCCTCAACTTGGCATTCCGTGCTAGAGTCAACTTCCCACCATTCTTGTAACAGAATCTACTGTCCTACACACACAGATACTACACACACACACACACACACACACACGCACGCACAGAGGTTCCCATTCTTATTTCCTGATTCGTGTGACTGTGTGCATGACAGGAAGGTGAATGGCCCTGAAATCAGACCAAACCAAGGCTGCACCATTACCACAACTGGTGGAACTTGGCACAGGGTTCTCTGTAAAGTGAGGATCATGTCACTGATTTTCTGGGTTGCCATCAGCGTTAGATAAGTCTTCAAACCAGGTTATAGATAGTTACAGGATTGAAACCCCCTTTGCAAAATTATGACTGAGACAGTGAAAGAAATCTAACTTAACCGACTGCATCTTGCTTCTAACCTCCAAGCTGTCCTTGTTCATTCCTGGGTGTAGGCTGAACTAACTTTGGGAGAAACAGTTTATAGTTTATAGTTTAAACAAAGACAGTAACAGCCCTTTCCCAAAGCAGACCTCCTTCTTGCCTAGGGACTAGATTGCCTTTGTAGGACCAATATTAGCCACAAGATTAGAAATTATGGTTTAGGAGTCATGCAGCTGGAGGCTACAAGATTCTGACCCTCCCTAAACTGCTCTTAAGATCAGTGCTTGAGATATTTTGCAGACTCTGCGCTTGATAGATCAGCTGGCACCACCCAGATCAATAAACTGGCTCATCTGATCTAGCGGCCCCCCCAACTCAGGAACTGACTCAGCGCAAGAAGACGGCTTCGACTCCCTATAATTTTATCCATGACCAGTCAGCACTCCTGGCTCACTGGCTTGCCCACCACCCACCAAGTTATCCTTAAAAACTCTGCTCCCCGAGGCCGGGCACGGTGGCTCACGCCTGTAATCCCAGCACTTTGGGAGGCTGAGGCAGGCAGATCACGAAGTCAGGAGACCATCCTGGCCAGCATGGTGAAACCCCATCTCTACTAAAAATACAAAAATTATCTGGGCATGGTGGCACATGCCTGTAATCCCAGCTACTAGGGAGGCTGAGGCAGGAGAATTGCTTGAACCGGGGAGTTGGAAGTTACACTGAGCCAAGATCATGCCACTTCACTCTAGCCTGGTGACAAAGCAAGACTCCATCTTAAAAAAACAAAAACAAACAAACAAAAAAAACAAAACAAAAAAACTCTGCTCCCCGAATGCTTGGGGATGCTGAGTAATAACAAAACTCCAGTATCCCGTATAGTTGGCTCTGCATGAATTACTCTTTCTGTATTGCAATTCCCCTGTCCTGATGAATAGGCTCTGTCCAGGCAGTGGGCAAGGTGAACCCCTTGGGCAGTTACAGAATCGTTTCCTTCTCACATCGTAGATAGTTTCCTTCTCCTCTGCCTGAAGTTATTCCAGCATGAACCTACAAAGAGCATAGACTTTGACAGCAACTAAATTTGGTTTTGAATCCTGTGTCCCCCACCCCTGTGTTAGCTGTATGGCCTTGGGCAAATTCTTCTACTTCTTTCAGTTTCCTTATCTGTGAAATGGGGATGATAAACTTGCTTCACATGAGGTTTAAATGAAATAGGACCTATGCCTACACTCAGTAAAGATCGATCTCACTTTCACCAGTCTAGACTAATCTACACACAGTTCTCTAGACTCCTTTCAAGGTCCATATATTAACTACTACTTCCAGTACGAAGACATTTGTGATACCTCCCCTTTTTGAACCTATCATCTCTTTAAACTTCCATTATGTAAAATTGATTTCTATTTCTCTTGCACCGCCTTGCACAACTGCCACAGTGTGTCTGAGGTCTTTTCCATTCCTTCCTTACACACAATCGTTAGGGCCTTAAGGTAAGAAAACTCTCTTACCCATCTATGTGGCAGTTTGGGTTACCTTTTGCACAGTTCCCAGGTGGCATTTCCACTGTGGTGTGGGGAACTGAATCCTGGGGTTTGTGTAGTGTGCAGACCTGCCTGTCATGATGTTGTATAGATAGCGGATCTCAACAAATACTTGTTAGATTAGCCTCCATGGTGTTCATCTGACTGATCTGTAAATCACAGTTTTCTAGTTATAGAACCCTTTTTTCTAATGTACGTCATACAACTCAGATCAATATAGGGAAATTCTAATGTAGGAGAGAGAGGGAAAAGAGAGGATATATCCTGTCCTTCCCAGCATCCCGCTCACCCACCTTCCTTGAGACATTTATGATGTATCTCCAAAGAACCCTTGGAATAGATCATCTCTGCACTTGCAGGCAGAGCTGACATTCTCCACCTGCTTCCTCAGTGCCTATATGGCAGTTCCAGTTGTGAACTTATGTGGCCTTCAGGGGCACGGACAAACATCTCAGCTGAGTGGGGCCTGGAACTTGGGTATGGACATCACCCTCCTTTTAAATATATTATACTGATGAGTTATCACTGGTGAATACAGGGTGAGAATACAGGATGAAAGTAAGTTCAAGAAATGGTAAACCTATGTGTAATGTCAATAAAAATATAACTCAAGACTTGCTAAAAAACAAAATTGAAAGCAAGTATAAAGGAGACATAGAGGAACATCTTGCTCTTTCATTCAGGATGCCACCCTGTTAGTGGTAGGAGGTGTTGTACAGATGTGGTGCTGAGTCTAATGTGGGCTGCATCCTTAGGATTAGGTCTGGCTGTAAATAATGACGACTCCAACACCTAGTGGCTTATACAAATAGGGGTTTTATTTCTGCTTACATAATCACAAATCAGGGCTAATATGCTGGCTCCAATATGCTGCCAGGAACACAAGCTCCTTTGAGCTTTCTATTCAGCCTTTATTGACACGTGGCTTTGGGCCTCATCTCTGTCACTTCATGCCACAATTTTGGGCATCACATTCTTATTCAACATAAGAATAAGGAGAGTAGAGGCAATTCCATCAATGTCTGTTCCTTTTACCAAGAAAGCAAAGGCATTCATAGGAACCCTCAGAATACTTTTCTCTCATGTCTTCTTCAGAATTCACAGCACACTTTAAAAAAATATTCTTACTCATAGTACCTCCTCATTTACAAATCCAGGCAACTCTCTTTTATTGAGCAACTACTGTGAGCCAGGCACTCTGATAATCACTTACATGCATTATCTCACAACTTCCTCCTCTTCTATTCCTTCAAAAAATATTTATCGAATGTCTGCTGTGCAAAAATAGTAAAACTTAGCCTGACAGAGAATGTAGTCAATCATGCCCCAGAAGAAATTTACATTTCTAAAAAGACTTTCACTCCAAGAAATAAGCCATGAATGAATCACAGGGCCTTGCCAAAAGTTTTCCACCCCGAGATAAGACACAAAAACCATACAAACAAAAAACCAGGAACATTCTGTTGGGAGCAGGGGCCTGTTTTTCAAATTTTATGTTAATGAAAGATAGAACTTTCTGTTTATTGAAACTGGCCCAAAATACATCTAATCAGAATTGCCAACTACCATTTAATAATTTCAACTACACATTTCACTTTTTCTCTATATTCTGAGAGCCAGTTAATTCAAAAGCTGGGCTCCCTTGCATATGATTTACATTTGCAAAATAAGAAAGAAAAAAAAAAGAGAAAGAACAAAAATCTTCTCTCAGAACTCCAACCTTATCTATGTAGTTTTTCTTTGGCATAAATGCCAGGAAGTGAACGAAACAGTGAAAGGCCCTTCTCTTAAGAAGCCTATGTCTGGTGCAGTACCTAAATTCCATCTACAGTAATATGTATCTTTAATACAGAAACCATAATCTTATTATTGCTATTGTTATTATTATTTTGAGATGGAATTTCACTCTTGTTGCCCAGGCTGGAGTGCAATGGCACAATCTCGGCTCACTGCAACCTCCGTCTCCTGGGTTCAAGTGATTCTCCTGCCTCAGCCTCCCAAGTAGCTGGGATTGCAGGCATGCAGCACCACGCCTGGCTAAATTTTTGTATTTAGTAGAGATGGGGTTTCACCATGTTGGTCAGGCTGGTCTCAAACTCCTGACCTCAGGTGATCCACCCACCTCGGCCTCCCAAAGTGCTGGGATTACAGGTGTGAGCCACCGTGCCTGGCCAATCTTACTATTTTATATTCACAACTTGTATATGTCACTATTATTGTTCATTAAAACTTGTTTGCTGACTAGACCTACCAATTTTCAATGCACTTTCAAATGCATCATGTCATTAAACCTCACATTAACCACTTGAGGTTGAGTATCACTAATGGAAACTTACAAATGGAGAAACTGAGGCTTAGAGAAGGTTAGAGATGTCTTAGGATCAGGCAGCCAGTAATTAGAGCAGCTGAGATTTGTGCCTGGATCTCACAGTTTCATACCCACAGCTCTTCCTGTCTTCTGTCTTCCAATGATATAACCTGGTAACTCCAGGCTTGTCTGAATTTCAAAAGCCCTGTCCGCTCGTCCCTATAAATAGATTCATACTTGACTCATTCTCAATTTTTAGTTCAGAAAAAGTGGTCACAGTCTTGATTACACACCGGGCAATGTTGACCACAGAGTCCTCAGGCAATGTTCCTTAACAAAGAGGTAAATAGCAGCTAGCTGCCACATACACCCCACTGTCCTTCATCAAATGTGGTGAGAAAGAAAGGAGGCAGCAGTATTCTTGAGGCCACTTCTTCTGGTTTACCCTATCTGCTTGTATTCCACTGACAGAGCCTTTTCTAAGCTCTACCTGATGAACCTGGGTTACATATCGAAAGGGGAAAAAATCTTCTCCTTCATCTCACCCCACACCATTTCTCCCTGCCAGCTTCATTTCAGCAGTGTTTTCTTCTACAGCACGATTTCTCAGCATTGGTATTATGGCCAGAAATCTCTTTATTGTGGGGGGCTGCCCTGTGCATTTAGGAAGCTTAATGCCGTTTTTGTCCTCAAACCCACTAGTTCCCAGTAGCACCCCTCCAGCTGGTTAACAACCAAAAATGTCTCCAGGCTGGGAGCAGTGGCTCCTGCCTGTAATCTCAGCACTTTGGGAGACTGAGGCGGGCAGATCACTTGAGGTCAGGAGTTCGAAACCAGCCTGGCCAACATGGTGAAACCCCATCTCTACCAAAAAATACAAAAGTTAGCCAGACATTGTGGTGCATGCCTGTAGTTCCAGCTACTCGGGAGGCTGAGGTGGGAGAATCACATGAACCCAGGAGCAGAGGTTGCAGTGAGCCGAGATCAGGCCACTGCACTGCAGCCTGGGCAACAGAGTGAGACCCGTTCTCAAAAAACAAAAACAAAACAAAAAAAAACTACCTCCAAACGTCACCAAATGTCCCCTGGGAAGCAAAAATTACCCCTACTTGGTAATATTGGTCTATATGACTAGGAGAGAAGGTATAAAAGCACAAATCCACTGGCTAATTCTTTGTAAAGACAAACAGCCCTCCTGCATCCACCTAGTAACGAATAACTCAATAATGTAAGAACTAAGATTTGAGCACCTACTGTATGTTAGGCACTCTTCTGATGCTCTACTTAAAATATCTCTTATTTTTAACACATTCCTGCCAGGAGCATATTTCAGTCCCATATTAAAAAGTGAAGGGGAAAAAAAAAAAAACCAAAGGATGTACACAGAGTTTAAATAACTTGCCCAAAACGAGCTGAAAAGTGGCAGATCCATTTCTAATTTGGGTTCTCTACTCTAAATCTCATGTACCTTCAACTATACCATCTGGATCTGTTCATTTGGTTCATAACTATACCATCTGGCTCTGTTCATTTGGTTCTTTTTTTTTTTTTTTTTTTTTTTTTTTTTTTTTTTTTTGAGACAGAGTCTCGCCCTGTCACCCAAGCTGGAGTACAGTGGCATGATCTGGGCTCACTGCAAACTCCACCTTCTGGTTTCAAGCGATTCTCCCACCTCAGCCTCCTAAGTAGCACAGACGTGCGCCACCGCACCTGGTTAAGTTTTGTATTTTTAGTAGAGATGGGGTTTCGCTATCTTAGCCAGGCTGGTCTCGAACTCCTGAACCCTGGTGATCTACCTACCTCGGCCTCCCAAAGAGCTCAGATTACAGGCGTGAGCCAACACACACAGCCCATTTGGTTTATTTCTGCTGCTCACCATCTGATGACCTCACCATCATTCCTATAAAAGTCGAGTGTTGTGCCCAAGGTCATGATGCTGGTATGGTCAGTGCTGGGATGCAAATGTTCACTGTACAAGTCAGCCCAAGAGAAGCTGTAAAAAGCTGTAACCTTAGGATCTGAGCTTTCCCTGACCCCTGATATCCCCCTGGAGCATGTGGTAAGCAAAGCAGCTAGGAGACAGCCTGAGCACCTGAAAAAATGAAATTGTTCATTAGAAGCCTGCTGACAGCATCATCTTACTAGAGGCAGGACCAGAACATGTCTGAGTGGATACCGGCGGAAAAGTGTTCTGTGGAGGTAAGAGCTCTGACTCTGAGGTCGAAGAGGCCTAAAACCAGACCTCACCTCTGCCACTTTCTAAGTGCATGAACTTGAGCAAGACCCTCTTTTTGTTTTAGTTTCCTCATCTGTAAAGGAAGATGATACTACCCATTTCATAGATGGTTGAGCTGGCTGAACGATGCAGTACAAGAGAAATGCTTAGCATGGTGCTCAGCTTACAGGAAGAGTTACAAAATGTGAACTTTTATGATTGTTTAGTTAACATCCCATTTCCCCTAAGTGACTCAGGTTTATCATCAAAGGTTCATCATGCTGCTCAAAAATCCTTTACTTTATCCCCAGGCTATTCTTGTTCATACCCTCCATCATGGAGTTCGATATTTCCACTGGTCTCTTTAAATTCCTAACTCCACCCCACACCATCCCTTTCATTTAAACCAGTCTGTGCCATTTGCTTCACAGATAAAGGCTATGTGAAGTACAAAGTATTTCCTCCTCTATTCCTTCTACTCTAAACATATTTGTAACGCCTTAGCAAGCTGTATCAATATCTACATATACCTCCTTTGTATTTTTCTTAGAGACAAGATGACTGTCTTCTCCAAGAAAGGCCACATCTACTTTCTACGCCGCCTTCTAGAACTTGCTACACCCTCCCTTTCCTGTATCTTTAATATCATGTTCTCCACTAGACTTCTCCTTTTCACCAGCAAATGTGGAGACTAGCTGAATTTACACAGTAATTACAATGTTTTTGCTTGTATTGTATGTTTCTTAGAGTGGTTTATGAGGACTTTCAGAATCTAAGGGAGAGGTAAATCACCTGCTCAGGCCACTCTCTAGAAAAATGACCCTAACCAGGCCAGGCACAGTGGCTCATGCCTGTAATCCTAGCACTTTGGGAGGCTGAGGTGGGCAGATCTCCTGAGGTCGGGAGTTTGAGACCAACCTGACCAACATGAAGAAACCCCATCTCTACTAAAAATACAAAATTAGCCGGGCGTGGTGGTGCATGCCGGTAATCCCAGCTACTTGGGAGGCTGAGGCAGGAGAATTGCTTGAACCCAGGAGGCAAAGATTGCAGTGAGCCCAGATCACGCCATTGCACTCCAGCCTGGGCAACAAGAGCGAAACTCTGTCTCAAAAAAGAAAAGAAAAGAAAAGACCCTCAACCTTTTAGAAAAAGAAATCTGCATTTACTGTCTTCGTTTTCCCTCATTTCATTTACCATTTAACCTACTGTGCTGTTTTCTCTTTCTTATAGTTGAGAAAATTTGGAGTAGGTGTTCTGTTCATAGTGATTCTCCCCATGGCCATATTTGATACATCCTGCTTCTTTCTCCTTACTCCTTACCTCTTCTTCCATCCAACATGTGTTCCATACGGGAGCTGCCATCTTCTTACAGAAGCACATCAGCCTAGATCACAATGATTGGTTTAGGAGTAAGCAGGCTTAGCCAATGATAAGGCCTTGGCCATAGTGATCAGTTCAATGAATGTTCATATGATCCAAATGAGACCAGTTGAAATTCTTCCCTGGAATTTTCCAACTGGAGCTGGGATGGGGAAGCTTGTTTTCTCTTTAATTGTAAAGTAGCAGCGGAAGGCTAAAGTTGCCAGTAGCCTAGTCCTCCTGGAGAAATTTGCCAAGAGAATAAAACTATAATATAGAGAAAAGCTGAGCGAAGAGACCAAGAGATGGCTATGCCATTCCTAAGGCCAGCTGCATCCCTTCCCTACACATATTTTGGTTAAGTAAGCCAATCACTTTTTTATATCCTTAAGCTATTTTGGGTAGATTTCTATCACTTCTAAACAGGAGAGTCTTGTTTTCTGTGGTTATTGCTTTTTTGCCTCCTTCTCTTTGCCTCTAAACTTCTTGAAATAGAAGTCTACACTTATCTCTAATTTTTTACCTTCTATTCAGTGCCAAACCTGTTGTAATCTGACTCCTATCTCTATCACTCTGTTAAAATAGGATTAGCAAAAGTGATGAAAGACCTCCTAATTTAAACATCCAATGGCCTGTTTTAAGTCTTTATCCCATTTGCTCGTGCTACAGAGTTGACGCTGTACACCGACAAGTTCCTCCTGGCCTTCCTTTCTAACACACCACTCTCTCCCAGATAGTGTCCCTTGCTGGCCCTTGCATCTCAATGTTCTTCACAAGCTCCCTCTACTCTGCCAAATTTTTAAGGTCTGGTAGGCCCCAGAAATGTATCATTCATTCTCTCCTCATTTGACATATTCTCCCTGGAACACTTTGTCTATGCTTTAACTTCTGTGTCTATGCTGATGACTTCTAAGTTTATACGTTCAGCCTAGTTCTTTCCTGGAAGCACCAGACTTGCACAATGAACGTCCCTACTTGGGCCCTGCAGACATTCAAGAATAACATCATTATTCAAGAAGATAGAGTCCACAGTATCACCATTTACCACATTCACTTAAGAATTATTTGGTGATTATTGATGTGCTAGGAACTATTCTCAGTACTAAAGATAAATCTATAAACAAAGTTCTTACTCCAGTGAAACCTATATTCTGGCAAGAAACCTCATGTTCTTCTTTTTCCTCTCCTTCCAATCCAACTGGTCTCCAGTCCTATACATTTTTATTTTTTAAATATATTCCAAATTCATCACTACTGCCACCCTCATTTCTCACTTTTTTTTTTAACAGCTTACTACTTAAATGTAAACATCCTTCAACCTCCAATTTATTCTCCGTGCTAATGCCCGAGTATTCCTCATGAACAACAGCAACAACGAAAAGGTTTATTTTCATTCCTTTGCTTCAAAATTCCTGCTGGCTCACTCTCACTGGATGATAAAATTCAAATTCTCTAATTAGGTACATACAGTTCTACACAATCTGGTCAGAACATGACTCTCCAAACCCATCTCCCCCCATCCTACTCCCACTATACTACACCCCAGCCACACCAAGCTTCTCACTCTTCTCTGAGCACAGGAGCATTTTCACATCTCTGCCCCTTTACAAATGTTGAGCCCTTAATTATAAATGCCCTTCTCTTATTTCACCACTCCGTTTTTTCCATCTAATGATCTCTTACCCAGTCTTCTTGATTCTGTAAAACGTCATCTATCTCTCTGAAGCCTGTCCTAGCTCATAAAGCCATTGTTATTTACCTCATCCTTCGACTCTCAAAGCACTGTGATAACATATGGTGCTTAGACCATTTAAAAATACATCTACTTATAAATGTGTTTCTTCCACAAACCAATAAGCTCCTCAAGGACAAGGACTGTGCCCTCTTCCTTGTTGCATTTCCTAGAATCTTGCATAATGTCAGCAAATATGTAGGCATAATGAGGGGGAGGACTAGCTATAGCTTAGTCGGTTTGTTTCAGTTACAGTTTTAGATAGAAACTATTAATACTATCACTAGCTTAAGCACAAAAAATATTTATACCAGGTATTAGATGGCTTACAAAATTGCTGGAGCAGCAATGTTCCCACTAAACATCCAGGAACAACCCTCAGCCCCCAGAATCACACTGCCTTTGCCACCATCAGGAAATGGCCACTGCTACGGGAAGCCACTCCCTTACAAAGCTGTTGACAGCAGAGTCACATTGCCTCTGCCATAGACTGTGTCTACAAAACAGGCATTTTACTCTCTGCCAATAGCTCTCTCTCCTTAACACTGTCCCCTATTTGGTCTTATTTGAGTCCATGCAATTGATGGAACCTAAAACACATCCAGAACTTGAGCTGCAAGAGAGGCTGATAAATGGCCTTTTTAGCTTATAGTAAGTAAGCTCTGCAGTAAGGGGGTACACCACAAGGAGTTTGGAATGGATGTTAAATAGGCTAATCCATCATGTCCACGAGTCTCTCCTAGGTGGTAGGCATTTCAACAACTGGCGAGATAGGTATTATTGTCCTCACTTTACTAATGAGAAGACAAAGGCTTGGAGAGAGTAAAATCTTGTCCTAGATGACATAGATGGTATTGGTGGACTCTATTCAAAATCAAATCTGCCCCATTCCAAAGACTGTATTCTTTCTACCACACTAGTTGGTTATGAGGGCTTTAGTTAGGATATCTTACACAGGTCTAAAAGATAAGCAATGAAACAATAGAAATTTAACAAAGTCTATCCCTTCTTGCTACCGTCTTGTCACCATTGCTCTAGATTTTTGAGAATACGTGTTTGTGGTATAAATCTTTGTCTTTCTTTTGTTTTGTTTTGAGACAGAGTCTCACTCTGTCACCCAGGCTGCAATGCAGTGGCACGATCTCAGCTCACTGCAACCTCCACCTCCTGGGTTCAAGCGATTCTCCTGCCTCAGTCTCCCGAGTAGCTGGGATGACAGGCGCCCACTACCACGCCCAGCTATTTTTTGTATTTTTAATAGAGATGGGGTTTCACCATGTTGGCCAGGATGGTCTTAATGTCTTGACCTCGTGAACTGCCCACTTAGACCCCCAAAGTGCTGGGATTACAGACGTCAGCCACTGTACCCAGCCAAATCTTTGTCTTTTTACTATGACCAAACACATTAGCTATCAGTCCAATAATAGGGTTGGATAAACATAAGGTTGCATACAGCCTGGTAAAAAAGGCAATATTTCACTGAAAGCTTATGGATTCCAAATGTAGACTGAGTGACAATGACTCCTGGAAATAGCCTTATGTCCCAGTGCCTGGTTAATGCACAAAACACCCTCATCTGACCCAAGTCAATGCAAAATTAACCCAAATTAGCATCAGCTTCAGACTGGGACTGAATCTTCTGCCTCTACACTGAATGTTCTTCTTTTGGTATTCTGAGTCATTTACTAATCACTTTTAAGATTAGGAAAGTCCACTGAGTCAGATGATTTTAAAGAGCATCAGCAAGAGAAAATCCTCAGAAGTAGAATGAGGGATGACCTTAAATCAGGCTTCCAAGCTATTAAAATGCTGAGAAAGAGCAGCAATAGACAGGCCATCACCAAAGCACCATCATGCTACTACGTAGGGAGACTGTCTGAGTGAAGATCTGGGAAAGCCTATGGAACATAAAATAGAGCTCTGAAGATGGCATGACCAAAGAGTAAAGAGAGTCCTTGGTCACAGAGAGAAAGCCAGGCTCCCAACTCCAGGCTATATACAGTCATGAGCCACATAATGATGCTTTGGTCAATGACAATGTATATCCAAGGGCAGTCCCATAAGATTATAATACCATACCTTTGTTTTTGTTTGTTTGTTTTGAGACAGAGTCTTACTCTGTCACCTAGGCTGGAGTGCAGTGGTGTGATCTTGGCTCCCTGCAACCTCCGCCTCCAAGGTTCAAGCGATTCTCCTGCCTCAGCCTCCTGAGTAGCAGGGATTACAGGTGCCCGCCACCATGCCCAACTAACTTTTTGCATTTTCAGTTGAGACAGGGTTTCACCATGTTGGCCAGGCAGGTCTCAAACTCCTAACCTCAAGTGATCCACCCGCCTCGGCATCCCAAAGTGCTGGGATTACAGGCATCAGCCACCATGTCCAGCCTTATAATACCACACTTTTACTGTACCTTTTTCATGTTTAGCTGTACAAATGTCTAGCATTGTGTTACAATTGCCTATTCAGTACAGTAACATGCTGTACAAGTTTATAGCCTAGGAGTACAGGTCTGGAGCCTAAGTTATACTATATAGCCTAGATATGTAGTAGGTTGCCATCCAGCTTTGTGTAAGTACACTCTATGATGTTCACACAATTATGAAATTGCCTAACAATGCATTTGTCAGAATGTGGCCCCATTGTTAAGTGACACATGACTACAAGACGGTAAGACATTCACTGAGGCTTTGTAGGGGCAGGCAGTGAGAATTGCTTTGGATTGAGTCATTTCCCTTCTCTTTGAGTCACCCTTCCATGGCAGAGGGAAAGGAGGTGATCCTACCTCCCTCTGTTAAGCCAGATGAGGAGTCTTTAGAAGAATCATTTGGGGGGCAAGATTCATATTCCTTGGAGTCTGAAGGATGCGGAGACTTCATTTATACATGGGAAGTCTAGATGGAGAGAATCTGGGGTTGGCCAAAGGGGCCTTTGGCAGTCTAATCTAGAAGGGGGCTATCCCCAAGAAGTCCCTGTAGGGGCCCTTGCAGAGAAAGAGTCAATATGGATATTCACCTTCCACAAGAGGCCCCAGGCCATAAGACTTTCCGTCCTCCCTAATGCTCACAACCAAAAGATGACAGAAGGCCTAATGGAGGTGCCTAATGCACAGGTGGGGATTTAACACTGAACACTTCGAGACTGAGAGGGCTGGGAAATGTCCCGGGCACTAGCTGACAAAGGGAGAAGGCACAGAATATAAGCATCTTAATAAATAATAATGGATCAAAGCCCAGGGATTCTTTCCTGGATCGTGTCAATCCTGAGGTTACAGTGCTTTCCTAAGGGAAGGGAAGAGGCCTAGTCCTCCCCAGCAAGAATGGAAATTGAATTTCTTACCAATCCTGGCTGACCTGTACCAACCCATATATAATCAGATTTTTTTTTTTTTTTTAAAGAAAGAAACATGATGTTTGTTGCACAGAAGTGTTGTAGAGCTATTAATATAGGTCACATATGTATGTATACAGCTCCTCATGTATTGTCCGGCACTTAGTGGAAGCTTAACAGATGCTAGCTCCCTCTTGGGACATTTTTTCTTACTGACCAGAAAATTCTAGGATGGTCAAGTTTGTTGACCTTGAAAATGATGGAAGAAGGCCGTTGCTCAAAATAGTAGCCTCATTGGAAGGATCACTTGAGCCCAGAAGTTCGAGGCTGCAGTGAGCTATGATTGTACGAACCACTGCACTCCAGCCTAGGCGACAGAGTGAGGCTCCATCTCTAAAAATAAAAAAATAGGGAGGAGGAGCCAAGATGGCCGAATAGGAACAGCTCCGGTCTACGGCTCCCAGCGTGAGCGACGCAGAAGACGGGTGATTTCTGCATTTCCATCTGAGGTACCGGGTTCATCTCACTAGGGAGTGCCAGACAGTGGGCGCAGGCCAGTGTGTGTGCGCACCGTGCACGAGCCAAAGCAGGGCGAGGCATTGCCTCACCTGGGAAGCGCAAGGGGTCAGGGAGTTCCCTTTCCGAGTCAAAGAAAGGGGTGACGGACGCACCTGGAAAATCGGGTCACTCCCACCCGAATATTGCGCTTTTCAGACCGGCTTAAGAAACGGCGTACCACGAGACTATATCCCACACCTGGCTCAGAGGGTCCTACGCCCACGGAATCTCGCTGATTGCTAGCACAGCAGTCTGAGATCAAACTGCAAGGCGGCAGCGAGGCTGGGGGAGGGGCGCCCGCCATTGCCCAGGCTTGCTTAGGTAAACAAAGCAGCCGGGAAGCTCGAACTGGGTGGAGCCCACCACAGCTCAAGGAGGCCTGCCTGCCTCTGTAGGCTCCACCTCTGGGGGCAGGGCACAGACAAACAAAAAGACAGCAGTAACCTCTGCAGACTTAAGTGTCCCTGTCTGACAGCTTTGAAGAGAGCAGTGGTTCTCCCAGCACGCAGCTGGAGATCTGAGAACGGGCAGACTGCCTCCTCAAGTGGGTCCCTGACCCCCGAGCAGCCTAACTGGGAGGCACCTCCCAGCAGGGGCACACTGACACCTCACACGGCAGGGTATTCCAACAGACCTGCAGCTGAGGGTCCTGTCTGTTAGAAGGAAAACTAACAACCAGAAAGCACATCTACACCGAAAACCCATCTGTACATCACCATCATCAAAGACCAAAAGTAGATAAAACCACAAAGATGGGGAAAAAACAGAACAGAAAAACTGGAAACTCTAAAATGCAGAGTGCCTCTCCTCCTCCAAAGGAATGCAGTTCCTCACCAGTAACAGAACAAAGCTGGATGGAGAATGATTTTGACGAGCTGAGAGAAGAAGGCTTCAGACGATCAAATTACTCTGAGCTACGGGAGGACATTCAAACCAAAGGCAAAGAAGTTGAAAACTTTGAAAAAAATTTAGAAGAATGTATAACTAGAATAACCAATACAGAGAAGTGCTTAAAGGAGCTGATGGAGCTGAAAACCAAGGCTCGAGAACTACGTGAAGAATGCAGAAGCCTCAGGAGCCGATGCGATCAACTGGAAGAAAGGGTATCAGCATTGGAAGATGAAATGAATGAAATGAAGCGAGAAGGGAAGTTTAGAGAAAAAAGAATAAAAAGAAATGAGCAAAGCCTCCAAGAAATATGGGACTATGTGAAAAGACCAAATCTACGTCTGATTGGTGTACCTGAAAGTGATGTGGAGAATGGAACCAAGTTGGAAAACACTCTGCAGGATATTATCCAGGAGAACTTCCCCAATCTAGCAAGGCAGGCCAACGTTCAGATTCAGGAAATACAGAGAACGCCACAAAGATACTCCTCGAGAAGAGCAACTCCAAGACACATAATTGTCAGATTCACCAAAGTTGAAATGAAGGAAAAAATGTTAAGGGCAGCCAGAGAGAAAGCTCGGGTTACCCTCAAAGGAAAGCCCATCAGACTAACAGCGGATCTCTCAGCAGAAATCCTACAAGCCAGAAGAGAGTGGGGGCCAATATTCAACATTCTTAAAGAAAAGAATTTTCAACCCAGAATTTCATATCCAGCCAAACTAAGCTTCATAAGTGAAGGAGAAATAAAATACTTTATAGACAAGCAAATGCTGAGAGATTTTGTCACCACCAGGCCTGCCCTAAAAGAGCTCCTGAAGGAAGCGCTAAACATGGAAAGGAACAACTGGTACCAGCCGCTGCAAAATCATGCCAAAATGTAAAGACCATCGAGACTAGGAAGAAACTGCATCAACTAATGAGCAAAATCACCAGCTAACATCATAATGACAGGATCAAATTCACACATAACAATATTAACTTTAAATATAAATGGACTAAATTCTGCAATTAAAAGACACAGACTGGCAAGTTGGATAAAGAGTCAAGACCCATCAGTGTGCTGTATTCAGGAAACCCATCTCACGTGCAGAGACACACATAGGCTCAAAATAAAAGGATGGAGGAAGATCTACCAAGCCAATGGAAAACAAAAAAAGGCAGGGGTTGCAATCCTAGTCTCTGATAAAACAGACTTTAAACCAACAAAGATCAAAAGAGACAAAGAAGGCCATTACATAATGGTAAAGGGATCAATTCAACAAGAGGAGCTAACTATCCTAAATATTTATGCACCCAATACAGGAGCACCCAGATTCATAAAGCAAGTCCTGAGTGACCTACAAAGAGACTTAGACTCCCACACATTAATAATGGGAGACTTTAACACCCCACTGTCAACATTAGACAGATCAACGAGACAGAAAGTCAACAAGGATACCCAGGAATTGAACTCAGCTCTGCACCAAGCAGACCTAATAGACATCTACAGAACTCTCCACCCCAAATCAACAAAATATACATTTTTTTCAGCACCACACCACACCTATTCCAAAATTGACCACATAGTTGGAAGTAAAGCTCTCCTCAGCAAATGTAAAAGAACAGAAATTATAACAAACTATCTCTCAGACCACAGTGCAATCAAACTAGAACTCAGGATTAAGAATCTCACTTAAAGCCGCTCAACTACATGGAAACTGAACAACCTGCTCCTGAATGACTACTGGGTACATAACGAAATGAAGGCAGAAATAAAGATGTTCTTTGAAACCAACGAGAACAAAGACACCACATACCAGAATCTCTGGGACGCATTCAAAGCAGTGTGTAGAGGGAAATTTATAGCACTAAATGCCTACAAGAGAAAGCAGGAAAGATCCAAAATTGACACCCTAACATCACAATTAAAAGAACTAGAAAAGCAAGAGCAAACACATTCAAAAGCTAGCAGAAGGCAAGAAATAACTAAAATCAGAGCAGAACTGAAGGAAATAGAGACACAAAAAACCCTTCAAAAAATCAATGAATCCAGGAGCTGGTTTTTTGAAAGGATCAACAAAATTGATAGACCGCTAGCAAGACTAATAAAGAAAAAAAGAGAGAAGAATCAAATAGATACAATAAAAAATGATAAAGGGGATATCACCACCGATCCCACAGAAATACAAACTACCATCAGAGAATACTACAAACACCTCTACGCAAATAAACTAGAAAATCTAGAAGAAATGGATACATTCCTCGACACATACACTCTCCCAAGACTAAACCAGGAAGAAGTTGAATCTCTGAATAGACCAATAACAGGCTCTGAAATTGTGGCAATAATCAATAGTTTACCAACCAAAAAGAGTCCAGGACCAGATGGATTCACAGCCGAATTCTACCAGAGATACAAGGAGGAACTGGTACCATTCCTTCTGAAACTATTCCAATCAATAGAAAAAGAGGGAATCCTCCCTAACTCATTTTATGAGGCCAGCATCATTCTGATACCAAGGCCGGGCAGAGACACAACCAAAAAAGAGAATTTTAGACCAATATCCTTGATGAACATTGATGCAAAAATCCTCAATAAAATACTGGCAAACCGAATCCAGAAGCACATCAAAAAGCTTATCCACCATGATCAAGTGGGCTTCATCCCTGGGATGCAAGGCTGGTTCAATATATGCAAATCAATAAATGTAATCCAGCATATAAACAGAGCCAAAGACAAAAACTACATGATTATCTCAATAGATGCAGAAAAAGCCTTTGACAAAATTCAACAACCCTTCATGCTAAAAACTCTCAATAAATTAGGTATTGATGGGACGTATTTCAAAATAATAAGAGCTATCTATGACAAACCCACAGCCAATATCATACTGAATGGGCAAAAACTGGAAGCATTCCCTTTGAAAACTGGCACAAGACAGGGATGCCCTCTCTCACCGCTCCTATTCAACATAGTGTTGGAAGTTCTGGCCAGGGCAATCAGGCAGGAGAAGGAAATAAAGGGTATTCAATTAGGAAAAGAGGAAGTCAAATTGTCCCTGTTTGCAGACGACATGATTGTTTATCTAGAAAACCCCCATTGTCTCAGCCCAAAATCTCCTTAAGCTGATAAGCAACTTCAGCAAAGTCTCAGGATACAAAATCAATGTACAAAAATCACAAGCATTCTTATACACCAACAACAGACAAACAGAGAGCCAAATCATGAGTGAACTCCCATTCACAATTGCTTCAAAGAGAATAAAATACCTAGGAATCCAACTTACAAGGGACGTGAAGGACCTCTTCAAGGAGAACTACAAACCACTGTTCAAGGAAATAAAAGAGGACACAAACAAATGGAAGAACATTCCATGCTCATGGGTAGGAAGAATCAATATCATGAAAATGGCCATACTGCCCAAGGTAATTTACAGATTCAATGCCATCCCCATCAAGCTACCAATGACTTTCTTCACAGAATTGGAAAAAACTACTTTAAAGTTCATATGGAACCAAAAAAGAGCCCGCATCGCCAAGTCAATCCTAAGCCAAAAGAACAAAGCTGGAGGCATCACACTACCTGACTTCAAACTATACTACAAGGCTACAGTAACCAAAACAGCCTGGTACTGGTACCAAAACAGAGATATAGATCAATGGAACAGAACAGAGCCCTCAGAAATAATGCCACATATCTACAACTATCTGATCTTTGACAAACCTGAGAAAAACAAGCAATGGGGAAAGGATTCCCTATTTAATAAATGGTGCTGGGAAAACTGGCTAGCCATATGTAGAAAGCTGAAACTGGATCCCTTCCTTACACCTTATACAAAAATCAATTCAAGATGGATTAAATATTTAAACGTTAGACCTAAAACCATAAAAACCCTAGAAGAAAACCTAGGCATTACCATTCAGGACATAGGCGTGGGCAAGGACTTCATGTCCAAAACACCAAAAGCAATGGCAACAAAAGACAAAATTGACAAATGGGATCTAATTAAACTAAAGAGCTTCTGCACAGCAAAAGAAACTACCATCAGAGTGAACAGGCAACCTACAAAATGGGAGAAAATTTTCGCAACCTACTCATCTGACAAAGGGCTAATATCCAGAATCTACAATGAACTCAAACAAATTTACAAGAAAAAAAAAACCCCATCAAAAAGTGGGCGAAGGACATGAACAGACACTTCTCAAAAGAAGACATTTATGCAGCCAAAAAACACATGAAGAAATGCTCATCATCACTGGCCATCAGAGAAATGCAAATCAAAACCACTATGAGATATCATCTCACACCAGTTAGAATGGCAATCATTAAAAAGTCAGGAAACAACAGGTGCTGGAGAGGATGTGGAGAAACAGGAACACTTTTACACTGTTGGTGGGACTGTAAACTAGTTCAACCATTGTGGAAGTCAGTGTGGTGATTCCTCAGGGATCTAGAACTAGAAATACCATTTGACCCAGCCATCCCATTACTGGGTATATACCCAAAGGACTATAAATCATGCTGCTATAAAGACACATGCACACGTATGTTTATTGCGGCACTATTCACAATAGCAAAGACTTGGAACCAACCCAAATGTCCAACAATGATAGACTGGATTAAGAAAATGTGGCACATATACGCCATGGAATACTATGCAGCCATAAAAAATGATGAGTTCATGTCCTTTGTAGGGACATGGATGAAATTGGAAACCATCATTCTCAGTAAACTATCGCAAGAACAAAAAACCAAACACCGCATATTCTCACTCATAGGTGGGAATTGAACAATGAGATCACATGGACACAGGAAGGGGAATATCACACTCTGGGGACTGTGGTGGGGTCGGGGGAGGGGGGAGGGATAGCATTGGGAGATATACCTAATGCTAGATGACACGTTAGTGGGTGCAGCGCACCAGCATGGCACATGTATACATATGTAACTAACCTGCACAATGTGCACATGTACCCTAAAACTTAGAGTATAATAAAAAAAAAAAAAAATTTAAAAAAAAAAAGAAAATTAAAAAGTAAAAAAAAAATAATAATAATAAAAATAAAAAAATAAAGTGTTGCAAAATAAAGGAATTGAAGTATTTTGGCCCCATTGTCTCTACTCTCTGCTTCTCTACTTCTCTATAGCCAGTCTATTGCTCCCCCAAAACTGGTCCAGCTGCTTTTTATTCCTTAAAGACATTATGCATATACCCCTCTCTGTCCTTTCATTGTATCCACTTGTCTTCCTGCCTAGCATATTTGCCCTTCTTTCTATTCCTCTAAGTCCTACTCATGCTCCAAGTAATCACCTCCTATCTTTATTCCTCTGCAAAGATTTCCCATCAACATACAATGCAAAATGCAGTGCTTGCACTTAATAGAGGTTCCATTCACTCAGACATGTTTCTTGTTCAACTAGTTATTCACTCAACAAATTTTTTTGAGTGTCTGCGATAGTCCAAGTTCCATAAGAGCTGAAATATTTTTGCCTAATTTGTTGACTACTATATGCTTAGTGCCTATTATAGTGGTTTATATTTAGTAGATGTTAATTGAATGAATGAATGCTGAGGATACAGTGGTGAACAAAAGACATAAAGTTCTTGTTAGTAATCATGATGTTGTCTTGTTGCTGATAACAATAGCACATTTTTCTTCTCCATGACTCCTAAATGATAATATCCTCCAAAGTTCTGTTTGAAATCTTTTTCTCTCCACCCCCTCTCCAGTGGCAATGCCATCCACTCCTGCAGCTTCAGACATCACCTCTGTGCAAATGAATTTCTCTGATTAAGGACAATTTTTTCTCTTTCCAGGGTAAACAATAAAGGTAAGTTTTTATTTCTGTCTACATGGGTAGACTTAAGCCAGAGGCATACAACCTGGGAATAAGGGTGAAATCTGGCCTTCAGGTCACCCACCTCCTATTCTCCCAAGACACAGAGGGGAAGAAAGAAGACCCAAAGGCAGAGGAGTAGAGTTAGAATGACCCTTTCTCACCACTCTGTGGACTCAACTCATGCTGGCAGAGAAAGAGTTTTTAAGTGAGATTTTGGATGGCTGGGAGAGGAAGGC
Organism: Homo sapiens; assembly: GCF_000001405.40. Lineage (NCBI taxonomy): Eukaryota > Metazoa > Chordata > Mammalia > Primates > Hominidae > Homo > Homo sapiens. The sequence goes on along the minus strand of NC_000008.11, from coordinate 104,738,781 downwards.
TGTCCTGATATCCACAGCCATGAGACCTTAGCAGAGAAGAAAATTCCCTTCCATTAGCAAACCCCAGCAGGTACAACAATAGCAGCCCAGACAGGTATTTCATGCACATTAACTTAAAAATTTTCATACTATTTCAGTTAAGGATAAAGGAATTGAGACACACACAGTCTCAGTAATATCCCCAACATTTACAGAGTCTGTAAATAGCTGGGCTGGACCCAGCTGGAGCCAAAGCGAAAGTTTTAACCACTACACCACATCATCCTTGTATGAAGCAAAACGCTGATGCTTCCAGGCATGAGTTCATCCCAGTCACAACTTAGGAAAACAGCCATTAGAAGCATATACAGTCATGTGCTGCATAACGACATTTGTCAATGATGGACGACTGCATATACCACAGTGGTACCATAAGATTATAATGAAATTGGCAATTTCTATCACCTAGTGACATCTTGATGATCCTGTCCCTATGTTGGCCTAGGATAATGTATAGGTTTGTGTCCTAGTTTTTAACTAAAATGTTTAAAACCTTTTTTAAAGTTTTTAAAAATTAAAAATAGAAAAAAGTGGCTGGGCACAGTGGCTCACACTGTAATCCCAGCACTTTGAGAGGCCAAGGCGGGCAGATTACCTGAGGTCAAGAGTTCAAGACCAGCCTGACCAACACGGTGAAACCCCATCTGTACTAAAAATACAAAATTAGCCGGGCATGGTGGCCCATGCCTGTAACCCCAGCTACTTTGGAGGCTGAGGCAGGAGAATTGCTTGAACCTGGGAGGTGGCGGCTGCAGTGAGCTGAGATCGCGCCACTGCAGTCCAGCCTGGGCAACAAGAGCGAAACTCCATCTCAAAGAAAAAAAAAAATAAATAAAAGAAAAGAAAAAGAAAAAAAGTATAGAATAAGGATATAAATAAAAACTATTTTTATGGCTATACAATGTGTTTTTGTTTTAAGCTGTTATTACAAAAGAGTCAAAAAGTTTAAAGATTTTTTAAAGTTTATAAAGTAAAAAGTTATAGTAAACTAAGGTTAGTTCATTATTAAAGAAAGAAAAATATTTTTCTATAAACTAGTGTAGCCTAAATGTATAGTATTCATAAAGTTTATAGTAGTATATAGTAATGTCGTAGGACTTCACATTCACTCACCACTCACTCACTGCCTCACACAGAGCAACTTCCAGTTCTGCGATCTCCACTCATGGTAAGTGCCCTATACATGTGTACCGTTATATACCACTTTTGTGTTTTATATACTGTATTTTTACTATACCTTTTCTATGTTTAGATACACAAATACTTAGCATGATGTTACACTTGCCTACAGTATCCATCCAGTACAGCTGGAGTATAGGACTCCAACACTTACCCAAAGATAGCTGTTGGGTCAGGGTTTCTGCACCATAATCGCTTCTGTGGTCACCAGGAGGATGTTACAGGACCCCACCACTTACCCAAAGTTAACATTTGGATTGGGAGTTTCCTCCTTATAGTCCCTTCTGTGGTCAACAGAAAGATACTACAGGAAAGGGTCCCCAATCCAGACCCCAAGAGAGGGTTCTTGGATCTCGTACAAGAAAGAATTCAAGGCAAGTCTGCAGTGCAAAGTGAAAGCAAGCTTATTAAGAAGTAAAAGATGCCAGGCACGGTGGCTCACATCTGTAATCCCAGCACTTTGGGAGGCTGAGGCAGGCAGATCATGAGGTCAAGAGATTGAGACCATCCTGGCCAACATGGTGAAACCCTGTCTCTACTAAAAATACAAAAATTAGCTGGGTATAGTGGCCCACGCCTGTAGTCCCAGCTACTCAGGAGGCTGAGGCAGGAGAATCGCTTGAACCTGGGAGGCAGAGGTTGCAATGAGCCAAGATCGCACCACTGCACTCCAGCCTGGTGACAGAGCAAGATTCTGTCTCAAAAAAAAAAGAAAAGAAAGTAAAGGAATAGAAGAATGGCTACTCCATAGACAGAGCAGCCCCAAGGGCTGCTGATTGCCCATTTTTATGGTTATTTCCTGATGATATGCTAAACAAGGGGTACATTATTCATGCCTCCCCTTTTTAGACCATATAGGGTAACTTCCTGGCATTGCCATGGCATTCATAAACTGTCATGGCACTGGTGGGAGTGTAGCAGCGAGGATGACCAGAAGTTACTTTCATGGCCATTTTGGTTTTGGTAGGTTTTGTCCTTTACTGCAAACTGTTTTATCAGCAAGGTCTTTATGACCTGTATTTTGTGCTGACCTCCTGTCTCATCCTGTTACTTTAGAATGCCTTAACCATCTGGGAATGCAGCCCAGTAGGTTTCAGCCTCATTTTACCCAGCTCCTATTTAAGATGGAGTTGCTCTAGTTCACATGCCTCTGACAGTCGGTTACACCATATAGCATAGGTGTATAGTAGGCTGTACCATATAGGTTTGGTTAAGTTCACTGTGATGTTTGCACAATGACAAAATCATCAAATGATGCATTTTTCAATGTATCCCCATCATTAAGCAATGCATGACTGATGTATTTCTAATCCTGATCTCTTTCCTAACTACCAGACCATGTTTTCAACTAGGTTCTAAAAATATTTTACCAGATCATCTCACCAGCATATTTAATCGAAAATGTCTAAAGATAAAATTATAGCCATTTCTCTTCCTGAATTTTCTGTCCTGTTAATATTATTCCTACTCTTTCAGGCACGCTGTCTGGAAACATTAACATCTCCATTTATCCCTCCCACTCCTATTCACTCTACCCCAAATTAATTGTCACATCCTATAGATTTCACTTATATAGTATCTTTAAAATATGACCCCTCAATTCAATTGCCACAGCTTCAGCCCTGATTTCTACCCTTCGCTGATAATAGCTATTAACTTTCCTAATATTTATCCTGCATCACTCTCTCTCAAAGCTATCCAGAACACCTCTATTATATTAGTCTTCCTGGAGCACAATTCTAATAACATTGCTACCCTATTCAATAATCAAACCTTCAATGACACCCCTCACCTCCTACAATTGCTTATCAAATTACATGCATTCCCTTGTCTGCCATTTATCTCTAGGACACCTTTCCAAGCCTATTCTCCTGCCGGTCCCCTCCACAAACCCAATGTCTTGGCCAGAACACATTGTATGTATATTTTACCATGTCTTTGTTCAAATACTCTCACCCTATCTTCTACCTTTTGAAGTTTTCCTCATCCTTCCAGGTCCACATCAAAGGAAACTTCCTGCACTGTCTTCCCTGAGCACCCCCATGTGAATGCTCTCCCTCACCTGAACTCCCGCGTTTCGTTTCTCATCTTTGACCTCTATTCTGAACTGCTCTTCCTGCTCCCTCTCATAGATACTCCATCTGAGTATCTATGTCACTCTTCAAAAATGCAAATCAACCCTGTCCATATCCTTCACTCACTCACACACACACACACACACACCCCTCTATTTATACAACTTTCTCATGTTTTAATCTTTCAGGGGTTACAGGATCACAGAAGACAGAATGGGCAACAAGAAGTGTATGTCACTCTGGACAGATTTCTAAAGTTTCTTATTCTACTGCCAATCAATCAAATTACTTTTTTGTTTCTACCACTTTCAGAAATGGTTGTGCATCCACCCGTCCCATACACAATCAGCAGCACCAGTGTATTTATGTCATTCCTGTGCTGAGAAACCTCAATAATTCCCCCTCACTTCCATTTAATTCCCAATTTCCAGTGTGTTTCCAGTCCTCTACTGCTTCCCTATCTGTCTCATGTTGTGCTGTTCCCAATTCAATGCTTTCCACTAAGACTTTCCTCTGAAACTGTTCTGGCCTTCTCTTCTATCTGAAATGTCTTTGTCATGGTCACCTGAGGTGTAGGTGAACTCCCAATCCTCTAACACCCCTATATCTCCTGTTCGAACCCCTTTTATGACACATACCACATACTACTATGTACCCTAGATTTTGTGATAAATGTGTTATTCCATTACTAAGTTGTAAGTTCTTACATTATATAACCAGACTGCCCTGTCTCCCCAGTATGATTTCTTTTTTTTTTTTTTTTTTTTGAGATGGAGTTCGCTCTTGTCATCCAGGCTGAGTGCAATGGCGCAATCTCGGCTCACCGCAACCGCCACCTCCCAGGTTCAAGTGATTCTCCTGCCTCAGCCTCCTGAGTAGCTGGGATTACAGGCATGCACCACCATGCCCAGCTAATTTTGTATTTTTAGTAGAGATGGGGTTTCTCCATGTTGGTCAGGCTGGTCTCGAACTCTTGACCTCAGGTGATCCACCCACCTCAGCCTCCCAAAGTGCTGGGATTACAGGCATGAGCCACCACGCCCGGACACAGTATGGTTAATTTTCTATGTCAAATTGGCTAGGCTTTGGATGCCCAGCTGTTTGGTTAAATACTAGTTTAGATGTTACTGTGAAGGCAGACATAATTAACATTTTTTAGATATAGTTAACATTTACAATCAGTTACATTTAATTAAAGCAGATCACTCTTCATTATGCAGGTAGGCCTCAGCCAATCAACTAAAGGCCATAAGAGCAAAAACTGAGATTTCCCAGGGAAGAAGAAATTCTGCCTCAAAATTGTAACATAGAAATCCTGCCTGCGTTCCAGTCTGCTAGCCTGCCCTACAGATTTGGGACTTCTTAGCCCCAACAGTCATGTGAGCTAATTCCTTTCCTTTAACTAACTCTCTCCATCGATTGATTGATGGATAGATAGATGCATTGGTTCTGTTTCATGGAGCACATAATTAGGTCACATTTAATTTTGTTTTAAAATTAACCAATTCCACTTATCTCAATTATGTATGTCTTTCCTCGATACAAAGACACACCCGCACCCCTTACCCAACCCCTAGGCCACAGAATAAGTCAAGAATTCCAGCGGGCTTGGAAATGGTGCCTATCTTCTGAAATGCTCCATTCTCTGCATCATGGGGTCTCTGTGAAAACAGGCTCTTAACCAGGTACTCCAGCGATCCTGAGCAGCCTCTGCTCTCTCCCAGTCACGCTCTGGTGGTAAGGAACCTGCTGCTGTGGCAGTACCTCCTGGGGTACAGGGAAGGGCTGGAATCGATCTCTCATAGCACACCATTGTCAGTCAGAGCCTCAAAACCATAATCCATTGTCTGCCAAGAGGTGTTCTCATGCCACCCACACCCTGTGTCTTCTTCTAATGACGCTGCTGGCCCTGGCCACCACTCTAGACTGCCCTTCTCCTTAAAGTGAGTTTCCTCTTGAGGTCTTCATTTATAAACAGCTGTCTTCAATCACGATCACTTTAATCCATCAAATATGTTATAGAACATGGAACCTCAAACAGAAAAGTGCCAGTTCTCTTCCACCAAGAACCTTTCTTATTTGCCTCACTTCTACATCACTAAAAGATACCACCAAAGTTGGTTATTTCCAAACAAAGAGGTGAGCTCCAAAATATATTAAGGCTTCAACCTCTAGTACTAGAAGCCACCAATAACTTCATAAAGGCAGATTTTCAGTTTGATTACCATGTATGATACTTCCTCGGTTACTTCTCAGGAAATAGATCTTAAATAAATCAGTGCCTTGACAAACCAGTACCTCTTTGCCTCAAATATCCTGTCTTTTCCTCTCACTTTGAGAGAAATAATATCAGGAATTTCTCCTATGTTTGAGGATTGTATTTTATGGTATTTATGTCTAATAAAACTAAGTTGCCATCTCACATTGGACCTGTAGATGTTGAGTTGTATGTGTTCAAGGCCTTTTGAAAACTAGGCTTGGAAATCCATACTTAACTTGATAAACAATGGGGAGCCAATGAACCTGAGTACTTAATTTCAAAGTAATAAAAGACTAACTCTCTGCTTTATCAAGACTACAAATTCAGCATATTATATACGGAGGATTTTTTAGAGCAAGGGATAGCTCTGTTAATTTTTTTTTTCTTTTACAAGATGCTGCTAGTAAGCCTTTTATGCCTGCAAGGCAGGATCAGGGTTTCTATAAACTCCTGTAAAAAACTGGTCCAGATTGGAGAATTTTCAAATGTTTCTCGTTTTTGCAAATCACATTTCAAAAGAGAAAGCATTTGCATATTCAAGGTAAAATCCCATGAAAAGATGCCTCATGCCCAGTTTTATAGAGTAATTATTTCTACATTTTTGAACTGGCTCCACCTTCAAAATATGTCAGCTCAAACCACACAATAGACATAGATATTAATTAGCAGGCTAATTATCCAGACTTCTTTAGACTAATCAAGTAATGAAACAGCTTCAGTCTGTTGGATTTTTCTTGAACAACTAACAGTCAAACATGAACTTGTTATGACTAGTAAACTGCACAAACACAATTTGAGACTGAGAACAAGATTGTGCGTTCCCTGGATTCAGGCCTTTTCTCACAAAACCAGATCCACAGCCAACTCTGCCTCCAAAGATACTCTGAAGAAAGGTTTTCTGTCTCCTTATAGCAGAAAATCGATACTGCACACTGGAGGGGAAGATGGAGAGTTAAAATGTCCTCTTCACACGAGTGAGTAAACACCACCTCCGTGCTTGGGATGGCGCAGCACAGAACTGCAGGCTGTAAGACAGGCTCCAAATAAAACCCTTCCCCAGCACAGAACACTCAGCCCCAGAGCTGGCATAGCGGAGCCCTTCACCTCATATAATTTCACTTCTGCGCAACTGCAGATCTGTGTGCGCCTGCAAAATTACATAATTTGCCATTTACCCAGCTGTTATTCCAGCAAACCTATTGTTTGCACACCGATTTGCCTGCCTGCCTCATAAATCCACAGGAAGGGAGGAGACAGAGAGGGAAAGTTTTCAGCATCACACTGTGTTCTCCGTGTCTCCTTCATCTCAAGCTGCCTGCCCCTCCCACATTTAGAGAAAATCACAGGTCTCAAAGCTTCAATGAATAGAAGCTTTGCGTGGGTCCTCCTCTCCCCAGTCTTCACCACTTTCTGAAAAAAGATGCATATTTTTCACATCCTTTGTATCTTAACCTGGTTACATCTCCCTCTCCTCAGGTCTGAAACAAAGCTTCCTTTCCTCTTGGCTTCTCCTTCGCTGCTCTTACATTTTTCCAGAGATGTCCTGGTATTTCTAGTTTCTCCCCACATTGAGTCAGATCTGAGTACGGGTTGCAGAAAGCATCTACCGTCATTACCAAATACTAAAGGTAGGCAGGCTCTGCCTACCTTTAGTATTTGAAAAAGACAGCTTTTCACAGCCCACATCCTCAGGCTAGTATTTTTCCGCTACAATGATGATAAAAGATAAGGCATTGTTCAAATGTTCTGATGCTGAGAACAGTCTAAAAGCAGGGCTTTGAACATATAAAACATTGCTAGTTCCCAGGGACAAAATTCACATCTTTTTTGTGTGTCACCACAGAGCTCTTCAACACCCCTGTGGAATGGAGCCCTAATTACTCATGACACTCCAGAGGAGCTGTGAGAAGCACAGAAGCAAGCTGGTGCATGATGATGAGGAACTGGGGTACCATGGCCTGAGTGAGTCAGAAGTCAAGAGAAGCTGCTGCAGCCTTTCCTCACATAAACTACCCCCAGCTCTGCTTACGGGGAGCCAGTTACTTTTTCCTATTGATCTTTTCACTGTTCATTACATCACAATGTACAATAATTTCTGAACTATTAATCTTCCTAATATCAAACTATGCATGTGCTATTTGGGTTATAGTACAGAAAGGGAAATGTCTATTATATGGGCTTATACAATAGACATGTTTTAGGAAATGTGAATGAGTGATATTTCATAAATCAAATCAAAGCACTTGGGAGCTTTATGATTTGAAGACATTTTACTGTATACCTGCTTATAAAATATATAATGTTTCTGGTAAATATGGTTTTACTCATGCATTTTTTCAAGTAGGAACATATTTTCTCACTTAAAGAAAATGGGCATAGTAGTATTATTGAATAGAATTATTATTGAATAGAAAATTGTGAAAATTTTCTTTAGATTTCTGTCCAATCTATGTCAGAGCCTCACTAAGGCCCGATTTTGAATAATCTACAGCCAAATTCTGGAATACTCTGAGGCATAACTTCTGTAACCCACACAAGACTTTTAACAAAAAAAAACTCTATTCAAGAAAAGGCAGCAAGCCTGCATCAGATTAGAGCATAATATTACACAGCCATTCTTTGCAAGACTGTTGCCTCTTGCCCAGAACTGCACCATTTCTTACAGCAAAAATATCAGTATGAGATGATATTGATACCTGAGATACCTGATACTCTTTTCAACCTGATCACCTGGCAATCCTTCTCTCTCTCTCTCTCTCTCTCTCTCTCTCTCTCACATATATCCATATTTCACTTTAATAATGAGTTTCTACATTTAGGGCTTCCTAAAAAATGAAAGAGGTTTACTTTTGAAATGGAAATTTTTTCATAGTGAAAATATATATTTAGGTACAATCTGGATGAGAACTAATTAGGTATGCTGGAAGCACATTAGAGATTGAAATTTGTATTAATGAACCTATGATTTGTGTATGCACATGTGCACACACGTGTTTTAATTTTACTGCAATACTCTTAACATAAAAAATTTCCATTCGTGACATTTAGTACATTTGCAATGTTCTGCAACCATCACCATTATCTAGTTCCAGAAGGTTTTATCACCCTAGAAGGAAACCTGTAGCCATTAAGCAGCAACTTCTTATCCTCCCCACTCCAACCTCCATCTCCTGGCAACTACTAACCTGTCTTCTGTCTCTGTGGATTTGCCTATTCTGGATATTTCCTGTAAATGGAATCGTACAATGTGGTCTTTTGTATCTGGCTTCATTGACTTAGCATTGCCAACGCTTCCAGGTTCAAATCCCCTCTAGTGAATTGCTTTGAGGTCCATCTTTCATTTCCATCCCTTCTCTTCCCTTCTCAGGCCCTCACTGCATTATTTGCATTCTGTTAACTGTGAAAGCACCGGTCCTACAGCCATCCACTGTAGGACTCCTCAGGGGCCCCACTGACAGGCCTTATGCCACCACATTTCAGGCCTGACTCTGGGCTGCCCGTGGAAGTGAAAGAACAGCAAATTGCCCTCAAAATTCTCCAAGATTTTCATATTTTAAAATAAAATGTGAGAGGCACTTTTTCCCTTCCTGACAAATGTAAGTGATAATTAACTGGTAACAGAAAATCTCCCCTGAAGTGTCACAATGTGCTTGTACTTAACAGAGCCACCCTTTATATCTGCACCACAAATTGGCTCCAAGATGAACAAAAGAGCTGGCATTGCTCACCTCAGCCTAGGTGTTCATCCGTACACACAGTACGTATTGCACCCGCATTTGCTTTTTGTTAACAGAAGTAGCTTAAGGAAGAGCAGACCGTGGTGTGGCAGAGAGTACTGGACTCCACATGAGAAGATATTGCTGCTATTTATTATTACTATTTTTTTTTTTTTTTTTTTTGAGACAGAGTCTTGCTCTGTCGCCCAGGCTGGAGTGCAGTGGCGCGATCTTGGCTCACTGCAAGCTCCACCTCCTGCGTTCACACCATTCACCTGCCTCAGCCTCCCAAGTAGCTGGGACTACAGGCGCCTGCCACCACACCTGGCTAATTTTTTGTATTTTTAGTAGAGACAGGGTTTCACTGTATTATCCAGGGTGGTCTCGATCTCCTGACCTCGTGATCCGCCCGCCTCGGCCTCCCAAAGTGCTGGGATTACAGGCATGAGCCACCGTGCCCAGCTGACTGTTGCCATTTATTATGGATGTAACCATGGGCAAGTCAGGGAGGAATCTGAGCCTTTAAAAGGAGGGTCAGGTTGGGCACGGTGCTCATGCCTGTAATCCCAGCATTTTGGGAGGCCGAGGCAGGCAGATCACCTGAGGTGAGGAGTTTGAGACCAGCCTGGCCAACATGGTGAAACCCTGTATCTATTAAAAATACAAAATTAGCTGGGTGTGGTGGTACGCACCTGTAATCCCAGCTACTTGGGAGGCTGAGGCAGGAGAATCACTTGAACCCAGGAGGCGGAAATTGCAGTGAGCCAAGATCATGCCATTGCACTCCAGCCTAGACAAAAAGAATGAAACTCCATCACAAAAAAGTGAATAAAAATAAATAAAAGGAGGGTCACTTTAAGTCGTGGCTAACCTTACCAGGTCGTTACCAAGATAGAAGCCAAGAAAACATATGCAAAACCTCTTTGTAAACCATGACCATATTCCCCAAATGTGTCATATTACAGACTAAATCATGTCTCCTCAAAATTCATATATTGAAGCCCTTACCCCCAATATGACGGCATTTGGAGAAAGGGCCTGTAAGGAGGTGATCAGTGTTAAATGAGGTTATAAGGATGTGGCCCTCATCCAACAGGACTGGTGTCCTTATAAGAAGGATGCCTGCCCTTTCCATGTTTTCTGCCCCTCCTCATCCGGAAAAGGTTCAGGTGTCCCTTCTTCCAGGAAGCCTTCGGTGATCCCCCTGAACTTGGTTGGAATTCCTCCTTTGGCATCTAGGGTACTATTATTAATCTTGTTCCACAGGTAGCACATTGCAGTGTAATAATCTGATAATAGTTTGACCTCTACCTCCTTTCCTCCAGACATGACCCTCTCCCGGGCCAGGACCACTTGACCTGCATCTCAGCCTCCCCCAGGTGCAGCCAAGACCTGGCAATAAAAGGCCCTTCGTGAATTGTTTGGGCAGAATTCCTAGAAGACTACAATGGGATGAAAGTAGATAGTTTAACATTTTTAACAGCTAAAGATCATGATTTTCTTTTCAACCACTTTAGTCAGGTATTGTCAGATGTTAGTCTGATGCTGGAGCTGGAAAAATGCAGGGAATGTTCTGGTGTAGCCCTCTTATTTGGCCATAGAGGACACTGAAGTCCAGAGAGGAAATGGACACGGATGTTCATGGATACTCATAGCATCACACAAAGTCCCAGCAGGAAAGAGGAAGCATACTTGAATATGATAATTCCAGAAGGGTGTGTTTGTTTCTGCAAAAGCACTATTTAGCAAAGCAGGGCTGAGGTATAGGGGAACCAGAAGAGATAATTCGAGAACCTGAAGTAGAGCTGTTAACCGTCCTAGGGCTAGGATGACCAACTTATGCCAGTTTGCCCGGGACTTCCAGTTTATTTATTTATTCATTTTTTAGAGACAGGGTTTCACTCTATCGCTGAGGCTGGAGTGCAGCAGCACAATCGTAGCTCACTGTAGCCTCGGACTCCTAGGCTCAAGCAATCCTCCCACCTCAGCCTCCTGAGTAGCTAGGACTACAGGCATATGCCACCATCACCAGCTACTTATTATTTAAAAAAAAAAATTTTGTAGAGATGGTGGTCTCACTCTTTCGCCCAGGCAGGTCTTGAACTACTGGTCTGAAGTGATCCTCCCACCTCAGCCTCCCAAAGTGCTAGGATTACAGATGTGAGCCACTACACCTGGCTGACTTCCCAGTTTTAAAACTCAAAGTCCTAGGTCCTGGGAATAACTTTAGTTCCAGCAAACCAAGATAACTGATCACCCTACCTGGGGCTGAGGTAGGAAGGAAGGGGGATGGTTATTAAAACCTGAAAGGAAAGACAGTCCCCTTAAAGGAAGCAGTGATCTTCAGATAAGGCCACATTTAACCAAAGGGACCTCACAGACAGGAAGTCAGAGGAAATAGAAACTTCTGCTTCCTCCTTCTAAACTCCTACCAAAGTTCCACATAGGAACCCCCGCCCACCGCCCCTCCATGAGCCAAAGACCACCAGAAGCCTGGTCCACAGAGGACAGAAAAGGGTGGAGGGTGCACCTGGAGCAGTAAACAGAGCATCTAGCCAGCCACAGAAACACAGAAGAGTCCAGGTGAAGATGCCCAACTTCCTGCCCAGCACAGACCTCACTAGTCATATTGCAAGTAACAAGGTGGTGTTACTCAAATCCTCAAATCCTCCCCTAGATTTCCAAGCATTTCTAACAAAAAGGGGCTGGGGGAGAAGAGTGCTTTTAAGTTCTTCTGCTTACCTCTGGCTCCCATCTCTTCTCTACACAACACCTTGGCACCCCATGGGTGCTATCTTGGCCTGCAACACCTAAGTCCAGATGTAAGATGCAGTCCCTTCCTCAAATTCCACAAAAAATTCCACTCACAGAAGGCAATTTTTGTGTTTATCAGATCATATTGGAGATTTGAAGGGGGATCAAAGAAGAGTTCGTATGGCAAAGAACTTCAAATTGAAAAAGACATTCGTGTGCTTGGAAGTCCTCAGCCCCTCCACAACCCAAATGCTTCATGGACTATCTCTTGCTCTGTAGACCTCCCCCAACCCAACACACATACCATGTCTTCATACCTCTCCTCTACTTCTATCTCTCCTTTCATACCCTCCTTCAACACAACCAAAAATAAATTTTTTTTTTTTTTTTTTTTGAGACAGAGTCTCATTCTGTCACCAGGCCGGAGTGCAGTGGCGCGATCTCGGCTCACTGCAACCTCCACCTCCCAGATTCAAGCAATTCTCCTGCCTCAGCCTCTGGAGAAGCTGGGACTACAGGCATGTGCTACCACGCCCAGCTAATTTTTATATTTTTAGTAGACACGGGGTTTCACCATGTTGGCCAGGATGGTCTCAATCTCTTGACCTTGTGATCCGCCTGCCTCCACCTCCCAAAGTGCTAGGATTACAGGCGCCAGCCACCGCGCCCAGCCTAAAATACCTCTTATGCTGAGCAGTTTGCCGTTTCCTTCTGGGTTTCTGCAGGGCCAGTCAACACCCAAGCCTTGGAGTCTCACCGTCTTCCCCAAGAGACATCCTAGAAGGCTTTGTCTACCAGAGGCAGCTCCCTCTCTGCAATGAATTCTGCTACCAGCTGTTAGTTGAGAAGTTTTTCACCTCCTGTTGTACATTATTCCAGAGAAAGCAGTTGATTGTGGTATAATCCTTTGAGAAGTTTATTAATCAACTTGCATAAAAGCCTGTATCACTGGCTTTCTTGTCTCGTGGAATTCAGTTCCTCCTCTGAACATGTCACAGTGCATTACCCTGCTCAGAGTTAGCATATTTGAACATCTTGTAGTTGCTCAAGTAGCACAGCCATGGCATATTGAGCTCATCTTTTTCTTTCAAAGGCTGATTCCCGCAGCTTAGGCTCTCAGCTCTTTAAAATTACATTGAGATGAATCTTGCTGCATACAAGCTGTCAGTCTAAATGTAATTTTGGTTTTCAAATCCTGTAAGGTCCTGTATCTTAAACAGTTATATTCAAAATGCCATCTACATGTCTGAGCCTTTTACCAACTTTACATTTGTCCTTAATTTAAGTTCAGTTGTGAACAAAAGGCAAAGTCTCTTCAAAAATGTTCCGAATGTTATGAAGAGGCTTTACTTCAAATACTGCTGGCCTTGATGTAGAAAACCAAAGGAAAGTGGATGAACCTGGCTCAGAGAGCCGGGGAACTGCTGCCTGTTTATGTTGTTTCTTTTGAAGATAATAAGAGAATGATCCCTACGGTACTCACTAACAACTTGACTTCAAAGTAGAGAAGGATCTAAGGGAGACTCCAGAGTTAAAGGGCGGGGGACAAATTAAATTGTTATTATGTTATTTAAATCATAGAGTATGGAATTTCAGAGCTTCTTCATTGTTTTGCCTTAATCCAGACTTAAATGTTATACAGATACTTGCATCTTAGGACCTATTCTTTTGCTTTTACTGTTTTATTTGCTGGATTTGGTAAATTTTAAAGATTCTTTTGAATTAAGCATAATTTGAAATTATATCTCTTCAAATCCTATTATCTATATATTTTATTATCCATTTGTAGAAGTACTTTGTAAGTATTTAATTTTATAAACTATATATACAGTTAGGCATAAAGAAAGAAGACCCTGCTGAGGTCAAAAGCCTGAACCTTTAGCATTTGCTCCATTAGGAAGTGTGTAAATATTGGTGATGGAGCTTTAGTTGCTATTGCTACTTTTAGCTGCAGGTTATAGAATCACCACTGGCAATAGCTACCATTAAAAAAAAAATGTTCTTAGTGTTTAAACCCCTCTTAGTTGGGTTTCCTATTATGCCAAGATCTCTACATCTTGGCAGATATGCAGAATTGGGATCTCTGCAATTCTCTTGAGGAAAGACCTTTCCCTCATGGTCACAAGAGGGCTGCCACAGTGTCAGCCATCTCACCTGGCCATAGTCAGAAGTAGGAAACAGGTAAGTAGTCAGGGAAGTTAGAGAGCACTATCCTTGTACGCTTTTTTCATCAATGAGAAAATATCTTTCCCAGAACCTCCCCAAACCCGGTAAACTTCCTTTATCATCTCATTGGCCTGAACTAGGTCACATAGAAATGCCTAGTTTTAAGAGAGGCTGGGAAAGTGGGTAATTTTATCAGCCTGTATACTGTATAGTGGCAAGCAGACCAGGGAGGAGGTTGTTAGGCAAAGCTGGGACAGTGGCTGTTCCTGAAAACCTCACGTGACCAAATGAGACCATTCATGGGAAAATTATCTAGAGCTACTGTATTTAAACTCATATCAGAGGCTCATGACTCTCTAATAATATATCAAACCAAGAACTATCCTGCATAATTTAAGTGATGACTATAGGGAAAACCTTCCCATAAGGAAATAATTCAGAAAACAGGATATAGGAGAAGATTCCAAAGAGCCTAACATTGTCAACTAAATGATATCCCAGCCTTCCAGCATCCAGGACGCCCCTTACTAATAAATCACAAGCGGAGCAGTAAGAAGCAGTTCTTTCACTAAATCATAACATGCCCTGAATTAAGAATAGAGTGTCCTGATGAATTTAAATTGGAAAACAAACCGATAAAGGTCTGAGAATCTCTTTCCAGACCTCTCCCTGCCCTCCCAGTGGCTACTCCTGAGTCCACTCCCTGAGCAGAAGACCAGCAGGCTTTTATGCATAAAGCAGAATTAGTCAATGCAGAAATTAAGCTACAGCTTAACAATAAGCATTTGGTGACTCGTGGAGGCACGCTTCATGAGAGAAATGTCACGGACTTGGCAGATATAAATGTCTGAAAGAAAACATTCCAATAGAATGTACTGAAACACACAAAATCCAAGCAACAAGCCAGGCTTTCTGGAGGAATCCAAGCATATCCAGGGGTTGCTGGGAAAATCAGACAGATTAAAAAAATATATAATACTTAAAATAGAATTCCAAATTAATGCCTCCTCATTTCTGTATGGAAATGATACTTCTGGGGTTAAAGCTACCGTGCTAAGCAAATTTAGATTCGGTATTCATTAAATCCTTTTTGACTGAATGGTGATAATTTTTTTTTCCTACAAACAAATATCCATCAGCTTCTCTACTTGCTCATCCTGATCAGAGATAAATCCAATCAAATCCAGGTGTATAATATTTTCTGCTGTTTAACAGCCACATATACTTGCTGTGCATTTAGCTAATAGACACTGAATCAGAGAAGTCACCTTATACCTGTTCTTTGCTGTCTTTTCTGGACAGTTGAGGGAATATAGGAAATAGAGGTAGAAAGCTAAGTGTATACAAGGGAACTTCCTTAGAGGGAGGGGCAAGCAAAGTAAAGGTCCTTGTGAAAGAGACAGTGCAGGGATCCCACCAGGGTAGGAGGTGCCACAATTAGGCCAGCTCACAGACCCCAGGAGACTGCACAGGGTGCATGCCATCGAGAGCCTCCGGATACCCCTGTACTCAGCTTTGCTGGGAAACTGTGGCAGCTTGAACTCAGTCCAAGCTGAATGGAGACTCTAAACTGAACTGCTGTTCTGAGCCACAGATGTTTTCCCCACATAGGGGATATTTGGCAATATCTGGAGACATTTTTGCTTGCCACAGCTGGGGGAAGTGGTGCTTCTGGCCTCTAGTGAGTAGAAGCCAGGAATGCTGCTAAACATCATACACTGCAAGGTGCCACCCCCAAAAAGAATTAACTAGCCCCTGATGTCAAGAGTGCCCAGGCTGAGAAGCCCTGCCCTAAACTATGAGACAGGAAAGCCGAGGTTGGGAAAAGGGGAAGAGCTTCATCTTACTCATTTCTTCATCAACACCACTCAGTATTTTAATACTGAGAGTAATAAGACAATTCTAAACCTGGCTCTACTGTTAACACATTCAAAAACCTTGAACTTGATCAAATCCCTTTATCTTACTCCACTTCAACTTTCTCATCTGTAATTTGGGAATAACAATATCTGATACAGGTTGAGCACCCCGATCTGAAAATCCTGTATTAGTCCGTTTTCATACTGCTATAAAGGACTGCCTGAGACTGGGTAATTTGTAAAGGAAAGAGGTTTAATTGACTCACAGTTCAGTATGGCTGGGGAGGCCTCAGGAAACTTACAACCATGGTGGAAGAGGAAGCAAGGCACCTTCACAAGGTGGCAGGAAGGAGAAGAGTGCAAGCAGGGGAAATGCCAGACACTTATAAAACCATCAGATCTCGTGAGACTCACTATCATGAGAACAGCATGGGTGAAACCACTCCCTCGATCCAATTACCTCTACCTGGTCCTGCCCTTGACATGTGGGGATTATGGGCATTACAATTCAAGATGAGATTTTGGGTGGGGACACAGCCAACCCATGTGAAGCCCAAATCCGAAATGTTCAAAAATTCAGAACATTTTGAGCATTGACATGGCACTCTAAGGAGATGCCCATTGGAGCATTTCAGATTTTGAATTTTGGATTAGGGATGCTCAATCTGAAGTACAGAGTAGAGCTACCATGGCAAGATAGGTGAGAGCCAGCCCTAAAAATCAAGGCTGGAGGGAGGGAAGCAGAGCTTCCCTCTGCTTCCTGAATGGTACCTTCCCCACCTCATATCTTCTCCTCCTATCATATGTGCCAAAGTGCCAGCATTCATTTGACATTGCCACTCTTTCCTTGTATATTTAAGAGGTGATCCATTTGTTTTATGCTTCTACATCTACTTGACAGCTGCGTTTCCATGTTTTCCCTCACTGTTCAGTTTCATTCATTCCTCCGTAGGTTGCTGCCTACAACTCTTATACCACAGTCTTCCCTCAATATGTCCTGTTATTAGCATGTCAGACTCAACCAGAAAATACTTAGAGCCACCCCTCTGTATATTCCCAACCCTACCATGAACACAAGGGGGTGTGTGTGTGTGTGTGTGTGTGTGTGTGTTTTGTATGTGAAGAAACTTTATTGAGGGATTGAAAATAGTGAGATTACAATGAAACAAATGAAATCTAAAACCTGATGCAGAATACCCCATGCACTACTTTGCCTCATAGGAGTGCACCATCTCCTAATCCTTCCCTGCTGCTCGAGATCCACTCTCCATTTTCTCCCAGACAGACATTGTGATGAACTGAATATTTGTGTGCTCCAAAAATTCATATGTTGAAGGCCTAACCCCCAATACTTGGAAGTGATGATACTTGGAAGTGGGGCCTTTGGGAAATAATTCATGAGGGTGGAGCTCTCATGGGATTAGTGCCCTTATAAAAAGAGACATGGGAGAGATTATCTCTCTCTCTATCTTTGTATATGAGGATACAGCAAGAAAGCTGCCATCTGTAAACTAGGAAGAGCCCAACCACGCTGGCATTCTTAGACTTCCAGAAAAATGGGAAATAAATGTTTGTTGTTGAAGCCACCCAAATTATAGTATTGTGTTATAGCAGCCCAAGCTGACTAAACAGACAAGCTCTTCAGTTCTCCCCAGTGTAAATCTCTACCCCACTCTGCAAACAGGAGCTGGATTACATTAGAATCCATCCTCTTCCTCTCACTAAAATAATCTCAAAGTCAGAATTGTTCAAACTAGGAGATCTATATGAGACCTCCACTGAGCAGGGAAGGCCTATGAGGCAGGTACCGTTTAATGTCATGGGTTGGTGGGGCACAATGTGATGTCTGGTCCTCTTCCAAGTCTCCCTGTCATTCATTCCATGCCATTATCTCTTGAACCCACTTTAGATTTCCACTCCTCATTTCACTGAACTCCCCTTGCTATGGCCATCGAGGACCTCCACTTTACCAAATTCAATGGCCAGGTTTTCAGTCTTGATTTTACTGGATCTGTCAGAGTTATTTGATCCTGTTCATCACCACCTCCTTAAAACATGTTCTTCACTTGGCTTCCAGGACATCACACCCCTTGGTTTTACTCCCATCTCAACTGACTTCTCCATGCCATTGCTGGTTCTACCTCATCTCCCCAGCCTCTCAACTTTGGAGTGCCCCAGGCCTCAGTCAGAAGATCTTCTCTTTTTTCTCTCTACATCCATCTTTAAGTAAGCTCATCAATCTCAAGACTTGAGTACCAGTCTACAATTCCCAAACTTTTTTCTTCAGTCTAGACCTCTCCCATCAAATACCTCTCCTTGGTAAATGACTCATACTTTGTCATTTAAAGATCTGGCCGACATCTCAAACTTATGTTTAAAACTGAACTCCTAATTACCCTTCAGTAGTAACTCCAGGCTTCCAATTGCACAGACCAAAAATGTAGAAGTCATCCATGACTCTCCCTTTCTCTCACATCCCATTCAATTGTTCAGTGAATATATCCAGAATCAAACCACTTCTTGCCCCCTCCTTGTAACTTCATCTAAGCTACCATCATTTTCTCCTGGATTTCTGCAAGAGATTCCAAATGGCTCATTTCCAACACATATGCCAGAATGATTCTACTACAAAATCAGACCTTATCACTGCTATGCTGGAATCCCTACAACGTTCCCCTCTCTGACTCAATAAAAGCTACAGTCCATATTACATCCTCTAAAGGACCACATGCCTGGCCCCTCTGTTCCCACTTGGCCTCATCTCTCACTTTTCTCCTCATTTTCACTCTTCTCCAGGCCCTCTGGCATCCTTGCCTTTCCTGGCAATCCCCTACCTAGAAAACTCCTCCCTCTGATGTCTGAAAGGCTCAGAACTCAAACTATCCCCTCCTCACTCTTCTACTTAAAATTGAAACCTCCTCCACCCAACACTCATTTTTGCCTCTTTCTTTCTCTTCATAGTAATCCTTTGCATCTGACATGTTACTTATATTCATTATTGCTTTGAACTCTTTTCTTTCCCTGGAATGAAAAAGCTCCATGATGGTAACCTCCCTGATATCTTTTTTTGTTCATTATTTTATTCCCAGCAACGACATCAGTGTTTGACACATTGTAGGCACTCAGTCAATATTTATTAAATAAGTGGACTATTAGAACATACATACATATCTCCCAATGATAAACAATTCTTGGAGGGACAGTCTAATTTTTTCTTCATTTTTAAAGGTATTTTTATAATACTTCAGTCTGATTTTTATATTTTATTTTTTTTTATTTATTTTTGACACAGAGTCCCACTCTGTTGCCCAGGCTAGAGTGCAGTGGCCCAATCTCGGCTCACTGCAACCTCTGCCTCCCAGGATCATGCAATTCTCCTGCCTCAGCCTCCTGAGTAGCTGCGATTACAGGCATGTGCCACCACGCCTGGATAATTTTTTATATTTAGTAGAGACGGGGTTTTACCCTATTGGCCAGGCTAGTCTTGAACTCCTGACCTCAAGTGACCCACCTGCTTCAGCCTCCCAAAGTGCTGGGATTACAGGCGTGAGCCACCGCAAATTTTTTTAGAGCGAGGGTCTTGCTCTGTTGCCCAGGCAGGAGTACAATGGCATGATCATAGCTCACTGGAGCCTCAAAATCCTAGGTTTAAGTAATCCTCCTGCTTCAGCCTCCCAAGTAGCTGGGACTACAGGCATCCAGCTAATTTAAAAGAAATTATAGAGATGGGTTTTTGCTATGTTGCCCAAGCTGGTCTTAAACCCTTGGCCTCAAGTGATCCTCCCACCTCGGCCCCTCAAAGTGCCAGAATTACTGCTGTGATATTATGTATCAATTTAAAACCTGACTTTTTAATTTATACATAATATTAGTGTACATTTATAGGGTATATATGATACTTTGTTACATGCATAGAATGTAATAATCAAGTCAGGGTATTTAGGACATCTGTCACCTCGAGCATGTATTACTTATATGTGTTAGGGACATTTCAAGATCTCTCTTCTAGCTATTCTGAAATACACAATACCAAGAAAAGGAAAATTGCTCATTAATGTAATCTAATTTGTATAGCTTTTCTATCTGGGCATGGATACCTCCATTTAACACTGATTTTCAGAGCAGCTTCTGTTTCTCTTTCCTGGTTCCATACAATGTCCAGGAACCTGCAGATATGTAGAAAACAAGTCCCATTGTAATACCTATCCCAATAGAAACTTCACCCTCTACTGGGTTCATTTGTAGGAACACGGTAAAACATAAATGTCTATAGCTAAAATGTTCCTTTACTTTGAACAGTCAAATTCTTTAGCAGAGCATTCTCTTCAATGGTCTCCAACCTTTCCATCAGCTGAAGGGTTGTAGAGTAAGAATTTATTTTTAGGCTCTCCAGAGAAAATGTTCAAGGTGTTAGGATTGAAGGAGAGTTCTTCCAGATGTTTATAATTTGGCTACAGCTCCGCTTAGAATAATGTATTTTAAAAGTTATGAGACCTTAAGAGATCGCCTACTTCAATCCAAACAGGTAAAGAAAGCGCATGTCTTGAAGGCCTGTATGGTTATTCAGAGCTGGGGATTAAAGTCCTTAATCTCTCTGAGCCTCTGTTTATTCATCTACAAAGTTGAAATAGTAATACTATCTTAGTACCTGCCAGGATTAGAATTGCTCCCTCTATGGACTGAGCCTTTCCTTACTTCTTTGAATTGCAGACAGAAAGAAGTTGCAGAACTCCAGGAGCCAGAGATCAGTGAAGGGAGTTTTCTCTCCCTCTATTTCCCATCCATGAAAATGCTATAAAAAATTCAGGTATCATTCTCCCTGCTCCCACCTCTCTGCCAAAGTTGAAATATTTTGCTGTCCAGCAGTCCCAGGCCTCTGAACTGGAACAGCTTGCTTGGTCAGAGAGAAGGACCCAGAGGAGTTTGCCTACAACCTCAGAAACTACAGACATAAACTGGCAACTGCTTCAAAGGCAGAGGATGTTCTTGCCCTTTTATAGAATTCCCAAGTGGAAACAATAGACCAATGGAGACAGCCAGTCATATCTCTCTTCATTTGGGATATATATATATGTGTGTGTGTGTATGTGTATATATATATATATATATATATATATATATATATATATATATACACACATACACATATATACATATATATATACACACATACACACACAAACACATATTTGTGTTTTGTCCTTTAATAGAAACATTGGAAAGCAAGCTAGCACACTTTTAGACGAGAGAATTTTCCCAGGAAATTTGCAAACATTGCATGCTCTTTTTCCTTTTTAATTATGTATGGTCTATCTTCTGGGAAAGGGCACACCAATCTTTACAGTATCTTTATTAAGAAAAACAGCTGTCATTACAGCCTTGTTAACTCTGCTTTCTACCAAATATATGTATATATTTTACATGGTAAGTATATGTGGTAGGGTGGAGGAAAGGAGGTGCTTAAAGCCTATGAAGAAGATTTCACTGTGGGAGTTAAATAATAATTACAGATTTCATAGTGATACCACAAGGTTCTAGTGAAATCAATATACAAATGTGTAGCACAGTGCCTAAGCACTCTGCATTTAATAAATGCTAGTTACCTTCTGTCTTTTGTATTTTTATCAAAATGATAGCTGGTGAAGTTTAATTCTTCAATAGCTTTCTTATTGCTTATCTCTTATTGCCCCTGAAAAAAAGGAGCAAACACGATGATGCCCTTTATTTAAGCAGACAGAAAGAATGGGGTAAAGCAAGCGCTGGTGGAGACAAGATTTTTTTCCCTTTTTGGACTGGTTCCAACATATGCACATGATGGCATATGGGCAAGTTAGAGAGGTATCAGATGAAAATCAGGCTAATAAGTCATTTTTGTAGACATAGAAATGATTAAATTATGCTTAACAGGGAACAACAAAATGAATTCTAGTACATTCCATACCATGAAATACCAAGCAGATATTACCAAGAATGAAATAGATCTCTATGTAGAGACATAATCCTATTTTACATGTGCATATATCATATGTATAATATATAATCATATATATTTATATATTAAATATAATCATATAAGCACAGAGACATGTAAAATATATATATAGAATTTATATACTAAAAAATATATCTGGTGTATAAATTAGATATATCATATATATTTTACATGCCTCTGTGCTTATTTGTGCATATATATGCTTATGTGTTTATATGATAAGTATATATACCTGAAAAGGCACAATTCAAACAGTTATGTATAAAACATCTGATGGGGAGAAGAGTGATTTACACTTTTTATGCCATACATGTAGCACAAACCTTTAATTCTCATTGACTGTCCATATACTTCTGCAATTTTCCATTTTCCCATACAGTTAGGTGGGGTCACATAACTGGTTTCAGCCCATGACGTGTAAGCAGAAGTGACATACATCACTTTATCTCTGGGATATTTAAAGTTGTGAGTCCTTCAAGCAATCTCCCTACCACAAAAAGGAAGGAGCCTGGATCACTGTTACCCATGCAAGATAGCTTCCCAGGGGAATGCCTAACTTGAACTAAAAATGTGTGAGTGTGCATATGTGTGTGTGTGAGGGGATTATTGTGTAAAGGCACTGAGAGATGGAAGTTCATTAATGTAGTAGTTGTCTATTGGAGCACAACAAATTACTTCCCCAGCCCCCACCCCCAAAGCTTAGCAGCTGGAAGCAACAAATATGTATTACTTCACAGACCAGGAACCCAGGAGGAGTTCTGGCTCAGAACCCCTCATGAGGCTACCATCAAAGTATTGGCCAAGGCAGTAGGCATCTCAAGGCTCTACTGGGGCTGGAGAATCTGCTTCTAAGCCTACCCACCTGGCTGTTGGTAAGTCTCGGCTCCTTGATAGCTGTTGGCTAAAAACCAGCAACCTCTCCGTAGGGTTGCTCATGACAAGGCAGCTTACTTCCCCAGAAAGAGAGAGACGTGAGGATAAAAGACAGAGGGGCATAGAGAGAGGAAACAAGATGGAAGCCAGTCTTTTTATAATCTAATATTACAAGTGACATCCCATCATTTCTGCCTTATTCTGTTAATTAGAAGCAAGTCACTAAATCCAGCCCACATTCAAGGGGATGGGAAACGCACCAGGGCATGAATATCAGGAGCTGGATTCCCAGGGGCCGTCCTTGAGGCTGACTACCACAGGCAGCACAGCCTAGCCTACCCCAAACAATGCAATATTCTTCTCTGTTTAAAATTTTTTATAGCAAGCATGAGTTATTTTTATAATATAAAAACCAAACACTAAAACTGTATATAGCATGTTTTTTAGAAAACTACCCAATTAGAATCTCAGAAATTCTTCCCCCCACCCAAAGAGAGTTACCTAACGTGATAGACAACTGGTAAAATTATCCATTTTGCCTCTAGTCAAAGTAACTCATTACTCGAGTTCTTAAATGCACATCTTGAAAGTGACTTATTTTATCTCTGCTCCATTTGTGTTTTGTCACACTGAAGACATTTCCTTTCCTATAATCTAAACTACTAGGAGGTCTCCTGAGCATTTTCTGCAGCAAAACACTTTCCTCTCCATTTCCTTAGTGTTAATTGTACAGAGCAGCAACCTCTGAAGTGAGAATACAAAGTGAACTGGATAGCAGCCCCCTTTTAAACCCAGGTCCCCAAAGTTGACATCAAGCTTTGAAGACGCTGCCTTTTATTAATTAGCTAAAGGTCTGCTTGCGGTTGCTACTGTACAACCACCTCACTGTTTACCTTCATCTTCACTGGAGCTCTTCAATGTTCTAAGATAATCAGGCAACTGGGAGATGAGCTCACCAAGCCAGCAGGATTTGGGTCAGTCTTACAGGATATTCATACATCTCAGATGTCTTTCTTGATGAATCTGAAAAGGAAGAAGTTAAAAGTGAACATAAATAGTAAACACCTTAAAAAAAAGGGTAAAGATAAAAACTTCAAGGGGTTTCCTCTATATTTAGAAGGAGAGGACTAAACAAGCAAAAGCCCAGAGCTATCTTTAGTGGGAAAAATTACAAGGTGAAAAAGAAGTGATACAAGAGACAGAATCTAGAAGATAGAAAATAAGATCAAATAGAATAGGGAATGCTGGGAAGATTGACATTGATGGTGTAGTAGATTTCAACTTTCTAAATAGTAGACATCATATTTCACACCACTTTGAGAGTGAACGTGCTTTGACTGCCTGTGCCTTTTTTAAGAGCTAGGTAAGATTCAAGTGAATCTAACAGCATGGTAAAGTTGGCAAGTGACTTTAAATCATTTTTAATAGTTGCAGTTTGCAAAAAAATGGGTCCGATGAGAAGACAGTGAGGAGTTTTCATCACAGCTGGGTAGTCCCCATAATTTCCCTCAATTTTCCTCTAAAAATCCCACATCAGCAATGTAATTGTCTGCCTGTTTCCCTTCCACCCCAGATGGAAGACAGAGTGCACTGAAGAGAATAATAATGTGATATTCAATAAAGTGTTCTCAGCAAAACCCTGGGCTGGGGTGGGAAGTAGGAGTGGGATCCAGAGATGAGGGGGACACTACTTCTCGATGGAAGCATCACCTCCTCACAAGGCAGACCACCTTATCATTGGGCAACTCTGATTCTTGGAAATAAACCCAAATCTTGTCCCTTTGGATTTTTTTTTTTTTTTTGGTATTTGTTTTCCTCTCTGAAAATGCACAGGATTTCAACCTGCCATCCCACCCCTACCCACACCCCTTACAGTCCTGGGTATCACACAGCCAGAGCAATTTGGAGGAGACCCTCTGGGGCAAAGAGAGAGAAGATGCATAATGCCACACTTTGTCACCATCCTTCTTTCAGAGTAGTTTGGCTCATGTTTATTTTACATATTGGCTTTCACTCAGGTTTCATTTGAAAGAGCTTGGAGACAGGAAAACAAAAACTTCTTTTTAAAGAAATTGATAAACTATCCCAAAGATTAGCAGTAGCTTTAAAAAAAAATTCCTCCAGAGTGGGAAATTCTTAGGCATGAAATATGGGGGAAATACTAAAACTGGTAACAGATTCATATTCAGAAAATCGCCCAGGACCTTCCAAGAGACAGTAAAAGTGGTTTTCCTGAGCGTTCCTAATTTGACTTGTCTCTCAGTTCTACTACAATAGTCTAAGAGCCTATTGATGGATAAGGATTTGCTGACTATATTAGTTAGGATTAAGTGCAGCTGCATATGACAGAGAATCTAACCCAAAAGTGGTCAAAACAAGATGGAAGTGTGGTGGCTCCACAGAGTCATTAGGGTTCCATGTGCCTTCCAGCTGTCCCTAGGGTCTGGCCTCCATCATCACTACCCACAAAATTGGCTAGACCTTTAGGACCAAATCTGGCCTTCCAGACAGCAAAGGAGACAAAGGAAGAGAGGATACACACCCACAGTCCTTTAATGAAGTTTCTAGAAATGCCTATATCAGTTAACTCCTCCCCAATAATGCTGTATTAAATTACTCTTGTGCCTGTGGCTCTCTGATCTAGTCTGGCCTCAGCAGAGCGGCTCTGCTTTAGACTGCAGATCTGACCAGGCTTGGCACCATGCTGCAGTTTGGATTTAGGTCTGCTTTATGTGTCTTCACTCTGTCGCCCCGGCTAATAGAATCAACACTTCTGGAAACATGTTTTTTCTATGGAAGAGTTCAAATGCTCCCAGAAAGGCAAACAAAAATGTGCAATGCCTCTTAGGGTATAAGGTTTGAATTGG
This sequence comes from Homo sapiens, assembly GCF_000001405.40. Lineage (NCBI taxonomy): Eukaryota > Metazoa > Chordata > Mammalia > Primates > Hominidae > Homo > Homo sapiens. The sequence continues at coordinate 104,713,001 of NC_000008.11, read as the reverse complement.
CACAAAGTCCCTTCTACCCACATGCCATTGGCAAAAAAAAGTCACATGGTCAAGTTCAATATCAATCACATGGAAAGTATACTCTTCCCATGAAAGTTGAGGGAGAGGAATGAATATTTTTTGAATCATAATACATTACACCATCGGTACCAGGGTTCCCCAAGACTTGTACATTTGGTGATTCACTAGAAGGACTCACAGGACTCAGAAATCATTATGTTCCAGTTATGGTTTATTACAGTGAAAGGATACAAAGCAAATTCAACAAAGGGAAAAATACATGGGGTGAAGTCCAGAGGAAACCAAGGGCAAACTTCCAAGAGTCTCTCCCAGTGGAGTCATACAGGAAGCACTTATTTCTCCCAGCAACAAGTTGTGAGAACCTATTCTGTTCAGATTTGTCTAAGAGGGAAGCTTGTCCCAGTCTAGGGCTTTTATCAGGTGTCAGTCACATAGGCATGTGGTTTCTATATGACTGACTACAGTCACTGGAGTCCCAAGAAGGAAAGCAGGTATCCATCATAAATCACATTGTTGGCACAAACTATCCAGATAAATGGGTATAATGTGATTCATGCAAAGCACTCATCAGTTAAAATATTCTAAAAGCTCAATTCTGAGGAATCAGCCAAGGGCCAGTCATGAAACAGACCCTTCTTAGAAAACTGCAAGATTTGCAACTTGAGACAGCTGAGTTAACACTTTCCTACACACTACCCCATACCCTTTCCTCTGATAGAGGCCAAAATGCCATCACATTGACCACACCTAGGTGCAGGGAGTCTGGGCAAGGTAATTTTTGTTCCAGGTGAATACCTATCAAGCTAAGAATCAGTTCTACTCTTAAGGAAAAAGTTGAGAAGAGATTATGGGGTGCCACACTGAGCACTTGAGATGAATTGGAAAACAGAGTAAGAGACAGATCAGAGTTAGGGAACTATTACTACCTGACCACTGATGAAAGTATTTTACCTCAACCAAGATACCATCAATTACAAGACACATCATTATCTAAATACTGCTAGAAAAGGGGGAATACTGCTGCCAATTAAACAATGGCAATGCTTTCATTTCACATACATAACAAAAAGTATGAAACTCATCAATAAAGCTCGATGAATTTCCACACCCATGTGAACAGCACCCTGGATTAAGAACTATAACACTGTCAGAACCCTAGAAGACCTGTATGCCTGCTGTCAATACTACCTTCTTCCAAAAGTAACCATTATCCTGGCTTCCAACACCACAAAAAATTTTTTCCTATTTTTGAATTTTATATAAATAGAACTGTAAATTATGTATTCTTTTCAGTCTGGCTTTTTTCAACATTATGTTGATGATACCCATTAATACATGCTATTAGAACATATTCTCATTGCTGTATGATATTCCATTATATGAATATACACAATATAATGATCCATCACATTATTGATAGGCATTTGGCTGTTTATATTTTGAAGGTTTTACAAATAATGCTGCTGTCAACATTCTTGTACTTTTATTTGGATGAGTATTTATACACATTTCTACTGGGTACATACCTAGAAGGAGAATTCCTGGATCAGAAGAGATATTTAGATGTTGCCAAAATATTTTTCCAAAGTAGTTGCTCAATTAACATTCCCATCAGCAATATTCAAGAGTTTCAGTTCCAATAGCTAAACCAGCTTACAACTTGATATGTTTGCATTTTAGCCTTCTCATGGGTATATAATCAACTGTGGTTTTAATTTGCATTTTCCTGATGACTAATGAAGTTAAGCACCTTTTACATTTATTGGCCATTTTATATCATTGTTTGTCCATGTCTTTGTTCATTATTTTATTAGGATGTTTGTCTTATTACCAATTTGTAGGAGTTTTTATTGCACGGACTATAACCCTTTGTTAGATATGCATGTTGTAAATATTTTCTCTCACCTTGTGACTTACTTTGCCACTCTTTTAATGGAGTGTTTTGATGAAGAAATGCTCTTAGTTTTTACATGGTTCAATTTATTCTTTTCTTTATAATTAAAGCATTTGCGGTTCTGCTTAATAAATATTTGCCCAACTGAAGTTCAAGAAGATAGTCTGATGTTATGTTTCAATAGCTTCATATTTTACCTTTCACTTTTAGATCTGCAACCCATCTGCAGTTGATTTGGGGTATGGTGTCAGAGAGATGAAGCTTTTCCCCCCAGTGTGGACATCCAGTAGACCCAGAGCATTCATTGAAAGATCATCCCTTCCCCACTGCACTGAAGTATCATCTTTGTCACAATCATCACTTAGGATTTTATATTTTTGAAAGATCTTTTAGATTTCAACATGTATTACATATTATTGTTTTACATATATTAAAAGGAAAGTAAAAGCAAAATAGGTCAATATTTCTAGTATTTTTAATCATTCAGTCTGACTCTTCAATTTTTCAACTATTCAATTCAAAGTCATTGCTGACTGTTTCTCCGCAAAGCATGGTCCTCTGTGCCATCAAGAATGTTGGACATGCAGCAAAAGAATGCCTCACTGTTATCCCAGGATTTTCTTCAAAGACTTGACACTCGTTCTGCACATTTTCATGTCAATGTGCAGAAAATGAAAACTTTACCCTAGCTTACGGTGATTTTAAGATACAGTCTGACCTCAAACTTGTTAAAATGTGAAAGTTTACATGGCTCAAAATCAAGGAAATAATATGGTTCTTGTCTTAGGTTACTAGAAGCCTGAGAGAGATTCAAGTGAATATAGTTTATTTAAAAAATGATTTTTAGGGGAAGAAACATAACTTCTAAGAGAGGGAAAGAAGATCAGAGAAGAAGTAGTAGTTAAGCAAGAATGTGATCTTGGGAAAAGTCTAGCACTAGTCTGCTCCATGCAGAGGGCAGGGTGGGTTGCAGTCTCTTCATCTAGATTCCCCATTCTTGACAAGAGCAAGTCTTCAAAGAAAAGCAATTAGCTATGATCTTTAAGCATCAACACTGAAAACAGCTGAAGGATGGGTACACTGGTAAAAGGAATATAAGCTGGACAATAGTATTTACTATAGTCATAATACCTAAAATGTATTGAGTACTTACTATATACCAGCCACGCTTTTTTGGCAAATGAGAACATTGAAGTTTAGAGAGGCTAATTAACTTATCTAGGGTCAATGGCAGAGTTTGAACACAGGCAGTCTGACTTCAGGACTCTTGCTCTAAATTAATATATTACTTCCAAATAAATTCAAACAGGGAATTAAATGCATTATTTAAGTGGAAGAAGGGAGAAACCCCTTGTATACTTGCAGCTGGCCAAATAAGCAACAGAGGGAGATTATATTCATTTTTAAAATGTTTATTTTTCCAAACTCACAATTTTGTTTTACCTTCAATTCTGTTTTGTCTTTAGATTTCTAGGCAGATTCTCATCTCACATTTGGAGCCAAGATAAAATTGTTAGTACTACACAATATACCTTTAATGGTGGGCATTTATCATCACCTTGGGTTTAGCCCTCTTGGACAGTTATGAGTCCCTCATCATTAATGTCTATTATGTAGAAGTAGCAGTTAAGTCTTTGTCTTGGGATCACAGAGGATCTTTGTAATGCACACGACTGATTTTCTTATAGTAGCAATGATTACTTTGGTTCATATAGTCTTGGTTTTTATTAATTCCTTCCTGTGACATTCAAAATTGTTTTCGTCCTACATTTCTTCAATAGCTTTAAATAGCATTTCATAGGCACAGACAGCAGAAGGCTAAGAATCATCTTTATGTCTGTTTGATTGACTTGCCCTCAAAAGAAGCACAGAAATTGGGTCTCTGCAAAACTAGTTGGTCCCATATTGAAATTCTCATCTAATGTTTTTGGCCTTAAATCACTGATTCATCTTCATTATTTCCCATACCTCTCCACCCTCCATACCCACATCCCAAAAGAGGTGCTATTAAAAAGAAAAAAAGTAATTTGAAGTGGCAAGCCCCATATAAACCAAGCCAACATAGAAGCCTGCATTCCAAAATACAAATCAGTGATTAAAGAGGTTTGCATTGGAATTCCCAAAATCAATTTCTACATACCCCAGGCTTCTCTTAAAATAATGATGCAAGCCCAGGGTCATCAGCATTACCTAGGGACTGTGCTGAATTCCAAGTAGTTCTTCTGGTTGCACCTGGCAGAGATCTAGGCCCTTATAACTAACTTCATGCTTCATAACTGAGCCAAATTCCAGGCAATCCAAACCCCCAATGGTTCCTTGATGGCACATACAGAAGAAAGAAAAATGGTGCTAAAAATGGTAGGAATGAACATCAGCAGTTGGCTGGGAGTAGTTTCACAGAAGCCAAAACACTCTAAGGGTAAATCTGATCTCCATTGTGAAAATTGTGTTTAGTCTTCAATTTGCAAGTAAGACACCTAGAGAAATGTTAAGAGCTCACATTTCTTCTTTAACCCTTGCTGTTCAGCACCTTTCACCAGGGTGAGGGCAGAAGGGATTGTTACTCTACAGGACAGCCCAAGGTAAAATTCAGAGGGAATAAAGTTGATTTTTATTGTCTTTCTACTTATGTATTTTATTATTTATCTTGAGACAGGGTCTCACTCTGTTGCCCAGGCTGGAATGCAATGGTGCAATCTTGGCCCCCTACAACCTCCACCTCTGGACTCGAAGAGTCCTACCACCTCAGCTTCTCGACTAGCTGGGACTACAGGTGCACACTACCATGCCCGGCTAAGTTTTGTATTTTTTTGTAGAGACAGGGTTTTGCCATGTTGCCCAAGCTGGTCTCGAACTCCTGGGCTCAAGCAAGCCCCCTGCCGTGGCCTCCCAAAGTGTTTGGATCACAGGCATGAGCCAGCATGCCCGGCCTTCAATGTCTTTTTAAGCCATTCTTTTAGCCAGTGTCCCTACTTCTCCAGGGACACCTGATGCTATAGACTTCACTTTCTCCTTTCTTTAGTGTAACAATTTAAAGTGATTTGAGCATAAATTAATGCCTTAATACAAAGAAATGGGATCTCCAATTACAGACTTTTAGGCAACAATGAGTAGTTTTAGAGAGTAGAGACCTTCTGGCTGATCATACTATGTAAGTAACATCAATGACAAGAAAAATTCTGATCTGGAAAATATTGGAGATGAAGACATTTAAGAAGTCTGTAATTCTTATCTCCTATTCAAAGTTCTGTGTTTTTCCAGCTGCCACTGTTACATTTCTTAATCTTGGTGGGAAGAGGATAGCTGAGGGCTGGATTTCCACATTGATAAATATAGACACATAATAAGAGAATTTGCTTCCCTCGTGTGAGGAAATGGAACAATGTCGAATTTGTTTCATGGAGATTTAAATGAATCTTAATGCCTTTGTTCTGTAAACTAATAAACAAATCCCAATTCTGGAATAAATGATTCCAGTATTTGTAGAGCACTAAGCAAAGTGCTTTCCAAATTTTCTCATTTACCTTCCCACAACTCTGTGAAATAGGATAGCCTGTGTGTTGTTATTCCCACTTTAGAGAGTAATTGACAGACCCATGTCTACATAAGAGCTGATGGATGGGTCAGAATGTTGCCCAGTATTCTGGCTTCAAATCCTACAGTCCTTCCACCATATATCTCTGATTTGTGGAGAAGCATAAAGACTCAGTATTTGTGCTTTATTATGATACTGCAATCTGTGACAACAGTTACCTAATTCTGTTTTTATGAGGTTGGCATTAAAGATTGGCTTTGTCAACAAGTCTATCCAAATTAATTTCATGTGTCTTAACCTTCGTTCTAGGTTTTTTTTTTTTTTTTTTTTGGGGGGCCAAAGTTGGCTCATTTGATCCCTCTTCTTCCTTAAGATAAAACACACAGATGAATCACTTCCTTCACCTGGGAAAGGGGTGGAGTGAGACACTGAAAAGACAAAATAGAGTAAAAGGAAAATGAGACAAAATCTTTGTTACCTACATTAGAAAGGAGATTTTTAAAATAATGCTACTTTGCATAGCTTCTTTAAAATCTTAGTAAATAATAGTGAAAGATTATCTCAAAGAGCCTTCTTGAAAAATTCAAGAGCTGACATGTGAGTAGGAGTCAAATCCAAGGAAAAATATGGTTGTTATGGGAAGTAAGCTTGATCAACCATCCTTTCTTTTCTTTCCTGGAAATTCTGACTTAGCTAATGACTAGCACAGAAAGCAAATGTACTTTATCTTTTTTTTTTTTTTTTTTTTTTTGAGATGGAGTCTTGCTCTGTTGCCCAGGCTGGAGCGCAGTGGCACTATCTCGGCTCACTGCAAGCTCTGCCTCCCGGGCTCACACCATTCTCCTGCCTCAGCCTCCTGAGTAGCGGGAGGCACCCACCACCACGTCCGGCTAATTTTTTTGTATTTTTAGTAGAGACGGGGTTTCACCATGTTAGCCAGGATGGTCTCTATCTCATGACTTTGTGATCTGCCTGCCTCGGCCTCCCAAAGTGCTGGGATTACAGGCGTGAGCCACCATGCCCGGCCCAGCAAGTGTATTCTAAGCTTCATTGGTAGAATGGCAGATTAGTATAAATCAGCGAACAACAAGATCAACCCCCTTCCTCAGAGACAGACAATAAACTATAAAATAATGAAAAATTCAATTTTATAGTGCTAACAGCTGTAGGGAAAAAGCAGAGGAGCATATGAGGACTTTGGAAGACTAGCATTTATGGCCGAAATTTTAAATATGCTGATGGTGTTGGTCTCAGTAAGAAAGTGATGCTTAAGCAAAGATTTGAAGATGAGATTATCCCGGGCAAGCCCGTGCAAAGGCCCCATGGCAGAAGTATGTTTGCATGTTTGAAGAATAGCAAGGAGGCCAGCATGGCTGTAGCAGAGAGAGCAAAGGGAGGCATAGCAGGAGATGAGGTTGAAGAGAGAAATGAGAGCTGCTTTTGTCAGCCCTCAGAAACCATTGCAAGAATTTGGGCTTTCACTTAGAGCTTCTGAGGAGAGAAAAGCCACGACCAACTTCAATCACTCTGGCAGCTATGTTGAGTATACCAGGGAAAAGGAAGAGAAAGGAAGAAATTGGGAGCCCAGTTTGGAGATTACTTTAGCTAATGAATTCTTAACCTTTTCTTTCATAGTCTTAATATTGCTGATAATACTATTTTTATTACTCCCTTTGCAAATGCCTCATAGATGGTCTAACATCTGCCTTAGGATGTGGATATACTTGGAACCTGTTGTTCTCAGCTTTCAGGCTTCAGACAAAACCTCAAGACTGCAAGAGTCCCATTTTAACACCCTATCACACTCACCTAGAAAGGGCTTCTTCTCCTGTCCTGGTTATCTTAAGGGACATCACTTTTATGTGTGCCAGCCACAGGAGTAAGTGGGACATTTCAGTATCAGTCACCAAGCTGACAGCATCTCATTTGTTGCCTACCAGGTACCAAGATCTATGCTAAGAATACAACAACAAAATCCTTAACCTTAAAAAGCTCACAGGCTAAGGGAAGAAAACAGATCTGTTAGTAACTATAATGGGGGAAAAGTGGTGGCTATGACAAGAGTCACATGAACCAAGTGCTATGGGAACAAAGAAAAGGTACTTAATTCTGCCTTGTGACAGAAGAAGACCCTTCAGAGGAAGCAGCATTTGAGTCTGCCTTGAAAGTTGAGTAGGGCTGAGGGAAGTGAAGATGGAAAAAATATATTCTGAGAAAAGGAAACAGTCTGCCCTCAAGCATAAATACTAGCAATTATGCAGCAGGTTCAAGGACCAGAGAGGGGCCTAGTATGGCTGGCTTCTCATAAAAAATGGAATAGTTTGTGATGAGGGGCAGGAAAACATATGATGGGGGATGAGACTGGAAAGTGTTCTGGGTCCAGGTCATTGGGGACTTCAACATCGTGCCAGAGAAAAGTCAGCAGCAATATTTAGGCCAGGAAGTGATAAAAATCTTATCTCAGATGTTAGAAAATTATTTGAAATGTGGAAAATAAATAGGAAAAGAAAAATAACCAGTGAATGGCATCTTTCAAGATAAGAGATAACAGGAGCCTGACTAGGGGCAGTGACACAAGAAATAGGAGGGGAAAAAGCCAAGGGACATTTTGCAGGTAGAATACAAAAGGACTGGAGGAGTATGATTATGTAAATTATAGAGAAAAGAAAATATACTACACAAAGAAATCATAGGACAGTAATACCATTAATCAGCTAATACCCACAGGGGGAGTAGTGGACTAGGGAGAAAGGGCAAGATCCATGATCATGGTTTTCTGCATATGAAGATTATTTTCGTCACTTAAATGATCACCATGCCAATGCTTCCGTACCACAAACACATCATGCTGCCAGAGCTTGCATGTAAAGAATCAGATAAGCAAGCAGAAAAGGTAAAATTGGGAAGGTACTGTTAAAAGAAAAACTTTACACAAATTCAATTTAACAGGGTTTGAACAAAGAACGATTCATGAATTGCACAACATTCAGATCCAGAAGAGGGTCAGAGACTCCACCCAGCAGCACAAGCAGACAGTTTTATAGGCCGAATATGGAAGCAAAGTAGAGAAATCACCTGATTGGCTATATGCAGGCGTTTGCCTTATTTGGGCATAGTATGATGAGGCACTTGCTTTGTTGGGGCATGGTCTGATCAGTTGGCTGCTTGTGATTGGCTAAAACTCAGTTATTTATTACAAAATATACTCCTAAATTAGATTTCAGTTTGTTTAGGTAGGAACTCAAAGGACAAGACAGCCTCATGCCTATGGTCTCCTGCTTATTTAACAGTGCAGACCAGTAAGAGGCCACATCCACAGAAATTGGTTACTCAACTGCCACTAGAAATGTCCCAGGCAAGCAAGGGAAGAGTCCAGAGTTGATAAGGCCAGACTGAATATGTAGAATTGTTGATCTAGGATCCTGGAACAATGGCCCTGTGTTCTCTGCCCTGTTGTATGCTCCCCACTGAGGATGGAGAGCCCTGGTGAGTGGGTGTTCATAGCAACTGAAAGTAAGGAACCTGAGGATGGTGCCTGCCCTCGCCCAGGGCCAACCCAGCTCCTGCCAAAGCCACTTTCTGCCAGACTTGCTTTTTACACAGATCATATTTTGTCATGAAATGAAAGCATTATTTTTTGAAATATTTTAAAACATACCAGCACATGCAGAAAATACAAAACTGTGTTAAGTACAGAGCAGTTTCCCCTGATAATGAGTACTAGAAAATACACACAATAAGGTATTCAGACCGTGGAATTCCCTTACCACCCGCTTTTCCCAGTCTCATCTTTGAAGGGAGATGTGAAGGAGGCAGAGAGAGGAAAGAAGCACTTTGGAGAGAAAGATGTGGGTGCACTAAAAGGGAGATAGGAAGGGAAATCAGAGAAGGGAAGCAGGGAGAGGGAGGGGAAAGAGGGGGCAGTGCTAAGTACAACCACCTGAGCCAATTAAAACGCCACAGAGCAAACTCTGCATGAACAAGGAAGGAAGGAATACATTCTCCTAAGATGGGAGCAAGAATTGTAGACCACCCTCAGAAGGTACAATTATGTGTTCCTGTTTCATAAATGTGTGCCTGGAGTGAGCGACAGAGGTGGGGCCTGCACCTCCATTTGAATGGTGGCAAACTAGACAAAACAGGTGCTAATCTGTTTTCTGATTTTAACCATTTCAAGCCAGCATTTCCATTACACACCTGCCTCTCTTTTCTTAATTAGTTTAAAAGCATCAGCTGGCTCATCTACTGCCTCCTGTTTTGCCAAGCTCTGCTCTCAGGCTTCTGGCTGCCTCTCGAGTCCCAGATCTGGGGACAGTCCATTCCGTTTCTTGATTATTTGTGCTGTGGAAAGAGCGGTCAGACTCATAAGGATCCCCTCATCACAAAATCCTTGTTTGTTCTCTGTCCTTCTGTGGCCACAAATAGCTCAGGTCTCTAGTTCTGTGTTTTGGAATGGAATGACTCGGAAATACAGCAAAGCCTGTATGACCATCTCACTGAGGTTCCAGAAGGTAGAGATGCTGGGGTTCTTACAGGTCTAGAGGCAACTCCAAGGAAGCAGTGCATTACACTGGAGAGTGGGTTGTTTCCTAGTGGCCAGAATGCCTGGGGAGGTCCTTGTTATACCAAATATGAGCCGGTCACTCCCTTCAGCTCTCTTGGCCTGATTGCCTCCACTGTAATATAATGATGTTAAAGCTTTGTAAACTAAAAATGCTATTCCAGGGGTTTCTAATTTGTGTTTCAGAAAAGCCTGGATTTCCTCAGGAGAGCCTTAGCAGGCTGGGGAGGAAGCCTGCTGAGGCTCTCGGACAAGCTGCCTGACCACCTACCCCCAGTTCAACCAGGGAAGTTGGCTATTACAGCTTGATGTACAATTTAATTCAAAGAAAAAAGAGTTCAGTAACCTTAAAAAATGGAAAAGCATAGTACTTTACAAATTATTTTTCTTCCACTTTTCCCTGTAGTACATTCCCAGTTAAGCTAAACCCCTCCTTCACTCCTATTTTTTAAAAAAGAGGGACGATAACTGTATTAGTCCATTTTCACACTGCTATAAAGAACTTCCCTGAGACTGGTTAATTTATAAAGGAAAGAGGTTTAATTGCCTCACAATTCCACATGGCTGGGGAGGCCTCAGGAAACTTACAATCATGGTGGAAGAGGGAACAGGCACCTTCTTCACAAGGAACCAGGAGAGAGAGTGAAGGGGGAAGAGTCCCTTATAAAACCATCAGATCTCGTGAGAACTCACTCACTATCAAGAGAACAGTGTGGGGGAAACCACCCCCATGATCCAACCCAATCACCTCCCTCCCTCGACAGGTGAGGATTACAAATCAAGATGAGATTTGGGTGGGAACACAGAGCCAAACCATATCCATAACCCTTCCTTAAATCCAGCCTCAATCCCCCACCTGCCATTCATTTCCCTTCTTTTTGTGTGACCTGCAGGGAGGATAGAGGACAATGTTCCGCACCCAATACAAAAGGCCCTTCAGGAGCTGTGGAATGTTCCTTCTATTGCCCTTTTAGCTGTATCTCCTCGAGGCAGGGTCATCCAGGTCCTGGCCTTTCATGTCTCCTGAGACATGCTATTTTCTTTCTTTTTTTTTTTTTTTTTTTTTTAGACAGAGTCTCACTCTGTCACCCAGGCTGGAGTGCAGTGGTGTGATCTCAGCTCACTGCAACCTCTGCCTCCTGCATTCAGGCGATTCTCATTCCTCAGCCTTCCAAGTAGCTGGGATTACAGACATGCACCACCGTGCCCAGCTAATTTTTGTATTTTTTTTTAGTAGAGATGGGGTTTCACCATGTTGGCCAGGCTGGTCTCAAACTCCTGACTTCAAGTGATCTGCCCGCTTCAGCCTCCCAAGTGCTGCGATTACAGGCATGAGCCACCGCACCCAGCCAGACATGCTATTTTCAAACCCTTAGATGGTGCCTCCCTGCCTGCCAGCAACCTCCCCATGTGAAGAGCTACACAGGATTTGAAATGGTCACAAGACAAACGTCAAAAGGGTTTGTAAACCAAACAGGAAGGACTGGGAAGAACGCCATAAGGAAATGAGTGTAGAAGAGGGGAAAACATGAGAGAACTGGAGAACAGAGAGGCAGTGCAGGAAGGTGCTCTTCCTTCAGCAGGGACTTGCATACTGGCGTTCCTCTCCTCATGGCAACCCTCCTCTGACCTGTCAGGGACACTACCCTGGCACTGTGCGAGCCAGAAGTGGCAAATAGCCTCTCCTCTGCCCGGCTCCTGCCCATCCTCCCTTCCCTAGGCAAGGCCCTGCATACATTTGTAGTTTGATTGTTGACATCCCTCACCTTCCCTTTCTCCTCTCTCCCCTGTCTCTCCAGATTCATTCACTTGAAAGTGTTAAGTGGCTTAATGAGGTGCCTCTCTTGAGAAGATTTGTACTTCTAAAGCGGCAGCTCAGCCAAGCCAATGTTTAACACAAGGGATGTGACATGAGCCATTAGACACCAGCATTAGGGCCAGCATGGGAGATGATTGGCTGTTGAAAAAATCACAGCACAGTGAATTCTGCCGTCTCCACCCAGATCTCTGATGAAACCTGCACCTGACACCAATTCCTTTGCTGACAAAGGTTTTTATATCTTCAGCTATGCCCCCGACCTCTCTCCTAAGAAATGCCCTAGGCTTTCTTGTGGGGGATTGACCTCAAAGCCCTCTTCTACAGCCTCTAGTCTGTTCCCTTTCTTCTGTTTCTTTGAATTGCACCAGGCTATAGCTAGAGTGCTGTAGCTTCTGAAAGCATGTAATGAAGTGGCTACCGCAAAAGGGCTGGCTTGATTGCTACTTTGATGAGAGTGTCATTCTTATAAAACATAGAACTGCAACAAGCGTTTGAAGGCATTACATGACCTTCCATTCAGCCCATAGGACAACAATATAATTAACTTGCTTAGTCACCAGCTTCCCCTGAAAAAGATTTAGAACTCTGGTCTATGGGCATATTTATGGTCTGTATTCCTTGGAATAGAGAGTTGTTATTTTCCATGAGAATTACCAACAACTTTATGTTTATTTTCAGCTGTCTATTCTCTGAATTTGTAATTCTTTAAGTTTTAGTTATGGTTTATCTGGGACTTAAGAACAAGACAGAGGCTACTACTCCAAAGTACATTAAATAATGTAATGTGTAAGCTCCAGCCGAGTAAAGAAATTGTAAAGCTCAAGAATTCAATTTAGTTTCCAACTCCCTCTGGGCTATGTAACCTTACAGAGCCTTTGAGGCACATTTCAGAACTCCTGCAGGGCTAAACTGGTAATTTTTTTAAACACTGTTTGAATTAAATGGAGATGGGGTCCCTAGGATTCCACAGGAGACAGTCCGAGGTTATGCAGTAGCTTCCCCCCAGGAAACGTCTTCTTGATCCATGAAACAATCCACCTCTAAATTAATGGTCTCAATCTACCAGAGCATCCCAAAGAAGTCACCTTCCCCTGACCCAGCTTTTTAATAGAGCCCCATTGACCCATTATCCATTACCACTGGAGCTTGAAATTTTTAACTCATATAATATTTTCTGCATAGACTTGCTCCAAGATGCCTCGGATGACCCAGATGCTGCTGTCACAGTCCGTCTGCTTTTGGTTGGTTATCTGGGAAACTCCCAACACAGCAAATTGAGGACAAATACAAAATTCTTTCAGAAAGTTGTCTGGAAGGCAAGAGGACTGTCCCACCCCATGGGGTTGGCACTGTAATTTGGCATCTGCACTTCAAGCTTAGCTAAGTCACGGTGCCTTTGAAAGGTGCCTAATGAAGTGGCCAGAAGTGGAACAAAAAGAGTTCAGCACTCCTGTGCCTTGGATGTAGTTGTGAATACTGCTCTACAGGAGAACTGTTAAAAATATTTTCAAAGTGATAGTAACTCCTTACTTCTAAGCACATACCCGCAGCCTACAATAAATAAACTGTGTGACTGTAATAACTCTGGTACTGCTGTTTATGGCATACAAAATACATTCACATATATTACCTGATCTGATCCTCATAATGAATATGTGAGGAGCAGATGTTTGACCCCTATTTTACAAAGAGGTTGCCCAAGGTCATACAGCTATTGAAAAATAAAGCTTGGGTTGAAATGGATCCTCATTCTGATGCTTAGTTTTCTGCTACTGTTATTATTCTGCATTGCTTCCCAGCCTGACCTTGCAATAATCTCTTTAAGAAATTTAGAGTCATGGGAGAGAACTACCTGACACACCACTCTGGGTACAGTTAGCCAAAGGGGAGAAGGGAGTTGGCTGGATGTGGAAACTCTTAAGGGCTACAGTGAGTTACATTCGAGATCCTCTGAAGACAACCTGCCCAAATGAGTGAGTGATTCAATATCTGTTAGGTGCTAGGGATTCAATTCAAGTCCTGGCTGGTGGAGAATTGCAAACTTGAAGACCAAGCAAAATAAGACCACTGGCTTAGGCATTCATTTTAGGCAATCATTTTAGGATTCTGTAGGATTTCATGGCTAAGGATACTTTCAATGTGTGGATCTTGGGAGTTAGGATTGGACAAATCACAGTGGACTAGCCAGATTCAAAAAAATAAGAATCCTGTTATTTGCTTCTAATCTTATCTTTATGGTGTGCAATTTGTGATGGCAAGATAAAGCCAAACCTAGAAATTTCCACTAAATGCTAACTTAGACATTTTTACTATTTGAGATTTTTACATTATTTCAGCCATCTGTAGTTCTATCAGAGAATGTAAAAACAGTTACTTTGAAAAATTAAAACACTACAAAGTATAATATACATACAGAAATGTGCACAAATAATTATATGGCTCAATTAATTTTCACAATCACAGACTTTATATAAACAGGACCTAGGTCAAAGGAACTGGTTATAGAGTTATATCAGTACCCCAGAGCCCGCCTCATCTTTCTTTTAAATCGGTACTCTTTCCCCAAGAATCACCCCTCTCCTCACTTCTTGATTTGATCCTTCTCTCTAGAATAAACGAATTAATCCCCTATTAAAATATTACCTTTGAAGTACCTTTCATGTGCGTGAAAGATGAGGAAGACCTCAAATAATTACCAATTTACAATAGTCAGCTATAATAACAATGCTGTAAGTATAGTTGAAGCACCTAAGACCTATTTTCTAAGGCCTTTTATTCTTAATAAAGACCAGGGGAGTTTCAGACATGCTGTATTGGAAGACAGTCAGGCCTGACATCTGAATCTTCAACTTTTTCTCAGAAAGAATTCTTTCATGAGATGATAAGCAAGAGTAAATATTTTCAGACTATTTCAAGAAATACTTTTGAAATCTCTCCTATATGGGCTTGGGTCAAGCTCTCCATTTCTATTCATCTTCATTCTCTCTGTTAAAATCTTGATCTATTGTTCAGCACTAGGATTATTCTCCTGTCAAACCCAGAGCTCCACACACGTGTTGTTAGAAGAATAGTTAGTATTCAAGGCACCAGGAGAAGCCCTTTCTAAATTAAATGAAATTTCAGTGTGGTTATATAATACCAAATCAGATTGTCTGATTTTAGCAGAGATTTGGTTAAACTCAATTTTATATGTAATTTTCTATTTGTAGAAACTAATAGAAGGAAATTGTAATAGACATGAAAGAGAACAGGAATCTTATAGAGTTTGTCATATTCTGTTATGTATTAAAATGATAACACTGATTTCATGGCCCACTATTTCATTAAATTTCCTGCTGTCATTAATGCTTTTATAATTAAAATAACCTTAAATTTAATTCAGAACTTGCTACATATTTACAATTTTCCCTTCATACTTGGCAATCAGATTTTAGAGGAGTTTCCCCTTAAAGGGATGTGATTAACCTTTGCACCAGAGCCTGTATTTGATTTTGGCAGCCCCCTGAAAAAAAAGAGGAGAAAAGAAGAGCTTATTCAATGGGAATTTTGTGTAAAGTATTTCCTAGTGGGTAGGATTACATATCAAATAAGGTTTAGTGTGCTTTAAGGAATTTCCTTTTGAATGATTAATCTTATTGGGGGCTGTCATTTCATCAAGTGCAGCATTGAATCTCAACTATTTGAAGTTGATGGTTTATTATACATGTATTTGTGTATAAACATACCATATATACATATATTTCCTTCTCTATGACATATGATATTTTCTGTATTATAAATGTGTTTATAAAACTATAAATATGTATATGTGTATAAATATATACATGTACACATTTGTGTGTGTATGTTCCCTTTCTAGATATCTGTGATATTTACTTTGTTATAAATTACATTTTCTATGTGGGTAAACATAGATGCAATGGATCAAAGATAATAGATTCAGATTCAGTTGTCTAAGTTCTTATGCCATTTACAAATGGCTTTGTGATTCATTTTAATATCTGTTAAAACTAATAATAGCCAACATTATTGAGTGCTAAGTGCCAAGCATGTTGCTAAGTACTTTAATCCATACATTTCAAAGTAGTTGCTATTATAGGCCCCATTACACACATGAGGAAGCTGAGGCTTAGTAGTCAAGTACCTTGGCCGAGTCCTACAATTACACATGACAGAGCCAAGGCTCAAACTCAGATCAGTCTGATGGCAAAGCCACATTATTATTCACTCCGCCATACTGCCACCTTCACACCCTTAATCTCTGTGCTACTTCCCTCTCTTCTCTTTTCTAGAATATCATTGATAAACCCCCTGAAGTGTTCTTTCCTATTAAATTTAGAATTAAGAAATAATGTTCTTAAGCATCTTATTTGGATTTTGATTGGAGTTGCATTTAACCTATAAAAATATTTGGGAAGAATTGATTTTTTAATAAATATTTAATCTTCTCCTGTGAGGACATGACATTGTTTGCTCTAGTCTCCTTTAATCTCAATAAAATATTGCATTTTTCTTCATATAGGTCAAAAGTACTTTTTCAATAGATTATTCGTAAGTAATCTATATTTTTACTGCTGCTGATGAAAGATCTTTCTTGTTATGGTATTACATATCTATTGTAGTTATTGTCAAGGATCATACAGGGTCTGAGATTTTACACTAATTATAAACTAATAAGCCAGCTTGTTACTGTTTTCTCATGAATTCTGGCAGGAAACACGAGGCTCCTCAGAGAAAGATCTCATGAGGCTCCTCCAAAGAGAAAGATCTTTATTATTCACAGCAAAGCGGTAACAATATACATGAGGATGTCTCATCTTCCTACAGGGACAAAGCAAAGTGGCTGTTATGGATGCTTATACATGCAGCAGGCTGCATTTATGGAAGAACCCTGAGCTTGGGGTGTTCTCCGCTTGAATAGTGAGCAAAAGCAAGCCTACCCTTCGCTTCGCTGGAAATATTACCTAATTCCTCAAAGTAGCTTGCTGCAAATCCACCCTGAGAAATGACCAGAGCAAAGAATGATCAGGTCGGGATCTTGTCTTCTTGTTACATACAGCAAGAATATGCACAGCCACTTAGGGCTGACGGCAGATCACCTCTCACAAAAGGTATACATGAATGCTGTTGGGTTTTATGTTCTTGTCTTGTATGGAGAAAATTTATTGAACTCATTATTTTGAATAAGGTACAACCATTATTTCCTTTGAATATATATTTTTAAAACGTATAAGTCTGTGTGCTCAAATAACATGACCAAATTTACCAAGATAGTAAATCCCATATCTGGAACTTAAACCCTGGTATTTTAATTTCAAATGCTTTACCCTTTCTTTGTCACCATGCTAACCAAGACAAATTATATGTCTATTTTATTTGAAAATACAGTTTTATAATAGCATGTACATTACCATATTGTATTGTCATCATTTGTTTACGCGTGTTTCTCTGAACTTAGACCGTAAGCTCTTTGACCAAAGGCTGAGTTTCTTCATCTTTGCAGCCCTGGTGTCTCATAAAATGCCTACAGCGGGCCAGCATAAATGTGGATGGATGGATGGATGGATGGATGGATGGATGGATGGATGAACGGACGGATGGATGGATTAATCAATGGATATGCGAATGTATTCTTGCTGTATGTTTTCTGTATATCTAAGAATATTTCTTTCTTTTCCAAACACATTCCAAAGAAATTATCTGTCTAAATGTTATGAGATTGTTTCTGGATAAACAGAAACAACGAGCATGAGTTTCTAAAGTAGGCTGGCAAAGGTAAATTGGTTTGTCTAATTTGAAAGACCACAATGTTGGATAGGGCTGATAAAAATGAATCCTCACATTTACTTTTGTTTGTTTTTAAAATAAAATATACTACTCAAGGTTGAATACAATCTTTACTTTCATTTAATGAAAAAGCAAATATGAAGCAAAGTCAGCAGATTTTGAAGTACCAATCATTTTTGGTTTTAATTTCCTGAGCATACATGGCATTTATATAAAATGTTGATGAAAAAGGCCTGCCTCTCCAAGAGTTTACCATTTGCTTATCTTAGTACTGACATGTGCTGCCAAAGTGAGTTCTTGAAAATGCCCATCTGATCATATCACTCCTGTGTTTAAAATGGAAAAAAGATGCACACACGCACACATCTTTCGGAGGTCTCCCTTTGCCTTCAAGATACAGGCAAATTGCTCAGCAAGATATAAAAAACTCTGTGATCTGCCTACGTTCAAGCTTCACCACTCAGCATGACATTCCCCCAAACCCAAGTTTTGATGACGTCAAAATGATTGGAGTTTCCCAAGCAAGTCCAGGCCTCCAGACCTTTGCATACCCTGCTTCCTGTATCTGGAATGTCTTTCCTTGCACTTTTTCCCTGGCTAATATTTAATTGTCTTTCAAGATTCACTTCAAATTTCACATTTCATAGAACTTTCAAATTTCATGGAAAGCTTTTTCTTGAATATTCTTCTTGGTAAACTAACCATACTCTTTGTTATACCTCCATTGGGCCCTAATCTTACTTCATTGAGAGCACCCGTTATACATTGTTGCAATTCCTAATTTGCAAGTCTGTACATTTCTGTTATGTCTTATTCTTTTTTTTATTTTTATCTCTAGAGTCTAGAACAGGACGTGGCATATGTTATGTGCTTGTACTTACCAGTTTTTCTTCCTTTCTCTTCCCTCCCTCACGCTCTCCTTCACAGGTAAAGTCTTATTACCAGTAAGGATATTTGTGAGCTCTCAATGTTGAGACCCACCTCCTATGAAACCATGCAAAGAATGGGCTCTTAAAGTTGTTCAATGTGCTCTGTTAACACTCCTTAGTAACTAGGAAGTCTGAAGAAAGAGGCATTTTACATTTTATGTGAGAACCCAGATCCTGGGGGTGGGGAACAGGTATTCATATATATCAGAGGATACAGAACATCGGTGATTGCACAAAAGCAGGGCCAGCCCTGGGTCTGTGTTGTGATGCATTTTCAGATACTCGCTGGATTATCGAGGCTGACAGCTTAGCTGAATGCCTTTCTGGAAATTATGACCATTCTGAAAGGTCATCCTAGCTCCTGAGCTCTCTTTGAGATTGATTGAGAACTTCTGCATTGCCCAAAAGCACTTCCCTCCCTCGCAGGGCTTGCTCCTACCAGCCCTCCCCAGTCAACTTCCTGCATGCAAATATCCATCTAAGAATCTATTTCCTGAAGAGCCCCACTATAAAACAGAGGTCTTCTAATGTGATAGAAATTTACATTTTGTGGGTCTATGGAAGGTACCCCTATTTAAAATATTTCTTCGGTTGCTTTCTGTTTTGAAGACCTTGAAATATTTTAAGTTCTGTTAACTAAATCCTTCTTGGAGCAATATTTTAATCTAGTATTAGCTGAAACTGCTGAAGGAATAAACAAATGGACCCCATGTTTTCAAATATTTTGTTTTTAGTTTATTGTATTATTTTGTTATTTATTTATTTATAAACTCCCATCATAACTTCAGCTCAACATGAGTAAATCAGTGATAACAAATAAGCTAATGTAATTATTATTTTTAAAAGCCTTAAAGAAATTGATTTTTGTTAGCTTATGTACTTTTTCTTTTTCTTTTTTTTTTTTTATGCAATGTTCGGTTTCTGGTAAGGGCTCTCTTCCTGGCTTGCGGACTACGACTGTGTCCACCCATAGCCCTACCCCTGCGTGTGCATCAGAGAGAGAGAGGTCTCTGGCCTCTCTTTCTCTTCTTATTTTATTTCTATTTTATTTTGTGTTCAGTTCTGGGATACATGTGCAGAACGTGCAGGTTTGTTACACAGGTATACATGTGCCATGGTGGTTTGCTGTACCTATCAATCCATCATCTAGGTTTTAAGCCCAGCGTGTATTAGGTATTTGTCCTAATGCTCCCCTTGCCCCCCACCCCCGCCCCCGATACATCCCAGTGTGTGATGTTCCCCTCCCTGTGCCCCATCATTCTCAGCAAACTAACACAGGAACAGAAAACAAAACACCTCACGTTCTCACTCATAAGTGGGAGTTGCACAATGAGCTTATGTACTTCTTTGCAACATAAATATGCAATGTTTAATCCTGTTTTCCTTTTCAGATACTAAAAATAGCATATGAACTCCTATTATCACCTTCATGTGCCCCAAGTATAGAATTTATTCTAATCTCTTTATTTTATTTTAGAAATAAGAAAATCAAAAGAAAAAAGGGACAGAAGCCAAAATGATGATGTTTCATCAACAGGACTATCTATCACACCTAAAGATAAATTGAAATAACCCACTGATATAAAAAAATATATGTGTGTGTGAGTGTGTGTGTGTATATGTGTGGGGGGGGGTGGGGATGTGGGGGGTGGAGGTGTGTTTATAAATAAGTTATCTCCTCTTTGACACAAATTGGCTCTTCCAGCCAAACTAATAAAAATGTCAAGGCCAGAAAATCAGTGTCAACTTGTAGACTGGCATCAATGTTTGAAGTGTGACATGAAAACAAGAAACTCTGTGATGGTTTTATGGCATTTATTAATACAGATGGCTTTTGATTAAGGCACATTCTCCACTGACATAGCTAACCTAGAGCAAAACCTGGAGGTAAGAAAACTGTCTCTGGAGTCCTTCACTGCCTGTTCAGAGACTCTCCTGCCTTCACTCCTTCCTATCGAGATCTTCCATTCTCTCCAAAGGCCCAGGAGTTCTGCTACCTGCCCTTTCTTTCTTCCTAGGAGGACAAGCCTTCCAGGTCTGCAGATCTGCAAGGAATTCCTAAATCATTCAAATGCCTAAGAGGTATTTTTATAAATGTAAAAGCTGTACCTCCTTAGATATTCTGATTCTTCCCTACATCTGGGTTGAGGCCCTGGAGTCTGTATGCTTAACAATCACCCCCAGGGGCTTGAGATGATCAGCCAAATTTGGAAACCACCAATCCAAGATTATCATTCTCACCAAGTGTTAAAAACTTTATGGTGAATGTTCTCAAAGGGATTTGCCTTTTATTTTGTTAGTGAAAGGGAATGCTTAACTCAAGGGAATAGATCAGAGCAAAAAGTGAAGATATTATATGACAATTGGACAATCCATGTGCCTGTCAAATCAAACTCACAGAAATCATCTACTCCATCCGCCCTTTGAAGTCTGGTGAGGTAATTTGTACTCATTTCACAATGTCCAAAATAAGGCAAAAAAGAAGAGCATAGCTACATCTCTCTCTCTCTCTCTCTCTCTCTGTCCCTCTCTCTTTCTTGTTCTTGCTCTCTCTTCCCTCTCCCTCCCTTCCTTGTTCTATCCCCGTCCTTTCTCTCTTATTTTAGAGATTATATATACTAGTCCTTTCCTTTTTGGAAAAGAAAAATAAATCACAAGATGATGTAATTTATAAAGGAATTTTTCAAACGACAAAATTAAAATCTAAAAATTAAATGCACAAGGACAAGGAACTTAAACGGCCCCAGTTCTAAGCACTGACAAAGGAGATAGCAGCCGCTCCCTAATGACTAACACCAGAGAAACACTCCCATGCTCAGAAATTGCGTATGTGCTTCCTAACTGCCACACTCTGATGCAGACAAACAGCACAAGGTCTTGGTACCAGTTGTTAAAAATAAACTGTGAGCCCGTCAGAGGAAAACATGGTCTTTGCAGGGCGGGCGTACACTGAGGACTTCTGCAAAGAAGGTATTCACACTGTCCCCCACAACCAGCAACTGCAAACAATTATGGTGGGTACACTGCCCCCAGCCCTCCAACCACCCTCCAAGATAAACTCAGCCAGAGATTGCTGCTCGCAATCTAGAAAGGAATGAACAAAGAAGGAAAACTGTTGAGTTCCCTGTGTTGTGGTCATTTTTGCCTTGGAACTTTCATGAGAGACAAAGCCAACCAGCCCTGATGGGGGTCAGAAGTCACACACCCATCATTTTCTTTCTTTTGACGCATGGGTTCACTGAAATTCCCTACAATTTTCCAAAGATATTTTTACCTGCATCTTGGGCTCATGGGTAGTTTAAGGGAAGATTAATCCAAGGGGTTTCTGTATTATACTTACCTCATTAAAATATTGCATTGGAAGATGTGTTAATACCCTAAAATCCTGCTGATCCTTTTTATTAAGCTCTTTAAAGGAATTCTTTAAACAGTGAACAGAGCTGAATAGTACAGTTTTCACTTAGGCGCAGGATTCGCTTTACTACCAGGTGCTTTCACTCAAGGTTAGCTGATCCCTGAGGTCATTCAGACAGAGGCTCTGTAATCCGTACATTATTCTGAACTTTTCCAGAGACAGAGAAAACGGAAGAGTCTGTTAGGAGAGCAAAACAGCTGATTTGCCCCAGCTCTCGCCTCCTAAATGTTCATACAGGATAAAACCAAAGTAGCAAATTCTAGTAAGGTGCTTATTATGTGGCAAGCACTCTTCTAATGTAACCAATGATGTTATGAGGTGGATGCTATTGGGAACTCTTACAGATGAGGAAACTGAAGCAAACAGTTTACCCAAGTAACTTGCCCTCGAGCCACAGAAGTTCACCATGTGGTCATTCAGTTTATCACCAATTTCCCCAAATCTCTGCTTCTTTACTTTAAGAACTGGCCCCTGTTCCTGCCGCTTTACTTGAAGACCTGGCCCCTGGGTTCCTTTTTTTTTTTTTCTTACTTTGTAGAAACAGGGTCTCACTATGTTGCCCAGGCTGGTCTCGAACTCCTGGCCTCAAGTGATCCTCCCACCTCATCCTCCCAAAGTGCTGGGATTACAGGCGTGAGCCACTGCCCCCAGTCCCTGCTTCAGTCTTAAAGCCACGCATCACCTAAAGGGGACTCGGTGCATTACAGCAGAAAAAACTTTCCTTGGCTTCAAAAGAACCCTTTTTTCCTGCCTTGATCACATGTTTTAGCTGAGTCATCTTAGGCAAATCTGAGCTTCCATATTCTCACTTCCATGGGGGTGGTAACGAGGAAATAGCATATGTGAAAAAAGCAAACTGTGAATTGTAAAATGTTGATCAACATTAGTTATAATTATTAGTAAGATGTGAGATGTATTCGATAGCAATGAAAGAACACATGACCTGTTCTGACACAATCCACATATTTGGTGGAAAACCAGGTTATATTGGCAGTTGAGTAAGGTGATAAAACAGACTAGCATATATTAAATATATCCCTAGGACCCAGGGCTGGTAATATTGAAGGCAGGTCATGAATAAATCTTTGTGATCACCATAAGTTACATGTGTATAATATTTTACAGTTTTTGGAGCTCTTTGGTGATAGTGTTTATTTTCCTATAGAAAGGCATGCCACACAGGTGGTGTATTGTCAAGCAGAGTGTGTGAGCCAGGAAATGATTGCTGTGGGCAGTCACATCCAGATAAACATTCGCTGCAGTGGACTAATTACAGGTCCTCAGAGGACCCCAAGCCCCTATGGTAATAATCTGAGTGACTTCTTGAAATTGCATAGTCAGGAAGGAAACGAGAGTAATGCAGTATCCTCAGAAATATCTTCCCCCATCCTCACTCCTAGCCCTCATTTTCAGATGTTTTGGTGAGAGGTCCTCGAGGAACATTATGTACTAATTATTGTCATCTGTGTAACTCGGAGATCACCAGGATGTGATAAATGCCATGGCAAGTTCACACCTGGTTTTCCAAGACCCTTTACATGTAGAACTCAAGATGCTTGCATGGGAGAAGGAATTTCATGAAGGAAACTGGGAAAAGAGGAGTCATCTCATGATGAGAGGATCATGTATTTTGGAGGGCACATGCTGAAGCCTGCTTCCCAGAGAGGCCTTTCTCTAACCTCTGTGGCTTAGCGAGAACAAGAATCAGCTTTGCAAATGTTTCAGTTAGGGTGTTTTCAGCTACAAATAATAGAACACTCAACTAGAAGGTATGATTTCAACAACATAGATATTTAAAGTCTCTCATAATAACTAGATGTGTCTGGAGCACAGTAAGTTGTATAGAAGTGTTAGCTGTTATTATCAGTAGTTATAATAATAATTATTAGTAACATTATAACAAAAAAGTCAAGGCAGGGCACTCTCAAGGTTGGTACAACAGCTCAGGGATCTGGGTGCTTTTTTCCTTTGTGCTTTGCATTCACAGTGTGACGCTGATGCCTCCTCTTATGAGCCCAAAAGGGCTACAGTGGTTCTGGGGGTCACATACAAATAAAATCTAGAAAAGGAAAGAAAAAGGATGCCTTCTCTTTTCTAGGAAGAGAAGCCTTTCCCCAAAGCCCTTAGCAGACACCCCTTTGGGTTCCATGAGCCAATGCTGAGTTACTTGCCTTTGCACTAGTTGTAAGGGAGGCTAGGAAAAGAGTAACTGGCATTTTCTGTAATAAGAGAAAGCCCTCTCCAATAAGGAAAGAGAAAAGGAAGCTCCTGGGAAGACAACAAATAGTGCCAGCAGTCCATAATATTAAGCTAGTTCTCTCACCACACACTGCTCAGAAAGCATAGGGAGCTATCAGTCCTATAATTCTGGGTCTCCCCCTGGAGGTAGGGATTTGCAAAGAGAGAAAGTGATGCTATTGGGCAACTTGAGGTTGGCATAAGAAGATTTAAACTTTGGAGTCAGTCCCTGCCCTTCTGCCTATGTTAGAAAAAAGCATTAGGGGACTGAAAAAGGGGTCCTCCCACCATTAACAAGAGATCAGAGTAACAGAGAGATCAACCTCCTTGGGCAATAGCAATTTCTGTAATGGAGGGTCCAGAAGCAGAGCAGGCCGCTTCCAACACAACATGTGCTGGAGCCTGTCACATGGGCAGCCATGTAGCTTGGGCAGAGCAGACAGCTCCAGAGAAGAGGAACTCAAAAGAAAGTCACCACTATAGGAGGATAGGTGCTTGTCAACATCCAGCAGCCATGGAAGCACCTTATGGAGAGAGTGGATATCAGCACACAGCATTAACCACTCCATTGCCTGGTAAGCTTTAATGTTTGGAGACCAAAACAAAACAAAACAAAACAAAACAAAACAAAAACAGTAGCAACCGTTGGTAAAATAGAAAAAATATATCAAGTCCCTAGGAAATCATATTGTTCTGTGTGTTCAGTCCACTGTGAAAATGACAGGATATCGAGGCAACCTAGTCCAAACAGATTATATTGAGAAAACAGACATTGGGAATTGGACTTTTGTGGCTCTAAAGTGAAGTGCCATTTTAACTGATTTCCTCAATACTCACCCTTAAGGGATGTTTATCAGAGACTTGTCTACAGGCAGGCTGAGCACTGTAGTTGGGAATCCAGATCTCAGCGAGATCCAGGCAAGCAGTTAGCTGGATGTTGGTCTCAGTGCCAACCACCAGAGATGGAAAGGACTTGGAGATAGAGTTGGTGGGCACCAGAGAACGTGGCCCTTAGTTAAGAGCAAAGGTTCTAATATCAAACAGATAATACTTCAAATCCCACTTAATAGCTATATGAACTCTGACCAATTATTTAACCTCTCTAAGCCTTAATGTCCTTACATACAAAAGAGGAATGATGAGTGTACCTTCCTTCCAGGGTTGATGTGAAGATTAAATGAATTAATACATGTACATTTTTTAGAACATTACCTTGCATATATAAATATTAACAGCTCATTATTAGAAGAGAAGGCTTATGAGAGAACCCAGACATAACCAGTCAAAAATTCAACAGAGTAACTAACTTGATTCTGCTAAGTCAGTTAACAGAAGAACTCAATGTAAATGGATGAGAGTTGGCAAAGGAAATTTGGGGAGGGGAATATAAACTTTTTTACCCATGACATAATTTTTATTGCATTAATTAGACTTTTTTTTTTGAGACAGAGTCTCGCTCTGTTGCCCAGGCTGGAGTGCAGTGGCATGATCTCGTCTCACTGCAACCTCCACCTCCTGGGTTCAAGCGATTCTCCTGCCTCAGCCTCCCGAGTAGCTGGTACTACAAGTGCATGTCACCACACCCAGCTAATTTTTTGTATTTTTAGTAGAGACAGGGTTTCAACATGTTAGCCAGGATGGTCTAATTAGACTTTTATAAGGCTATCTCCCTATATTGGGGGTGAAGACCAATACTCTATAAAACTACCTGGAACTTCTCTCTGATGTGCAAAGCAAAGAAGCTGAGCCAGAGAGGGCTAGGTGACTTGCAGCCTTAATCACAACTCCTGCCAGCTTGAATGGAGACAGGCACATGTGCTATTTAAACCTCCCTTATTTTACCTTGAGGAACAAAATCTATACAGTGTAAGGTTGGAAATGATGACAGCACACTCAAAATATTTGAAAGATTGGATCTCCAAGAGAAGGAAATAAAAGACCCCCCACCCCCACGACACACACACACACACACACACACACACACACACACACACACCAAGAGAAGGAATGAAGCTCAGGAACTGGAAGCTGGCTTGGGAACAGAGGCAATTCTAGGCCTCTGTTACCTTGTCACTCCCTCTCAGACCCAGGAGTTCAGAGAGTTCTGCTAATGTAACGAGTCAGCTCCTTCTACCTCTCCTACTGCTACAAATAACACCTATGCCATCTGGTGTCCACTTACTCATCACTTTGGTCTACTTGTGACTTCTGCTCACTCACAACTTCTGTTACTCACAAACCTTTAAGACCCTTCTCCCTTATGGCCTTGCTGCCTTCATCCTCTAGATTTCTTTTCAGAAATTCTGATTTGTCTCATTTAATACCCATTGTTCTGGTTGAACAAACCTCTTATTCCATGACCTCATAGCTTATAGCTTGTCTTTAGCCAGAAATCTACATCTGGTTTAATCAGCCTTGCCCAAGAAGACAGGGTCTCATGGCGCCAACAGGAACATTATCTGCTTAAAGAACTGCCTGCAGCCTTCCTTCAGGAAGGAAGGAAGGTAGCCCTCTAAAAGAAAACCATAGACTTTGCAGGCATTCTAAAGCTTGGTCTCTCCACTTCAGCAGGTATCTCAAACTAGAAACTAAAACTGAGTAGGAAAAAATTATCTAGAAACTTCAAACTCAGAAGAGGTTTGACTTTTTTAATAAAGAAAGGACTTTGGTACTTGACTGGGCATAAAAGAAACATCAGAAGGCCAGGAACATCGATAGTAATCAGACTAGGTCTCCAAGTCACCTAGGACACTAGGAGGGAGAAAAAAAAAACCATACCAGCTTTATATTAGAATAAAGAACAGTGGGGTTTGATAAAGCTGTTGATACTTGTACTGGGATGGTAGATACAAATGCTATAATTCACAGAGTGTATCGTCCTTGAACTATTTGTTTTTTCTATACATTTTGAATTTTTCTTATGCCTCGCTTTTTAATAGTCATTTGTGAAAATTACAGCTGGATTATCAATACTTAGGGATAAACAAATGTAAAGGAAGAGGGGTGCATGCCTCACGGAAGAGTCACAAGGAGTAGGTGAATCTCAGGAACTGTGTTTCTTGTCCTAGAGTGTGCTCTTTGGACTCTTACTCATTTTGGTTTGTTTTACACAGCCAAGAGGAGCCTAAGAAGACATGACAAGTAAATGTGATGTGGCATCCTCGATGGGATCCTGGGACAGATAAAAAGGCTTTAGGTAAAAACTAAAGAAATCTGAATAAACTGTGGACTTTAGCTAATAATAATGTAACAATGCTGGTTCATTAATTGCAACGAATGTACCATATTAATGTAAGTTATTAATAATAGGGAAAACTTGGTGCAGGAGTTGGAAGAGAGGCGTATGGGAACTCTTTGTACTACCTCCTGCTCAATTTTCTGTAATTCCAAAACTACTCTAAAAAATAAAGTCTATCAGTTATTTTTAAAAGACCTATCTCTAGCAATAAATAATTTAGACACTTCAGTTCACTCAAATGGAAAGTGATTTAGGACATGGCCAATAGTCCAAACTTTTTCACAAAGATAAATTATGCAACTAGAAGGTTACTAGAGAAAATGTTGGGATCATTATTTGTCAGGCCACCATTTGACCTTGTCAACAAGCAAATAGCCAAACTGTCATCCTTTACTCTTCAAAATGCAACTGAAACTTACTATTATTAGTTGTAAAATACTTTTCCCAAAGTTCATGTATTGGAAACTTAATCCCCAATGCAGTAGTGTTGAGAGGTGAAACTTTTAAGAGGTGATAAGATCATGAAGACTCTGGCCTTACAGATGGATCAATATCACTGGAGTGGATTTTTTTTAATTTAATTTAATTTTAAGTTCCGGGATACATGTGCAGGATGTGCAGGTTTTTTATACAGGTAAACGTGTGCCATTGCGGTTTGCTGCACCTATCAACCCATCACCTAGGTATTAAGCCCCACATGCATTAGTTATTAATAAAAGCAATATCAGCCCTCTCTTGCTCTCTCTAGTACTCTCTTGCCCTCTGCCTTCAGCCATAGGATGACACAGCAAGAAGGCCCTCACAAGATGCCAGGGCCATGCTCTTGGACTTTCAAATCTCCCGAACTGCGAGCAAAATAAGTTACTGTTCATTATAAATTACCTGGTGGGTGGTACTCTGTTATAGCAATACAAAACAGACTAAGACACTATTAGCAAAAAACATAACCAAGGGAAGCTGCATGCTGCAATTCTAATGCCATGACTCTAAACTTCAAATATTAACATGATGGGCTACTTGACTTTAAAAATATAAGAGTAAAAAGTGCCAAACAGGTGGCACTTGACAGAGAGCTGGTAACAGAACAGTGAGTTCCTCATAATGAGAAAGCTTCTAACAAGAGCCATTTCAGACATAATCAGCTCAGGAAAGAAACTCAGCAGAACAGAATGAGCATTCTAATTCAATTTATATTATTATATTGATGATGCATTTATATCGTGCATTTTTCGCCAAGGCTGTCAAGCACATTAGGCTAAGTTCTGCACAACAAATTCAAAATACTTAATAGGAGAGCTTCACTGTAAAATTCCTCACCTTTAAAGGCCTTTAAGGACATTCACAAAATCACATTTTTGGTAGATATCAGTTAGGAATTAACACCTGCCTTGGGAGAAACATTTGTCAAGGTTTTACTTCTCATTTTTTTTTCAATTGGTTACTGAAAGAGAATGCTGTCACCAGTTTCATGGCTTTCATGGCCAAGAACAGAAAAGTAAAAATCCCAGTTTGGTGTTTTCTATGGTTTGAATATTTGTGTCCCTCCAAAATGCATACTGAAACTTAATGTCTAATGCAACAGTATTGAGAGGTGGGATCTTTAGGAGGTGACAAGGCCATAAGGACTCTGCTCTCATGGATGGGATTAGACCCCTATAAAAGGGCTTATGGGAGCGAATTCATCCCTTTTGTCCTTCTGCCATGTGAGGACACAGCAACAAGGCACCATCTTGGAAGCATAGCGCAAGCCCTCACCAGACAACAAATCTGCCGGCCCCTTGATCATGGACTTCCCAGCCTCCAGAACTATGAGAAATAGATTTCTGTTGTTATGAATTAACCAATCTAAGGTATTTTCTTATAGCAGCAGGAACAAACTAAGATAGTGTTTGATATGATGGGAAGCCTCCCACAATCTGTGGATGATGGCGCATTGAGGATGGTAGCTCACTCAAAGCCCACTACTACTGCCCTACCCTGATGTTTGTTTTGGGATATACATTTCTGTCTTCATCAAGTCCCTCAATGAACAGGATCTCACTCCAATTTATTTGGGTAAATGGGATTTCTATTTAAATACACACACACACACACACACACACACACACACACACAATTTTATAAATGTTCTAAGAGCCAGAAATGAAATAGAATTGGGCCATGTAGGAATCAGAACTGGAGGGTTTGATAGCAAGGCTGTGCCTTCCATTCCTCAGTGGGCCCCTTGGTCTCTCAGTTCTGTTCCTCTCTGGACATCTGCCTTCATCTCTGTTTCTTCTCTGCAAGCTGGCTTTCTGGGTTTATTTAGGGCCTCTGTATTCTCCCATATTTCAGTTGCATGTGGTTTGACTTACAGCAGTGACAACTCTGGATTCTGCTCTATATGACCTTTCAGTTCAAGCACTCATCATCTGCCTCTGCTTGTCAGTATCTCAATTCCAGATGCCCCGGGGGATGTCTAGGATAGATGGGGTTCCATGACACATAATACGTCTACCACTTCTTCCAGGAACTGAGAGTGGGGTCTTTAAGAATGAAATGTGAGAAGGGAGGATGTAGTTGACTTGTCAATGTCCCCATCTTCCCTTTTAAAGTTAATTTAACTTATATTAATATACTTTTAACATATATTCCTTATAGAAAGACAGAAAATTAAGATAGGCAAACACACTTTAAATGTCTGTAATTTCTGCCATCCAAATACAACTACTGCAAATATCATGGCATAACCTTTCAGAATATCTAAAATACACATGTATTTATAGCCATATCTCCATTAATATTTTCAACAAGAAGCAGGATCACTTTATGCACACTACTTTAAAATACGCTTTTTCACTTAAAAGTATGTGGGAATATATTGGGTATATTCTCATATCCATGAATATTAATCAGTGTCATTTTTAATTACTGCATAATATTTATTTTACAGATGTGCTATAATTTAACCAGGTACCTCTCATTAATGTTTGTTTCCATTTCTTTCTTTTTATAAAAGCAACCAAACACTCAGCTCAACATTCTTACACACATCTAAGTACAAACTCCTGAAACTTTCCTTAGTATGAATTCTCCCAAGTGGATTTGCTTGTTTAGAAGGCATGAGACATACGATCAGAGTATTTTGCATAAATGCAGCTCTGATATACATTTCCATGTGTACTATATCTATATGATGTGCCAATTTCTCCATATCCTGGGTATTATCATTCTCTTTAAACTACCTCAGTTTCTCCTTAACTGCCTTATTTTCCCCTAACTTGCCATCTGTGTGGCAACTCAGGCTGAAGTCATATGGGTTATAGTTCCCTTTAGACCAAGGATACTGCATCTGTGACTTTCCTTGGCCAAATGTTTCCTCTGAGAGAGCATTATTTTCAGTCTGACCTTTTTCTTCCTCGCTGTCTTTGTAACTTGCTAAAATATTTGTATTGAGCATCTGCCTTTCCTTTACCAGCTGGGATGAATGCAGGAGTGTAGCTTTCTTTCTCTATTTAAAGCTGTCAAATATACCATATCCAGGTTGAGCCCAGAGAGTCTACTGAGTATTCATCCTCGGGCAAAGAGTACAGACATATTTCCTGGTAAAATTGACAGTCTGGTAAATTATCGGAGGGCTTTATATGGAATCAGGCTTTGCCATACTGGTACTTACTTTGTGTTTAGGAGAAACACTTATTCATTCACCTGTCTATTCATTATTCATTTATCCACCCATATTTGCTAAGGACATGTAAGCATGTAAGCTATAAGTCTCAACTCTCTAAAGGTGATTTTTTGAGAGTCATCCTTATGCAGGTCTCTCTCTATATATATCTATATCTAGATATAGATATAGTTATAGATAGATATATAGATAGATATAGATATAGTTATAGATAGATATATAGATAGATATAGATACATAGATATATAGATATAGACATATAGATAGATATAGATATAGATATAGATATAGATATAGATATAGATATAGATATAGATATATAGAGAGAGACAGAGAGAAGGAGAGAGGGAGTCTCACTCCATTGCCCAGGCTGGAGTGCAGTGGCGCAATCTCAGCTCACTGCAACCTCCGCCTCCCAGGTTCAAGCAATTCTCCTGCCTCGGCCTCCCAAGTAGCTGGGATTATAAGCGTAAGCCACCACGCCCAGCTAATTTTTTTTATTTTTGTATTTTTTTAGCAGAGACAGGGTTTTGCCATGTTGACCAGGCTGGTCTCGAACTCCTGACCTCAGGTGATCCACTCACCTCGGCCTCCCAAAGTGCTGGGATTACAGGCATGAGCCACCACACCCAGCCAGGTCTTTTAATATTAAGTACTTTCTCAACAAGCACAAGTAAGGAACAGGTAGGTATAGTTTAAAATGATCAGTAACAAAATATTTTTATAAAAGGAAAATCTTTGTTTATTATAGGAATTTTCTGAAACACAGAAAAGCAAAACATAAAATTTATCAGTAATTATATAACCCAGAGGTAATCAACAAAAACCACACACATTTACTGCCTTTTTTTTTTTTTTTGACAGAGTTTTGCTCTGTCACCCAGGCTGGAGCGCCGTGGCGTGATCATGGTTTACTGCAACCTTCATCTCACAGGTTCAATCGATTCTCCTACCTCAGTCTTCTGAGTAGCTGGGACTACAGGCGCATGCTGCCACACCCAGCTAATTTTCGTATTTTTAGTAGAGACGAGGTTTCACTATGTTTGCCAGGCTGGTCTCCTGACCTCAGGTGATCCGCCCACCTCGGCCTCCCAAAGTCCTGGGATTACAGGCATGAGCCACCGTGCCTGACTTGGAACCACACATTTATTTCTATTTTTTATGTCTTTATCGTTAGCATAATCCCAAATACCAGCTGCCAAAGAATCACTTTCAAAAGAGCTTTTAAACTGGATCTTCATGTAAAATGAATGGTGAAGGAAGAACAATAGGCCCCTGTGCAGTGAATGAAGGAAAGGCAAAAAAGAGAAGAAGGGGCCGGGCACAGTGGCTCACGCCTATAATCCCAACACTTTGGGAGGCCGAGGTGGGCAGATCACTTGAGGTCAGGAGTTCAAGACCAGCCTGACCAACATGGTGAAACCAGTCTCTACAAAAAATACAAAAATTAGCCGGGTGTCATGGCGGGCACCTGTAATCCCAGGTGCTCGGGAGACCGAGGCATGAGAATTACTTGAACCCAGGAGGCGGAGGTTGCAGTGAACCAAGATCGTGCCACTATACTCCAGCCTGGGTGACAGAGCCAGACCCTGCTTCAAAAAAAAAAAAAAAGAAGAAGAAGAAGAAGAGGCCGATCACAGTGGCTCACACCTGTAATCCCAGCACTTTGGGAGGCCGAGATGGGTGGATCACTTTAGGTCAGGAGTTCGAGACCAGCCTGGCCAACATGGTGAAACCCTGTCTCTCCTAAGAAATACAAGAAAATTAGCCAGGCATGGCGGTGGGAGCCTGTAATCCCAGCTACTTGGGAGGCTGAGGCAGGAGAATCACTTGAACCCAGGAGGCAGGGGTTGCAGTGAGCCAAGATTGCGCCACTGTACTCCAGCCTGGGGCGATAAGAGCGAAACTCTGTCTCAAAAAAAAGAAAAGAAAAAGAAAAAAAGAAGGAGGAAGGAAGGAAGGGAGGGAGGGAGGGAGGGGAGAAACGGAAAGAGAGGGAAAGAAAGGAAGGAAAAAGAAAAAGAAAATGGAAAGGGAAGGAAGAAAGGAAGGACCAGGTAGAAATGGAGAAGAAATAAACAGAGAATTACACAGTAAAGAATGGAAATAGCTTGTGGTTTATGAAAGCAAAGGGAAGATTATAGGAAACAGGGAGAAAAGGGGAAAGCATCAGAGCAGATTCTTTTATTAATCAGGACTCTTAAAGATTGCAAATGACAGAAACCCCATGTGAAGAAGGATACACAAAAAGGGAATTATTTGGAAGCATGCTAGTGTATTTCTACTAACTAGAGGAACGATTAAATAACCAAGTCCATCCAGAGTTAAACTGTGCCTCTCAAACAATAGAAACCAGGGATTCAACACCATTGGGACTCTTTGTGTATTTCTTGTCTTTGCTTTTCTTTCCGCATCACATACATCATATCCCACTGCAGATGCGCTGACACCATATGATAGAAAACATAACTGCCAAGAGCTGGCAAACTTCCTATCCCAAGCTTCCCACAACCTGAGAAGGACTTACTCTCATTCCCCAGTTCCAGTTAGGAACACCTCAGGGATTACTTTGGTTTTCTCACTTTGGGTAATTTGTGCACCCATGCACCAATTACAGTACCTATGGCAATATAGTGATGTCAAATAAGAACAAGGTGGCTCTCCCCAGAATCACATAGCTAGAGCAGAAGGAAAAGCAGTTCCCAACAGAGAGTTCCCACAAGGCTCTGGACAGACAAACTAGAGTCATTACTCTTCTCAACATAGCATAATTCTAAACCATTTGGAAGAAGTTTGAGAGATAACAGCAGATCATCGTCTCCCTAGAAAGCATAAAATAGGTGGGGTCCTCCACAGGTTACCCCCCAAGGCCTCTTTGGTTTGGTAGTTCCATTCAATTCCTGGCAGTGGCCCGCATGCTCCTGGCACAGTCCCAAGAAACATTGAGTGCCCAGAAAAATTGATTCCTCCAAGGCCAATGTAAGTGTTTTCTTGTTCAAGAATCCTTTACCAATCTCAACTTTTGAATCCGATTCCCTAAAAGCATAGCTTATGAGCAAGCCAAACCAGTAGAGGGCATCTGTGAAGCACAGAGTTCGGGGAGTATGAACATCTTTATTGGGTGGGAACTCCCTAATGTTGACCAGTTTATATCAAAGCCTAGTGAAGTTACTTGGGAAAAGATGGGGAAATATGTAGGGAATCAGGGTGACACTGTAAAGAAAGGGAACAAGCCCTAAGTCTGCAGTAAGAAACCATGGCTCTAGAAACATTTTATTTACCTTCGGAAAACACTATACACCCAACCCCGGTTTTTTTCTTTTTCTTCTTTTTCCAGGCTAGGAATCTTGTTCCCCATTAATTTATCTAGCACTCTTTGAGTTAAGTAAGATTTTTCTTAAGGACATTCCAACTACTTCTTTACCCAACTTTTAAAAACAGACTATTATTCTAGTCCATCTGTCCTACTAGATTATAAATTCTGTGAGAACAAGGGATGTGGTGGATATAGTTTTTGCATTACTGTCTCTCCCCTCTCTCAAGCTCTTGGTGCAGTGTGGCTAGTAGGGCTCAGTAAATATTTGTTAAATTGAATCAATATATAATCAGAAAGTACTTGGACATCACAACTATGCCTGCAATTAAAAGAGGCTTAGAATGCATTCTATAAATAAGATTTTACTAATCCACCCTTTCAATTACTTTTTAAATCTTATTCAATTCACTTCTACCAATATTTATTGAGTGGCCAACTCTGTACCACTCAATGTGCTAGACACTCACAACACATTTTCGGTTAAGTTGTCACTGCATCTCCAAAAAGACAGACGCTCCTAAAGAAAAGTTAGACTGCCATAGAAATAAAGAGTAGGCAAGTTAAAGTTTAATCGTTATTTGCTGACAAGATGTGGGGGATGAAGCTGACAGCTTCAAGCAGGCTACAGATCCTGGAGCCCTTCAGCAACTCTTGCAGCAAGGAATCCAACAGGCTAAAACCAGAGTTTTGCTGCTGCTGTTATTGCTGTTTTAGGAACAAGCAGAATGACTCAGAAGGAACAATTTTGTTTGGTTTTTTTCTCCATCATGTTCTCCAGAGAAGGGCATGGAGAGTTACTTCATTTGAGAGTCACAATTAGTGAGGAGCCATTGCCATATATTAACTAGATTCTTCAGGCACTGTTTGCAGACCACTTAAAACTCCACTGTGCTTAATTGCTCAGTTGGACAGTTAACAGCATGATTTAGGTTTTCTCCCCTCCTTGTGTTAGTAGTCCCTTTTTTAGAGTTTTAAGGTTTGGGTTTTCTTGCATTTGCCAAAAGCAAGTTTTGCTTTGCTTTGAATCAGTGTCAAATACACTGCCAGAGAAGGAGTCTTTTTTCTTCTTTCCAAATAGGATGCTCCCTCTGGTGAAAAAATTTTAAAGGAAAAAGTAGGAAAGTTAATCCAAAAAAGAAGTGTAAACTTCATAGGTTATCTAGCTGCAGAAATGCCATGAGACTGAGTTTTTGCTTCTTAGGGATCCCAGGGATAAATGGGTATGACACAAAATGTGATATTAAGAGGGAAGATAGAATATTCAGTAGACCTGTCACACATCTCTTCCTATAAGGATCCTTGTGATTACACTGGGCCCACCAGGATAATACAGGCTAAGTTTTCATCTCAAGTCAGCTGACACAAGTTTAATTCCACATGCAACCTTAATTTCCCTTTGCCATGTAACCTAACATATCCATAGGTTCTGAGGATTAGGATGTGGACATCTTTGGTAGCCATTATTTTCCCTACCACAACACCTCAATCCTCAATTGTGTTTAGGGTGTCAATAAGTCCAGAAACCCTTGTTTTTACCTACTTCATAAACTAAACCTCCTGTTTTCTCTGGGGTAGTATAGGGAGACAATGGCAGTTAATGACTGGGCAGACTGGGGGATAGAATCTGAATGTCTAACTGCAATACTACGTAAAGAGAATTTCAATGAATCTTCCTGTTTCTATCTCCACCTTCATCTTCCCATTTCCATAAATACCTGGCATGTATACCAGGTATATCAATTTCTGAGACTTTAGAAGATTCTATGGATTACATTAGTACACTGGATTGCTTCTTGTCT
The DNA here is from genome assembly GCF_000001405.40 of Homo sapiens. NCBI lineage: Eukaryota > Metazoa > Chordata > Mammalia > Primates > Hominidae > Homo > Homo sapiens. The sequence goes on along the minus strand of NC_000008.11, from coordinate 104,676,782 downwards.
CTCCCCACTGCAAGTTTAGGATTCAGCTTTCTCAAGTGTCTCAAAGTCAATTGCTACTCGTTAATTTTCCTTCTAGCTTCCAAAATTTCATTTCTATTGTTTTCTCCTCTGTTCTCTTTGCCCTTGTGGGTTTATACAATTCGGGTAGATTAAATATAGAAATATCCGTAATTTCCTCCTCATATTCATGCCCCTTGCAATGTAAATTTGCAGCTCCACTAAAAAAGTGGCAAAGCCAATTTTTCCATCCCTTAAATCTGGACAGGCCTTGTGACTTGCTTCAGCCAGCAGAATAAGGTAGAAGTGACAATGTATCTGATCAAAGGGTAGATCTCAAGAGACCCTAAACACTCCATTCACTTTCTCAAGATCCCCTTCTTCTCCATATGGATAAGCTTGATCTGGCCTGGTGTTGGATGGTAGCCTGAGTCAACTCAGAGGTCCCAAATGAGGCTGGGGAGATATGGGAGTTCAGTCAAGATTAGCAAATCTGCACTTGACCTGCAGCTGACTGCAAATACATGAAGGAGCCCTACTGAAACCAAAAAAATCATTTATCTGAGCCCAGCTCACATTGCAAATCCACAGAATCTGAACTAAATAAATGGTTGTTGTTTAAAGCCACTTTATTTCAGGCATATATTGTTATGCAGGAAAAGCTAACTCATACAGTCTTTAAAAATCCCTTTACAGTTATTAATTAGAAATTCAGGGGCAGACTGTAGATGTGTGTGTTCAATCCTTTACCTTTATCGGCAACTTTTGATTGACTGTTTTCTCAATAAGGTCTGTTCAATAGAGAATCATAGAAGTATGCCTATATCACATTAATTTTATTATTTATTTTTTATTTATTCACTTGATTTTGTTTCAATATTTATTTTAGATTCAGGGGGTACATGTGCTCGTTTGTTACCTAGGTATATTGTGTGATGTTGAGGTTTGGGGTACAAATGATCACATCACCCAGTTACTGAGCATAGTACCCAATTGTTAGTTCTTCAACCCTTGTCACCCTCCCTACCTACCACTCTAGTAGTCCCCAGGATCTACTGTTGCCATCCTTATATCCAGGAATACCCAGTGTTTAAATCCCACTTATAACTGAGAATATGTGGTATTTGGTTTTCTGTTCCCATGTTAATTCGCTTAGGATAATGGTCTCCAGCTGCATCCATGCTGCAAAGGACAAGATTTCATTCTTTTTTATGACTGCATAGTATTCCATAGTATATATGTACCACATTTTCTTTATCCAGTCCACTGTTGATGGGCACCTAGGTTGATTCTATGTCTTTACTGTTGTGAATCATTAACTTGATTTTTAAAAAGCAGTAACTTTATCCAAAGCATAGCTGACATAGCTTCTGGTTTTTCATGATTCTTGTTGATCAAAAAAGTAGTTGCTATGATGATATTCAACATTCCGTTTGAAGCACATTTTTATTCTTAATTCCTACAAATACAATACATTCTGTGTCTTTTCTTATTTCACCCTCCAGCCATACCCTTTCATGGTACTCTTAAATAGGAAGTTCTTTAGCATCTTTGGTCACAGGACAGTATAGAATATAATTTTGAAATGTGGCCAGTTAATATTTCACTAAAATAAGTTCCACTGATGCACTTTTTTTTGCTCATTTTGCATCAACAGCCCATTTGAAGTGGTATAGTCCGTCTAAAATGGAGTAAAGCTTTCTAAGATAATAATAGTACATAGTTCATAGTTCAATGTTTCCAAGTATTGAGATCCAAAATCTTAAGTTATATTTCATAATATGTACAATGCCTTGTTTTGTTGGCATTCATGATTTTATATTTATAGCTCTTCAAACATTAGTATTTTTCATCATCTGAATAGATATTTACTTTCTAAGTTTGGTCATAAAAGAAATTATTTGAAAGAGTCATTCAGGAGGACAAAGTCCTTCCAATATTTGAGGGAAGATTGCTGTGTCTTTGGCTCTGACTGTCAAACCAAAGCAGGGTATAGCTCTAACCAATACAAAAATTGTTGTATCCTAACCCAATTGTTAGGCTCAGGAATACAATTATCATTACACAGAAGCTTTTAATAATTTTTCTCAGCACTTACTTTTTATTAACTGGGTTACAATTAAATGTACTTATTTTAGCCCTAAATTCAATGATAATAGATGATTTGGAGTCTTCGTAGGCAACATCAAGGATTTCTGAACAATATGTAGCAGAAAATCAAAGGAAAAGAATGGAATCATACTGTTGCCTTGGTTATTAATGGATTTGGAGCTTCTTCTGCATCCACTAATGATTATTACCATGTCCTACATAAAACAAAATGCCAATATTTGGGATATAGAGACTTGACATGAACATATTAAAAACATACAAAATGGAAAACATGTGGAAGACACAAGTGCCAGTAAGGACACAAGCTAAAAAATGGAAAAGATAGGATATGATATGAGCCCAAAGAGGAAATTAACAAATAGTAATAAAAGCTAGTATTTTTGAGAGCTTACCATTTTACACCCTTTCACAATCCTATCATATAGGTACTATTATTATTCTTGTTTTCCAGGTATTATTATTATTCTCATTTTGTAGTGCCTATCAGATAGGTACTATTATTATTCTCTGAGAAACAGACAGGTTAAGTGACTTTCCTAATATTACATAGCTAGAATGGGATGGAGCAAGGCTCATACCCAGCAGCCTGCTACAAGAACCCAGGCTCTTAACCACTGCACTACAGATTCCATGCCAGAAGGAAGCCATACGCACATTGCTTTCCATGGTATTTGGCCTTCTCTAATCCACTTCCTCTAGTAACTCTAAAAATATCCAAAAGATATAAAAATTATTATACAGATATAAGTGAATACATATGTGGAATTACATTATCTTCTTTTAAAAATTCTTTGTCTTGCTATTTCTTTTTAAATCTTGTACAGGCTGCTTTTCACCTTTTTCTTTTTTGCTTTAACTTCATTTTATAAAATAACTATGTCATTGGCCTATTTAACAATTAATGAGACAATAATATGCTTTTATGATTATTGAAGCGGTCATAGTTTCTTTTATGTCATACAGGTGTGCAGTCAATGCACCTTTTAAATTCTATGGAGTGTGGTCCTCCTTCTAATTGCCGTAAATTGGTTGCAGTAATCACTTTGAGTTGTTGGCCAACATAGTTATAGATTTGTACCAGGTGTTCTACCAGAAGATAATTGCTTAACAGTAAAGAGTACTTCAACAGCATTGATTAAAAAAAAATCCAATGTTAACTCCACATGCTGGTTTCATATTTTACTCACTTATTCATTCATTCACTTATCCTTAAAACAACACCTCGTGCATCAAATGTGTGCCAGTCATGAAACCAAACATCAGAAAAATGAAAAGTATGGGATATACTTCCTGCCTTCAAGAATCACATAATTTAGTGGCTATAATAATGAAATAAAGGATATTATGAGCCACAAAAAAGAGATATATAAAAAATTTCCATAAGAGCCAAAAGAAGTGAATGACTAGCTATGCTTTAGAGGTCTGGAGTCAGAGTCACAAAGGAAATAATAACGCTTAAGCTAAATGTTGAAGAATGTATAGGAATTCACCAGTTGTGGGGAATGATGCAGTTCCTGGGAACATCAGCACAATTTGTGTGGTTGACACATTGAGTGCACGTGGGGGAAGGGCCTAGCCATGAGGCTGTGCCGGTAAAGTGGATTCAAATTGTGGAGGATCTTTTATTTCAGGGAAGAACTTAAACTATTTTCTTATTAACAATAGGGAACCATGGAAGAGTTTTAATCAAGGAGTGGTTGTATCTCAGATAAAACACACAGCACATTGTCTTATAATTTTCTGTGTACAAGTCTGTCTCCCACTAGACTTGTCACAGTTTGTCTGGCACATCATAGGTATTCATTAAAGTTAAGTAAATCCTGAGTTATTGAATTAATAAGATAATATATTTTTAAAAGATAACGTGGTCAACCATGCAAACCATGAATTTGATTAGGGTCGGTTAGAAGGCAAGGAAACCATTTGCAAAGCTTATATTGGTGCAGATACGTCATAATGAGAGACTGTGCAAAACTATAGCAATAAGAACCAAAATGCAAAGCCATCTAAGCACTATCCGAAAATGAACCACCAGTCACTTTGTTGATCGACCCTGTGAAATCTTGTGAACAGATGTGAAGAAAACCTTCAGGCCTGCGATAGTATTGCACCAGTTACCCAGCTTATTGTGGGCAATCACCTGGACAGTCATCAACTCCTTGAGTGCCCCATAATCTTATTTGGGACTGATACTGTCAAACTCCTCATAACTAAGTGACGTAAACAGTTCTTCCTTGAACTGAAAACTCTGTCCCTTGTTGTAACCCACATATTTCAGCAAACATTTTGGATATAATTCTATCACTTTGATAAGATGTCTATCTGAACTGTTGGAAATTCAACCTATAGTCTTTACCAGGCCTAACAGTGGTGATTTCTAACATCAGCAAAATTCTGTAGCAGCAGTGACAACAGTAATACTAGGCAAGAGGACTTATAAATAAGAAAGAGGCTGAGAGTTAACAAGATACAGAAAATGTAAATGATAAACTATAGCGAGAGCTCAGGGCACATTTAGCTACCATTCTTTACAGCCAGAGCAGAGGCCTTTGATGGCCCAAAGAGCTAAAGAATAAATGAAACTATTGCAAGGAAAGTGCTCAGAGAATGTAATAGATCAATATTAAAAACCATTACAAAGGGAAACTACCCTTTTACTACAATACTATTAGCATTATGCATTTATAAAGGTGAATAGAAATTGTTTATTACCTGATTCTTGGAAGCACCTCTTGAAACAAAAGCAGCAGAATCAAAAATATATGTACAGCTATATTCTTTCTCTAGACATCTTTCTGTGAACTTAAATTGTTTTGGATTAAAACTTCTTTCTCTCTCAAACTCAGGCTAGGAAGATAAGCAACTATCTTTTCTCACTCTTTTTGTCCTTCCACTCCACCCTCCACCTTAGAAACCCAAAGGGTCTCTAAGTATACCATTACCAGATATTTTCCCAGCAACAAGATTTTCCTAAGTGTAAAAACTCTGAGTAGAAGAAATCAAACATTAAAAAGTGAATGTCTTTCCATTTTAAGCACAGACATAATTAATTCTCACATCACATACTCACAAACAAAAGCATGATCAATATTATACCACTATGTTGAGACAGAGGCAAACAACATTTGAAAATCATTGAGCTATGAGCAGAAAGAAGAAACCAAGAAAAAAGAGCTGCTTTGGGCAGAAGATGATGAGTTTGGCCTTAGGCAATGTTGTTTTGGAAGGAAGGAAAATATCCATATTTTGGTGAATTGTCTTTCCTCATTCTCTGTTCAGTTTTAGGAAAGTGTTTAACAAAATACGTAATAAAAGTCAAAACGCATAAGACCTATAAAAACATGTTTTTAGTTTGCATTTTAAGAAATTAAGTAAAAATGGTATAAAATAATTCCATTCAAAAGTGCAATTTTTATAGAGAACTCCTATGACAAAAATCTTCATTTCATCTCTTGTTCTTAAGGTCTGTAGCCTGGCATCTCCCTCACTAGAACCGCACTCTCCAATATTTGCAGAAAATAAGACATTTTCATATTTAAAACCTTAAAACTCACCAACTTAAATATGTACACTGTGACAATCATGACAGCTCCTTAAGCTGATGAATAAAAACAGTAGTATATATCTGTTCTAACTGGCATTTCCTTCTCAACTGACTCATTTGTGGGACCTGATAAGGTATGGTTGTCCAGCAAGTTCACATGCCAATGCTCGGGCCAGGACCACAACATGTATCCTTTCAATCAATGGAATCAGCAGTGCATTCAGTTTGAAAAGAAGTCCAGTTATACATTAACAGATTTTCTTATGAAGACCCAGCAGAAAAGTATACTGTTTCTCACTGCTTCTTAGCATCAAACTATAACGATTCCTTTAATTATTGTTTTGGTGAAAGGATCACATTGATTGGCCCACATGTTAGCTTGCTAATTTTTTGTTTTTGCCAGTGAGTCAGTTGATATGGTAATATTGCTTTGCTTAAGTAGATACATGTCAACAACGTACTTTTAAAAATACCAAGTACTCTTGCAAACCATCTCTGTCTTTCACATATGTGCCCACACACACACACAGAAACCATATTTAAATGTTCTGTGTGTCTGTGAATGTGTGTGTGAGAGAGAAAGATATTTATTTACGAATGAGATGAGGATGTGACATTCAGATAGAGATGCCAAACAGGAAGGAGGGTATTTGGCTCTAGAGTGAAGGAGAGATGTTCAGTGTGAAGACAGGGATATGGGAGTTATCTGCATAGAATAAATAATAGACGATATGTCAATGGATAAAATCATAAATGGAAGAGAAAGATGCTTAATGAGTTGCTGTTAAATTCAACTAAATTTGGCCCGAGGATGCTTTGGTACTTTGAGTCTTTACATAACAAATTGCAACCTAACTTAGCATAAACTAACTGAAAGCCTAATTTAGGAGTGTACTGTTATAACAAACAGCTGAGTCTTAGCCTATCACAGCAGCTGAGCTTCAGTCAGTCACAGGCAGTCAACTGATGAAGCTATGCTCAAATGAGGCAAACGCTGAGCTGTAACCAATCAAGCTGTTTCTCTTCCTCACCTCTGTTTTCTTTCCATCAGTGCTGTCTGCCCACATTATGGAGCAGAACCCCTGCTGGTTCTGAGTGCTGCCCCATTCTCAAATCATTCCTTGCTCAATTAAACTCTGTTAAATTTAATTTGTCTAAAGATTTTAACAGAGCCATTATCCTAAATTTTACATTTAGCTCAAATAAGCTAATTGAGTTAATAATATAGTGAGCATTTGTTCTTGTTTTTATTCTGGTTTTGTTTGTTTGTCTGGCTTGGTTTCTGCCTGCCTGGCTTCTGATCTCATTTGAGGATCCGGGCAGAAATAACACCTCGGCTTTCATGGATAAGGACACGTGTAGATCCCAATCTGTGTCAATAAAATCAGCCCAGACTTATCCTATCGAGAAAGATAGTTCACTTTTAGCTTCAGCTGCTAAGCTGGAAGTTGTGTAAGCCTAAAGCTGTTGCTCAGTCTTCTGCACCCCTTGGGGAAAGCTTGCATTGGGATGATGTTCACACAGAAGAAAAGAACTAACAGGGCCAGAGAGAAGACTCCCTGGTGGCATCGTTTGGTCTATCAGATCAAGTTGTGCCTGAAGCTCAACTACCTCTGGATGTACCACTTGCAACTGAAAGGATTCTGACTTATTCAGCTACTTGTAGAAATGAGTCAGAATCAGAATAGGAGGAAAATAAACTTTCTATCATAAATTTACAGCTATTCAAAGAATGAAACTCTTGTTTACAAAATGCAAAATTGCCATTATTGGACAATATTGTTTTATTTTTGTTTGTTTTGAGGTATACAAACATTAATCTTCCCAGATCAGAGCTATAAAGACACGAACTTTGAGAACTGTAGAAAAGTGACATAAGCTGGAATCTTCCAAGAGAAGCAAAGGAAAAAATGAACTGGTGATTACTGGAATGGCCCCTCCTTTCTCTAAATGACTGCCCTCAGTGACCTCCATCCAGCAGACAAGTCATCAGTCAGTCAACTTCCCCAAAAATCTTTACTAAGACTTACTTAAAATATATATGAGATTTTTCACAGTTTTCAGTTTCTCACTTAATGATTTTTCTCAATTCTCAATCTATTAATCTATACAACCTCTCTGGCAAAAGTCATTTAGTGTATTAAAAACTAATTTATACAAAATTTGAACTTTCTTGGTGCCCATATTAATATAGTAAATGCTCAGAAGAGAAACATCAACTTAGTTTTATATGTCCAGACAACAATTTGGAACCATCAGAGCCCAGAAAAACAACTGTTACTAGCATCTGATGAGCCCTACTCTGTGCCGGGGACTATGCTAAGTACTTTAATCTCAATACAGTAAAGGGCTGATAACCTTATAAAGTACAAATATGAATAATGAAACTCAGATAAATTGAATGACTTACATAGGTCACAGAGCAGTGAAATTATAAACTATATCATCATATGCTGAATCCCAAACCCATGTTCTTAATCACTCCATTATACTGCCTCTAATTAACATCTCTACTTAAAGGGCTGTGGAATGATCACCTTTGTTACTGGGACTTGATTTGCAAGGCTTTTTCCCAGGCCTCAGGCAAACAAGGAAACTGGAAAGATAAATTTAGAGTATTTTCCCAGCCCCTAAATTATTAAAGTTTAAGATATAGCAAAAAGGGAGTGATGAGGTCAGAATTCATGAGCCACAGCATAGTGTCATATCTTTACTTGAGCACTTATTATATAGTGCAAGAATTATTTATTTTCTTCCTTAGCAGGCTATGAACTCGTAAAAGAGAGAGATCATGCTCCATTCATCTCTGAATCCCTTGAATCTGGCTTAATGGCTCTCACAAAAAAGGAGGTTAATACATTTTTGTTGAGTAAATGAGTATGCCCTTTGTGTGTGTAGGGACATTCCTTTGGAACTCGGGTGAATCAATGGAATTTTTCCTTACCTTGAGGTTCCAAGAAAGGCCAAGTGGGGCAGTTTAATCTGGGATACCATGCGGTTTTCAGTAAGTTTACTTATCTAATGCAGTGCCAAAAGAATAAAATAAGTTCTTAATTATGAAAATGACTTGTTTACTGTACAGAAAAAAAAATAAAAAATTTAATGAATATTTTAGATGTGGCATGCATGGAGCTTATGATCCCCTCCCAGTGAACATTTAGGTGTTTTCAATGTGTTGCTACTTTCAGAAACAGTATGATGAATGTCTTCCTACAAATATCTTTCTAAAAGATTTTTTGCATGTGTACAATCACACACACGTATACAATAATGAAATAAAAATTTTATGAAACTACACGAATCCTTACTATATTTAATGTATTCCTAGTTTTCTATCCTATGTCTTAAAAATTTTTTTTTCCTAAATTGTTACAGGTAGTCAGATAGGCGTCAGCTGGGCAGGAGAGGGCTCTCCCCCCACCCACTAGGAATGTCAGGTTCAACAATTACTTAAGTGGCTACGTAGTCTGGGGTATATACCCTGGGGTTCATCGTCTTGCGCCAGGAAAATTTAGGACATGGACACACACGAAGAGTTTATGAGCAGAGGTTTAATAGGCAGAAGAGAAGAGAAAGAGAAACAGCTCTCTCTCTATAGAGAGAGGTCTCCCAGCAGAAAGGACTGGTGGGCAGCAGATGTGCTGGATTTTATAGTCAGGTTTGAGGAGGCAGTGTCTGATTTACAAAGGGCTCACAGATTGGTTCCATCAGGTATGACATTTACATAGCATGTGGGAAGGCTGACCACCCCACCCTAATCTTACCATGCAAATGAACCCTCCTGTTAACCGGAGTCTGCTCCTTACTGTACATGTGGCTGATAAAGAGAAGGGAAGATGGGGCCGCCATTTTGAACACGATTGGCACAACTGCTGGCATCTATGACTGTGGCTCGATTTTACAGGCTGCTCTTTGTTAGAAAGGAAAATGATTTGGGGCTGCTTTTCATTAAAAAGAAAACCTTACTGAGGACTTCTGTACCCTCATTAGCCAACCTAAGTAATTTCTTCTTACCTCCTGTATCATTATCACACTGCCTCTCTAAAAATGATAATTTCACAGCCCACCAAGGGTGCCAGGGAGAGGCCATTTCCTGATGATCCACAGCTATTAACATTAAAGTGTTGACTGAATGCAGCTACTGGGGAGAAAAACCTTCTGGGCATGTGCACTTAAAGACAAAATGGTGAAACATGACCTTCCGGGTGCACTCCACTGGAAAAAGGGAAGAAAGCTTCAGATGGGCATGCATGCAACTTCCTACACACACTGTGTGTGCTCAGTTCCTAAGGGTAAGGAGAGCCCACCCTAAGGGAATAATCATGGGAAAGAGGGGCCTATATAGCCCTAGGATCAAGGCTAAACACTCCCTTCTCTCTTTGACCTCCAGGTGCCCTCTTGGATCTCTTCCAAGTGAACTTTCCTTTCTTTCCTGTTCTAAAGCTTTTTTAATTAAACTTTCACTCCCGCTCTGAAATTTGCCTCTGTCTCTTTTTCTGCTTTATGCCCCTCTGTTGAATTGTTGCTTCTGAGGAGGCAGGGACAGATGTTACTGCAGACCCATATGGATGTGACGCCAGAAACTTGGGGTAACTCAGATATCTGCCACATGTAACAAAATGACTGCTTTCGACCTGCTATATTGATTTATGACTCACTAAGGAGTAAGGACCTACAGTTTGAACAACACTGCCATAGAGCGTGGTAAAGCACCATGGTTTGTCACTACAGGGCTTAATAAGCACTCTAGTACCTACTAAGTATCAAACTAAGTTATCAGCTATAGAGGAAGCATGGGGCTTTCTGAAAAAAACAAAAGACCCCAGCAAAGTCTCAGAAAAGCTGCTGTTAAGAGGATTGTTGCCATCAGTGAAAGAAGCCACTAGAAGCAGTTGCTATCTCTCAAAGCTGTCAAAAATAATAGGATCAACTAAAGGGAGGAACCTAAAGGGAGGATTCTTGCTAAGAAGAGCAAGGCCAATAAGAGCAGGTGCCAGGAGCCTTTCACCATCAGGATGCTCCTCTGCTGAGAGAAATTGCCAAGTGCAGCTGAGGCATCCCTGACAGATGATTTGATGGTTAACAGGAACCATCATTATAGCATCAGAGTATCTGGATGGAAGAATTTCAATGCCCAGAGGTCTTTAGCTTTTTCCCTCTTTATAGACCTTGTCATCTTTGAAATCAAGAGAATTGTTGAGTTTTTCTTTTTAACATAGTTGTCACCAAAAAGGAAGAATAATAATTTTCTGGCTAGAAATCCAATAGAGCTAAAGGCTCAGAAAACCACATAGACACTGAGTTGTCAGCCCGCGATTTCCTGTGGCCCAGAAAAGAGGGTAAATGGGCTGCAATTTGTAGTAAGAGTCTCACAGCAAATGCAATGGTAAGCACAGTCTGCCGACTAAACTAGCAGAAGAAGTGGTGGGTGGGTGAAGATTACAGCAGGATATGACGGCAAAAGATTTTAAGGAGAGCCAAATATTTTAGAGCCTGAAGCAGAAAGATAAAGAGTGTAGTGTTTCTAAAATCAGACATCTAGGGTTACCAACCATCCTGGTTTGCCTGGGACTGTCCTAGTTTTAGTATGGAAAGTCCTGCTTCCCAGGAAACCCCTCCGTCCTAAGCAAACTGGGAAAATTGGTCACCCTGAGTCCAGTTAGTTTGCAACTTACAGATAGTGTGACTGCTACTCACAATCCCACTAACAGCATGACTCACTTAGTATCAGTGTGACTCAGCATCTCTCAGTAACTTACTTAGCACCTTTGAGATTTAGTTTCTTCATCTGTAAAATGAGGATACTAGTGCTTATTCACAACCAATAAAAGGAGATCAGAAGTACTTTTTGGTATCGTAGTTCTATTCCTGTACAGATGCAGAGGCTTGCCTCACAGTCAACTCTAAGCACAATAGCACCTAAGACAAGAATACAGAGAGAAAACTGAGTAATCTACCTTTAGACAGTATGGAGTCAGAAGGATTGTAGTACTAGGGTTCTAGCACTGATGGCAGCCTTTTTGCACCCTGGTAAGTTTTTGGGTTTTTTTGTTTTATCTTTTTGTAGAGGTGGGGTCTCACCATGTTGCTCAGGCTGATCTCGAATTCCTGTGCTCAAGCAATCCTCCTGCCTCAGCCTCCTGAGTAGCTAGAACTACAGGTGTGCACCATGGCACCTGGCTCGCCTTGGAGTGACTTAGGCAATGCAAAAATAGCCTGGCAGCCCAGAGCTTTCAGGAACAAAGTAATAGTAGGAGTTTGCAAAAAGAGTATGTTTATTATAATTTTGCACATATGCCCTGAAATGTCTGTGACAAATATGCAAGCTATCCAGCTTGTTTTGTCTTATAAACAGAACAAAAATTGTGGATAAGTTTATTAAATGTAGCCTGTCAAGTGTAAACAAATTGACATTATTCTGAGAGCAATATTATAGACAATTTACATTTTATTGCCTTTACATTGTCTCTCTCCTGTTGGAGGTAGTTTTTTGCCCTGCTTGGACTCATAGAGCTGGCTATTTTTATTTGAATAGCTGCACTTTCAGATTCATATGTTCCAATCAAGTTAATGGCCCTTGTTTTTGCTGCTGATATAGGTCATGACTAAGCTACTTCATGCTTGAATTTTTACTTCTTACCACAAGTGTTTCTAGACAATGACCATAAAAAATGACTTTTAAAAAAATCCAGCTTTTTAAGGTGATATCATTTGGTCAGGGTCTAATACTACCCCTTCAAGAAGAATGTTCTCGCAAGGTCGCTGTGCCCCAACTTTTAAAAAGCATGCTTTGGGGGGACTTTTTAAGTATAATGTCAAAAGAAGCTGTGGCATACGTTCATGAATGATAAACAGAGGTAAAATGAAAGCCAAAAAGAAACACTCTGGTCAGGGATGAGGTGTGGGAGGATTCAATGAAGAAGAAAAGTAAACCTTATCAACTACTATGAAGACCAAGAGATTTACCAGAGCAATGATGCACAAGTCTTAAGAAATGAATTGTGATCTTTAAACTATACTTGAGGAAAGAAATGAAATGAATAGACATAAAATTTTAACATGACTGGGAGAACATGAAATTTAGGAAAACAAAACTTCACAACCAAAAAATTCCCAACCATAATACTTAAAGGAAAGAAAATAATGTTTTGTTCCCCCTTCTATGTGCTCCAAGCACTGAACTGGCTGCTCTCCTTGCATAAATTTTGTGAGATAGGTATTGGAATCCATATTCAATCTAAAAAGAATAAGAAACTTATTGAAGGTTACATAGCATTAAGTAACTGCTGGGCTTTGAACTCAAGTCTGTCTGTTTCCAGAGTACATATATAGTTCAAATCAATTAATATAGCCAATTTTCAAAAATTGATTTGCATAAGACTTCTATTTTTAAGGACTTAAAAATTATGATTTCATTTGACTTATTTGTTAACTTCTAAACCAAGTGTCTGCCAATGTCTCTTAGGCCCATCCTCGAACTGTGAGCATTCATTCATAGCTGATAAACATAATTTTCTTAAAGGTTTTAGGCCACAGCAGAATGGGACATCAGATCTTTGCCAATTAGGCAGTAAGTATCAATTTTGAGAAGAGTCAGCTAGGTTTGTACCCCTCCTCAACTAGCAGTGGGACCTAGGCAAGTCATTTACTCTCTCTAAGCTTCAGATTCCTCATCTAAAAATGGGGATAATAATAGTATATGTCTCTAATAATCGTATATGTGTTTAAAGATGAAATTAAGTGGTATTAAAGCAATTCTCATAGCACCTGGTGAAGAATAGGGTTTTATCTGAATCACTACGTACAGTCATTTGCAGGGATCCAGGAGTTTGGTCATTTTCAAAGCAATCTACACATATCCTATATTGAAACAGAAATCCCTAGGATTAGTTAGGATCTATTTAATGTCCCAGGAGTTATGAGTATGTACTGAGGCTGCTTTGGCTTCAAACAACCCAGTCAATGCCTATAGAGACCTAGATAAAGATCGCTTTATACTGGGATTTGGGCACTTGTTTGGGCAGGCCATAAGAGATAATTATACCCACCTTAGTGCACTCAGCCAGAACAATCCAACGGCTGGCAAAGAAAGGAAGTACTGCCATTCATCTTCCATCTGTCTGTGACTGGGCCACACCAGTGCCTTGCCCTTGCCAATCCCTCAGTATTTAAGGATCAGAGTCATGCCATTTACCTTAGTATGCATCTTGAAGCATATGCAATAATTTATCCAGGCACTATTCTAAGGACTGGGGATGGAGAGGCAAGTAAGACAAACAAGGACCATTCTCCTAGGCAGCTCCCATTCCCAGTAGAGATACACACAATAAAAAATATGATTTTTCAACAGCAAAAGAAGTTATGAAAGAAATGAAATGGGACATTGGGATAGAGAGTGATTGGAGGGTCCAGAGTAATCTTAGAAGGCATCTCTGAGGGGTAACATCTGAGCTGGGACTTAAAATACTTTAGAAAGTAAGTGGTGACATAGGAAGTAAGGGAGGCAGTCATTAAAAGATCGTATTACATAAAAGCTAGTACACAAGACCCTGGAGTGTCTCAGAGATATTAAGACTGTAAAATAAATGCATTTTTTAACATATTCACAACGAAACCTCTTGCATCATAAGAGGAAGATTAACCATAAAGGTATGTCCACTTCTAAAGTATTTTGTCCAGACATAGCATCCTGCCTGTCTGCTTCTATTTCCTGCCATCTCTGTTCAAGACCAAGATACTATCCTTAAGTGAAAATGACTTTTACCTCTTTAAGCCTCTGTATCCTCATCCATCAAATGGAAATAACAATGCCTCAGAATTGTTTCATGACTTGTAGTGAGGACTAAAAGAGACCATAGACACAGAACCATCTACAGAGCATATGCTTCCAATCCACCTGAAAAAAAAATGGCAAATCTGTGTGACTTTGAATAGACATGAGAGAGATTCAGAGTGATGTTTTTTAATGTAGCTGTGTAGGATTTTTTTCATAAAAGTTTAAATATGTGAGATCTTTGCACTAACAAAAATATAAGAACCATAGAACCAAATAAGAAAAAGCAAAGCAGGCCAGGCACAGTGGCTCACTCCTGTAATCCCAGCACTTTGGGAGGCTGAGGAGGGCAGATCACTTGAGGCCAGGAGTTCAAGACCAGCCTGGCCAACATAGTGAAACTCTGTCTCTACTAAACATACAAAAAATTAGTTGAGCCTGGTAGTGTACGCCTGTAATCCCAGCTACTCGGGAGGCTGAGGCACAAGAGTCACTTGAACCCAGGAGGCAGAGGTTGCGGTGAGCTGAGATCGTGCCACTGCACTCCAGCCTGGGCGACAGAGCAAGAGTCTGCCTAGGAAAAAAAAAAAAAAGCAAAACAGATGAGTATTACAAGGTGAGGAAGGAATGGGAGAATAAAAAAGAGTGACATCCAGCCTCCAGAGGAATGAATGCAAGCCCCAGAGGATCTTGATGCTGCCTTGCCATCAGGAAAAGTACTGTGTTCCTGAGTCACAGAGTCCCATAGGCCTTGTTCCTGAAAGGCACATCAAGGAACCTTACTAGAAAAACTAACAGGCCTGAATTCATGTTTTCCCACACACAGCATTACTTTCCATCTCCTTTGGATTAAATCAATTTGGATGTTTTGTGAGCAAAAACATTATAGTAGAGAATTACAGTGGTTATTTTTTCATTCAGTCCACAAACATGCACTGATCCCTTTTCATGTACCATGTATCATGCAGGGCCCTATAGCTGGGAGAGTTGTGAGGTCCTCTTCACTCCTACTCTCATGTCAGGGCAGTGCTTCTGGGTGTGAATTCCCAATGGAATGAAATCAATTTACACAATGCTTGTGCACAAGTTCTTGAAATGGAATATTAAGCCATTGCTGTAAAGCTAATAGTGGATTAGCATATTCCCTTTGGAGTGTGGCAAAGGGAGTAGGAGGCATGGTTAATTACCAGAGGAGGTTTGAGAAAACTAGTCAGTTATCTAACAACTTAACATTCTCCAATGCTGTTTAACATTCAACAACTGTAAATGGAAATTGGCCCTAGCTACTACTTATTAAAACTAAGAGAGCACTGTCGAGAAAGATTTATGGTTTTAGCATCATCAAAATATGCATTTCCAGAAAAAATAAAAATCAAATGGCAAGAAACAGATGCTATTTGGAACTTAGCGAATACTTGGTATCATCTATAATTCAGATTACAAAACCTTTAAAAACATAGAGCATATCAAAAATAAAATATCCACTCACTAGTAAAATCAACATAGTATATAGTATTTTATCATTATGTATTACAAATACCCAGCTTTCTTTCCAATGGTCTTTGTGTCTGCATTTCAAATGATTGTATTCTCAACCTAAGCCAGGGTTATGCATTATTTCCCCAAACTAGTCTTAGAGAAATCTGTTTCCCATAATTGCCGCTTGTTTTGCTGAAACAAATCTAAACTCGGATAACTACTTAAAAATATATCTGTTTAGGGAGAGAAGGGTGTCTCATGTGTAAAACATGTAGCAGATTTATTCTGGGTTTTCTAGGCATGAATGAGGGCATCATTTACACAAATACATAACAGGTGACTTTAGAAACTTCATTTATAACTAAGTCTCCTTTATAGAACTTAAAAACTAGGATTCTATGCATCAAGCACAACATTAGATTTAGTATACAGCATTTCACTTGGTCTTTAAGGGTGGAGTAAGTATCATTATTCCCATGTTACATGAAATGACAAAACTGAAACTGAGTGGTTATGTTAATTTTCCAAGGTCATTTAGCCAGAATTCTGAAACGTCTGTCTGGTTCCAAAATCCATGTATGTTGTATAATATCCTGCTACTCTTATTGTCCATGGCTCCCTTTCAATGTCACCATAAAATGACACTATGGCAAAAAAAGTCAAATCATACCTGATTTTCTACATAGTTGTCTAGAACTAAAGAATCAGAAGGAACTCTAGAAATAATCTAGATTAAACATCTGATCTCAGATAAATGTATGGTATTTACCTGTAATGCTCAGAGGTAATAGTAATGCCACTGAAAATTGCAAGCTGGTATCCTTTTTGCTACCTAGTGTATTATTTTTAGTTTTGGAAGGCGTGTGGTGATATTTTTTGCTCAGAATTTTTTTTATCTTAATGATAAACAGAAATCACATTCAGTCCTCAGATTTGCTATTTGGATTTTCAACAATTTAGAGAAGTCTTCAGTTCAATAGCATTACATTTAGCTTTGGATTTCAACAACTTCAGAAACCCAGCTAAATTAGTCAGGAATCTTTCAATTGCAAGTGACAGAAATACAACCAAACTGACATAAGCAAAAACCATTTAAATGGCTCACGTGACTAAGTAGTCCAGAGGATTGTGGTTTTAGGCACGACTTGGCTCTAAATAAGCTCTCCTCATATGTTGGCAAGATGACCACCACCACTTCCAGGCTTGTGTTCTACCAGCTGAATGACCATAACGGTCTCTTTCCTAATAGTTCAGCAAAGTCTTGGGGTTGAATTTCATTGGCTCAGTCACTGTTAAACTAAGTGTCATGACTAGCAAATAAAAAATGTTGACTGGCAAGACTTCAGTCATCTGCCCATCACATGGACTTAGAGTTGGGGATGAGGGTGGGAGCCCAAAGGAAAACTGAGATACCATTTCCCAAAGGAAGAAAAATGGATTCTGAGCAGCTAAAAATAGCTGGTATGCACCCTGCAC
This sequence comes from Homo sapiens, assembly GCF_000001405.40. Classification (NCBI taxonomy): domain Eukaryota; kingdom Metazoa; phylum Chordata; class Mammalia; order Primates; family Hominidae; genus Homo; species Homo sapiens. The sequence continues at coordinate 104,659,401 of NC_000008.11, read as the reverse complement.
GGTTCTTACTTTATTGTTATGTCATTTTTTGTTTGCTGTTAACATAACAAATCACAGAAATTCATAAAGTACTTTCCCGAGAAGTACTTTCTTGTTCTCAGGATATTAGGATCAACTCTGTTCAAGAAGAACTTGGTATATAACATACACCTTCAGGCAATAAATGCCCAGTTCTAAACATTGACATTGCCAAGCTCCAAATGGTTCCCTACATCTATGGCCCCCTAAGGGATAGGCTCAACCACCTCTACCAGAGGACCAAACAAGACAATTAGGCAAAAGGTTTTCCAGGTGTATGGGCTCAATGCTCTGAAATTTAGCATCAGCATTTGTTAACTTCTGTATGCTTGATTGGAGAGCTTTTTGACACTTTACGAAAACAGATGAATAGGCAAGTCTTTTTGAGACTTTATGAAAACAGAACTAGGACTAAGTACTAGAAAGCAAGGGGGACTTGAAGGATATCCAAGAAGAGATAATCCCGCAAATAGCCCCAGCATCAAGGCATTGCAGGCACTGCTGTTACTTGTCAGGAAACGACAGCCTCAAGGTTTTCTATAGTTTTTTTAACCAGCCACACTACAGAGGACTTTGGTAGGAGGTTTGGGGAAAGGTGAGGCAACTATTCCAGAAGACAAGGTAAATATGGCATACTGGAGTCTGAGTATACAACTGTCAACTCATTTTACACTATACATCTACAAATATACCCTTTGTCAAAGGAAAAATTCAGCAATCCTAGAAATGCTAGGCTGCATGTGTATAACAACAAACACTGTATGTATTGTATGTGCTATGCACTAAGCCAGCTCCTTGACATGCCATATGGATAAAGAAATCAAGATCCATGGTGATTTAACAGCTTTCTCCAGGTCAAAGATTAGCAGGCAGCAGAGCCAGACTTTGAAGGCAGATCTGTCTGACTTAGAAAGGCTGACCTTCTCCAAGGGATTCATGTCTCCCTGCTGCTTCCCATAAGTGACTTGGTCCTTGCCACTTTCCAACAAATGTCCCAGATATCAACCTCCTCCCTCCTATTTTCTTGAGTCTCCAAATATCCTTTGCTCCTGAACTCCCCCTTATTGGACCCAGCTTTGGGTCTTCCTGGTGCCACCTGCTCTGACTACAACTGTTCTATTGAATAAGCCTCCTCTTTCCATGACTGACTTGGTTTGGCTCTGTGTCTGCACCCAAATCTCATGTTCAATTGTAATCCTCAGTGTAGGAGGTAGGGCCTGGTGGGTGGTGATTGGATCATGGAGGTGGTTTCTAATCCCCTAGTGTTGTCTCATGATAGAGTTCTCACAAGATCTGGCTATTCAAAAGTGTGTGGTATCTTCCCCTTTGGTCTCTCTTCTGCTCTGCCATGTGAGGATGTGCCTGCTTCCCCTTCGCTTTCCACCATGATTGTATGTTTCCTGAGGCCTCCCCAGCAATGTTTCCTGTACAGCCTGTGGAACTGTGAGTCAATTAAACCTCTTTTCTTCATAAATTACCCAGTCTCGGGTAGTTCCTGATAGCAATGCAAGAATGGACTAATACAATAACCTATCACCTGGACCAGTTTTTTTTTTTTTCCTAGAATTTGCTGGGTTTGTTCTCTTGCTCACTCCTACCTACGTGGGCTTTCCAGACTCTAGTATCTGCCAGTCTATCCTGTTTTGCTGAAGTTAATGAAATTGACCTTTTCAAGTTCCAAGATAATCACTGTAATCTTCCTTTGGTTTAATGAATATATTCATCAACAGAAAGAAAAAAATGTCTTTAGGCATTCTTCTAGTAAAAAGCTTCAAATTTAGGCTCTTGATTCACAAACTCTAAGAGTAAGTGGAGTGTAAAAAGATGAGATTGTGGCCTATGTAATTTAAAAGTGTATCCTATTATTGAGAAACTCTCTAGGGGATGAGAATTTCTGCAGCTACCTGGAGTGTAGCCTGTCAACAGAAATAAATTTTATATATACATGGACTTTAACCTCTCAGTCCTGCTTCTGGTACTTTATAGAGACAAAAACTTCAGAACCTACAAGTATATATATAAGTATGTTTGTTATAGCACTGAGAAAGTTGGCAAAACTTACAACAACCTGCATAGGAGAGAAGTTGAATGAATCATAGTACATTCAAGCTAAGAATGCAGCTCTTTAAAAGAATTAGCTAGATCAATAACTTAAGCTGCATGGAAAGTCTGGTCCCTTAGGGCAGCTTGATGCTCTAAATACCCTGTAAACACCTACTGATGAATGAGCCATGGACCATCCTTCTACATTCCTCAGCCAGTCTCACCCTGACCTGGCTCTACCACTCCAAATTCCTAGCTCATCCCCTCACCTTGAACCTATTTTTGGCCTTTTGGCCTTTGCTATTAGGTCACCCTCATATTTAACTCTCACTATTCCCCCAATGGACTCTAAAAGTAGCCCTTAAAAAGAGTGAGTCACATGCATATATATGGAGCTACAGGAAAGTCTAGAATGTTGCAGGGAATTGTATTATAGGATGTCATTTTAGAAAAACAAACAGTGGCCAAGGATATAGATACAGCTGTAGATAGATAGACAGATAGATATTTTTAAGAATTTGAAGAAAGTTACAAAAATTTTTTTCACTGGGGTGTTTTTCTTGATAACCTCAGATGTTAAGGATGGAAATAGGGACATGGTGAGGATATATTCCTATGATTTTTTTAAAAATTTAGTAATCTTTGATTTATTTCAACAGTTAAGTCATCACATGTAATTAATATAATTTTGGAAGAGAACTTCAATAACAAATTTTAAAGGAAAAATAAAGTTCAATAAATATACCCATGAGGAAAGGGAGCATAATAAAAAAACTTCCCCTTTACAACTTCAGGGACAACTCTTAGCTCTGTGAATGCCACCCTCTTCCATCTCCTAGGAAAACAACTTAAGAATACAATAGGAATGGTGCTGTCTGGAATTATATAACACAGCAGCCCAATATTAGCCATTCCAGGAAAAAGGAACAGCAAGGGAAAAACATGGAGAGGTGAACCTCTGAGCAGTATGAGATTGGCACACATGTAGAGGACAGGAAAAGATGAAGCTGTACAGGACAGCACAAACTAACAAGCTTGCAAATTTTGCTAGCAAATCTCAAAACATGTTTTTCTCAAAAAGAGAAATGACAGATAATGATTTATTTCATAACACACTCCTATGAGCACACCACAGTTTGATAAAGTCCAACACTGTAATAATACATAATCACCTTTGGTAGTAACTATCAACACATTTGGAATGGGAGTAGCTTGCAAAAGATTTCAACATTGGCCTATGATAGGCCTCGGATTATATGCAATTCCCCAAGAATTACTTGTAACACTGTACCTATCATTTCCAATCAAGAAAGCACCTCAAATGAGAGACTGACAAAGTATGATTTAGAGAATAGATTTGCTCTCATTTGTATCGGGAAAAAAACTTCACAAACTTTAGTACGTCATTATGAGCAACAAATTGCATGAGACACACCTAAATGTGACTGCACACACACCTAGTTGATTGTAACACACTAGGATATTCTGACTTTATATCGGAGATTGTTATGGCAAGTAGTGAGGTTCTAAGTAGAATTCTAAACGTGATTGTTAGAAATGGAGTAACATAATTTGATTCATATTTTCTAAAGTCCCCTTTAACAACAGCACAGAGAACAATATCTACCCAGTCCCAGATTCCAGTCTGGGATGCCAATCACCATGTACACACCCACTGACCAACAGACATAAACCATGGACCATTCTTGTAGGTTCCTCACCTACTCTCAGCCTAACCTAACTCTACCCAACTCAAAATTCTTCGTTCATCCCCCAGCTAAGAACCCCTTAACAGAAAAACAAAACTCTGTAAAATATTTTAAAGAGGTTTATCCTGAGCCAATATGAGTGACTGTGGCCCAGGGGAAACATAAACTCAAGAAGCCTTGAGTAAGTGATCCTGAGGCGGTCAGATTACAGTTTGGTTTTATACAGCTTAGGGAGGCAGTAGTTACAGGCAAAGTCGTAAGTCAGTACATAGAAGGTGTACATTGGTTTGGCCCAAAAGCAGGGGTTTACAGGTTATATATATATACAGATTATATATAGATGGATTTGGAGATTTTTTAATTTGCAGTTGGAGTAAGGCTCTGTCTGAAACTTGGAGTCAGCAGAAAGGAATGTTTAAGTTATGTCAGTGTCAGCCACAAAATATTGGGTTCAAGCAACCTGTTAAGATTGACAGCCTGCAAGTGTGACTTAACCTTTGCCTCACATGGCCTTAGGTCTTACTTATAATTTGGTATCTTATTGCCACAAAGAGTCTGTTTTGTCAGTCTTACAATCTCTATTTTTAACATTAATGTTGGTCAGTTGTGACTAAACTCCAAGTGGGGGGAGTATAATGAGGCACATCTGACCTCCCTTCCTGTCATGGACAGGAACTCTGTTTCGGGTTTCTCTGAGGGTCCCCTTGGCCAAGCAGGGGTCTGTTCAGTTGGTGGAGGGCTTAGGATTTTATCTGTAGTTTACAAACCTATCTTTGGCCCTTTAGCCTTTGGTATTTGAACCCTCCAGTGTTTAACTCTCCATGTTCTCCAGTGGACTCTGATTTCAACATGTCTGTTGACTTCCTCCACTCGTAGGCCACTTTGAACAGGAGAGTCTAGGCTGGTCTTGCCTCCTCATACTCAATACCCACTGCTGGCCTTGATGCAAATCCCAGCTGGGCTAGTCCCAGGTGCTCCCTAAGGAAATGACTGGAAATGATGAGTTAGGGGTAGTGGGAACTGGAGGCAAAAAAACTGGGGAGAGCAAAATTATAACAATTCAAACCAGAGGCAATGGTGAACAAACTAAACTTGGAAATATTACACTGCACAAAGAAAGTACTGAGTTGACAATGACTAATTCTAAGAGATGAATTGTGAAAAGTGCACTAAAGTTACTAACTTAAGCAAATATATACCACACACACATACACACACACACACACACACACACACACACATAGAATACATAATATAAATTGAACCTTTGATATTAACTTTAATTCCTCCACACTCAGGAACTTATTGAAACAAAAGTTTTAGCCATACATACTTTTAAAATATGATTCTGAAATGTTTTATTTTATCTCCATTATAAGAAACAATTTCTTTTTTCAGGGCTTTCATAGTCATTGCAGAAAATTATTTCACTGCATACAATTGCTCAAACTTCAAACCCTAAGCATAGTATCTCAGGGTTCATAAATCAACCTCAGTGTGTTTTATAAGGTCATTTTTTCTTTTAGTTCAAATTGTACCTTAAAAGGTATCATAACATCATGGGTGTTGTGCTTAGTGGCAATAAAGACACCAATATCTTACTTGCAGCCCACTTCGTGCTTTTATGCAATCCTCTTGGTCCCTGTTTACATTTATGTTAGTTGCTTGGCTCCTGTATGCATTTCAGTTTATTATCTCTCATATTATTTTCATAGCTATATCTATATATCAATTTATCTGCTACTACTCAGATGCACATAATATGGGATTTACAGTGCCTTCATTCTCCCCCAATATTCATTTGCCAAAGTTGTTATTGCTGCTGCTGTTACTGCTGCTGCCTATAGCTAGGAATTCTTTCTCCCACCTCCTGCCCCGTTTTCTCCTTCTGTCTCCATTTCCCCCTCCCTTATTCCTTCCTACACCTTCCTCAAGGATTATAAATTCAGACTGAGTATTACCTGAAAAGTGACCTCCACAGTACCAAAGTCATGACACTAGCTTACTTCCTGGGTTACACTATTAGGCATCAGCCTGGGTCCTGGCCAGCCAACTCCTGCAGGAACACCAGTTAGTAGTTTCATGGCCTTCCATCAAAAAGCCTGAATAAAACTATTTTTTAAAAAGGCTAATTCATTACATCATTTGAGAAATCTTTCACTCTGCTCAGTTAGATTGTAAATCAGGTGACTCTACAGCATTAGACATATTTCTAATCAGCATCTAATTACATCATATCACAAACAAACCATCAGCATCACAAATTGTTTATATTTCTTATCTTCAAACATAATCTACCTTTTTTAATTCCCAGTGTTTTACATCTCTCTGCTTAGGAAAAGAAAATGTAGCAGTTCTAATAACATTTTTAATTTTGGTAAGGGTGGGATGGACACTGTTCACTATGGCAATTATCCTTCTCTCCCTGTGTTATGGATTGAATGTTTGCACCTCCCCCAAATTCATACCTTGAAGCCTTAACCCCTAATGTGATGGTATTTGGAGGTGAGGCATTTGGGAGGTAATTAGGTTTAGATTAAGTCATGAGGGTGGGACCCACATGATGGGGTTAATGCTCTTATGAGAAGAGGTAGACAGATCTCTCTCTCTCTTTCTTTTTTTTTTTCTCTCTCTCTCTCTCTGAGCAAACAGCAAGAGGGCGGCAGTCTGCAGCCAGAACTGTGAGAAATAAATGTCTATTACTTAAGCCACCCAGTCTATGGTATTTTGTTATAGCAGCTCCAGCTGACTAAGATACCTGGTAATGAATGTAATAATCATAAAAATCAAAATTAATAAACAAGTTGCACATCTGATGACAAGTCATCAGCACATTAACTTCTCTGTATGCAGAACTAGACATGTTGCCTTATTTGTTGGTGACTCTGAAATGATCTGCATTAAAACGACCATCTGCTCTGCTTGATTTGTAAAGTGGAATTAAGAGAAGAAACAGTAAGTTTATCGTTAGTACAACTTAAGCTTATGTAACAGAAGGTAAATGATCTTTCATTTAGAGGAAGTGAACAGAATATTCTCCAAGGATATAACTTAAATTAATGCTTGTTTTGTGACAATTCACGTGGATTTTTCATTTGGATGGTTTTGTCTCCAGTGGACTTAATGAAAGCTGAATATTCACACTTTTCTGACTTGAACATTGAATTGTTGCATTTTATCACTCTTCCATGCTTCATCTGTGATAAGAAGCAGCAAACATTGTATAAAAATTTCAAGGCCAATTAGGTTATTAATGATTATTTTTACTTTCTGTTCTGTGCAGACTATTGATGGCATCTTGTTTATAGAGTTTCCTACTGATTATGGTGTTAGAGGATTCTGTGATGCTTTATGGCAGGAGTAAGGCTGTGCTCAATATTTAACATGAATGGACATCCTTCTGCAAGCTCTTTAAATGAATTGTCTGTAGTCATTTTGGCAGAAGTAGAACTTAAAAGCACTAGGAGCTAATTGGAAACAGTTAGTTGAACCAAACAATATAGAGCTCTCAGAATCAAAGCAACATTGGACAAGACGTGTTATTGTTCACAATGCATTCTTCCATGAGAACTGAGAAATTCTTAGTTGCTTTATGTTTGTGCACACAGATATTCAGGATTACTATGGTTTTATTTCTTGGCTGCTTGTGATTTTTCCAGAGCTTTTAAAATTATGTCCTTTCCACTTTTATGGATAATTTCCTATTACTGCCTGCAAGAATAATCAAATTATTTTTATCACTTCTTCCAGGTCATTAAAAATGATATCCAATGTAAGTAGCCTAATAATAATAATCTCACTAGCATTCTCCTTAGATAACCTCTTCCTCTGTCAATTCACAACAGGACCATTTTTCATTATGTTTTATGTGCTCTTGCTCCCCCTCCAATCTATTCTCCACACAAGAGTTCAGAACAATCTTTCTAAAACATGTCATTCCTCAGCTTAAAACCCTTTATTACCCTTCTATTATACTTAGGAGAAAGTCCAGAATCTTTCAACCATAGGAAGGGCCATCCATGAGCTTGTCCCTAGCTAACTTTCCAGCCTCATCTCATGCCAGTTGCTCTTTCGTTTGCTAGTCTAGTGCCTTGGCTACCTTTTAGTTTTGCAAACATGACAAAGTCCACTTTACCTGAGGGCCCTCACACATACACGGGGAATAGGGACTGTATCCTAAAACTTAAGGTTCATTAGCTTCATGTTAACTTCCTTCTCTTCCCTCTGAACTTCTTTATAACATGTAACAACATGGGCGATTATTTTCTGCCTCCCTAATTTGACTGTGAGCTCCATAAAGGCAAATCTGGGTTTGCCATATTTACCACCATATCCTCTTCTACAGATCATAAGTATTCCAACAATATTTATGGAATGAACAAATAACTCAGCGAGTAAATAAGTTTTTTTTAATAATAAGCTTACAGTTGAATCATTTAGCATTTACTCACAGATTCAAAAGAAAAAAGAAAAAAAGGAAAAGAATTGCTTTGATTGTAATAATGACAAAAGTTTCACTTCAGAAAACCATAACACTTTTTCCTTTTTGGTCATCTCAGTAAAAAGGCAAAAAAGAAAAAAGAGAAATATATAAAGAATAACTTCGTGCCATAGAAGAAGGATGGTGTTTATTTCCACTATGTTTGAAAGTTTCAAGTTTGGGGCGTATTCTAAAGAGACAGTCTAGTTCTTTCAATCATCTGCCTACATACATGATAGGTTTCATTTGATCATCTTTCATTTCTCATCAAGTTATGAAAGACAAATAGTTTGTACAGCCTTTTGACATAAACATTCTACTGAGTATAACAAAACTATATCCAGTGATGTGCCACTAAACATTTAATAACCAGTTAGGTATTGGGGGAAAATAAGTATGTACTGTGGCATTTGCCTATTCCTGTAGTGTAAATAGTACCAACATTGGGCCAGATGTGGTGTCTCATGCCTGTAATCCCAGCACTTTGGGAGGCTGAGGCAGGTGGATCGCTTGAGGTCAGGAGTTTGAGACCAGCCTGACCAACATGGTGAAACCCCGTCTCTACAAAAAAATACAAAAATTAGCTGGACATGGTGGTGCATGCCTATAATCCCAGCTACTCGAGAGGCTGAGGCAGGAGAACTGCTGGAACCCAGGAGGCAAATGTTGCAGTGAGCAGAGACCACACCACTGTACTCCAGCCTGGGCAACAGAGTGAGACTCAATCTGAAAAATAAATAAATGGCAATAAATAAATAAATACTACCAACATGGCCAATTCCAAGCTAATCATGTTTAATAACCAGCTTCCAAAATTCCTAAAAATTTAACAATTGGTTCTTACAAAACTCTATTAGCATCTCTAACATACCATTGGCTACATAATTTCACAAAAATATTTTTGTATTTTTTACATACATACACATACACACAGTTGTAGAGCATATAGAATAAGTTACCAATAGTAAAATTCACCTTCAAAATATATGCTCTGTGTACTATAATATGGAAGCAAAAAATTGTAGGTATAAAGAATGTATTCTTTCAGTTTACCGTGATGAAGTTTATTTTGTAATCGTTTGATTTCTTCATCCTATTTCCATTTAAGAGTCTGCCCCAAAGCTATTTCACAGCTTAAATCCCATCTGTTCCACTTTATTCTAAACTTTTAAGTAGTAAGATTGTAAGTGTTAAAGACCACAATAATACTTTCTTCCTAGTTACTAGGAACAACAGTAGCTTACCATTCTCCAATTTCCTCCCACTTACTGTCTGCCATAACTCATGCATTATGGAGCATATATGAGTATTTACTATGAGCCACTTACTGGGATGATAGGCTCTGGGGATTCAATAGACACAACCCCTAGCTTCAAGGAGCTCACAACCTGGAAAGGAGATGGACAAGGATAATTCCAGACAGAAAGTAACCACCTGGGGCCAAAAGAATACACAGAATGTGTGTATAACTCAGCACTCAGCCAGCATTGAAAAAGCCAACATTAATGGTTGAACTTGAAGAATGAGTAGGAATTGGCCATGAAAAGAAGGAGGGGGAAAGGCATTCCAGGGAGATGGAAGACCAAGTTCAAAATTATGCACAGGCAGCTACAGCCGTGATTGAAACAATCAAAGCACAGAGTGTAAGAGGAGGTTGGAGGAATCCTGAGGCTGCAAAGACAGGTGATGGGGCAGCTTCAGGGGCTCATAAAGATTCTGTTGTGTTATGCAAAGGAAATTGGGTTTTATACCAAAGACAATGCATCAGAAGCATTTAAGGCAAGTTGGTGAATGACAGGATTGCTGCTTTAGAAAAAGTATTCAGACACTGGATTGAAGTTGGGTGAGACAGAAGTGAGAGACCACATGTTGAACAATGAACTCAACTGAGTAATCAACTCTCCTTCCATCACAGTTTTCCCCTGAGTTCTCTATTCATCTTAATTCTCTGCAATTACCAAGTGACATCTTTTTATGTTGAAACAAAAATGGTTCCACTCTATTGTTTCCTTTGGTCCCTAAATATCTCTCTTAAGTTCACTTTCTCTAAAAATGGCACTCAACATGAGTCAGCATTTTGCATCACAAATTTAATGGAGAAAAAAGACATAGACTTAACAAAGTAAAAGGATCAAATGCCCAGAGCAAGTGTAAGTTTAACCAAGGGAATGTCATATCTATTGTGGTTATCTGTTGCTACATCACATACCACCCCAAATTTAGTGGCATAAAACTATAGCAATTGTCAGTATTATCTCTTCACAATTCAGAGGGTTGACCAGATTCAGCTACATGGTTCCAGTCTCTAGTGCCATTGAATTCAAAGGAGGATTGGTGTGGTGGCATCTCAAAGGACCTCTCACTCATATGCCTGGTGGTTGTTGCTGGTTATTTGTTGGGACCTCAGTGGGGGCTGTCTACCAGGCCTTGTTATGTGGTCTGGGCTTCCTCCAAGCAGTGCTGGGTTTCAAAGTCAGTATTCCCAGAAAAAAAGGCCTTTTCTACCCTAAACTGGTTATTCACATAGTGTCACTTCTGCCACATTCTGTTTTAGAAGTGAGTCACTATGGCCAGTCCATTCACAAAGGGAAGAGATTTAGAGTCCACTTCTTGATGGGAGATATGTCAAAGAATTTTCAGATGTCTTTTTAAAAACGATCACAATCACTTTCATGTTTTTGACCAATACAAGAGTTATCCATTTTCATTTTGGCACACCAGGCAGGAAGTGATGAAATATAACAATAACCAACAATATCCAGAATACACTGAAAAGGAGTAAAACCTCCCATATATGCTCTCTGATAAACACTCAGTTCTTAAGAGGCTGGACTGAAAAATAAATATGGAGACCAAAGCTGAGACCAGGTCATCAGGGTCCGTTTCAAAAAGCCAACATCTCAAGAGCAGTAAGAAAAGAATCTGTTCCCGTTGTATTATGGGATAAAGACTAATGCAATTTCCAAAGTGAGAAGAACCTGAAGACTGCTAGCAGAATCATTTTACTATGAGGTATATACATATGTATGGGAAGTTGTAAATAGTTGTCATTATAGACTACGGGTTGAATAATTACCAAAAAAGCATTTACACTTCCAAAAGTTGATAAAGAACATCTCTAGCTATTATGTATATAGATACCTGGATCCTAAAGTGGGCAAAACTAGGTAAAAAGCTTACCTGACAGAATTTTAACAACATTTATTTCTGTCCCAGTATGATACACTTTACACATCTACCATGTAAGATGAGATATATTTGAAATTCACACAGCTTCAGTAGGTTAGACCAATGTAATTTACAATACCTACAACACTCAACAGTTATTTTTTAAAATCCTGATTAGAAGAGAGAAACAATAAACACACTAGTTGTAAATACTTATAGAAAAGCTGAAGAGAGGCTGTTTCTTCTACCTGTTTTTAACAGTACTATTGGGACATGAGAAGAAAGCATTTTTATTCTCACACCTTTAAAGGTTGCCTAATTTCTCAGTCTATTCTTCAGCAGGGCTACTTGGGCTAACAGAATAGAATGAAAGGATAATCCCTAGATTTAGCAATACTTTGTAGCCCTATATTTATTACCTAGTAATGATCATTTTGACAGATAGTTCTCAAATTTAAAGCTCATAAGAATCATCTATGGAACTTATTAAAAACTCAGATTCCTGGGTATCATCAGGAGACTTTGATTCAGCAGCATGTTTGGGGAGAAAAGTAAAATTTATATTTGAGTATTTTCTGTGTGCCAATCACTGTTCCAGGCAGAGGGGGTGCAACTGTGAAGACACAGTCTCTGCCCTCACGGAGCTGACACTCTAGACAGTGAGGCAGACCACAAATAAATAAATGTATCGTTTCAGGCAGCGAGTGCTGTAAAAGAAAAATAAGCATTCTAATTAGGCAGAGAGTACTGGATGGTACTCTTTTACCTAATTTATTTATTACTGTCATTATTGTTAATATTTTTGAGATAATCTCACTGTGTCACCCAGGCTGGAGTACAACGGCATTATCATGGCTCACCGCAGCCTCAACCTCACAGGCTCAAGCAACCCTCCCACCTCAGCCTCCTGAGTAGCTTGAACTACAGGCATGAGCCACCACACCTGGCTGCATTTTTTTTTTTTGAGAGATGGGTCTCACTATGTTGTCCAGGCTGGTCTCAAACTCCTGGGCTCAAGTGATCCTCCTGCCTTGGCCTCCTCCAAAGTGCTGGGACTACAGGCATGAACCACAATCCCCGGCCTGTTTTACTTATTTTAAATGGGATTGTCTTTATTGCTTATTATAAATGTAACATATCTAAAGGGAAAAAAGCAAAATACCATATGTGTAAAATAGAAAGAGGAGGTCCCTTGACAGAGAAAAATGATTAAATTTTGCCCATTTTCCTGTGCTACTTCTTTAGAAGAAAATGATAGGAAACACGTTGAACCTAATGGTGCAGAGATCTTAAGATTCATTTGTTCGTTAAACCATTATTTATTGAACACTTACTATGTTCCAACCACTGTTCTAGGAGGTGGAAACAAAGCAGGGAAGGAGACAAAGAACCTGCTGTCTTTAGGGGTAGAAATGCAGGCGTTAAATAAACAACTAATATAATTTCAGGTTGTGATAAATACTATGAAGAAAAGCTAGGTAGGTATAGTAGTCCATTCTCACACTGCTGTAAAGAAATACCTGAGACTGGGTAATTTATAAAGAAAAGAGGTTTAACTGGCTCATGGTTCCACAGGCTGCACAGGAAGCCTAGCAGCTTCTGCTTCTGGGGAGGCCTCAGGAAACTTACAATCACTGCATAAGGCAAAGGGGAAACAGGCACATCTTACATGGCTGGAGCAGGAGGAAGGAGGTGGTGCCACACACTTTTAATCAACTGGATCTCATGAGAATTCTGTCACGAGAATAGCACCAACGGGGGCAATCCACCCTCATGATCCAATCACCTCCCACAAGGCCCCACCTCCAACATTGGGGATTACAACTCAACATGAGATTTGGGTAGGGACACAGATCCAAACCATATCAGCAGGGATAGAATAATATTCAAGTTTGGTTTAAGGGATGGTGGGAAATAAATGGAATCAAGAGTGAAAATATTTCTTGGCAAATAAAAGCAAAGAAATTTTATATCAGAAACAGGATAGAAACAGCAAAGAAGGAGTAGAGATAGAGAAATCTTAAAGTGAAGAGATAGAACCAAGTTTATGTCAGATGACCTTGGCTTTTTCACTCCAGTAGAAGGCCTTGTCCTAAGGAGATGCTAGAAACCAGAAAGAAGCCTGGGAATCCTGGGGTGAAAGAAAACTTTTGAATGATTGCAGTGGAAAAAGCAGAGTGAGAGTCAACAAGACAGGAATTAAGAGATTGCTGAAGATCAGAAAAGCCCAGAAAGCATCTCCATTTTGAAAAACTTGGTCCAAGCTTCTGTCACCTGTCTTCTGAACCACTCCTATCACATCTCCCCACATCCATCAAAAATCTCCTCTCTTGTCTCCCGACATCCACTCCATTCCAGTCTCCACATTGTGGCCTGATCAGTGTGCCTTGACCTTGGTCTTTTTTCACCCATCAGTCTCAAAATTCATGACCTTCAATTCCAGGGAAATTTTAAAAATCATTTCATTAATAGTTGCTTCACCTCTGTTTAAAATTTTTTTTACTATGAAATATACTATAAATTAAAAACCATACATTTTATAATATGTCATATTTTTATAAAGTCACAATGTCTGTAACCACCACTCAGGTTAAGAAATAGAACACTACTGGGATGCTAGGAGGCTGGGGAGACTAATTTAGACAGCATAATCAGGGAAGGCCTCTCTGAGAGCTAACACTGGATGAAAAACCTGAATTAGACTTGAAGATCTGAGGGGAATCACATTCCCGATAGAAGGAGCAGTAAGGGTAGAGAGTCTCTGAATTTGGAAAAATCTTGACATGTTCCAGGAACAGCAAGAAGGCCCATAAGAATAGCACAAGGTGAATGAGAAATGTGGTTGAAGATGAGGTCAGACAGAGGCTCAGAGCAGCTCACAGGGCAGCACAGACAATGGTAAGGAGTTAGAATTGCATTTTGAGTATGATGGAAACTACTGAAAGATTTTGAGTAGTAGCTTATGTGATATGATATACTTTTGAAATTATCACTCTGGTTATTACATGGAAAATTGATAGAGCAGGCTATCAGGAGCAGGGAGACCATCCAGGAGATGAAAAGTTACTAGATCTTAAATGTTGTAAAATATAAGCCAATAGGATTTGTTGATGGATTGGCTGTGGGGTGTGTAAAAAGAAAGAAAAAGGTCAAGGATGACTCTTGAGGTTCAGATATGAGCAATTAAATACATAGTGGTGCCACTGACTGAATTGGGGTGCCCTAAGGAAGGAGCATATTTTTCAAAAGCCATGGATACAAGAGTTAAGTTTGAAATGCATATTAGATATTCAAGTGGAAATGCTGAGGAGGCAATTGAATATGAAAGATTGGCATTCATGGGGAAAGACCGGGGGACTCAGTGCAAAAGTTCACCTAGGAAGTGAGAATAGATTATGAAAGCAGAGAAACTAGCCCTTCAGTTCTTCAAAATTTACAGATAAGGAAAGGGGGAAATCAAGGAAAAATAAGCTACTGCAGTAGGAAAAAATCCAAGTCAGTGTGCTGTCTCTGAAGACAAGTGAAGAGAATCTTCCAAGAATCAGAAAGCGATCAACTGGGTAAAAGGCTGCTGGGAAATTGAGAATTGGCCATTAGGTTTGACAAAACTGAGGCTGTTAGTAACCTTAGTAATCGAAAAGATCAGCTTCTTGGAGTAGTGGGAACAAAAGCCTGATTAAAGTTGGCTGGAGCAAGAAAGCAAAGTAAGAGACAAGTATATAGAGTTTTTTCAAGAGGTTTTGCTAAAAGGGAAGCAGAGATATGGGCAGTAGCTACATGGGAATAAAGGGTCTAGAGAGTTGTTTTAAAACTAGGAATAATACAGTATGTTTGTGTACTGAAGGGAATGATCCAATAGAGAGAATTTAATGATGCAGGAGATGGGAGTGGGCTTGAAGGGAGGGTAATTGTGATGCAAAGTCCTCGAGTGAATTAGAGGTGATAGGACTGAGTACACAAGTGGAAGAACTGCCTTACATTGAAACAAGTCGAGTTCGTCTATGGTAGCAAGAGGAAAGGTACAGGAATATGGATTTTTCATGTGCACCCTAGGTGATTCTAATATGGTTGGACCCATAATTACATCTGGAGAAAGACTTGTTTAATTAAACATTTCTTATGCAAGGAAGGGGAGTAGATTCATTCAGATGCCAACAAGAGATATGAAGAGAAAAAATGACTCTGCAAAGGGCTGGTCCACTTTCATGTAAACTGGGCTGTCAACATCATCCCTAAAATGGAGATGCAGTGAAGAATCACGAAGGGGTATTGTGGGACATTGCTACCATCATTCAAATTCTAAAGATAGCGCACTCTGGCTGTTTGCCCACTGCCACTTCCTACCAAATTCCTTCCCAGTTGCTCTAGGCCAGTGAGGCTTAACATTCTTTGGGTCACTGACTGAATTGAAGATCTAATAAAAATTTGTACTTTCTTCCCAGAAAAATGTACACATTCTCTAGAGCTGTTTTGGTTGCAAACCACAGAACCATCTTTGGCTTCCACAAGCAAAAATAATTTATGGAAGCAAATGAGAGATGTGATAGTTAATTTTACGTGTCAACTATTTTACACCATGGTACCTAGATATTTGCGGGGGTGGGGAGAGAGAGAGAGAGAGATGGAGAGAACTTGCCAGCAGACTGCTTTCAGACTTGGACTGCAGCATCAACTCTTTCTTGGGTCTCCAGCCTGCTGACCTATCCTGCAGATTTTGGACTTGCCAGACTCCGCCCACATTCATGTGAGTCAGTTCCTTAAAATCTCCCTCATTTTCTGGAGAACTCTGACTCACACAGAGAAGTTCACAAATACAAAGAAGAGGCTAACAGACTGGAAAAAAAAAGAATTATGTAATTCTAAAGGGTTTTGGTCATAGGATGCTCAGATCATCTCTGCTGGGATGAATAAACTCCAACTGATTTCATTCTTGTATCACTTGATTCATGATTTAAATTCCAAATGGTGGCTGTTCAATTCGCTTAGCGTGGGTCATATGCCTAGACACAGGCTACTGAAGCACAGGCACCTTTGTGAATAGCTTCCCAGAGTGGATTCAATGAGGAAGAAGCTATGCTCCCAGAGAAAACCAGGATGATGCTATTACTAAAATAATGTAGAATTCAGCATACTAGAGTACCAAAAATATCTGATGTTTCAACCACATGTAAATACAAAATTTTACATATAATTTTGGAAGGCTCACAGACTCTCTCTCACTCTATATACAGCCTATATATGTATCTTCTAGGATTGTTGAGCCCTGCCCACCACCAGGTCAAGAACCCCTTGTCTAAACATAACTACTATATATTCTTGGTTCTCACCTCACTGAATGGTTAGGCTACTGGGTTATTCTGTGAAATGGAGAATGTGGTGGCTTCTTCTGTTTCCTCCCATCCCCAGTCTCAGGAGGTTGGGTTTGCATCTTCTTGAAGGAGAAAGACAGCATTAAACTGTCGGCAAGAATTTACTGTAGCCCCTCATGATACAGGAAAAGAGGTCTGAAACAAAAGAATATGGATTTGAATTCTATTCCTATCAACCAAGAGACCTTCAGCTTGAGGACCTCTTTGAGCTTCAAGTCCTTGTCCTTAAATTTCCCTGCTTGCCTCAATAGATATTGTGAGGTTCATGTAATTACCTCAGAATACATTTTGTAAACTAGAAATTTATGAACAAGTTTGAGATGCAATCCCTATATCTATGTAGATCCATAGATTGAGAGAGAGTGAGAAAGGAAGGAAAGGAAGGAAGGAAGGAAGGAAGGAAGGAAGGAAGGAAGGAAGGAAGGGAGGGAGGGAGGGAGGGAAAGGAGAGGAGAGGAGCGGGGAGGGGAAGCGAGGGGAGGGGAGGGAAGGGAAGGGAAGGGAGGGGAAGGGAAGGAAGGGAAGGAAGGGAAGGGAAGGAAGGGAAGGAAGGGAAGGAAGGGAAGGAAGGGAAGGAAGGGAAGGAAGGGAAGGGAAGGAAGGGAAGGAAGGGAAGGGAAGGAAGGGAAGGAGGGAAGGGGAAGGGAAGGAGGGAGGGAAGGGGGAAGAAGGGATGGAGGGAGAGAAGGAGGAAGATGACAGATGACAGACAATACTTCAGTGGTTGTCAAGCCTGGTTAATAACAGAAACATCTGCTAATCTTTTAAAAATGCAGATTCTCAGATTTCCACCTAGACCTACTAAATCAAAATCTCCATAGGTGAAGATATAGATATCTTCATGCATACATGTCAAGTTTCCCACATTATTCTTAAATTTTCTAGATTTCAGGTCCCCATCACATTTCAAATCAGAATTATTCACAATGTGTTATTTTGATAAAAGTCAGTATTACTATTTGCAAGACTATCTAGAGGTTGACTGGATAAAAAAAATACTGTTAACTTATTTCACACATGTAACCATGCAAGACTATCTAGAGGTTGACTGGATAAAAAAAATACTGTTAACTTATTTCACACATGTAACCAATCATATATAGTCACAGAATCCAACAGCCCCACTGGTGAAATGCCAGTAGAGCAATAACTGGCTTAGAACAAATTCTGCTCTCATTTATATGCTCAGAATCATTAGAGTAAGATTTTACAGCTCATGATCATTTTAAGCATCATCAATTTATGAGTATGGCTATTTCCACAGTTTCAAAAACTTTGCAGAGAAATCTATAGCTTCCTGCAGCCCTTTAATATGGAGATGATGTAATGTATTCTTTAGTGGGGGAAAGTGAGAGAAATTAAGGAGAATGTAAAATACAAAATAATGGTGCCAGCCTTTGTGGTAGCAACATTTTCTTCAACATCTGATATGTCTTTATCATTGAAGTATGAGGATTATTTTCTTCAATGTTTCCCTGGAGGAGAAAGAAATTTCACAAAGTATTTAAAAATAAAGGCAGAAGTGACCTTCCATAAATACCTTTAGTTTCCTCAATCTTCTCCAGTTTCAGCTTTGCACTGTTTTACACTAGATCTTAATAATGTCTTCATGCTGCATCAAATTTTTAAAAAATGTTAACTCTTATAACATAAGCCATAGATAAGCATGACAGAGGTCCTGTCCTCTCTTGCAGTGAGTATTAAGTTTCCTGGCTGAGGGTGATGTTGTTCTATTTTCCTGACAGAATAAAAGCAGCATGTTTCAGCTGAATGCTGTGTCAAACTCTTCCAGTTTGGCTGCCTACAGATGGGAGCACCAATTCCTTCCTTGCTAGCATCTACTACACAGAAGACCATCTTAAAGACGCCAAAGTGAAGTTAGGAATACTCTTAAGTCTGGATGTTGATCCTTGAATGAATGTATAAAGATGTTTAACATTTTAAAATTCTAAACAAAACTGATTAAAAATGTAAACTAATAAGTGAAAATACCTTTTTGCATAATTACAGTATCCCTCCTTATAATTTTAGGTGCAAATGACAGCCCCCAGTGCACCGCCCATTGCAACACTGGAGCCCCCATCACAGGTTAGAAAGAGTTCATTCAACCTCTCCTCCTCCTGGGTCCGCCTCTCCTCCTCCTAGGTCCACCTCTCCTCCCACTGGGTCCACCTCTCCTGAATATTCAAAAAGCCCCCAGAATGCTTTCTGGAGTCCAAAGCTCCGGTGAATCTAATCTCAAATCCCATTGAGGCCAGAATTCATAGAAGCTCCCTTGAGATGGGTGGAAGCTCAGCAGGAATGAAGGCTGGGCTTCTTCAGAAGTTAATATCATGCTGCTTTTGGCAGCGCACAGTGGCTCACGCCTGTAATCCTAGCACTTTGGGAGGACGAGGCAGGCAAATTGCCTGAGCTTAGGAGTTTGAGACCAGTCTAGACAACATGGCGAAATCCTGTCTCCACTAAGAATTAAAAAGAAAAAATTTAAATTAAAAAAAAAATTAGCAGGGCGTGGTGGCACACACCTGTAGTCCCAACTACTCAGGAGACTGAGGCATGAGAATCACCTGAACTCAGGAGATGGAGATTGCAGTGAGCCAAGATTGTGCCACTGCACTCCAGCCTGGGCGACAGAGTGAGACTGTCTCAAAACAAACAAACAAAATCGTGCTGCTTTTGCCACCATTATGTAGATATCGCTGGCCCCTGACTTGTCACTAATTGCTGATGCTGCGATTTGTACTTAAGCTCAAAGTTACCACTTGTGGAGACTAACAGGCCAGTCCCATTGATTCTCACCTTGTTAAAGCCATGCAGCTGAAGGAGTCCACCTCTACTGAGGGCTGGTTGTTCTAGGATAGCAGTTCTCAAACTTTAGCCTGCATCAGAGCGACTCAGAGGACTTGATAAAATACAAATTGCTCATCCCCACTCTCAGAGACTTTGATTGAGTGGGTGTGCAGTGAGTCCTAAGAACACACACTTCTATCAAGTTTCCAGGTGATGCTGATGCTGCTATTCTGGGTCCACACTTCCCAGAACAGCAGCCTAGGAGAAGGCCCTTCCCAAGGCTATCTGAAGAAACCCTCCATTTGTTTCTGCAGCTGCTGTTCTAAGGACATAAACTCTGCTGGTCTAACCTAAAGCAAGAGAGCTGGACTGAACCACTCCTGTGGTAGAGACTCCTGGCTGAACTGTACTACTTCTCATGGAGTGAGAGAGGAAGATCCTTCTCTGGCCTGGGTTCCTGGTATCCTAGTTCTTAGAATCAGCCACTCAGACACCTCCTTAGAACTCAAGACTGCCACCTGGATGCAGGTAGATGGGTTCTCATACCTACTGCCTCACAGACCCCAGAAAAACCCTTGATCTTTAATCATCTAACTTTTGCTTAAACTTTGGCTTATGGTAATTTTATCTCAGAATTGTATCACTGAAGTTTTTTTTTTTTTTTTTTTTGAGACAGAGTCTCACTCTGTTGCCCAGGGTGAAGTGCAGTGGTGCCATCTCAGCTCG
Organism: Homo sapiens; assembly: GCF_000001405.40. Lineage (NCBI taxonomy): Eukaryota > Metazoa > Chordata > Mammalia > Primates > Hominidae > Homo > Homo sapiens. The sequence goes on along the minus strand of NC_000008.11, from coordinate 104,639,098 downwards.
CTGCAACCTCTGCCTCACAGGTTCAAGCAGTTCTTGTGCCTCAGCCTTGGAGTAGCTGGGATTACAGGCTTGCACCACCACACCTGGCTAATTTTTGTATTTTTAGTAGAGACGGTGTTTCACCACGTTGCCCGGGCTGGTCTTGAACTTCTGACCTCAGGTGATCTGCCCACCTCAGCCCCCCAAAGTGCTGGGATTACAGGTGTGAGCCACTGCACCAGCCTATTGCTGAACTGTTTATGCCTACCTTGCCATTGAGCCTTACACAGGACAAGTAGGCTGCCTTAGTAGATTTGTATAACATTGAATTTGGACCCTTCTGTCCAAATCCAGGGATCCTTCTGTCCTAGAGGGTCCCTGGATTCCTAACACAATTTAATTCTTCCTTGTTTTAGCAATCTTCAAATTCCATGTTTAAGGTGCCAGAAAGAGACCAAGTGTGACTAAGGGCTGTCAGTAGATTTTATCACTTTAGGTAATAAACTCTAGTTAACAGATACAATGCATTTTTGGAGAACAAATGTGTACACATACACACACATAGACACATACATAGGAAAAAGGAAATTACAGATTTTATAGCAGAACAAAGAAAAAAATCATGCAAGGCTTTCCTTTGTAATGAGATTGCTCTGCACCTTGGCAGTTCCCTGCCTAATAGTGGATTGAGCATTAAGTTATTCAGTAAATCAATAGTTGTCAGTCACATTGTACAACGCGTCCCCAAGTCCCAACCTTGGTAGTGAGCATTGCAATGTTAGCAGAAATGTGATCATCATTACCAAGTAGATCAGTAGACAGGTAAATCTTTTTTTATGATTGTTGACCTTTATTATCTCAGCAAGTTATTTTATTATATACGTGTCCCTAGTAGTCTTGGAAATAAATATTAATAATTACAAAAGCCTTACATTCTCACCAACATTTCCTTATTTGATACGTATAGGGTTTTCTATGCATAACAAAGGCAAAATTTGCTCAAGGTTATTTACTACCAATGTTTACTCTGTAAAGTGCCTCAAGGCATTCTCGGTATAAAAGCTTTTATATAAAATATTATTTTCTATCCCTATGATAATCTAATAGCTAGAACACCTTCTAATATGGTTTAAATAAGAAAAAAATCACTCATCATCTTTCACAGGTAAACAGTAATGAAGTAGCAAATAGAAATTTAATAAAATATAAAATTTTTTCTACTGCAGATAAAAATTACATTTGTGTTTAATAATTTAAATGATATAAACATGACATAAAGATGTCAATAATTTTTAAAATTTTTTCTTCATAAATGTTTTCTTTCATTTTCTACATTTTGAAGTGTAAGCATTGACTTTGCTTTTATTTTATTGGACAAGTAGTACACAAATTATACATGGGTGATGGTCAATATTGAGTGTCAACTTGATTGGACTGAACGATGCAAAGTATTGTTTCTGGGTGTGTCTGCAAGGGTGTTGCCAAAGGAGATTAACATTTGAGTCAGTGGACTGGGAGAGACAGACCTGCCCTCAATCTGGGTGGGCACCATCTAATCAGCTGCCAATGCAGCTAAAATACAGCAGGCAGAAGTTAGAAGGGCTTGACTTGCTAAGTCTTCTGGCCTCCATCTTTCTCCTGTACTCGATGCTTCCTGCCCTCGAATATCAGACTTCAAGTTCTTCAGCTTCTGAACTCTTGGATTTACACCCGTGATTTGCCGAGGGGCTCTCGGGACGTTGGCCACAGACTGAAGGCTGCACTATCAGCTTAGCTACTTCTGAGGTTTTGGGACTCGGAGCTTGCTTCTCAGCTTGCAGCTGGCCAATCATGGGACTTCACCTTCTGATCATGTGAGTCAATTCTCCTAATAAACTCCCCATTCACATATACGTCTATCCTATTACTTCTGCCCCTCTAGAGAATCCTGACTAATACAACATGGGTGGTGCTTTTATGAATTTTTTTCTTCTGTGAAATATAGCAAATAGTTATATGCACAAAGTAACAATGTGGAGTTCAACAAAGTGTCACAAAGGAAAGAACTAGCTAGGTATAACCAGGGTCAGAAGATGCTAGCAGGATGGGGGATTATTCTGCAGGTCAATAGACACTGTCAGTAACTGAAAGCCTCTGATATAGTTTGGGTGTGTGTCCCCGCCCAAATCACATACTGAAATGTAATCCCCAGTGTTGGAAGTGGGGCCTGGTAGCAGGTGATTGGAACCTGGGGGCAGATTTCTCATGAATGGTTTAGCACCATCCCTCTTGGTACTGTCCTTGCAATAGTTAGGATAAATTACTCAGTCTCAGGTATTTCTTTATAGCAATGCAAGAACTGACTAATACAGCCTCCTACCTGTCCACTTCCAAACATTAAAATCCCCTCCCTGCAGAGGTAAGTACTATCCTGACTTACACACCAATCACCACCCTGCTTGTTCTTAGATTGACCACCTAGGCTTGCATTTCCTAAACCCTGCAGTTTAGTTTTGCCTCCTTTTTGAGCTTTATATAAATAAAATTATATATCACGTATTCTGTTTTGCCTGGCTTCTTGCACTTCACATTGTGTTTTTGAGATTCATCCATTATGAGTACATAAATGTAATTCATTCATTTTCATAGCTATAAAGTATTCCACTGTATAGAATAACATAATTTTCATATTCATTCTATTGTTGATGGACATTTGGGTTGTTGAGACAGTTGACACTATGAAACTATGAAATTCTTATAGGTCTTTGGAGCAATAACTTTTTCAGTAAATCAGTAGCAGTCAGAAATATACAACACATTCCAATTCCACATCCTCAGTGTTGAGCACTGTGATATTGGCACAAACGTGAGCACCATTACTAACTACATAAGGAGACAGGTGATTCTTCTACATAATTCTTGGCACACACTTGTGAGCATTTCTGTTGAGTGTATATCTGGAACTCCTGAGTCATAGAACATGTGTGTCTTCAACTCTCCTTATATTACACCAAAGTGTAGTATTAATGTACCTCTCACCAGCATTAAATAAGTGTTCTGTTGTTATTCATTCAGGTCTCAGCTCCAATTTTATCTCCTTGGAGCGTCCTTTTCTGGCCATCCTAGTTTATGTATTCCACCCCATCTTCCCTTATTCTTTAGTCCATTACTCCAATTTATTTTCTTGGTCCCCTTCCTGCTCTGTGAAATCACCTTATTTGTTTCTGGGCTCCTCCACTGAAAGGTAAGCTCCATGAAGACAGTGACTTTTTCTTGCCCCTAGCTAGGATAGTGTCTGGAACACAACAGACTCTCATAAATATTTGTTAAATGAATGGTTGGGAACTCCTTGTATATATATAGTATATGTTCACAATAATGCCAGTAGAAAAGACTTTACAGAATATAAACTTTGAATCTTCTCTTTGCAAGGAGCAATACTTTTTGAATAGGAGTTTCATGATCCATGTAATATGTTTAACAGCTAGCGTTCAGAAAAATAATTATTCATTTAGATTTTCCTGTAAGATGACCATCATGACATATGTTGAATAATAATTTTTCCCGTCTCATGAACACAGTGAATACCAGCATTTCATATCCACTGTGAGAAAACAGGTGCCTGTAAATCAAGGCTTCATGTTCTTTAAAGTGCAGACCATAACAATCAATTGACATCCTTCTGTAAATAATAATGCATGGTTTCTCAAGGAACCCAGCAGGTAATTGAATCCCTGGTCTAAAGAAGCTCTAGGACTGTGATTTTTTGATATCTATAGAATCCCTCAACTGACTTTATTGTCTTGTTTTTAGCTAGCACTTGAAATAAAGGTTCATGAATCTTTATTATATATCCAGCCTCTCTGGAATAGAGTAGTAGTGGTGTGTACGCTTGGAATATGCCCAGTCCTATCTGCATTTCTACTGTAAGGCCACAGTGACAAATACCCAGTGGGGTAGGAGGATGTGGGTTTTGTGCATGTCTAGAGCCATCCCCAGGTGAATCCAGACACCTGAGGCAGGCGATGATATATCAGATTATATTTTACAATGGGGCTAACCCCAAAGCCCCAAATCGCCAACTACAAATGTGGCTATATAACAGAGAGGAAAGTTTTGTGTTCTAAATGCGTTACTGTTCCATGGTTTCTGTTTTTTAAGGAGAGCTGACCATGTGACCTTACTACTCTGATCACAGTTAACTGGACCAGGGATGGGTGCTTGACTCAAGGCTGGCCAGTGACCTGTGAAATGGCATGAGACCTCTGCCAACAGGGCTACTCTTCTTGGGAAAGTGACCAACTAAACAAATTAGGTTATCTTTCTTTAAATGTAGGACATAGGTACCATTAGAGGAAGGTAGGAGAAAAGGAAAACATAGAATATGTTATTTTTGACTATATAATTTGAGATATATAAACCATAGTTTTATCTCTTCTATAATCCTGAAAATATTAAAATTATTCATGAGGATAGAAAATAAAATCAAATAAAAACCATGAGCATTATCTTGTGCAAAGATCTACTAATCTGTGGTTTAAAACTAACGTATACTCTAACTTCTACCCAGACAACAACAAAACCATCTGTTGGGTAGAAAAGCCAAGCAGTCAGAAATTCAGAAAAAGGCAGGAGGTCCAAGCCATGAGGCAGGAGAATCTGCAAGGTGAGAGAAACCACAATAAGCAGAAACCAGGATGTAGCAAGTAGGAGAGTAGAGAATGGTAGTTTTGTGAGCTCAAAGGTTGTGACTGAAAATAAAAAAGCAGAGTCATTACACTGATGGCATGTTAAGTAACAATAGCATTAAAGAGATAAAACCCATCGCCAGAAACACTGAATCACAAAGTCCTTACAGTTTTCTGTGAGACCAGCTTGTTTGGCTGTTGTGTTTCTTAGTCTTCCTCTCAATAAAAATTTGGTGTAGATAATAATCACCTAGGATGTGAATTAAAAATCTACTACCTGAAGCCCTGAAAAGGTTCAGATCTAGAGGATGTGGTCCATGACCTAGGAATCTTCATTTTACATATCTGAGCCTGATAGTCCAATAAATCAGCCCTTAAGAAACACAAATCTAAGCTATCCTGAGGTTGTATATATTCCTTGAAACTGGAAAGAAAAAATCTACCTAATATAGAACCCATGTATGATTTCAATTTTGCAGACATAGCCCAGAGTTGGAGCATCAGGGACACATTGCTGTATTGGTTTTATAATTATCTTTGCATTAAATAAAAGTCACTTTTAGAAATGCTACATTTTAAGTATTTTAAAATAAAAGGTTCTCCCTGTCTTCACCCCAAAGGACTGTATGAGGCTTGTATTCCTCTCTTCCCTTGAAGAACTCTGCTCTACTCAAACTCATTGATGCCCAAACATGGGCCAAATTCTGTTCATGTCTAAACCAATGCATATACTCACCCACCCTATCCCTACTTAGAGGAATAGCGAGGAAGGAGCTCAGAAGCTTAACTAAGGTTGACTGGTGTGGAATATTGGGTGAGGACACTGTTGGGTCCCACAAGACAGGGTCTGGGTGTTGGAATGGAAACTAGAACTTCCCCCTAAAGATAATCCAGCTGGGAATCAAGACAATAGTCAAGTCAAAGTCCACTGGTGAATACCAAGTTTTAAGACTGAAGACACTACGTCCAAAGACCAATGCAAAAGTTGGAGGCAGGAATCAAGGCAGAGGTGTTGAGAGGTGACAACATGCCAACAGCCCTCGCTCGCTCTCGGTGCCTCCTTGGCCTCGGTGTCTACTCTGGCCATGCTTGAGGAGCCCTTCAGCCTGCCGCCACACTGTGGAAGCCCATCTCTGGGCTGGCAGAGGCCGGAGCCAGCTCCCTATGCTTGCGGGGAGGTGTGGAGGGAGAGGCGCGGGCGGGAGCCGGGGCTGTGCACGGCACTCGCAGACCAGTGCGAGTTCAGGGTGGGCATGGGCTCGGAGGGCCCAGCACTGGGAGCGGCCGGCGGGCGCCACTGGCCCCAGGCAGTGAGGGGCTTAGCACCCGGGCCAGCAGCTGTGGAGGGTGCGCCGGGTCCCCAAGCACTGCCTGCCCATCCACTCCGTGCTTGAATTCTTGCCGGGCCTCAGCCGCCTCCCCACAGGGCAGGGCTCAGGACCTGCAGCCCGCCATGCCTGAGTCCCCCCACCCCATGGGCTCCTGCGCGGCCTGAGCCTCCCCAGTAGGCGCCACACCTGCTCTGCGGAGCCCAGTGGATGACCACCCAAGGGCTGAGGTGTACAGGCACTGCACGGGACTGGTGGGCAGCTCCGCTCATGGCCCCAGCGCAGCGTCCACCGGGTGAAGCCAGCTGGACTCCTGAGTCAGGTGGGGACTTGGAGAGCTTTTAAGTCTAGCTGGAGGATTGTATATGCACCAATCAGCACTCTGTGTCTAGCTCAAGGTTCATGGATGCACCAATCAGCACTCTGTATCTAGCTAATCTGGTGGAGACTTGGAAAACTTTTATGTCTAGCTGGAGAATTGTAAATGCACCAGTCAGCACTCTGTGTCTAGCTCAAGGTTTGTAAATGCACCAATCAGCACCCTGTGTCTAGCTCAAGGTTTGTGAACGCACCAGTCAGTGCTCTGTGTCTAGCTAATCTAGTGGGGACTTGGAGAACTTTTATGTCTAGCTAGAGGATTGTAAATGCACCAATCAGCACTCTGTGTCTAGCTCAGGGATTGTAAATGCACCAATGAGCACCCTGTCAAAATGGACCAATCAGCTCTCTATAAAATGGACCAATCAGCTCTCTGTAAAATGGGCCAATCAGCAGGATGTGGGTGGGGCCAGATAAAGGAATAAAAGCAGGCTGCCTGAGTCAGCAGCAGCAACCCCTTTATGTCCCCTTCCACGTTGTGGGAGCTTTGTTCTTTTGCTCTTTGCAATAAATCTTGCTGCTGCTCACTCTTTGGGTCCGCACTGCCTTTTTGAGCTGTAGCACTGACCGTGAAGGTCTGCAGCTTCACTCCTGAGACCAGCAAGACCATGAACCCACAGAGAGCAATGAACAACTCCGGACGGGAGGAATGCACAACTCCAGACGTGCCACCTTTAAGAACTGTAACACTCACTGCAAAGGTCTGCAGCTTCACTCCTGAAGTCAGCGAGACCACAAACCCACCAGTAGGAAGAAACTCTGGACACACCATCTTTCACCATCTTTAAGAACCGTAACACTCACCATGGGGGTCCGTGGCTTCATTCTTGAAGTCAGCGAGACCAAGAACCCACCAATTCCGGACACAGTCTCAGAGCTAGAAGGATAGAGCAGGCAGAAATAGAGTCCACATAAAGTACCTGGTCACTCTAGGCTAAGTGGCACCAATAACACTGAATGGTTGCAGCTGAAATTCATGAGCTGATGAGTACATGGAGATGTACGCCAGCTTAAAGCCCTTGTGAATCAATCTGTCTTCTAACAACTCTTGTTCAATTCTCAGGACAGAAAGTTTGCCAAGACGGTCTTTGCCCAGATGCTGGTACCATTTGTGGGCAGAAATTTCTTATGCTGTTTGGTCAGTACCATCTATTTCTGGACTGATGTCTCAATATCCTTATCTATAAAATGGGAATTATAATAGTACCTAACCTATAAATTAGTAATGGTTAGAAGAATTAATATGTGAAATACGATAATATATAAGTGACTGGCACTTAGAAAACACTAAAAAATTGTTGATTGGGGATGAAGGTGAACAAAATGATATAAATGTATTTATTGCCACCGAACTATACACTTAAAAATGGCAAAGATGTTAAATTTAAAAAAAAACTTGATTGCTGCTGCCACCATTGTTGCTGCTGTTTGCCAGTGTTACTATAATTAACAATTTCTTATGAACAACCAATTATTTTGACACCTTTCTCCTTTATGCTGGGTTTTTTTTTTTTCTTTTTTTTTAGACATGGTCTTATTCTATCACCCAGGCTGGAGTGCAGTGGCATGATCATGGCTCACCATAGTCTTGACCTCCCAGGCTCAAGCAATCCTCCCACCTCAGCCTCCTGAGTAGCTGGGACCATAGGCATATGCCACCATGCTCAGCTAATTTCTTTGTAGAGATGGGGTCTCACTATGTTGCCTGGGCTGGTCTCAAACATGGGCTCAAACAGTCCTCCCACCTCAGCCTCCCAAAGTGCTGGATTATAGGAATGAGCCACCATGCAGCACACCGTATGCTGAATCTCTTGATACTGACTTCCTGCCTAGGTCATGACACATGTTGTTGGCTGTTTGTTTCCTTCTAGGTACTATGTTTCAGACAGAATTCCCTCGTGAAAATTAGTCTGTTTGATACCACCGCCTACCACTTCCTGATAGTGTTACCCATCTCATCAGGTAACAGGTCATTTCCATTATGTCCCCAAATAACACAAATTTCTTCTTCCTTACCAGATATTCTTGAAGACCTGACTCAAATACTTTCTTTTTCATAAACTTTACATAACCTGAAGGGTTCTCCCAGCTCTCTGGAGTGCCTACTATATGTAAGCTGAATAATGAATCTACCAATTAATCATTTGCTTCTTCATAAAATCTTTTCTGTAAGTACCTCAAATTGTTATTTAAATCATGTATTATTATTTAACTTATCATACATCCATCTTGTGTACACAGAAAGATAGTACCCTCCTTGATGATAGCAACTGTTATTCATCTTTGTATGCCCCCCAGCTAAGCACCACGCTTTTCACAGAGCTCAACAAATATATGTGATTTGATTTGAAATGCTTAGTTAGAATACCATAAAAGACTACCCATTCCACATTCAGAGGAAGTCATTAAGATTTAAAGAGGCCATTAAGGACTAATCCAATAATTTACAAGAGAGTAAACTGCTTACTTTCAGGCAGATGTGCTAACTTTCTAGGCCACTAAGGTTCTATTTAAGCAATTTACCATGAGTAAATTATCAAATGGATCCAGGTAGCTCAAAAAGGTTAATACCCGCTACTTCCTACTAAGAGGTAAGCTATGCCTCCTTTGCCTGCTCTGAGCAATGGCAGGCAAAACCATCTATTGCTTATAATGTACTGAGAATGATATTTAAAGAGTAACCATTTGGACTGAACTTACATAGCTGAAGAAAGCAGTTCCATAAACTGTAAGATTACACTGCACTACTGGTACCCAGATGCAACTGACTTGCCCTAATATTGACATCACTCTTCTTTTCTTCCTACCCCATATTCTAAAATGGTCATATGTAACATGAAAACAACAACAACAACAACAACAATGGAAGAAGAACTCAGTTGCATTCACTGTTTTGTTTGTTTGTTTTGTAGATGGGGTCTTGCTCTGTCACCCAGGCTAGAGTGTAGTGGCACAATCTCGGCTCATTGAAACCTCCGCCTCCCAGGTTCAAGAGATTCTCCCACCTCAGCCTCCCAAGTAGCTGGGATTACAGGCGCGTGCCATCATGCCTGGCTAATTTTTGTATTTTTAGTAGAGACGGGGTTTCACCATGTTGGCCAGGCTGGTCTCGAACTCCTGACCTCAGGTGATCCATTCACCTCCGCCTCCCAAAGTGCTGGGATTACAGGCGTGAGCCACCGCACCTGGCTGTGTTCACTGTTAATTGTTGCAGAAATTGCACTCAATAGTAGGGATACAAAGGGATTTAAAGCCTGAAAACATGATACCTGTTTCATGAAACTGCCATTCTAGTTGTGAGTAAAGTGGTGGAAAGGGGAATGCGATAGGAAACACAAACAATCATGAAACAGTGTGGTGCATATTACAATAACGATATTTGCAAAGTGTTCTGGTGAGGACTGGGAACTCCTAACAGCTTTGGGGTAGGAGTAAGAGAAGCAGATGTTGAGCTGTGCCTTAAGGGGTCATCAGGAATTCTCCAAGGGAGACAAGAAGAGAAAAGGCAAACACAGAGAGATGCATGAACAAAGAAATGGTTTTGGCAAAAAGCGATCTTAGTGGTACTTTTGTCCAATCTGTAAATGTTATAGACCAAAGAGAACCAAAAATAAGACTGAGGGATGTTAGGTGACACATAGTCACAACTGGAAATAAAAAAACCAATCTTGAACCTGCATCTGTCTGACCGATGTCAAATCTGGTAGTTAGCCTGATTTGATAAATTGCATATTTAATGGAATTTCAATGTAAAAAGGAGGCTTGGTAAGTAAATCCTGCTCAATTGGAAGTTCATTTTTACATTCATTCATTCAATCACTCAACAAGTACTTATTGGCATCAACTAGGTGCCAGGTACTCTATTAACAGATAGGAAACTAAGACGCAAAAATAACGAAGGCATTCAAAAATCATGATCTCATGGAACTAACAAATTAGTAGAGGATATGAACAAATAAGCTGGCAGTTAGAGGTGAGTGTAAGGGTTGTGAAGGGGAAGTACAGAGTGCCATGGGGGCAGGCTTGGGAGAAGCTTTACTGCATAGAGAAGCATCACCGTGTAGGCTAAAACCTGAGGAATTAGAAGGAGTTAGCAAGGTGTTCCATGAAGGGATAACAGCACATGTAAACGCACGAAGGAACAAAGATCCAAGAGTAAGAGAATGTATTATGTGTAAGAATTCAAATTTCAGTGTGAGTGGTGGTCTTCCTCCCTATGCTATCCCTTAGCCAGCTCCTACTTATCATTTACATTGCAAATGGCATGTAATAGCCTCCCTTTCCTAACACTCTAAAAATCAGATTCCCATACTGCCCAAGGTAATTTACAGATTCAATGCCATCCCCATCAAGCTACCAATGACTTTCTTCACAGAATTGGAAAAAACTACTTTAAAGTTCATATGGAACCAAAAAAGAGCCCGCATCACCAAGTCAATCCTAAGCCAAAAGAACAAAGCTGGAGGCATCACACTACCTGACTTCAAACTATACTACAAGGCTACAGTAACCAAAACAGCATGGTACTGGTACCAAAACAGAGATATAGATCAATGGAACAGAACAGAGCCCTCAGAAATAACGCCGCATATCTACAACTATCTGATCTTTGACAAACCTGAGAAAAACAAGCAATGGGGAAAGGGTTCCCTATTTAATAAATGGTGCTGGGAAAACTGGCTAGCCATATGTAGAAAGTTGAAACTGGATCCCTTCCTTACACCTTATACAAAAATCAATTCAAGATGGATTAAAGACTTAAATGTTAGACCTAAAACCATAAAAACCCTAGAAGAAAACCTAGGCATTACCATTCAGGACATAGGCATGGGCAAGGACTTCATGTCTAAAACACCAAAAGCAATGGCAACAAAAGCCAAAATTGACAAATGGGATCTAATTAAACTAAAGAGCTTCTGCACAGCAAAAGAAACTACCATCAGAGTGAACAGGCAACCTACAAAATGGGAGAAAATTTTCGCAACCTACTCATCTGACAAAGGGCTAATATCCAGAATCTACAATGAACTCAAACAAATTTACAAGAAAAAAACAAAACCCCATCAAAAAGTGGGCAAAGGATATGAACAGACACTTCTCAAAAGAAGACATTTATGCAGCCAAAAGACACATGAAAAAATGCTCACCATCACTGGCCATCAGAGAAATGCAAATCAAAACCACAATGAGATACCATCTCACACCAGTTAGAATGGCAATCATTAAAAAGTCAGGAAACAACAGGTGCTGGAGAGGATGTGGAGAAATAGGAACACTTCTACACTGTTGGTGGGACTGTAAACTAGTTCAACCATTGTGGAAGTCAGTGTGGCGATTCCTCAGGGAGCTAGAACTAGAAATACCATTTGACCCAGCCATCCCATTACTGGGTATATACCCAAAGGACTATAAATCATGCTGCTATAAAGACACATGCACACGTATGTTTATTACGGCATTATTCACAATAGCAAAGACTTGGAACCAACCCAAATGTCCAACAATGATAGACTGGATTAAGAAAATGTGGCACATATACACCATGGAATACTATGCAGCCATAAAAAATGGTGAGTTCATGTCCTTTGTAGGGACATGGATGAAATTGGAAATCATCATTCTCAGTAAACTGTCGCAAGAACAAAAAACCAAACACCACATATTCTCACTCATAGGTGGGAACTGAACAATGAGAACACATGGACACAGGAAGGGGAACATCACACTCTGGGGACTGTTGTGGGGTGGGGGGAGTGGGGAGTGATAACATTGGGAGATATACCTAATGCTAGATGACGAGTTAGTGGGTGCAGCGCACCAGCATGGCACATGTATACATATGCAACTAACCTGCACATTGTGCACATGTACCCTAAAACTTAAAGTATAATAATAATAATAAATAAATAAATAAATAAATAAAAATCAGATTCCCTTAATGTCTTTGCTGTGAACTGCAATTACTGATTTATCATATGGCTTCCCCACCAAACTGTAAGCTCTTTGAGGGCAGGTATGATGTTCTTGATCCTAATCTCTTGAACCTGTAAATGTTACCTTGTGGGGGGAAAAGGGTTCCTTGTAGATGTGATTCAGTTAAGGATCTTGAGATGGGAAGATTATCCTGGATTATCCAGATGGGCCCTAAATGCAATTACAAGCGTCCTTCTAAGAGAGAAGCAGGGGGAGACTTGACTACAGGCAGAAGAGAAGAAAGCCACAAGACCACACAGGTAGTGATTGGAATGATGCAGCCACAAGCCAGAGAATACCAGGAGCCACCAGAAAGTGGAAGATTCTAGATTCTCCCCCTCTGCAGACTCCAGAGGGACAAGCCCTGCCAAACCTTGATTTCAGCCCAGTGATATTGATTTCTTTTTTCTTTTCTTTTCTTTTTTTTTTTTTTGAATTGGAGTCTCTGTCTGTCACCCAGGCTGAAGTTCAGTGATGCAATTTCAGTTCACTGCAAACTCCGTGTCCCAGGTTCAAGATATTCTTGTGCCCCAGCCTCCCAAGTAGCTGGGATTACAGGCACATGCCACCACGCCCTGCTAATTTTTGTACTTTCAGTAGAGATAGGGTTTTGCCATGTTGGCCAGGCTGGTCTCGAACTCCTGACCTCAAGTGATCTGCCCACCTTGGCCTCCCAAAGTGCTGGGATTAGAAGGTGTGAGCCACCACGCCTCACCCCAGTGATACTGATTTTGGATTTTTGGACTCCAAAATTGTGAGAGAATAAATTTCTGTTGTTTTAAGCCACCAAGTTTATGATAATTTATTACAGCAGCTACAGAAAACCAATACAAACACTGATATATATCTTTTCCCTTAAGAATTGTTTTGGTGTTTTAGCGTTAATTCCTTTGGATAGATTCCTAAAAGTGGAGTTGTGAATCAAAATGTATGACCCTTATTTTAGGTATAATGAAGATTACTGAATCAGTTTCATAAAACAATTTCTATAAACACCAATAACGTAAGAGTGTATCTATTCACCACACCATCTTCATCACTAAATATTTTCATTAATTTGAATGTATGCTATTTTGATATGCAAAAATAGTTTTTCAATATTGTTTTAATTTATATTTCTTTGCTTGCTAATGAAAATAAATATTTTCCCATGTTTACTTATCAGCCTTATTTCTTTTGTACATGTGCAAAGTTTATTTTTTTAGAGAGACTTGTATGTATTTCTCCTAGAGCAAAGATATCACACTTTTGTTTCTTAAATTTGCTTAAAACGATTTATCTTACTCTATTGTTTGCCAGTTTTTTTAGGTTGGATTTAGGTCTCTGTCTTTTTAAAGGGGCTGTGCAAAACTTTCATCTATACAAATAAGACAAAGTACTGATCTTTTCCTTGGTGCTCCTTTTGTTTCTAAACTTAGAAAGCCCGCCACTCCTCTTCTACAAGAACACTATAGAGTAAATTCTAGTTTCTTTTAGATTATTTATGGCTTGACTTTATATTTAACCCCTTTTCTATCTGAAATGTACTTTTGTTGTGTATAGTGCAAGTTGAAGAACAAATAATCAATTTTTTCTCCACTGCTTTATAACACTTCTTTCATTATGTATTAAATTCTTATATACAATGGGATCTGTTTCTATATATTGTGTTTCTCTAATCCAATTACCTATGATAAGGTAAGTATTATATAGTTTTCAATGCTGCATTTTAAAATTTGTTTCCAAATACGGTAGGCTTGCCTCATCACCATTTATATTACTTTTTTGAAGTGTCTCTTTGTGTTTTTAATATTTCAGTAAGTTTGCAAAAGTTGTTTAAAATTTTGTATGCTTTTATATCAAATTTATCTAGTTTCCTCCACAACAGAAGGTATAGTGACAGATCTATGATAAGCACTTATAAATTGTAGTGATTATTGCTAAATAATAACTTTTAAAAACATTTTTGTCTACTTGATTTCTGAGCTATGTAATATTTCATTTTACCAATATTGAAACAACCAAGTCCAGGAATTTTAGCCAATCATCTTTTTTGTTGTTGTTTTTCAAATTTCATTATAGGTTCAGAGGGTATATGTGCAGGTTTGTTACAAAGGCATACTGCATAATACCGAGGTTTGGAGTACAAATAAATCTGTCTCCCAGGTAGTGAGGATAGTAAACAATAGTTCATTTTTGAGCCCTTCTCCCACTCCTTCCTTTCCCTCTCTTGTATTCCCCTGCATTTATTATTCTCATCTTTATATCCCTGTGTACTCGAGGTTTAGCTCCCATTTTTTATTTATTTATTTATTTATTTATTGAGATGGAGTCTCTCTCTGTCACCCAGGCTGGAGAGCAGTGGCACAATCTTGGCTGGCTACAACCTCCACCTCCCAGGTTCAAGCGATTTTCCTGCCTCAGCCTCCCAAGTAACTGGAACTACAAGCGCATGCCACCACACCTGGCTAATTTTTGTATTTTTAGTAGAGATGGGGTTTCACTATGTTGGGCTGGTCTCAAACTCCTGAACTCAGGTGATCTGCCCCACTCGCCCTCCCAAAGTGCTGGGATTATAGGCGTGAGCCCCCATGCCCAACTAGCTTTCATTTATAAGTGAGAACATGCAATATTTGGTTTTCTTTTTCTGTGTTAGTTTGCTTAGGATAACGGCCTCCAGCATCCAAGTTGCTGCAAAGGACAAGATTTTATTCTTTTTTATGACAGCATAGTATGACCCCATTAAAAGATGGGCAACGGACATGAACAGACACTTCTCAAAAGAAGACATACAAGCAGCCAAATATAGAATGATTCTAGGTTTCTTACTATCCTTCTTTTTTTAAAAAATCACAGATTTATCTCCTTTATATGTTGTAAATAATTCTATAAAGCAATATAACATTGCCAATTTCTTCTTTCATACCCTCATCATTTCTTGCTTTTATCATAACCAATATTATTAGTCAGTTTATATAGTTCCTGGTTCAGTCAATATTTTTTGCATGTTTATATGAGAAAATGCTCATCATCACTAATCATCAGAGAAATGTAAATCAAAACCGCAATGAGATACCAGCTCATAACGGTCATGACCTTGGTTTAAAAAAGTCCAAAACATCTAAAAACAGCAGATGCCGGTGAGGCTGTAAAGGGAAATACTTATACAGTGCTTGTGAGAATTTAAATTAGTCCAACCACTGTTGAGAGCAGTTTGGAGATTTCCCAAAGAGCTAAGAGTTGAACTACCATTCAATCCAGCAATCCCATTACTGGATATATACCCAAAGGAAAATAAGTCATTCTACCAAAAGACACATGAGCCATTTGTTCATTACAGCCCTATTCACAGTAGCAGAGACATGGAATCAACCCAGGTGCCCATCAGTTCTGAAATGGATAAAGAAAATATGGTGCATATACACCAGGAATACTACACAGCCAGTCTTCTTTTGGTGAATAAAAGCTTTGCTAAAACTCCACCCCCACCAACACACACACACATTTCTAAGTGGTGTCTGTTTTAAAAGACCTTAAAATATATAATTAAGAGAATGATTATTCCCATAGTAAGCTGAATAGACACAGTCTTTTACAAGCCTCTTCTTCAAGTCTTTAAAACTGCTGAGCTATACTTGACTCGTGAGCCCTAAAACCACATGTGCACTTCAGCAAAAACTAGGTCAATAGTGAAATTTGACTAGTGTGAGAAACCATCACTTCCTCATATTATTAGACACTTTGCTGTATCTTTCAAAATACAACAGCACAACAATGCTTATTAGAATTCATTGATCTACTTGCCTCCTTTTTATCCCTTGCCATGCATGAACAAGGCTAATCCTTAGGGATCACCTATGTATTCATTTAAATGTTATTTATTCTACATCTGTGTGTATCTTCTATGAGCTAAGTGCTGGGAATACAAAAATTAATAAGACCCTGACCCTGCCATTAAGAAGCTCAGATATTGCAAGGGAAGTAGACAAATAAACAACTGCAATGGGACCCTGAGATAACGACTCGCTTCCTTCAAATGGGGTTAGCAAAGTTTTTATCTTAAGAGTAAGGCAGAGTAGAAACCACAGGAATCCCTCCCCCAACCCTGCTTTTCTTACTTTAAAATAGCAGCTGGTATCTCCTGTAATGACAACGCAATGACATGAAAATTGCAACAATATACTATGGCAGATGTCAACAGAGATGGTATTTAAACTGCACCCTAAAGAATAAGATGGAAAAAGGATGGAGGGCATTTCAGGAAAAGGTAACATGAGGGTGTGAGAAAACATAAAATGTTCTGGGAAAAAAAACTACTCCAGCATAGCAAAAGTGTAGAATTTCACTACACACAAATGTAGAAAAGATAAGATACAGAGCAGGGAATCAAGTCTTGAAAAATAAATTGGAGATAGAGTATAAAACTTAAATGCATTTGGTCTCTATGTTATTGCCAATGAGAGTCATATCAGACTCTAAAGAAACAGAGTAAGACAATTCATCAACCCAGTACTTTGTGGCTCTTGTTGCTACCACTTCACTAAAACTATACTTGTCAAGGTCAAACATAGTCTCCATGTTGCACATTAGTGTTTTTAAAACATTACGTTGGTGGCTATATAGAAAGCTGATTGAAGAGGGTTAAGACTTATGGTAGCAGTACGAGTTGGGAGATTGCTGCTGCCACAATTAAAGCAAGAAATGATGAGGGTATAAAATAAGAAATTGGCAATGTTTATATTGCTTTATTGAATTATTTACAACATAGAAAGGGAGAAATCTGTGATTTGTAATAAGTGGAGCACAGTGCGAAATCTAGGATCATTTTCTAGTTCCTAGTTTGGTCAATTGCATGAGAAAGATGAGCAATTTAAGGAATCATGTAATAATTTCCATGGTAGACTGTGTTGAATTTGAGTTGATTCTGGGTCATTCAGGCAGGGGATTCAAGGTAGAAGTATGTGTCTGATACTCACATGTAAGAGTAAGGGCTAGAGATACGGATTTCAATATCTTCTGAATTCGCCCATATTAATCTTACATTCTACTTCTGTTCTCATGGAAACTTATATTTTAATCTGTATGTTCAAAGGGAAGATCATTCTACTTGATTTGTTATCGACAGCCAATATTATTAGTCAATTTACTTAAGTCATTCATAAAACATAACTAGTACTGAATCTGAATTTAGTGAAAAAGTTGAGAGCTGGCTGTAGTCAGAGAAGAGATCTATGTGAAAACCACAAGGACATTATTAGCTCCTAGGAATATTCCTAAAATGGTAAAATCATGTGTTTACATATTTGTGAGTTAGCTCTCATTCATTTGAATTCTTATTTTAGAATTCATTTGTCTTTTCAAAATAATTTGAATTTGAATTCTAAAATAAGAAGTGTTATAGTGTTTATCAACCTACTCCAATATGGCTTACATATTCCATGGAAACTATTTTTGTCAAGTTCACCAACAATCTTTGTGTTGAAAATTCAGTGGGCATTTTTCTTCCCTCATCTTAAGCAACTTCTCTCACCTTTCCACATAGAAAGGTACTTCTTTTTCTTGACATACTCTTCTGGCTTTGGCTTAGTTTCCTCCTGTCTCACTGACTATTTCTTTTCGGTCACTATCTCCTTCTCCTTCTCCAATACTCCTTCTCCAATACTTGACCTCTAAATGTCCCAGAGCTTCTCTTTTCTTTTTTTGTACACTTTTCCCCAAGCCATTCCTGTACCTTCAAATACTTTCTATTTTTTGTGACATCCAAATTTATATTTAAAAGATCCAGGAAACAGACATATATATCCAACTGCTTATTTGATATCTCCATTTGGATGTTTCATAGGTATCTCAGATTTAACAAATCCAGTACAGATCTTTTGCTTCTTCTCCATCCACACCTCCCAAAACTCTTCTTTTCCTGATGTTCCCAATCATGGTAAGGGGCAGTTTCACAAGCCAGAAACATACAAGTCAACCCTGATCCTTTCCTTACCCACATTCACAATCCTTCTGCCTTCAGTCCATCAGTCATTTCTACCTCCAAAATATACTTAGAATACTCTCCACTGTCTCTGTCTCCTCTGCCACTACCCTAGTTTGAGCCACCATCATGTCTCACCTGGACTAATCCATTCAATATCTGACTGATCTCTCTGCTTCTTATGTGTCCCTCTCCAATCTACTCTTCATCCAGCAGTCAAGTACTCTTTTAAAAGTATATGTAGATTTATGTCAGTTCCTATGTAAGAAAAAAAAATCATTTACTTCCCAGAGCATTTGGAATATAACCCAAACTCTGCAAGGCCCCACAAAACATTTTCTCTTAGCCTATTCAACCCATTGCTCCCTGGGATGCAGCCACACTGGCCTCTCTATAATTCCTAGACCCTGCCAGACCTGTTCCCTTTTCTAAGAAGACTCTTTCCTTATTCTTTGCATAGTTGCTTCTTCATCTTCTGCTTGGATAGTAAATGTTCCTTAGAGAAATATCCCCTGGCCACCTTATCTAAAGAAGCCTGACCCCTTACATGTACCTCATTCTCTACCACAGAATTATCTTTATTTTACAGCACTTTACAACACAAATTATAATCATTGTGTTTATATTTATATTTATATATATATATATATTTATTCTCCATCTCCTCCACTGGAATACAACCTCCAAAAGGACACAGCCATGTCTGGTGGTCCATTGCTACACTGTTATCTCTCTGCTTGAAATAATTCTTCCTTTGGTTAACAGAATGACTCTCTTCAGTCCCGTGCTACTAATATTGCCACTCCTTCTACAGCCAGATCCCCCTCCTCCCTGGTCCTTTAATGTTGGTAATTGCCAGGGATACTGTCTTTATTTATTTCCAATATTAACATTCTCCTATGTTTCCCAGGCCTGGCGCATGGTGGCACTGAATAAAATGCTGGGAGGAAGGAAGACAAGAACAAGATGCAGGTAGGAAGGGAGAGACGCAGGAAAGAAAGGAGAGACAGGCTGTAGGTAACCAGAAACTAAAGGTTTTATTTTCAGGGAAACTTCAGAGGATATTACATAAGGACAGTAGCTTCAGTTTTTGCAGTTCTTAAACACTGTGTCAGAAGAACTTCTGTAAGCAAACATTTGGAATTTGCCTTGTGACATCAACATTCACACAACCGAGAGAATTAAAGCTGGTAATTAAGGCTGGCAATCAGGGTTTTTCAGCTCTTACGGATTTAATAACTCTTAATTTGCAAATGCTTGTACCAGAAAGACTGCATCTTCAAAAAAATCAAAAACATGAAAACACAACTAATAAACAAGCACCCATGTTTGATTAAATATCAGAGGAAGAATGAAAACCTGAAGAAAACATTCAAATGATTTCATCTGTCCTAATAAAACATAAGGAAGAGAATGTTTGAAGGATGTTTTGGAGCGTGCTTGGCAGAACTGCGGTTATGCCAAATCTCACCTCCTTCCACCAAGTTTCAAAGGAAGAAGTATCTTTCTTGTTCTAAGCTAGCCTCTCCACCTGGGTTCCTGAATCCATTTCCTCCCATGTCCTCAAGTACTTTACTTTAAATGTTATTTCTTCTTTCTCCTGTTTTTCAACATCTTGCCCTCTCCATAGGCTCCTTCTCAAAAGCTTAAACAAGCTTAGCTTCCTATTTCAAAATACACACTCATTGGCTTTTAATTCTCCACTAGCTATCTCCATCTCTTCTCAGCAAGCTCATCCAAAGACTAGTCTTTCTTCCATTATTGCCTCTTCAGTGAACTGCCGTCAAGATTCTGCTCTTACTACTCTTGTGATACTGCTCTGGTAAAAGCCATCTTTGGCATCCTAATTTACCAGTCTCTTTTTATTCAAAATCTTGGCTTCTCTGCATCAACTGACCATACTGTTATCTCTCTGCTTGGAATAATTCTTCCTTTGGTTAACAGAGAATGACTCTCTTCAGTCCCATGCTACTAATATTGCTGCCGCTCCTTCTACCTGCCAGATCCCTCTCCTCCCTGGTCCTTTAATGTTGGTAATTGCCAGGGATACTGTCTTTATTTATTTCCAATATTAACATTCTCCTATGTTATCTTATCCATTCCTATATCTTCAGTTAACACCTACATATCAGTATCACTCAAATTCGTGCCCCTAGGTCAGATTTCTCCTGTAATCTCAAAGTGCCTATATTGACTGGATTAAACACAGATGTCTCAAACCCGTCTCCAATCTCTACTCTATGTTTGCTCCTCTTCTGAACTTTCCTCATCTTAGTGAATGGCCCACTATCTACCCAGTTATCCCAGCTGAGAATCTGGGTATCATCTTAGACTCCTCCCTCTTCTTCATTCCAATTCACAACCAAGTCCTATTAACTCTGCCTTTTCAAAATCATTTTTCCTATTGATCTCCTTGTTTTCAACTTGTGGCTATTGCCTCACTCAGTCTCATAGAAATCATACTCTCAGGCTCTCTCTGCCTCCAGTCTAACATTCTTTTTATCCATCCACCATGTTGTCAGAATTTTTTTTCTCAAATTACAGTTTTTTCTCTATGCCCCATTTCTTATACTTTTATGTCTGTTCATCTGCATTCTTTGGCCTGGAGTGTCTTAGTCCTTGTTTACTCACAGAGCATTTACTCACTTTCCAGGCACATTTCAAGAATAACCTTCTCTGTGGAGATTTCTTGACCCTCCCAACCCCATAAAATCAATGAGTCATCCTTTAATCCCATGACATTCAGTACTGACATGTGTCATGCCATCCTAACAGTGTATTGCATCTAAAGATAATTCTACTATATTCTAAGTTCCGTTTGCTCTATTTTAGGGTTTCTTGATGTCAGGAACTGAAACTTACTTATCTTTCTCCTCCCAGCACAAACACAGTGTGCAGCACATAATTGACAATAATGTCGCTTGCTGAATGAGTGAATAGCCCTTACATTGTCAAAAAATAAAAATACTATCATGAAAGACAGTCCTCTTGAAAGACATGAAAGACAATAGAGCACATTAAAAATTCACTACATCAACACTCAACTCTACCTCAAAATCTGGTTCTGCCTTCAAACTGAAATCCTAACTATAACAATAATGAAATATTAAATGTTCATTGAATAATATTTTCCAAGGCACATAGAAAGCGTGGGTTTTCATGATTGCCTGGAGATTTGCTGTACAATCTAGTAAGACCTTTCCATTAACCTCAGCCCCTCTGCTCCTGCCCCACATAGAAGCAGTGTGCCTCTGCACTTCTAAATGTTTCTTCCAGCTACAGTTACACACCTGTGGATCCTGAGCCCTCTATGTGCTACTGATGCATAAGAGTGCAGAGGTCAAAGAACAGGAGCTTCATTGTTTTACATCAACACTCTGTACTTTAAATGATATCCTTGGTCTGGGGCCAAGCCCATGCTGGGCTCCTACTGAAGATGTTATCCAACACTCCTGACCTTGCCTTACTTAACTTTCTCTTCCTTCCTGAATTATTTGACTACCTGGATCTGACCCATTTTTTAAATCTAAACTTTAGTTCCTTCTCATCATTAGTTCCTGGAGGACATGGAACACATCCTAGAAGCAATGGGAGACAGTACCTAGGTAAGAGGAAATTCACTAAAATTTGGTGAGAATAATAAGAACAGAGCCAGAATAGGGGTCCCCAGTACCAGAGGTCAGAGATCAAGATTTACAAGGAGGTATTTGTTGATGCAGTCCAGTCTCAGATCCAGTTCCTTGAAATAAAAGATTACCTGATCCAAGGAGGTATATGCTGGGTAGAGCTTCAGAAGTAGAGATGGGAGAGTAGACCTGTCAGAATCGGAGGCAAGACATACCAAGATTTGGCCTAGCCCCCAAGAACATACAGTGGCGGAGTCACAACAATAACCCAGCTGTCAGACTCCAAAACTCTGTGCTTATGGGCCGAGCACCCTGAAACTTCAAGAGTGTCAGTAAAGATTAGAGTTAAGGTGCATTAAACACCTGGCTCAGTGCCTGGCACATAGGATGTGGTTACTATTCACGCTACTATTACTATCTTACAATTGACCCTACAAAGCCATCGGCCACTTTTTTCTTTCCTGATATATTTTCACTGGTTCAACAGTTCACCATTTGAAGAAGCTTTGTGTACTCTTCAAACTCAACAACTCCATTATGCTCCACAATAATTTTTTTAAAGATATTGATGGATAACTGTTATGATTTTTTCCTAGGGAATTTCTTCGACTGTGAATGTTTCTCTGTGCAGATAATTACTTGGTGTACTTACCCCTTCTCCAATATACTTAAATAATAGGACTGTGGTTTCAAACTATGGTCCCCTTTCTACTGTGACTCAATTTTGTTTTGTTTCGATGATAAGCTCCTGCACTCTCTTTAGGTACACATTTTCAGTTTCCTTGCGAGGCTTCTTTTCCTCCACTTGACCTTTAACTCTTAGAATGTCAATACACTCTGAAGAGTTGGGGTATAATAATATCTCATCAGAGGTCTTAAATGTTATTATTTCTCCAATCACTAAATATCCAGAATGGACTGATTCCAACACCTTTCCTACTAACATGCTGATGCAGTAGTAGCTAAGCTCTTGTTTCCTATAAATGTACAACAAAAATCACTGATAAAATGTATGTTATTAGTGTATGTGAAAAAGAGGTGCATTTATAGGAGGAATAATCTTACTAAAAATTAATGTCCTGGGATATGAAGCACATAAGGAAACAAAACATCTTTTATGTAAGTATAACAACATTATTTTGTTTTGTTTTTGAGACAGGGTCTCACTCTGTCGCTCAGGCTGGAATACAGTGATGCTATCACAGTGCACTGTAGCCTCAATCTCCTGAGCTCAGGCAATCCTCCTGCCTCAGTCTCCCAAGTAGTTACAACTACAGACATGTGCCATCATGCCCAGCTAATGTTTTAATTTTTTGTAGAGACAGTGTCTCTCTATGGTGCCCAGGATGGTTTCAAACTCCTTGCCTCAAGTGATCCTCCTATCTGAGCCTCCCAAGGTGTTGGGATTACAAGTGCGAGCCACCATGCCTGGCTGACAGAACTTTAAAAGATATTTTTAAACACACCACTTAAAAGATATTTTAAAAGATACCAAGTTTGGAAAAGATCAACAGGAGGAATTTTGTTTATTTTTGTCATGTTTGTATTTTGAGTTCTAAATAATTGACTCCATGTAGAAATTGAAGGATCAGAGATTTTTAAATATACTCCAGGCAGGGCAAGATGGCGGACTTGAAGACGCTAATGTGCACCACTGTCATGGAGAGGAAACAAACGGGTTAGTGATCACTGACCCTGTGGGCCAATCATCTAAGAAACCACATGGATCCATCAAGGAAGCCGGGGGACACAGAGAGCAGAGAGGAATGAAACTGGGCACCAGCCTGTCTGGGCTCAGTGTGGAGCCAGGAAAACCTCTCCAACATAGGAAAGAGTGAATGAGTGACAGCTCCCAGGGAGATTCATTCTCTCCACAGGAACTGTGCAAGACTGAAAATAGAAGAATTCCCCTGGTCCCTCATGCACCATCCTACCTTCTAGACTGAGGCAGAGAGCCACCTGGACATTTTACAGGGGCATCTCTCAAGTTCAAGGGGACCTGTACAAGCCTTGGGTCCCTTAGCAGATCAGCACTGCCACCATCGCCCCAATAGAGGCTTTAGTTACAGTGCCTGGGAACAGTAAGTTTGCTCCACACCCCCTTGCTGGATGGGGCTTGGTGCCAGTTCTGGCCCAGGAGTCCCACCTTGTCCCAAATTCAGCTGGTCCCTTCACCCACCCCCACCACTGGTACTAACAAGCCTGCTAGAGCTTCTGGCCCAGAGGTATTGCTTCCGTGGCAATTCAGCCAGTGGGCGCAGCCTCCTGTTATCCCAAGAAGCATCTGGATGGCAGGGCAGGTGTCCCCACTGACCCCCACCACTGGTAGCCAGGAAAGCCATGCCTGCTAGAGCAGGAGTCCCCACCCCTGGGCCACTGACCAGTACTGGTTCATGGCCTGTTAGGGACCAGGCCGTACAGCAGGAGGTGAACAGTAGGCGAGCAAGCAAAGTTTCTTCTGTATTTACAGCCACTCCCCATCACTCACATTACTGCCTGAGCTCTGCCTCCTGTCTCCTGGATAAAAAGGCAGCATTAGATTCTCATAGGAGCACAACCCTATGGTGAACTGCACATGTGAGGGATGTAGGCTGTGCACTCCTTGTAAGAATCAAATGGCTGATGATCTGTCACTGTCTCCCATCATCCCCAGAAGGGACCATCTAGTTGCAGGAAAACAAGCTCAGGGTTCCCCTGATTCTAAATTATGGTGAGTTTTATAATTATTTCATTATATATTACAATGTAATAATAAGAGAAATAGAGTGCACAATAAATGTAATGTGCTTTAGGCACCCTGTAACCATCCCCTGCCCTCCCCACTCCAATCTGTGGAAAACTTATCTTCCATGAAACTGGTCCCTGGTGCCAAAAAGGTTGGGGACTGCTGTGCTAGAGCTTCCAGATCAGTGGTCCTATTTCTGCCTGAATTTGCTGAGGGGCATATCCTCCTGTTGCCCTGGAAACACCCAGGTGGCAGGGGGGCAACTGCATCTCCCTGCCTCTCATAACCAGATGGGCCACACCCAGACAGCTTCCAACCCAGTGGTCCTGCTTCCACCTGAATTCTGCAGGCAGGTGCAACCCCAAGTTTCCCCAGGAAGCACAAGGACAGCAGACTAGGGCCAACCTGGCCAGGGTACAGCTTGTCTGCCAACTACAGCTCCTGCCTGAGGGAGCCCCATGGACCAGAACACCCAACAAAAGAAATGCAGGCATGGAGATAGTACACAGACTCCTCCAAGACCCAAGAGCCGACTAGAATTGAAGTCAGTCAACTGAACCCATCTTATACAATAATCAAGCCAAACGGCATCAGAGAAGAAAAAAGAAAAAAAAAAACATCCAAAGAGCAACTTCAAAGATTGAAGGAACCCCACACAAATGAAACAGAACCAGCACAAGAAATCTGGCAACCCAAAGGCCAGAATGCCTTCTCTCCTCCAAATGACTGTAATAGTTATTCAGCAAAGGTTCTTAACCAGGCTGAAATGGCTGAAATGAAAGAACTAGAATTCAGAATATGGACAAGAACAAAGATCACTGAGATTCAGGAGAATGTTGAAACCCAATTCAAGGAACCCAAGAATCAAAATAAAACAATACAAGAGCTGATAGATGAAACAGCCATTATAAAAAAGAACCAAACTGATCTGATAGAGCTGAAATACACACTACAAAAATTGCATAATGCAATTGCAAGTATAAACAGTAGAATAGACCAAACTGAGGAAAGAATATCAGAGCTCAAAGATCAGCTCTCTGAAATAAATCAGACAAAAATAAAGAAGAAAGAATGAACAAAGCTTCCAAGAAATATGGGATTATGTAAAGAGACCAAATCTATGACCTGTTGGTGTCCACGAAAGAGACAAGGAGAAAGCAAGCAACTTGGAAAACACATATTAGGATGTTTTCCATGAGAACTTCCCCAACCTCACTAGAGAGGCCAACATTCAAATCCAGGAAATGCAGAGAATCCCTGTGAGATATTACACAAAAAGACCATCCCCAAGATACATAATTATCAGACTGTCCAATGTTGAAATGAAAGAGAAAAATTTTAGAGCCAGCTAGAGAGAAGGGGCAGGTCACCTACAAAGAGAACCCCATCAGGCTAATAGCAGTTTTTCAACAGAAACCCTAAAAGCTAGAATAGATTTGGAGTCTGTATTCAGCATTCTTAAGTGAAAAAGTTTCCAAACAAGAATTTCATACCCAGCCAAACTAAGATTCAGAAGTGAAGCAGAAATAAGATCCCTTTCAGACAAACAAATACTGAGGGAATTTATTACCACCAGACCTGTCTTACAAGAAGTCCTGAAAGGAATGATAAATATGGAAAGACCATTATCAGCCACTACAAAAGCACACTTAAGCCCACAGACGAGTGACACTATAAGGAACCACACAAACAAGTCTGCATAATAACCAGCTAGCAACACGATGAAAAGATCAAATCTGCACATATCAATACTAACCTTGAATGCAAACAGGCTAAATACCCCAATTAAAAGACATAGAGTGGCAAGCTGGATAAAGAACCAAGACCCAATGTTATGCTATCTTCAAGAGACTCATCTCACATGCAGTGGCATCCATAGGCTCAAAATAAAGGGATGGATAAAAATCTACCAAGCAAATGGAAAACAGAAAAAAGCAGGGGTTGCAATCCTAATTCCAGATAAAATGAACTTTAAACCAACAAAGATCATAAAGGACAAAAAAGGGCATGGTAAAGGGTTCAATTCAACAAGAAGATCTAACTGTCCTAACCATATATGCACCCAACACAGGAGCACCCAGATTCATAAAGCAAGTTCTTAGAGACCTACAAAGACACTTAGATTGCCACACAATAATAGTGGGAGATTTCAACATCCCACTGACAGTATTAGACAGATTATTGAGGCAGAAAATTAACAAAGATATTCAGGACCTGAACTCAGCACTTGACCAAATGGACTTAATAGACATCTACAGAACTCTCCATCCCAAAACAACAGAATATGTATTCTTCTCATCACCACATTGCAGTACTCCAAAATTGGCGAGATAATTCAAAATTTAAAAAGTACTCAGAAAATTCCAAAAAACCCAAAATCATACCAACCACACTCTTGGACCACAGCACAATAAAAATAGAAATCAAGACTAGGAAAATCACTCAAAACCATACAATTGCATGAAAAATAAATGATCTGCTCCTGAATGACTTTTGGGTAACAATAAAATTGAGGCAGAAATCAAGAAATTGTTTGAACAAAGATACGACATACCAGGACCTCTGGGATACAGCTAAGGCAGTAAGAGGGAAGTCTATAGCACTAAATGTCCAAATCCAAAAGTTAGAAAGATCTCAAATTAACAACCTAATATCACAACTAAAAGAACTAGAGAGTCAAGAGAAAACCAATCCCAAACTAGCAGAAGACAAGAGATAAACAAAATCAGAGCTGAACTGAATGAAATTGAGGCATGAAAAACAATACAAAAAAAAATCAATTAATCCAGGACTTGGTTCTTTGAAAACATTAACAAGATAGAAAGACTGCTAACTAGACTAATAAAGAAAAAAAAAAGAAGATGCAAATAAACACAGCTGGAAATTATAAAGGGGACATTACCACTGACCTCACAGAAATTAAAAAAAAAAACCATCAGAGACTATTTATGAACACCTCTATGAACACAAACCAGAAAATTTAGAAGAAATGGATAAATTCCTGGATGCACACACCCTCCCAAGACTGAACTAGGAAGAAACTGAATCCCTGAACAGACCATAATGGAACATTTGGAACATAATGAGTTCCAAAATTCAGTCTGTATTAAAAAGCCTACTAACCAAAAAACAGCTTAGGACCAGATGAATTCAAAGCCTAATTCTACCAGATGTATAAGGAAGAGCTGATGTCATTTCTACTGAAACTATTCGAAAAAATTGAGGAGAAACGACTCCTCCCCAACTCACTCTGAGGCCAGTATTATCTTGATACCAAAACCTGGCAGAGACACAACAAAAAAGGAAAATTTCAGGGCAATATCCTTGATGAACATAGATGCAAAAATCCTCAACAAAATACTAGCAAATCAAATCCAGCAGCACATCAAAGAGCTAATCCACCATAATCAAGTAGGCTTTATCCCTGGGATGCAAAATTGGTTCAACATACACAAATCAATAAATTTAATTCATCACATAAACAAAACTAAAAACAAAAACCACATGACAATCTCAATAGATGTGAAAAGGCTTTCAATAAAATTCAACATTCCTTCATGTAAAAAAATCCTCAGTAAACTAGACACTGAAGAAACATACTTCAAAATAATAAGACCCATCCATGACAAACCCAGAGCCAACATAATAATCAATGGGCAAAAGCTGGAAGCATTCCCCTTTAAAACTTAAAACAAGACAAGGATGCCCTTTCTCACTACTCCTATTCAACATAGTATTGGACATCCTGGTGAGAGGAATCAGGCAAAAGGAAACAAAATGAAAAGAATCCCATTCACAATTGCCACAAAAAGAATAAAATACCCAGGAATACAGCTAACCAGGGAGGTGAAAGAGCTCTACAGCAAGAATTACAAAACACTATTCAAAGAAATCAGAAATGACACTTGTAACAAATGGTAAAACATTTCATTTTCATAGATAGGAAGAATCAATATTGTTAAAATGGCCATACTGCCTGCCCAAAGCAATTTACAAATTCAATGCTTTTCCTATCAAACTACAGATGACATTCTTCACATAATTAGAAAAATAAAAGTATTTAAAAATTTATATGGAACCAAAAAAGAGCCCAAATAGCCAAGGCAATCCTAAGCAAAAAGAACAAAGCTGGAGACATCACATTACCCAACTTCAAACTATACTACAGGGCTACAGTAATTAAAACAGCATGGTACAGGTACAAAAACAGACACATAGACAACTGAACATAATAGAGAGCCCAGAAATAAGGCTGCACACCCATGACCATCTGATCTTTGACAAAAAAGTAATAAAAGCAAGCAATGGAGAAAGGATTCCCCATTCAATAAATGGTACTGGAATAACTGGGTAGCCATATGCAGAAGATTGAAACTGGACTCGTACCTTACACCATATACAAAAATCAACTCAAGATGGACTAAAGACCTAAATGTAAAACCTAAAACTATAAGAACCTTGGAAGATAACCTAGGAAATACCATTCTGAACATAGGAATTGGCAAAAATTTCATAATGAAGACACCAAAACCAATTGCAACAAAAGCAAATACTGACAAATGGGATCTAATTAAACTAAAGAGCTTCTGCATAGCTCTTTAGTTTCAGGAAGGAAACTATCAACAGAGTAAACAGACATATACAGAGTGAGAGAAAATATTTGCAATCTACACATCTGACAAAGACTACATAAGGAACTTAAACAAATTTACAAGCAAAAACCAAAAAACCTTATTAAAAAGTGGGCAAACGGCCAAGTGCAGTGGCTAATGCCTGTAATCCCAGCACTTTGGGAGGCTGGAGGCTGAGGCAGGCAGATCACCTGAGCTCAGGAGTCCAAGGCCAGCCTGGGCAACATGGTGAAACCCTGTCTTGAAAAAATAAAGAAAAATTAGCTGGGCACAGTGGCATGAGCCCGTAGTTCCAGCTACTTGGGAGGCTGAGGCAGGAAAATCTCTTGAGCCAAGGAGGCAGAGGTTGCAGTAAGCCATGATTGTGCCACTGCACTCCAGCCTGTATGACAGAGCCAGATCCTGTCTCAAAAAAAAAAAAATGGGCAAAGAGTATGAACAGACACATTTCAAGAAAGACATACAAGCAGAAACAAGCATATTTTAAAATACTCAATATCATTAATCATTAGAGAAATGCAAATAAAAACCACAATGAGATATCATCTCATACCAGTCAGATGACTATTACTAAAAAGTCAGAAAATAATAGATGCTGGTGAGGTTGCAAAGAAAAGGGAATGCTTATACACTGCTGGTAGGATTGTAAATTAGCTCAGCTATTGTGGAAAGCAATGTGGCAATTCTTCAAAGAAGTTAAAACAGAAATATCATTCAACCCAGCAATCCCATTATTGGGTATATACCCAAAGGAATATAAATTATTCTACCATAAAGACACATACATGTGTATGTTCATTGCAGCACTATTCACAATAGCAAAGACATAGAACCAATCTAAAGCCCATCAACAGTAGACTGGATAAAGAAAACGTGGTACATATATACCACAAATGCTATGTAGCCATAAAGAAAGAACAAGATCATGTCCTTTGCAGCAACATGGATGGAGCTGAAGGCCATTATCCTAAGCAAACTAACACAGGAACAGAAAACCAAATATCACATGTTCTTATAGATAGGTGAGAACATATGGATGCTAGGAGGGGGAGGATCAGAAAAAATACCTATCGAGTACTATGCTTATTACTCATTTGACAAAATTATCTGTACACCAGACCTCCATGACATGCAGTTTACCTATGTATTAATCTGTTCTCACACAGCTATAAGGACATACCCAAGACTGGGTAATTTATGGAAAGAAGTTTAATGGGCTCACACTTCCACAAGGCTGAGGAAGCCTTACAACCATGGCAGAAGGCGAAGGAGGAGCAAAGGCACATCTTACATGGCAGCAAGCAAGAGACTCTGTGCAGGGGAACTGCCCTTTATAAAACCATCAAATCTCATCAGACTTATTCACCCTCATGAGGACAGCATGGGGAAAAACGCAACCCCATGATTCAATTACCTCCCACCAGGCCCCTCCCCCACATGTGGGAATTATGGGAGCTACAATTCAAGATGAAATTTAGGTGGGGACACAGCCAAACCACATCATTCTGTCCCTGGCCCCTCCCAAATCTCATGCCCTCACATTTCAAAACCATCCCTTCCCAACAGTCCCCCAAAGTCTTAACTCATTTCAGCATTAACTCAAAAGTCCACAGTCCAAAGACTCATCTGAGACAAGGCAGGTCGCTTCTGCCTATGAGCCTGTAAAATCAAAAGCAAGTTAATTACTTCCTAGATACAATGGGGGTACAGGCATTGGGCAAATACACCCATTCCAAATGGGAGAAATTGGCCAAAATGAAGGGGCTACAGGCCCCATGCAAGTTCAAAATCCAGTGGGGCAGTCAAATCTTAAAGCTCCAAAATGGTCTCCTTTGACTCCATGTCTCACATCCAGGTCATGCTGATGCAAGAGGTGGATTCCCATGGTCTTGGGCAGCTCTGCCCCTGTGGCTTTGCAGGGTATAGCCCCGCTTCAGGCTGCTTTCATGGACTAGCACTGAGTATCTGCAGCTTTTCTAGGCACATGGTGCAAGCTGTCAGTGCATCTACCATTCTGAGTTCTGGAGGACAGTGGCCTTCTTCTCACAGCTCCACTAGGTGATGCCCCAGTGGGGACTCTGTGTGGGGGCTCTGACCCCGTATTTCCCTTCTGCCCTAGCATAGGTTCTCCGTGAGGGCTCCACCCCTGCAGCAAACTTCTGCCTGGAAATCCAGGTGTTTCCATACATCCTCTGAAATCTAGGGAGAGGTTCCCACACCTCAATTCTTCTCTTCTGTGCACCTGCAGGACCAACACCATGTGGAAGCTGCCAAGGTTTGGGGCTTGTACCCTCTGAAGCCGTGGCCTGAGCTGTCCCTTGGGCCCTTCTGCCACAGCTGATGCAGCTGGGACACAGGACACCAAGTCCTAAGACTGCACACATTGGCAGGGGGGCCTGTAGCCAGCCCAGGAAACCCTTTTTCCCTCCTAGGCATCTGGGCCTGTGATGGGAGGGGCTGCCGGGAAGGTCTCTAACATGCCCTGGAGACATTTTCCCCATTGTCTTGGTGATTAATGTTCTGCTCCTCATTACTTATACAAATTTCTGCAGCTGGCTTGAATTTCTCCCCAGAAGATGGGTTTTTCTTTTCTATCACATCATCAGGCTGCAAATTTTCCAAACTTTTATGCTCTGCTTCCTCTTGAACACTTTGCTGCTTAGAGATTCCTTCTGCCAGATACCCCAAATCATCTCTCTCAAGTTCAAGATTCCACAGATCTCTAGGACAGAGGCAAAATGCTGCCAGTCTCTTTGCATAGCAAGAGTGACCTGTACTCCAATTCCCAAAAAGTTTCTCATCTCCATCTGAGACCATCTCAGTCTGGACTTTATTGTCCATGTCACTATCAGCATTTTGGTCAAAGTCATTCAACAAGTCTCTAGGAAGTCCCAAACATTCCCACATCTTCCCATCATCTTCTGAGCCCTCCAAACTGTTCCGACCTCTGCCTGTTACCCAGGTTCAAAGTCACTTCCACATTTTCAGGTATCTTTACAGCAGCGCCCCACTCTCTGCAGTACCAATTTACTGAATTAGTCCATTTTCATACTGCTATGAAGAAACGCCTGAGACTGGGTAATTTATAAAGAAAAGGAGGTTAAATGGACTCACAGTTCCACATGGCTGGGGAGGCCTTACAATCATGGCGGAAGGTGAAGGAGGAGCAAAGGCACATCTTACATGGCAGCAGGCAAGAGACTGTGTGCAGGGAAACTGTCCTTTATAAAACCATCAGATCTCATGATACTTACTCACTATCATGAGAACAGCACGGGAAAAACCTGACCCCATGATTCAATTACCTCTGACCAGGTCCCTCCCAGGACATGTGGGGATTATGGGAGCTACAATTCAAGATGAGATTTGGGTGGGGACACAGCCAAATCATATCAACCTATATGACAAAACCTGCACATATGCTTCTGAACCTCAAATAAAAATTTAAAAAATACACTCCATGCCACATAGAGTGATTCAGTAATGATATAAATTTAGTAACACAGATTCCTTCAGATGAGTAATCGCATTGTTTCACCTAACCTCCACCAGACTCATAATCCGATTTTATTGTTTATAATATTTAAAGTGTTTTAAAATTAAAATCCGACTTCCTACACGAGTATAAATTTCTGTGTTATTATTTTTCCTTTGTCTCAAGTTTTGTTGTTGTTGTCCCATAGGACATGTGATTGAATGAGTGCAGAGTCTGCCAGGCTGGAAAGTTTGGCAAGTTTGCCACGACTACTAGAGATCATAGCACATTACTCACATAATCAGAACTGAGAACAATTTCTGCCTAAATGAAAACTCATTTATTGCTGATACTTACTGTTGGTAGTAAATAGTTATACTCACTCCTTAAAAGAAAGGAGCGAGGAGGAATTTGGAGTTTAGAAATTGATTCTTTCAGGGTCTCGAGTTTTGTTTTACAAACTTCACAGCATTATACTGATGAAGCCATGATTGCTTGCATTTCAAATGTTGAAAGAAGTGACCAAAGTGATTTGGCTATTAAACATGGTGAAAAGGGAAAAGAAAGATGTAGAGTTAAATGGTTATCCTCAATGCATAGATTTAAAAATATCTTTACAATTGCTAGTTACATCTGTTTCTAAAGAGTAATCTAATTTCTGATTTCTGTATGCTTGGTTGGGCTGTCTTTTGTTGTTTTTCCTTAATGGCCCACAGTTATCCTTCATGGTGTGAAAGGGTTATTTAGTGCTTTTAATATGTTTCCTCTGCATCCCTTACTTGCATTCACTTCATTTAAGTTTTATGTACAGGAAATGCTTAGAGTTCTCATTATACAGCTCTTATATCTTTCAATATCCATTAAAAACTCAATTTTTAAAAAAATAATCTTATACTACCCTTGTTAAAGCCATGAAATTTGGAACCAGAAAAGCAACGAGACTCAATTTTGCCACTTACCAGCCTTGTAAACATGAACCAATCATTGATCTCTCTGAATCTGTCTCTTCTTCTGTAAAATGGGAATCATAATGACATCTCCTTTACTTACCCAACCTCCACCAGTAACTAGTTATCTGATTTTTGGCACATTACTTATCCTTCTGGTGCCTCCGTTTCTTCTTTTTCAAAGGAAAGATAATAGTCCCTACCTTATAAGGCTATTTAAGGATTAAAGAGAGAATATATGTCAAATGTGTAAAACAGGTACATATTAAGTGTTCAAAAAATGTCAGCACTTATTATTGCTAAAAAGATAAAATGAGCTAGTGTATGCAGCATGACGCAGTAGAAAGAACAAGGGCTTCAGAGTCTAACAGATGGGTTCAAATCATTCCCTGCCATTTATTAGTTTTGACATCTTACATAAGTTACTCCACCTCTCTAAGCTTCGGTTACCTCAATTGTCAAAATTATGGATATTAACAATATTCATATGCATAAAGGGCAGTGTGGGTATTCAAGAAATGGTGGTTATTGCGAGCATTATGCAAAAGTAACTTTTGTAAAAAATCACTGCTCAAATAATATTTATAAGAAGCTCCTATCTCAAGCCTGACCAGGAGAAGCAAGAAGAAAGCATATTCTAAAGAAACAGGAAAACAATAAAAACAACAGTGAAACAGAACAAATATATGACCATAACAAAATCCTTTACTGATGAATTTGTCAGAAATTTCACAAAATGAAGAGAAAGGTCTTTGGATTCACAGCTGTACACTTCTGCTCAGAAGGTTTGTCAAATATCAACTTCTGCTTGGTAGGTTTGTTAAATAGCAACCGTGTAATAGGAAATACACATATTTCCTTCTAAGAAAATCAGACTTAGTCAATGGGTGGTCTTCACCATAATCATAACAAAAATATTCATAGATCTGGAGCTAAAAATGGGTAATGTATATGTAGGATAATGTAACACTAAAAATTGGGATGGTAACTTCTTGTTGGACCAGTTTGATATGCTAGGCTAGCATATCATAGATTATATAATGACATATTTAGTCCTATTTGCTGTAGTGAAGTTGATAGAATACTAACATTTCTAGGATCACGTGCCTAGAAATGGCACATGAATCAGTCCATGAATGATATTCATGGTGACATGAGAAGACAGTTCATAATCATTACCAATGTTGCTATTATTAAAGCCAAATGCCCAGTACTCATTATCATATGATATTCTAGAACCATTTTTATAGTTTAAAAACAGCAAGTAGGGAAAATATAAAAATATATGTCGAGTAAACACAAGCACAGAGAATGCCCATGTTCTAACACATGTGATAAATATCTCATCTAGTGTTTTATATGTGGTATTAGGAAAAATGAGGCAAAGTGTTGTAACAATTAAGCAAGTATATTCAACATATATGGCTAGAATGTCAATGATCTGGACTATCATGCCGTAACTTGCTCTAACAACTGAAGACTGTGTTACACCTATCTGGTTACTTTGGTTCCTGATTCAGGAGCCAATCTCATTCCTATGTAACAGGACAGTAAAACTCTCTAGTTAAGTAGCAAATTGACCCAGCATTAAGTCAGACGATGTGGAGTACATGTCCCCTTGTTTCCCATTACTGCTTCCACACCATTCTTCCTTTCTTCTCCTTTCCATTTCCACTTAAGTTTGATTCTCATTTCTTCACATAATACCACTGTGATGGTTAATTTTGTGTCAACTTGGCTGGGCCATGGAACCTAGATATTTTGTCAAACATTAATCTAGATGTAGCTAGATTTTTTGAAGGTATTTCTTAGATGAGATTAACATTTAAATCAGTAGACTTAGAGTAAAGCAAATTAGCCTCCATAATGTAGGTGAACCTAATTCAATCAGTGGAAGGCCTTCAGAGCAAAAACTGAAGTTCCCCCAGGTAGAAAGAATTTTGCCTCCAGACTATCTTTGAATTTGAGCTTCAATACCAACTATTTCCTGAGTCTCCAGCCTGCCAGCTTGGCCTGCAGATTTCAGACTTGCTGGCCCCCACAACTGCATGAGCCAATTCATTAAAAATTTCTCTCTTTCTCTCTCTTTGGTTCTCTCTGTCTCTTTCTCACTAGGAAGACAATGCTAGGAGATGAAGTCAAAGTGACAACCGGGGTCATAGAAGGAAGTTGCAGCTCAAGGGATGGCTTGTACAACTTGAAAGGCCTTTAGTTTCTCTCAGAATGAGTTAGGAAGTCCTTGGACATTTCTGAGTAGGTTGACATGATTTGACATGTTTACAAAACTTTAATCTGGCTGTGGGCTGAGAAAAAATCACTACTCACAATCATTTAATTTTTCTGTACCCAATTTGCAAAACCAGTAAGTGAGAATTGGAGATCCTTTTAGGTTACATTGAACTTTTAAGACGTCACAAAAATACGAATGGAAAGGGTATTTTTTAAATCCCTGGTTTAATTAAATGTTTTGTAATTGATGGCAAACAACAAATCAGTTGCTCAACTTGATACCATTTTTAAAATAAATGCTTGGCGTAATTCATGATCTAAGCTACTCATCAAAGTGCCCTTCAAATTATCAGATTTTCCTATTTGCCACGGCCTCACAGTTATTTTCACATGTTCCCACTAAAACTTGGCTTAAAGAACTCCTGAAAGGAAAAATGGCAGAGATTCAGTAGATGCAAGATTTATTGTGACTCAAATTTAGATGAAACCAATCAAGTCTTGGCATGGGAAATTGAAGTACAATGTATTGAGATGTGTTGTTTTCCTGGTAACACTTAAAAAAGAAATCCAAATGCTTCTGGCCTAATCAGACAAAGCTCTTATACTTGTGATGTTGAAGATTTTTCTGCATTTGACTGACTTTCAGTGTGAAAACAGGCCATGTGCATGAGCCAAGTTTTCCAGAGAAACAGAACCAAAAGGATAGATAGATGATAAATATATAGATAGAGATTGATTTTAAGAAATTGTCTCATGTGATTGTAAAGATTATCAAGTCTGAAATTTGTAGGACAAATCAGCAGCTGGAATTTCAGGCAAGAGTTGATGTTGCAGTCTTGAGTCCAAATTCCACAGGATGGAGACTGACGCAGTTTCTATGTTGCAGTATCAAGGAGAATTCCTTTTTCAGGAAACCTCAGTCTTTGTTCTTACGACCTTTACCTGATTGGAAGAGGCCCATTCACATCATGGAGGGTAATCTGCTTTACACAAAGTCTACTGATTTAAATGTTAATTATATTTTTTTTAAAAAAATCCTTACAGTAACATTTATACTAGTGTCCGACCAAACAACTGGGTACCACATAGCCTAGTCGGGCTGACATATAACATTAACCATCACACCATGTTAAACTTCAGTCCAAAGCTCCTTCACAGGGTAGGGTCTAAGCAAATGCTGAAATGCATAACATTAATTTTCAAAGAACACAGATTATTCTACTCATCTGAAATCTGGTATCGTATTCTAATTATATTTTCATTTTCTTCACTTTTCTCTTTTTGCTGGAAATAAAAGCAAGAG
Source organism: Homo sapiens (assembly GCF_000001405.40). NCBI lineage: Eukaryota > Metazoa > Chordata > Mammalia > Primates > Hominidae > Homo > Homo sapiens. The sequence goes on along the minus strand of NC_000008.11, from coordinate 104,601,878 downwards.
GCACTATTCAAAGTTCTGTTATTAAATTCATGCATGAGAACAAATAATATTATTAATGAGGAATGAAAGAACAAGCTTTCTTCTACTTCTTTATTCCTATGTTGCTAATACAAGTTATATTTGAGAACTGCTACAGTAAAATCCCTAGATCAGGTTCATCTATTGTCTTAGACTGAATGTTTGTGTCTCCTTCCCAACACCCACGATTAAAATGTTAAACACTAATGACCATGTGATGGTATTTGGAGGTGGGGCCTGTGGGAGGTAATTAGGTCTTGAGAGAAGAGCCCTCATAAATGGGATTACTGTCCTTATAAAAGAGACCCCAGAGACCTCCTTCACTTCCTCCTACCGTGTGAAGTTGCAGCAAAAAGACTGCTGTCTGTGAACCAGGAAGCAATCCCTCACCAGAAACTGAATCTGTCAGCATCTTAATCTTGGGCTTTGCAGCCTTCAGAACTGTGAGAAATAAATTGTTTACTAGCCACTTAGTCTATAGTATTTTTATAGCAAATTGAATGGACTAAGACATCTATTAAATGTGAAAAGTAACCTGATAATGCACAAAAATTGCTTTAAATCAAGTTGAGTCCGGGATATTAGTAGTGTCTAAATGTAGTTTCACAGGATTTGAAGCCCTATTCTCACAGCTGGAACCACTGAATTTCCACATACTAGGGTTTCTTAGAAAAATCCTTCTCTTAAGAAGAATGTAGGGGCTTCTACCTTAGCATCTTGGAACACACCATTTTTCTACTTTGTTTCTGTGAGCTCTGACCCTGTGCCCCAGTACTACGAATCTCTCTTGCTCCAAAGCTGTAATACTCACCTTGAACATCCAGTCTAATGATGCTGATTATCTATTTTTAACCTAATTGCCATCCCAGTCTTTCTGGGATTGAAGCCTTGTCTTGCTCTTGTTAGACTTTCCTTCTTTCTAGGGGCAAGACATCTGCCTCTGGATTGAAGATGAATAACTAAGGCCCCAGCTACCAGCTCAGGGTTCACTACCTACCTAGATGTACACGTGCCAACAGATTGGCCTCCCAGTAACAGCTATGTGCTATCCATCTGTTGGAATACTCCTGCCATCTCAGCCCTTCATGTGCCATGCTCTTCTTTTTTTGGAGACAGAGTCTCACTCTGTCGCCCAGGCTGGAGTGCAGTGATGCGATCTCAGCCCGCTGCAACCTCCGCCTCCTGGGTTCAAGCGATTCTCCTGAATCAGCCTCCCGAGTATCTGGGACTACAGGCGCCTGCCACCATGCCCAGCTAATTTGTTGTATTTTTAGTAGAGATGGCATTTTGCCATGTTTCTCAGGCTGGTCTCAAACTCCTGAGCTCAGGCAATCTGCCTGCCTCAGCCTCTCAAAGTACTAGGATTGCAGGCATGAGCCACTGCGCCCAGCTTTGTGCCATGCTCTTTCCGGGAGTTTGGACTTCCTTTCTGAAAACCAGCCTGTCTTTCCTCCCTCACCTCTGCCCAAGGTCTACTTCTAGGTCCCCATTTCCCCAAGAATGCCTGTCCCTCAACAGAATTCACAGGGTGTTATTACCCTTATAAAAATGGGCCTGGGTTTTCTCACCTGTAAAATTAGAAGATTGGACTAAAGATGACCCTTTCCGTTCTGACAGTCTTATGATTCTATAAATGCCTCTTCTGCTTAATGGTCCTTGACAACACCTCAGAGAAAATACAATCACACCAGGTCCTGAGTAGATTATTTCTATTCCTACATTTCTGTGCCTAGCTCTCTTTTCTGATAATAAAGTTCTCATCATTCATTTGGAGTAATGCTTCTATTTCTTAGAGAGTACTTTTCTTTAAATACTGTAGTCATTATCAGTTCACCCAGTCTATTCTAGTGAGACTATTAAGGGACGTACTAGAGATTTTCCTTCGCATTTCTTACATAACACAAATTAAAGGGAAAGCATTGCTAATCCACTGCTTCCTGCCCATGAGGAGCGTTAAGACTGAGCATTCTGGGCAGGATGAGCTCGCTGGTCCACACACGCCTCTGATAATGGGCCTTTGATGGTTAGGATATCTTTGGGCTTGTACACTTTCTCCTCTCTTTTGGTAAAAGAATATTTTTACACAGTGCATTTATTAGGAACCTTGCTCCCTGAGGCTTAAATGTTAACAAAGGATTAAGAGCATAAATAATTTACATGAGATACAAACATATCCATGACAGCATAACACATTTTAAATGATACACTGAACAAAAGTTAATATAGTTTTCCATTGCATATGAGAATAGGCAAATCCTCTTTGTCATTTACCTTTACTTTTAAAAACGAAGTTCATAACAATAAAATTTTTCACTCACTGAGCTATTATTTTTTTCCAATCAGAGAACTTCGGCAGAGACTGTTTTAGGAAACGCGGTATCTATACTTACTGCACACATAAAATGAATCTTAAAAACGAATAATGAGATTGTTTTCCCTTTCTAAACAACTGAATTAAATTAAAAGCACGATCAAACTACTTGGCTGTACAGAAATCAGTTATTAATACTGATTAAAAAATGTAATAGGGAACAGCTGATTCAGTAGACATAGATATATTTGGCTTCTGTAGAGCTGAACTTGTCTGTCCCATACCACATTTGAAGTTATTCCAACAGTGCCAAGCAAAATAGTGACAGAGTAATTGGCATTAAACAAGATAAAGGATACGTGTTCTTTGGCTATTATGTTAGCAACTGAGTACACTGAAATACTATCAGCCAAAAATATAATTGCCAAAAAGAACATTACTGATATAATAAATGTTTGTGACCTTTAAGTCTTCTAAAGGTGTAGTATGGCTCTAGGAGGAATAATTAGGCATTCTTGCACCAACTTGTCTTCTATCTCAAGGAAGGATTGCTGTGCAGTAAGGGGTCACCTTAGAAGGGAATTGGGGAAACATCCCTGACCTCAAATCTCTCCACCCTGACACTTCCACTAATGACCCATTAAATTATAAATACTCTAGAAGAGTAACCATACTTGGCTTCAAGGTGGATTTGTTTATAAAGTTTTTTTTTTGTGTTTTTTTTTTTTTGCCAGGAATCATTTCTGATGGAGGAAGGGAGAGGGTAAGAAAGCATCAACACATTGGGAGCCTGAAGTCGAAGGAAGAGAATGTAAGCAAGGCTGGGGAGAACAGAGGGGAAATAAAAAAGGAACCACTGGGTGGTGAAGACAAACTTTACATACTTCAATGTTGTATCCAGGGTCCATGCCGAATTTAGAAATCCCTAAGTTTAACTTCGAAATGGATAATGCTGTAACCTAACAGGCTGAGGGGAAAAAATAAAAAAGGACAAAATTCTTGATGAAATCAGAAAAAATAAATAAATAAAGATCACCAAGAATTCAGCTGTGATCTAATTCAAAGGCCAAAGAATTTTCTGTAGAGGCCTCTGGATAAGAACATTAGACTTTCTTGTAGGCAATTCTGTTAGTTCCTCTTCACCTCTTGACCTTTTATTACTTGAGCTCTCTCTGCCACAGACGCACTTTACCTTTCCTTTTTTTGTAAAATTTTCTTTACTTGGTGTCTACAATACCAGACTTTTCTTCGTCTCTTCCCACCCACTGGCCATACCTTCTCTCTCTCTCCTCTTATTGTAGGTTCCTCTTCCTCTACCATCTCTGACCCCTGCAATACTGATGTTTTCTATATTCTCTAAGGGAAACTTCATCCTCTCCAGAAGCAATCTTATCAATGCCAATCATCTTCTACCTTGGGCCCATTTTTCTCCTCTGAAATGCGCAGTATACCCAATTGCCTGTTGAATTTCTCTACCTGAATGTGCTGGTTCTAAGTTACACTCATTATTTTCTCTGTCCTCTTCTCCCTACTTCACTCCATCTAGTTGCTCAAACTAGAAATCTGAGAGTCTTAAATTCTATCTGCCACACAACCACTGACTGTGTTCTCTACTCCCCATTCCTACCGCTCCTGGGCACTCCTCAGTCCATCTAATCTCCTTGCTGCTGTCTGTAACCCCCTTCTGACTGCTCTCCACCTTTCCATTTCCTCCCATGCTGGGCTCTATCAAAATGGAGCCTGACTCCTCTGCTCAAAATTCTTTCAAGGCTCCCCAAATCCTGCATCATACAACATAAAACTACACTTATTTGCATGTCACTTATAATCCTTGGTGATGTAATTCCTGATTATAGTTTGATTTCCTCACCTTCCTCTACCCCTATTGAATCAGCAATACCAAACTACTTTATATTCCCAGAACACACCCTGTTCTCTTCTCCTATCTCTACTTGACATTCCTCTGCCTTCAATGTTTTTGTATTACCCCTCGCAAATCTCCTTCTTTACTGGCCGTCTCCTACTCATTCTTCATTTCTCAAATCAAGTGTTTCTCCTCTGTGAAAACTTCTCTAATTCTCCCCTGTGGTTCTGCTGTATCTCACACATATGTATCTCTACTGTTACCATGTTTGTTCACTGAACAGTCCCAGCACCTGGAACAATCACTGGCACATACTAGGTGCTCAATAAATACTTACTGAATGAATGAGTGTTGTTTATATTTATTGATATATCTGTTTCCCCCACTAGATTATAAGTTCTGTTGTATCTACAAGGACTAGCCTGACAGAGTAGAACCTCCACGGTTTGGTGATTGAGTCAGGTAATGTGAACATCTACGCTGTCTACAATCTTTAGCATATTTCAAGTATTCAAAAATATAGAGTGGATTATGAGTAAAATCTCAATAACATTCTAGTTAATTTTTAGAGAATTGATTTTATTTTGCTGAACCATCAACTTTAGCAAATACACATTGATGGACAGAAGACAATATTGGTAATAGCAAATGATGAATAATAAAGATAATTTATTTTGGAGTTTCAAAGTTGGAAAGCGCTCTTTAAACTTATCATTCTCATATGTTAGTGACTGATGGCCCAGATATTCATAATGCATTGAACACATCTTGAATTCACACTTCAAAGGTCTGGCTATTTGGGTTCCCTTCTCTGTTCCCTGATCCTGACTTCACACTGGGCATTAATTTCATCACCTCTTCGACTAATTCTAAGGAACAGTTTAACTTGATAGACAACAGAATTGGAATCTGTCTGCACATCTGAAGCAAAGTGTTAGCTCACAGCTTTCTGAAGAATGTTTTGAAAAGACTTCTTTTCTAAGGGCTTCTGCTGAGTTACAGAACAAAAGTCCTGTTTATTTTAATAGTCAATAAAATAAGTAGTATCCAACTTATAGGTCACATAAGGCAACTGAGGCTATAAAAAGCCCACAACTAGTATAGAGGAAATATTAAACATTGACAATAAAATAATAGAAAACTATGGCTTCAATACCAGATTTGTATTTGAAAAAATCTCATTAGGCAATATGTTGAATATCAGCACATGAGAATATGTGGGTCTCATCCTGCAGTGATATTTATTGGCTGTTTCTAAGACCAGGCATCAAAGATTCACTCCCTTTGTGCCTGGGCTCCAAACCTAGCAGTTTTCACTGGAAGGCCACTCGGGCACTAATGTCCAGACAAGTATCTGTCATATCTCTCTCTCTCTCCACTGCATTATCCCTGCCTAATAACTTGGCTTCTCATTTTCCCCAAGAATCTATTTAAGTCTTGAGCTTCTTTATTCATTCACTGAATAAATGTTTACTGAGCATCTATTTGGTGACAGGCCCTCTTTCAGGTGCTTCCAGTGAACAAAACACAAAAGTCCCTGTCGATCTGGAGCTTTCTCTCCTCCTCACTTTCCTTATTTCTCTTCCTCAATGAAGATAGGAGAATCTGAATATTCTAATTCTACTCCCCATATCTGCAAATGCACCAATCAATAAGCTATAGATGGGATTGTGAATTGAGAGTACTTCTCTCATCTTCAGAGAGAGGTCCATGTCTCAATTCTTAACACTATTTGTTCAGAGTTATAAGGAATGTCCATGAAGTGCCTTGCCAGCAAGAGGAGCCTGTACCAGGAGGAGGCTTGTGGGGAAATTGGTTAACTATTCTGATGAGTGTGGCCAATGCTATGAGAACAGACTTCTTGAAAGACATCATCCACTGAACAGGAAGATGGGATGTGAGTGGGGAAGAATAAGTGTGCATGGTAGGCAGCCTGGGTGACTGCTTCTGCCTGTCTGAGGCAATGAAAAAGCACAAAATGTCCAGAGGAGCCTGGTGCCTATATATCCCAGTCTCTGGAGTGCTGAAGATTAGAACTGCTGAGAATCTAATCCAGAAGGAACACAGTCAGCACAGCTGCTCTAGGACTTGACCTTTCTTCCCCACTCACAGGCCAGTTGAGGCAACCTCCAAATAACAGGTCTCTACCTGTTCATTGCCATTAATTGCCTTTAAGTCATGCATTTAAAAGCTGGAAGTATTTTGTGAAATTGTGTATATATGGGTATTTATAAATTGGAGTTACCATCTGAGGAGTGTCTGTACTTAAACAGAGCTACTAATTACATAGGAAAAAACGTTGTCGTGACTGGAGTAAAGTGCAGTGGTGACTAGAGCCAGTCAACATAATGTTCTAAAGTGCTTAACTTTTTTCACTTAATTTGCTTTATTGAGTACAAGAATAAAATTTTTAAATTGAACTGCTTTTGACACAATTTCTTTCATGTCCTGTGCTGTGCAAGTGAGGCAGTGGACTCTGGGAATTGAAAGGCTTAGACTGTTCTTTTCCATCACAGCTGGTATGTATTCAAAATGCAAACCAGCCTGGGTATTTCCAAGGAGAATATTCTTTTCATGATGAAGCTGGAGTAATCTATTCTTTGGTAGAAATGACCTGTGTTTTCATGGCTGATAACTGAGCAGTTTCATATGATTTGATGTATTCTTTGAGATCAGAAAAAATCTGTCATAGATCTTTTCTGAAGATTAGGGCAATAAGCAACCTAGGGTTCTCTGATCTTCAAAGGAAACTATAAATACTGACTCCAAGGTCAACAAAAAAAATTACTACAAGCAGCAAAAAGCCAGACTTATGGCTCTTCTAATTTATATTCACTTGCTATTTTCAAAAATTCAAGGAAATAAGACTTTAAAAAATAAATCTAAATGAGGTTTATGTCTATTTAGCTTAAACAGAATTTGAGTTAGTATGGGTTATTTCTGGGAAACAGGAGACAGAAAAATAACTATATAGATTTTATTTTAAATTGTATGATATGAGAAAATAGGATCATTTTGCTTATGTCATTTATATGTTTAATAACAGTAGCTGCTATTTATTGAGTACCTCGTAGGTGCCTGGTGGTATATTAAGTGCTTTACATACAACTTGGTAAAATGATTTAAGAGAGCATGCTCTAGAGTCAAACTGCCTGAGTCTAAATGGTGTCCATTTACTGTGATCTTGAGATAATTACTGAATATCTCTGTGCCTGTTCTTTTGAAAAATGGGGATAATCATAGTATCAAAATCACAGGATTGTTTGAGGACTAAATGCATAGCATACCCTAGGCATTCAATATATTGTAGCAATTATTATTTCAAAGGTATGTAGATGATCAAAGAAGCCCCCGTTTTTTTCCTGTTTTATAGGAGGAAATATGAGGTAAAAGAAGTTAGGTTCTTTACTAAGGTTGAACACCTAGATCAAACCCAGCACAGTTAAACTCTTAGGCTTATACCTTGTAATAGTCTGTTCTTGCATTGCTATAAAGAACTACTTGAGACTGGGTAATTTATAAAGAAAAGAGGTTTAATTGACTCACAGTTCCACAGGCTGTACAGGAAGCACGGCAGGGGAGGCCTCAGGAAACTAACAATCATGGCAGAAGGTGAAGGGGAAGCAGACACACCCTAAATGGCTGGAGCAGGAGGAAGAGAGTAAAGGGGGAGACACTACATGCTTTCAAACAACCGGATCTCATGAGAACTCACTATTGCGAGGACAGCAAGGGGGAAATCCACCCCAGTGATCCAATCACCTCCCTCCAGGCCTCTCCTCCAACACTGGGGATTACAACTGGACATGAGGTTTGGGCGGGTCATGAATCCAAACCATGTCAGCCTTTATCTGTTACAGTATACTATAGAGTTGACCCTTGAACAGCACAGGTTTGAAGTGCTTGGATCCACTTATTATGTGGATTTTTTTTTCAACCAAACATAGATCAAATATTGATGGTATGAAACCTGCATATAGGAAGGCTGCTGTTATATAGGTGGGTTCTGGTCCCGTAGAGTCCACTGGACTTAAGTATACATGGATTTTGCTATATGGGAGGGGGAGGTGTCCTGGAACCCATCCCCTGCATATACCAAGGGGTAACTATATTTGCCAAATATACTGGGGAACCTCAAATCTTTTTTGGATTTAGGCAGAATAAAAACAAATAAGTTATATATGCCTGAAATTAGCAGTATTTCCCTATAAAGAGCCATCGGATTGCCATCACAGCAGCCAAATTCATTTCTGATGGGCTCATGGAGAGACATGGAATGAGATTTCATCCTACATACATTTCTAGCTCATATCCTCAGTCAATCATCAGAACTTAAACACAAAGTTATGTGCATTTTGAAACTTCGCAGTTAAACGACAACAAAAAAGCTCAGAGTATCTCTTTATATATGCCAATGTCTGTAGTTAATGCTCCCTTTACTTCTTTTTTCTTGGTGAGGGCAATTGTTTTCTACGTTTACAAGAGATAGATGTTATTACCACTATAAGTTATTGCATGCTCTATGGTCTGGTTTTACAATTAAGTTGAACTTATGAGGGAAAAACTAAATCTATTCGGATTTGGATTAGTTAATTTAGAGCCAGGATTATATATTTGACTACTTGGTACAATGGTGGGTATGCTGTCACAGCCCAGAATATTTAACCACAATAAATGTGCTAGTGAACTGGTTTAGAAGTTACCTAGATTGATGGATCTCATTTGCTAGCCTATATTATTCAACACCAATGGAAATTAGAATTCATTTGTAAAGGGATCTCATTTACTTAACTTCAATCTTAAAAAACTGTCTTTTTTTAGTTAGTTATATGTTTTTTCTCAAGTTTGTTTTTCTTTTTTAAACACAATATTCCTTTGAGGGGGAGTTAAAAGATGTAACTTTCTCTGGCAGCAGGCTGAATAGAAAACCCACTATCATCAATTTTCTTTCCAATAAAAGATGATTCTCAGAGTGGGAGTGATAATGCTCCCCAGTCTAACCTCAGTGTTGATGAGATTTTCAAATGCTACTAAATGAAGCAGAGTCTACATTAGGATGGAGCAAATTTTAATTGGTGACAAAAATTAGACCATTATATGTGATGATAGCCAAACAAGGAAAAAAGAGAAGTTTAAAATCAAACAAAAGGATTATTTAAGGGCATGTTTCCATAAAGTGGAAGATTGTAGCCCTTTTCAAAATATGTCAAGGGAAAAAGAAGCAGTCCCTGTACTGCTCCACTCCCAATTGCATGTACCTGAGGAGCTCCAGAACCACTTGGAAAAGGATTAAGCAGCAACTCAAATGGTTGCCTCATTCAGTTTTTCTCAAACTTTTAAGAAAACGGTTGACACAATATTTTAAGAATCTGCTGAAAATAATGTCTTCTCTCTATAAAAGTACATGAACACAAAATCTTCATATAATTTCAGAAGGCTTAAGATTCTTTGAAGCCCATCGGTGGATCCAGAGGACTCAGATTAAGAATGATATGGGTCTCAGGGGCATGATTTATGCTTTAAATCATGCAGTCCAGAACACTGGCCAAGCAAAATCAACTAGTAGTACAACTGCAATGGAATTGTTACCAATATTAACCACTGCATAGCTATAGTTTTCTGGATTTCAAAGTGCTTTCTCACAGATGAACAATTTGATGTATCAGCCCAGATGGCCAGCTAGGTAGATTAGGTGAGAGAAAGGGAGTAACGTTGAGTACCTATTCTGTGATGTGATGCTTATTAATGTCTGATATCCTACTATAACTGTTTTCAATAAATAAAAATGTTCCCTCAAAAAATATAAATACCCTTCACTGGTGAACATTGAGTACTTATTAGAGCCCTTCTAATAAAAAACAAAATACTTAGATTTTGAAGGCATTAAGGCAGACACCTAGATCTACATTTCTCAAAGTTTTTCTGGGGGTGGTGGGGGGTTAGCGGGGTGTCACTAAGACTATTTCAGGAAAGTACATGAGGTTCTCCCTTTGCCAATTTATATATTACATGAGTCTAGATTTTCTTCATATACTTCAACCAAAACAACATATTGCAACAGATTGGATGCAGAAGCAGATATGAGAATCCAGCTGTCTTCTATTAAACCAGCCATTAGGGAGATTTATAAAAGTGCAAAAACAAAGCCACTCTTCTTAACTTTTTGTGTTTGTTTTGGAAAGCAGAGTTATGTAAACTTGTAATGCATGTTTTATTTTAAATGAATTTAAAATAAATTCTTTTTTTTCTATTTTAATTTCTAAATGCTAAATATCAATAGCTATGACCCACATAAATAAAAGTTCTTTGGTGTCCTCACCAAATTGTAAGTGTTATGGGGGGTCCAGATACCCAAAAGTTTGATAACCTGGCAAGTCTGAGAAGACACATCTGGGTGGATGAGCAAGTGTAGGGGTGGGAGGGGTGTGACAGGAACTGATGAGGGCACTGTGTGTCTCGTGTTCGGGACAGGATTCCTTGAATGGTACTAAAAGTGGACAGGGGAGGATGCAGTCCAGTCTACTCCTTCACTCTGCTTGTGGCCTGTTCTTAACACAGCTCTCATGGAAGCGCAATTTAGAGAAAGCAATCTTAAGAAACAAGAAAGTAGAGTTTAGAATCCCAAAATTAGGAAAGACAACTGCAATTTGTTTAGTGAAAAACACTGAAGTTGCTTCTTTCCAACAAGAATGGAAAACATTTTTGGAGTGCTGGTTGCTTTTTTTACCAGATGATATAAGATTTGTTAATTATTAGATTTTTGTAATACTTATTAATACATTTTTCTCTTATCTTTTGGAATAGCATTTCCTGGTTTTAAAAAAAAAAACTTAAAAGGGGGCAAATCGGCAGGAGACTGAGGAAAAGCCTAAATGTATTCCCCAGAAAGTATGTTTTAAATTTTAACATTTACTTACTGAGAGGTGAGGCCAGCTGAACTTCCTGGGTCCAGTGGGGACTTGAGGAACTTTCCTGTCTTACAAGAGGATTGTAAAATGCACCAATCAGCGCTCTGTAAAATGCACCAATCAGCACTCTGTAAAACGCACCAATCAGCAGGATTCCAAAAGTAGCCAATCGCAGGGAGGATTGAAAGAGGGGCACTCCGATAGGACAGAAATGGAACATGGGAGGGGACCACAAGGGAATAAAAGCTGGCCACCACCAGCCAGCACCTGGGGTTCTCTTCCATGCTGTGGAAGCTGTCCTTTTGCTCTTCGCAATAAACCTTGCTACCGCTCACTCTTTGAGTCCGTGCCATCTTTAAGAGCTGTTAACAGTCACCGGGAAGGTCTGCAGCTTCATTCTTGAAGTCAGGGAGACCACGAACCCCCTGGCAGGCACCAACTCCGACACATTACTAGGCGCTAAGCATTGTGCTAGAGAGTTTGCTGTGGTATAGGGGCAACAATCTTTACTTTGGAATGAGAAAAACTGTTTCAAACAACTTACTTGCCATGAGTAATTTAATTTCTCTCTTTTCTATAAAACATGGGTAATATTTATCTCACAAGGATGTTTGGGATTAAAAAGTGACAACCTATGTCAATAGGACAGCATGATGCAGTGTAGGTCTTCAATGAATAGCATGGAGAGTGCTTGCAAAGGGCAACGATAAAATCTAATATAAATAAGACGTTGTAGACAAACGCTTTAAAAACACAGGGGGTAAGGTCTGATGTGCCAGCGTCACTACAGACGTACTTAGAAAAGTGTTCTGGGGATCTAAGTAAAGGAGGACTCCCATTTGCTGGGAGTGAGAAAAGAGCTTTAGGGAAACTGCAGCGTGATGGGCGAATCCTCCTTTCAATATATCTACCCTGAAAGTCGGCTCCAGCCCTGCCGAACATCCTGGCCCAGCTGCACCCGACCCAGCGTGAGATGTCAAATGACCTCTTGGCGCTTCCACGCCAGACTGGAGGGGCTCTGCACAAGCCTTGCCCGACTCATTCCGGGCACCTTGAGCGTGGGAGTCCACACTGCCCCTTGACCGACCAGCTGCCAGGTTGGCCGCACTAACTTGAGCCCACCCCCACTCGAAGCTCCGCGCCGACAGCAAGTGGAGACTTGGGGGTACCGGATAGAGGAAGGAACTCCCAAGTTGTCAGCTTCAGACCATCCACGCCTCCCCCAACACGGAACCACCTTCAGCCTCCCAGCTGGTATCCCACCCCCCCTCCCCCCACCCGCTGGGCCAGAGCCCAGCCCTCGGACAGCGACCGTGCTCCTCCACACACCCCGCGCTCCAGCCCCTGGGCATCCAGCAGCCGGCGTTCGCACGCTCTGTCATCGATTGGCGCTGCCTTGCTCCTTGGGCTCCCGTCGCGTGGAAATCGGCCCGAAACTTGGAAAGTCCAGCGGAGCGCGGGGAGGGAACCGAGGCAGGCGGGCCAGGGGATTGCCGATCGCACGGATGGGCGCGCGCTCAGTCTGGCGAGTGGCGGCGCCGGCTAGCCCGAGCGGCGCGAGGCCGGAGTCCGGCGTCCGCCACCCTCTCGTCTCGCGCTGGCGCGCGAGCTCCTTGCCCTTGCCCCCAGGAGGGCCGCCCCGCGTGGGGCTCTCGCACCGCCCGGGGTGGGAGCAGGCGAGCCGGAGGGAGGAGGGAGGAGGGAGCGCGCGCGGGCGGCGGCGGCCCCTCCCTTCCCCCTCCCGCAGCCGCGGAGAGCGCAGGGAGCAGCCGGTGGCTCGGCGGCGGCGGCGGCGGCGGCGGCGGCGTCGGCGTCGTCTACCTCCAGCTTCTCCTCCCTCCTCCTCCGTCTCCTCCTCTCTCTCTCCATCTGCTGTGGTTATGGCCTGTCGCTGGAGCACAAAAGAGTCTCCGCGGTGGAGGTCTGCGTTGCTCTTGCTTTTCCTCGCTGGGGTGTACGGTAAGTGTCCGCGTCCCCGCGCCCCGCTGACCGAACAAAGCTGAGGCGACCCGGGCCCCGAGGCCTCCAGGACGGGGGTTCCCCTGGAGACTCCCGCGGAGACCCTGGCTACCGGCGGGACAAAGACCGGTGAGGGGGTGGATGTGGCGGAACGGGTGTCCCCACACGGAGATGCTTTTCTCCACTCGTCCACCTCCAGACCCTCGGGTGGTGGAGAGGGGCTGGGGGGCCCGGCCGGGAGGGCCCCGGCGGAGCGAGGGGGTGGCGGGCGGACTTCCCGACCTGGGTTCGAGGGCCCCCGCGGCCAGTTGCTCCAGGACCCGTAGCCTGGCACAATCCACACACAAAGATGCTTGACTGTGAGAAAGCAGAGGAGCTCGCCCCCGCCGCTGCCGGGACGGTCCTTCCCCCCGCCCCCTCAACCCGGGGTTAGGAAGTTCTCTCACCGGCGAGATTCCCACCGCGCCAGCCCTTGTCCTACTCGATTCCCTGAAAAGGCTTCCCGCTGACTTCTCCCCACTCCACCTCGGGGGCAAGGGCTCTGCCGAATCCGGGCGTGCAGGGTCCTGTTGGTTCCCCGGGAGCAGCACGCGGGAGAAGGCCAGAAAATAGTTTCCAGCCCCACCTCAGTCTCTCCTGTTAGGGTGTACACATCTGTCCTGACTCCTAGTTCAATTGTAATTTCATCCATCCTCGTCCGCCGCTGTGGTCACTGTTACTTTATTCCAGTCGATGGATCGGGTTAGAGATAACTCCTTTCGGGTTAAGAGAAGGCTGAAGACTGTGCGGACAGCTTTATATTGCGTTGGGGTCTGAGCAAGAGCTGAATGGAATTAATTGCAAAGAACATCTATCTCTTAAGATAATTAAGTTACACTTCTGACTTCACCGTTCTTAGTTCATCAGTTAAACACACTGAATAGGTATTTCAGAGAGCTCAGTTTTAACCTTTCCTTTTTGGAGTGTTGCTCTGATTTCTCCAGAAAAAGAATTAGAAGATATCATTACTTTGGTAAATTTTACTTATAAAAAGTCTAATTCATTTGCCACAAACATTGATTTGACTAGTATAATGGTGGTGGTGGTGAGGTTTAGTCAACAGCCAATTTGTCAGCAAGTGTTATCTCTTTTGAAGGCATTTATCTACGGAATTGAATGTGATGGTGGCTTTTGAAACCTGGCAAGTGACGCTAAATGAAGAATTAATGAACGTAATTGGGCATTTACTGACAGCCAAGAAATTCTTTTTGGTACAATTAAGGATGTGTTGCTCCCGTACCTGATTAGTAGTATTTTTGTTTGTTTTGGTGAGGAGAGTAGTTTGGTCCATTTTTTATGTAGGGGTAATTGCCAGAGGTGTGCTTGTGTGGGACCAAAAACCCAGTACACGACTTTTGATTGTTAGCTGCATCAAGTGGCTGTAATCCCTGCTTGCCTGATGACTTGTGGGTTTGGGTCTACACCAGAGATCAATAAGCTATTACGTTGTTTCTTCTGCCCTGAAGGTGGGTATAGTTCTGCTCTAGGTTTGGTGTAATGGCCCAGGAGAGAGAAGAAATTGAGAGGTATCTTTAATTTAGGGTGATTAGGATTGTCCAGCTTTGTCCTCTACTATAATAAGCATTGAATTTCTGTGATGTCCGATCAGAATAGATAAATAAATGGGCTCTTCTTTCATTAAAACCTGTGTCATCAGTGTTTGAACTAGAAGTCTTTTGCCTCGAGGGATAAGAGGCTGTGAACCCCTCAATTTGTTTTGGTGCATTCTTTAGTACTTGTACACAAAGTGACTTTCTGGTAGGTGCCTATCAAAGCTTTTATCTTTTTGGAATTTGTGTTCAGTGAGGAACACAAATTGTTAGTAAGCAAAGACTGAAACTCCTTTTTCCAACAGTGTGGGCCGCAGATTATAAAACCAGCAGGTGATTATGCCAAAGGTTGATGTCTCAAGCCACAGCAGGTTTCAAAGTGTAAAAAAAAAAAGGAGGTAGTGAACCAGGCAGAACATTAAACTATATCAGCAGAGATTAAAGGGAACCCTTCACCCTGGAACTGAGAAATCCTCTTTATGGCTGCATGTTTTTTGTCCTCTTCTGTCTCTAACCATATGTGGGTTTATAATAGTGAAAAAGGGCTGTAACAATAGTATGGGGTGGATGTGGTTCTATAACAATAGTGGGAATTGAGTAACTTAGAATATATAGTAGTTGTAATGGGTGGTGGATGCATCCTGAGAAATAGCTGTCGCCTTGAGCCTGTTAGAACAGATACTAGCTGTAATTTATGAAACTGTCCTCTATACAGTAAAAAGTGTGTGTGTGTTTTAAAAGGCTTCAAAAATAATTAGCTCTGTTAATGAAACTGAATATTCACAATCACTGTTAACAAAGAAAAGCAGGTTGATTGGCCAATATTTAGGGAACTCCAATATTAATTCTTCACAGAGTGACTCTTAAATGAAATGACTCTAAGGTGTGCTTCAGATTTTTGAAACATTTCACATACATAAAAAAATTTTTTGTTGTTTATTTTGGTGCTACTTTCCAGATGACGATTTTATGGGCTCTGATATGTGACTGTTGTACTTCCAAATTAACTTTTCTGAATGCCAGAGTCTTACCTGAAACTCTAAATTGTAATCTAGAATATAATGTTTTCTAGAAGTAGTTGTTCAAGGACCTGTAATTATCTTTCAGGGGCTACTGTATCTTAACCGCATTCAATGTGCCTAAGAGTTAGGAGAGAGTAAAGGTTGACCTCTGCCACCTTTGAAAGTTTGAAGGGATAAAAATATCAGTGGTGACAACCACAAGCTTTGCTACGCATTGTCCTAGGCTTACTGTAAGAGGAAAAAGTGCTTTGTCATTTTTCACATAGGGATGTCTCGCTTTTACAAATCTATGGGAGTTTCCAAAACCTCTGTCTCCTAGTCAATAGAAGCTGTTAGTCTTGCTCACCTCCTAAACCACAATTTGGTAATTCTGACAGTTCCGTTGCTTTATCCTTTCCACTTCTGTTTGTCTCCCAGATTAGTGTTTCCTAACTTTTACTCAAACCCACCCTTAAAATACACATTGCTTCGGGTACTATGTACATAGAGAAAAAAGTTAATGAAATCGTACTCTTAACTACCTGTGCACTCAGATGTTTTCTATTTATTCCTCCTCTTTCTCACCCTTCCCTTCTTCATTTGCTGGTCTGGACTCATTAAATAAATTTTGGATCCACTAATAAATTGCAGTCCTTAGCTTGAAAAACACTACCCAAGATGAAGCCTTAAAATATAGTTTAGAGGCCAGGCGTGGTGACTCAAGCCTGTAATCCCAGCACTTTGGGAGGCTGAGGCGGGTGAGTCTCCTGAAGTCAGGAGTTTGAGACCAGCCTGGCCAACATGGCGAAACCCCGTCTCTATTAAAAATACAAAAATTAGCCAGGTGTGCTGGTACATGCCTGTAATCCCAGCTACTCAGGAGGCTGAGGCAGGAGAATCACTTGAACCAGGAAGGTGGAGGTTACAGTGAGCCAAGATTGCACGATTGTATTCTAGCCTGGGTGACGAGTGAAACTCTGTCTCAAAAAATAAATAAATAAATAAATGTAATTTAGAATGTTTCTTGTTTGTATATCATTTTACAATAAACTTCAAGAGTTGCAGATGGTTAATTTTTGGTTACTTGCTGCCAGAGCATTTGATAGTCGTAGAACTGTTCACAGCATATACTGATTGACTTGTGATAAAATTCATTTTTAAACTGGTTTTCAGCTTATTACAGTCAAGAGTCTTTACTGTTCACAGTAGTATTCTAGATGTTGTGGTAGCCTAAAATAATCTTTTTACTTTGCATATATGTAATGGATGAATCTTTTCCCATGAATTTTATGGAATGTTCAGTAGCACTTAATAACTGGTTTAAGGGTAGACAAGAAATTCCAATTTTAGAAAGGTTGTAGAAGTAACTGGAACATGAGGGAAAAATCTAAACCAGATACCAATTACTTCTTACAAAGTCAAGTTTGATTACATAAAATGTGTTGAATAAAATTGAATTAATTGCTTAACATAAACCCTTCCTTGAGTTCAGAATCTAAATTATATCCATATCCTTGGGAGAATATGAAGGTGGGCAGCACATTCCACAAAATTCTAGGTGGTTATCAGGGCAGAAAGTATTAAACAAGCACTGTTAACTGTATTCTAGATAGAGTATGGAGGAGATTTGAATGATGTATGGTAAATGATTTATAAGGTTCCTAGAAAGTAAAATTTCTTTTGAAGAACATAAAAGGGATTTTAGCCTGAAAAGTGAGCAGCAGTTAAAGAAAATGTTGAGATTTACTTTTGTAATTAGAAAATTTAAAGCTTATTAAAATATTAAGGGAACAAGAGGGCCTTTTTGTGTTTCTGATATGAGATGTTGTTCCTTTTTTTTTTCCCCACTTTACCAGTGATACCACAATTTAAGGGGTGAAAGTTCAGTAAAAATATATATGAAATATAAGTGAGAATTATATAGATTTAAGTAAACATAGAATATTTTTATTTTAGATATTAATCCTGTTCTTACTGCAAGTCTTTATAAGAAGAGGAAGGTTGTTCTAAATTTAGGAATTGGAAGTTGATGATCTCTAATTTCTAAGGTTACCTTTCTTTTCTGTTTTTCTTCTTTTCTCCTTATCACTCCCTGCTTTTTGAGAGAGTTAAGTAATAGATGTACATTATTTATTCCCATTTTCTAAAATTTAGGATTAGATCCTGCAAATACAAATTACCAATGTATCTATTCAAATACATGTTATCAGAGTCTCTTCTTTTTAAGTATATATAAATATATTATTTCAATACTGTATTAGCTTAGGGAATTCTTACTGTCTAAGTTATAGAAGGGAAGGAAGGAAACTAACATTAAATTAAGTTTAATAGCACTTATTTACTTACAAGTACTTAATACTTACATTGAAAGATGCGTGATTAGTCTTTATTTATTGCCAATTAATCTTTAGTAGGTCTTATTTGGCAATCCTGTCAGATATGTACTCTTTCTTTTGTTTTATGGAAGAGAACATTGAAACACAGAAATATTGTGACTTAACTGAAGTCAAACCAGTATGAAGTAGTAGAGTCAGGATTGTAGCCTAACCCTGGCTGTCTCTTCACTTAGTTCATTTAGCAAATATTTATTGAGCCCTTGCTTATGTCTAGCACTGTGTTAGATAAAACCTGATGCACATAGTTTCT
This sequence comes from Homo sapiens, assembly GCF_000001405.40. Lineage (NCBI taxonomy): Eukaryota > Metazoa > Chordata > Mammalia > Primates > Hominidae > Homo > Homo sapiens. Next base: position 104,583,582 of record NC_000008.11, on the reverse strand, counting down.
GCCCTCATGGAGCTTATAGTCTAATGAATAAGTTGTAATAAGTGCTCTCAAAGAAACAGACATGGGGCAGAGATAGTGAGTAACAGGCACAGAGTAATTAGGGGAAGACTTTTTCATGAAGGGACGTTTATGAGACCTAAAGCATAGCTAACTGTGTTATGGTTGGGTAAGAAAGCTTTACATATGAGAACAATGCATGAAAGGCCCAGGATCAGGAAAGAGCTGGTATGTTGCAGATAAATTACTAAAAACACTGTAACTGGAACATAATGGTTGTAAGGGAGAGTGACAGGATGAGATTAGAGCAATACTTAGAAACTCTAGGATTTAGAATCCATGGTAAAGAGTTTGGGTTTTATTTTAACTATTTAAGTGACATAATGTGATTTATGTTTTGAAACAGTCACATTTGCTACTATGTGGAGTATTGTTGTGAAGTGGGAAACAGTAGAGATGGGATGATCAGTTAGGAGATTTTGGCTGTAATCCAGGTGAGAGATAACAGGAGCTTGGACCAAGGTAGTAGTAGTGGAGATAAAGGAGTGTAGGTTGCCCTGTTGATAGAGATAAGGGGATTTTTCCTCTTGCCGTAAGAGGTAAAGAAGAAAATATTGGTGCAAGTGTACTTAGGTCTGTAGGTTTTGGGGTGGGAAGGTGGACATTACATCTGATCGTTCTTATTTTCTCAAAGTAATATGACATAAGATCATCAGTGAAGAGGAGGAATGAGAAGTTGAGGGTGATTTTTGTTCCCTCAATTCAGTAGAATGGTTTGGACGCTTAGCAAGTTAGATTTCTGTTATTTAATCTAGAATAGAGAAGGCTATGAACACTATACAAGCACATATATTATGAATAGTTGTACAGCAGATGACAGGAAGAGATGGACTTAAATTACAAGGGGAGGAACCTTAAGAAGGGTTCTGTGGAGAACTCAGTTCTGAGGGCAGTCATTTTGTCAATGAAATAAGTATAGAACATAACTTTTTACAATGTTTTAAGTGTATTTCAGGCAAGAAGCAAAGGGTGGAGCAAAAGCTGGATTTCCAATACCTTTTTGCCAAAGTTAAATGCTTTCTGCTAAGCTATCAATAAAGATTGCTTTAGAAATCAGATTGTCTTTGGTAGAGGCAAGAATGTATTAAAAGATTGGTGAATTTCAGAGCAGATTTGGAAAAATTGAGCTTTTATCTTTTTTTTTTATTGTGTAGCTTTACAGAAGATATAACTTTAGTAGGTCCCAAAACTTCAAAGTAAATAAAACTGACAAAAGAGTTTTCTAGTTTTCCTCTTAAATAGTTAATAACTCATTTACTTGCTGGTATCAGTTTGGTGAAGATGTGAAATTGTTTTATGCTCATGTTTTGTCATTGAGTGAGACTAACTTGATACCTACCTTTAATTCACTTACATTTCAGTTTTTAGAGAAATTAAAAATGATGCCAATCTTTTAATATTAGGATTAAATGGAGCACAATAGGATGTTTAGTAGTTGGAATTTACTTTTTCAAATATAAGTGAGTAAACCTTTCATAATCTGACTTAATTTCATTAATAGTTAAGGCATCTTTTTACATATATTGGAGAAAACATAAGAATAATCTTTGTATCTGATATATTTTGAAGTAGAATTGTTTCGTGAAATTATTATTGCTTGTGAAAGTTTTGCTAAGAGAATACAGAACACCTATACAAAAAATGCCATGATTAATTCTCAAAATCATTGTGTGAGGTAGGTATTATTAGAAGAAACTGAAGCTTTGAGAATAGTAGTTTTGCCTAAGGTTCATGTCTGTCTACTGCTGTGCTCTTCGTGTAGAGGCCCATTATTTTTTTTTTGTCTACATTATTGTAACAGCCACCAACTAGTCTTAGCTCTAGTCTTGTCCTGATTGAATCATATCACACTTAGCAGTAGCCAGAGTGACTTATCTAAAGTACAGATCTGATAATGTAACTTTCTTGCTTAAAACCCAACAGCAGTTCCCTGTTCTTAAAATATAAATTAAACTCAGCAGAGCTTTCATGATCTGGCTAGTTTTTTTTTTTTCACTTTTAAGTTCAGGAGTACATGTGCAGGTTTGTTATATAAGTAAACTTGTGTCATGGGGGTTTGTTGTACACAATTATTACATGGGGGTTTGTTGTACATAATTATTAATCTGTTTGTTGTACAGATTATTTCATCACCTAGTGATATGTTACATCATATCTAGTGATATCTGTACATCATATCGTATATAGTACCCAGTAGTTATTTTTTCTGATCCTCTCCTTTGTCCCACCCGCCACCTTCTGACAGGCCCCAGTATGTGTTGTTCCCCTTCCTCTATGTGTCCATGTGTTCTCATCATTTAGCTCCCACTTATAAGTGAGAACATGCAGCATTTGGTTTTCTGTTCCTGCATTTGTTTGCTAAGGATAATGGCCCCCACCTCCATCCAAGTTCCTGTAAAGGACATGTTCTTGTTCTTTTTTATGACTACATAGTATTCTATGGTATATGTGTACCACGTTTTCTTTATCCAGTCTGTCATTGATGGGCATTTAGGTTAATTCCATGTCTTTGTTATTGTGAATCAGTGCTACAAGGAACATAACACATGCATGTGTCTTTATAATAGAACAATTTATATTCCTTTGGGTGTATTCCCAGTAATGGGATTGCTGGGTCAATGATATTTCTGTTTTTAGGTCTTTGAGGAGTCGCCACGTTGTCTTCCACAATGATTGAACTAATTACACTTCTCCCAACAGTGTACAAGCATTCCTTTTTCACCACAACCTCGCAAGCATTTGTTATTTTTTTGACCTTTTAATAATTAGCCATTCTGACTGGTGTGAGATGGTATCTCATTGTGGTTTTGATTTGCATTTCTCTGATTGGTGATGTTGAGCTATATTTCATATGATTGTTGGCTGTATGTATGTCTTTTTTTGAAAAGTGTTCATGTCCTTTACCCAGTTTTCAATGGGTTTTTTTCTTGTAAATGTGTTTTAAGTTCTTTATAGATTTAGATTAATTTTTTGTTTGTTTGTTTTGTTTTTTTTTTGAAACGGAGTCTTGCTCTGTCGCCCAGGCTGGAGTGCAGTGGCACAATCTTGGCTCTCTGCAAGCCCCGCCTCGCGGGTTCATGCCATTCTCCTGCCTCAGCCTCCCGAGTAGCTGGGACTACAAGCACCCACCACCATGCCCGGCTAATTTTTTTTTTTTTTTTTTTTTTATTTTTAGTAGAGACAGGGTTTCACTGTGTTAGTCCTGATGGTCTCAATCTCCTGACCTCGTGATCCACCTGCCTGGGCCTCCCAAAGTGCTGGGATTACAGGCGTGAGCCACCGCACCCAGCCTAGATTAGTTCTTAATAGATGCTGGATATTTTGCAAATTATGAATCTTTGTCAGATGCGTAGTTTGCAAAAATTTTCTCCCATTCTGTAGGTAGCCTATTCACTCTGTTGACCGTTTCCTTTGCTGGACAGAAGCTCGTCAGTTTAATTAGATTCCATTTGTCAATTTTTGCATTTGTTGCAATTGCTTTTGGCATCTTTATCCTGAGATCTTTGCCTATTTTTGTGTCTAGAATGGTATTGCCTAGCTTGTCTTCCAGGGTTTTTATAGTTTTGGGTTTTATATTTAAGTCTTCAATCCGTCTTGAGTTAATTTTTGTATATGGTGTAAGGAGGGGTCCAGTTTCAGTCCTCTGCATATGACTAGCCGGTTACCCCAGCACCATTTATTGAATAAGGAATCCTTTTCCTATGGCTCATTTTTGTCAAGTTTGTTGAAGATCAGTTAGTTGTAGATGTGCTGCCTTATTTCTGGGTTCTCTATTGTGTTCCATTGGTCTATGTGTCTGTTTTTGTACGAGTACCATGCAGTTTTGGTTACTGTAGACCTGTAGTGTAGTTTGAAGTTGGGTAGCATGATTTCTTCAGCTTTCTTCTGTTTGCTTAGGATTACCTCTGCTATTTGGGCTCTTTTTTGGTTCTATATGAATTTTAAAATAGTTTCTTCTAGTTCTGTGAAGAATGTCAATGGTCATTTAATAGGAATAGCATTGAATCTGTAAATTGGTTTGGGCAGTATGGCCATTTTAACAGTATTGATTCTTCTTACCCATAAACATAGAATGTTTTTTCATTTGTTTGTGTCATTTCTGATTTCTGTAAGCGTAGTTTTATAGTTCTCCTTCTAGAGATCTTTCACCTCCCTGGTTAGCTGTGTTCCTGGGTATTTTATTCTTTTTATGGCAGTTGTGAATGGAATTACATTCCTGATTTGGCTTCAGCTTGACTGTTGTTGGTGTATAGGAATGTTAGTGATATTTGCACATTGATTTTATATCCTGTGAATTTGCTGAAGTAGTTACCAGCTTAAGAAGCTTTGGGCCCGAGACTATGGGGTTTTCTACATATAGGATCATGTCATTTGCAAACAGGGATAATTTGACATCCTCTCTTCCTATTTAGATGCGCTTTATTTATTTCTTTTGCTTGATTACCCTAACCGAGACTTCCAGTACTATGTTGAATAGCAGTGGTGAGAGAGGGCATCCTTGTCTTGTGTCGGTTTTCAGGGGTCATGCTTCCAGCTTTTGCCCATTCATTATGATGTTGGTTGTGGGTTTGTTTGTCATAGACGGCTCTTATTATTTTGAGGTATATTTCTTAATACCTTGTTTACTGAGAGTTTTTAATATGAAGGGGTGTGGAGTTTCATCAAAAGCCCTTTCTGCATCTGTCAAGATAATCATGTGGTTTTTGTCTTTAGCTCTCTTTATGCGATGAATCACATTTATTGATTTGCATATGTTGAATCAACCTTGCATCCCAGGGATAAAGCCTACTTGATCACGGTGGATAAGCTTTTTGATGTGCTACTGGATTTGGTTTGCAAGTATTTTTTGAGGATTTTTGCATCAGTGTTCATGAAGAATATTGGCCTGATGTTTTCTTTTGTTGCCAGTAAGTTTTTTGTTTTTGCTTGTTTGTTTTTTTAATACCAAAACCGCCATCAGGTTTTGGTATCAGGATGATGCTGACCTCATAGAATGAGTTAGGAGGGAGCCCTTCCTCTTCAATTTTTTTGAATAGTTACAGCAGGAACAGTACCAGCTCTTCTTTGTACATCTGGTAGAATTCAGCTGTGAATCCATCTGGGCATTTTTTGGTTGGTAGGCTGTTTATTACTGACTTAATTTCAGAGTTTGTTATTAGCTTGTTCAGGGATTCAGTTTTTTTCCTGGTTTAGTCTTAGGAAGGTGTATGTGTCCAGTAATTTATCCATTTCTTCTAGATTTTTCTAGTTTATGTGCATACAGGTGTTTGCAACATTCTCTGATGATTGTATTTCTGTGGGGTCTGTGGTAGTATCCCCTTTGTTGTTTCTGATTGTGCTCATTTGAATTTTCTCTCTTCTTTATTAGCCTAGCTAGTGGTCTGTTTTATTAATTTTTTCAAAAAAAAAACCAGCTCCTGGATTTGTTGATGTTTTGAATGGTTTTTTGCATCTCAGTCTCCTTCAGTTCATCTCTGATTTTGGTTATTTCTTGTCTTTACTAGCTTTGGGATTTGTTTGCTCTTGGTTCTCTAGTTCTTTTAGTTGTGATGTTAAGTTGTTAATTTGCAATCTTTCTAACTTTTTGATGTGGGCATTTAGTGCTATAAATTTCCCTTTTAATACTGCCTTAGCTGTGTCCCAGAGATTCTGGGATGTTGTATCTTTGTTCCATTGGTTTCCAAGAACTTTCTTTTTCTTTTTTTTTTTTTTTTTGAGATGGAGTCTCGTTCTGTTACCCAGGCTGGAGCACAGTGGCGCAGTCTTGGCTCACTGCAAGCTCCGCCTCCCTGGTTCATGCCATTCCCCTGCCTCCCCCTCCCGAGTAGCTGAGACTACAGGTGCCCACCACCACGCCCAGCTAATTTTTTTGCATTTTCAGTAGAGACAGGGTTTCACCTTGTTAGCTAGGATGGTCTCAATCTCCTGACCTCGTGATCTGCCTGCCTTGGCCTCCCAAAGTGGTGGGATTACAGGCGTGAGCCACTGCTCCCGGCCTGTTTCCAAGAACTTCTTGATTTCTGCCTGAATTTTATTATTTACCCAAAAGTCATTCAGGAGCAGATTATTTAATTTTCATGTAATTGTATGGTTTTTAGTGAGTCTCTTAGTCTTGATTCCTAATTTGATTGCACTATGGTTCAAGAGATTGTTTTTTACTATTTCATTTCTTTTGTATTTGCTGAGGAGTGTTTTGCTTCTGATTATGTAATCAATTTTAGAGTACGTGCCATCTGGCAATGAGAAACATGTATATTCTGTTTTAGGGCGGATAATTCTGTAGATATCTGTCAGGTCTGTTTGATCTAGTGCTGAATTCAGGTCCTGAATATCTTTGTTAATTTTCTGTTTTGATGATCTAATACTGTCAGTGAGGTGTTAAAGTCTCCCACTATTATTATGTGGGAGTCTAAGTCTCTTTGAAGGTCTCTAAGAACTTGCCTTATGAATCTGGGTGCTCCTGTGTTGAGTGCATATATATTTAAAATCTTCCTGTTGAATTGAACCCATTACCATTATGTAATGTTCTTCTTTGTCTTTTTCGATCTGTGTTTTAAAGTCCATTTTATCTGAAACTAGGATTGCTTTTTTCTTTTTTCCATTTGCTTGGTAGATTTTTCTCTCTTTATTTTAAACCTATGTGTGTCATTGGATGTGAGATGAGTCTCTTGAAGATACCATACCTATGCATCTTGGTTCTTTATCCAGCTTGCCATTCTGTGTCTTTTACTTGGGGCATTTATTCCATTTACATTCAAGCTTAGTATTGATATGTGTGGATTTGATCCTGTCATCATGATGTTTCCTGGTTATTTTGCAGACTTGTTTATGCAGTTGCTTTATAGTGTCATTGGTCTGTATACTTCAGTGTGCTTTTGTAGTGGCTGGTAATGGTCCTTCCTTCCCATGTTTAGTGCTTCATTCAGGAGCCCTTGCACAGCACGTCTGGTGGTAACGAATTCCTTCAGCATTCGCATGTCTGAAAAGGATCTTATTTCTCCTTTGCTTATGACGCTTTGGCAAGATATGAAATTCTGGGCTGGAATTTCTTTAAGAATTTTGAATATTGGCCCCCAGTCTCTTCTGGCTTGTAGAGTTGCTGCTGAGAGGTGTGCTGTTAGTCTGATGGACTTCCCTTTGTAGGTGACCTGCTTTTTCTCTCTAGCTACCTTTAATATTTTTTCTTTCATTTTGACCTTGGAGAATCTGATGATTACACACCTTGGGGATGATCTTTTGAAATGTCTTACTTGAGTTCTCTGCATTTTCTCAATTTGAACGTTGGCTTCTCTAGCTAGGTTGGGGAAGTTCTCATGGATGATATCCTGAAATATGTTTACCAAGTTGGTTCCATTTTCCCCATCTCTTTCAGAGACACCAATGAGTTGTGGATTTGATCTCTTTACATAATCCCTTATTTCTCAGAGGTTTTGTTTGTTCCTATTCATTCTTTTTTCTGTTCTTGTCTGACTATCTTGTTTCAGAACGCCAGTCTTCAAGCTCTGAGATTCTTTCCTCTGCTTGGTCTGTTCTGCTATTAATACTTATGATTGCATTATGAAATTCTTAAAGTGTGTTTTTCAGCTCTATCAGGTCTGTTACATTCTTTTCTGTAGTGGCTGTTGTCTGTCAGTTCCAGCGTTGTTTTATCATGATTTTTAGCTTCTTTGGATTGGGTTTCAACGTACTCCTGTAGCCCAGTGATCTTTGTTACTATTCATATTCAAATTTCTATTTCTGTCATTCAGTCATCTTAGCCCAGTTCAGAACCCTTGCTGGAGAGGTGATGTGGTCATTTGGAGGGAAAAAGGCACTCTGGCTTTTTGAGTTTTCAGAGTTCTTGCTCTGGTTCTTACTCATCTTGTGGGCCTGCTACCCTCAATCTTTGAGGTTTCTGATCTTTGGATTTTTTTTTCCCTTTTATCCTATTTGATAACTTCGAGTGTTTGTGGTATAAGGTGGATCCAGCTGACTGACTTCATTTCTGGAAGATTTTAGGGGGCCAGTGCTCAGCTCCCGACTCCTGGACGGCTTGCTCTTAACTCTGGGGGACTTGTATTGGGCCCCGACTTTGTTCTCTGGTTCTTCAAGGCTTCGAAATCCACTGCGCTGGATTGGGGGACCAACTTGCAGCACCTGTGGCAGAGCACTAGCAGTGCCAGGGTGCCTGCCTTCCTGTGGGTGTTCACCACAGTGGTGGAGGCAATGCAGCTGGTCAGGGTGTCAGGGACCTGCTGCTGGTAACTGGAGGTGATGTTGGCTTGGGGCTCTAGTCACACTGAAGCTGATGTTGGCTTGGGGGCAGGGCACTGGTGGATCTGGATTCCTTCTCTGTGCCCTGCAAGCAGGAATGATCACTCAGGGGCAGGGGATCTGGCTAGTTTTTATCTTTCTGCCTCATCTTGGTCATTCCCCTTCACCCCTGCCCTTCCCCCTCTCCCACACCATGTTCCTGCCATACTTGTGACTTCCAGTCTTTATACACGCTGTTCCCTCTGCCTGCCTTATTTCTTTCTCCACCACTTTCTTCTCTAGGTTAACTCCTGCTGTCCTTCAGCTTTCTTCCCATTGCTGCCTCCTTTGGGGAGTCTTCCTGGTTCCTCAAAACTAAGTGCCCTTCTTAGAAGCATCTCAGATATAATGTGAGCCTCAAGTGTAAATCACATATGTAGTTTTGAATTTTCTATTAACCACATTTAAAAAAAAGAAACAGGTGAAATTAATGTTAATATTTTAAAACTAATATATCTAAAATACTATCATTTCAACACGTGATCAGTAGAAAGTAATTATTAATGAGAAGCTCTACATTATGTTTTTCATGCTCAGTCTTCAAAATCCGTTGTAAATTTTATACTTACAGCCCATCTCAATTCAACTAACCACATTTTAAATGCTGAAAGCCACTTGGAAAACAGTGTCTATTAAAGCTGTATGTAAACATGTCCTGTGGCCCAGGAATTCTGCCTCTAGATATGAACTCAACAGGTATATAATGTGTGACAAAAGACATGTACAAGAATATTCATAGCATCCTTATTGGTTATAATCCCAGACTAGAAACAACCCTATGGCCATCAGCAATAGAATAGATGAATAAATTATGGTATATTAGCATAAGATAATTCTGTTTAGCAGCAGTTTCCAAACTTTCGGGTCGCAGGACTCCACAGTTATTGAGGAATCCAAAGAATGGTTTTTGTATAGGAGCTATATATGTTTTTAAGAATATTAGGAATTAAAATTGAGTAATTATTAAAACATTAATTCGTTTAAAATGACAATAAGAAACCTATTACATATTACCGTAAATAACATGTTAAATAAAAATATGTAAGATGACAACTATATTTTCCAACAGAAACAAAAATTTTTTGAGAATAGTGGCATTGTCTTAGTTTTTGCAATTACCATAGGGTCAGATTTATATGTAAAACATATTTAGTATAATGCCAGACAATACTTGTTGAATAAATGAATTCATCTATCTATAAATGGAGTAAATTACATTTATGTGATTCCTAATGTTGAATCATTTTTGCATTCATTCATAGGGCATACCACCTTGCTAATGATATATTTTAATCTGCTAGAATACATTTACTGATAATTTTTATACTTTGCATTTATATTTATGACATCAGTCCATAGTCAGTCTTAGCTTTCTTCTGCCCTCTACCTCTTTTTTTCCTTCCTGTAACCTAACCTCCCTCTTCTTCTGCTTGATTTTCATATCTGTTAATCCATTCTTTTAGATGCACTTACGATCTTTTTTTTGTTGAGTTCAGTGTTTAGAAGTAGTATAAAAGATTCTAGTGTTCCAGTTATTATTATTTTGCCTTTTAAGATTAGAAAAAGAGAAGTAAGTGATTGTTTATGAACTATATAGGTACTGTAACAGGAAAGCAAAAATTAAAAATTTTGTACTAATAAATGCCGAGGGGAGAAATGTTTTCATTCCTAGTATGTTTAGACTTTATTTCACTAACCAAGATAATACAGATGAGCCTGTAAGAAGTAGATCCCTTCTTACGCATCAGCTATAGGATTAAGTAAGCCAGTAAGAGACCTCAGTGGAGATAGATCAGTTCCATTAGAAGTGGAACTCACATCTGAAGGCAGGAGCTGTGTGGGAGGTAAAATGGAGATGCTAAATGAGGACTGAGCTCAAGTCAGGGGGTAGGACTCCTGTATTCTGTCAGTAGGGTACATCCGGTTTGTGTGGATGACACTTTAAGACCAAACTAATTTGCTCAAAAAGTAGCAGACATAAAGTTAACCAAAATATGGCTCCAGTGCTATCTAAACTATGACCTAGTAGTGTACTAACATGATTACTTGTATGTAAAAGTATTTGCCCAGGTACAAAGGATGGGAGATTAAGGAGAACCTACTACTATCGGTGCTGCTGGAGTGGATCACTGCACAGGGGCTAGGAGCCATATGAAAAATACAATCGAGTATTAAGAAATTGCATAAATTACATTTGTATACGATTCAACTTAACATTATTTTTTCTACTACGTAAGAATAAGAATCTGAGTGTTTGATTTGATTGCTTTGTGTGGGTGGGTTAGAGAGAATTAGAATACATGATTTATCTCTGGTCTTTATTTTATTAATTCTTTTATTCCCTGATCTAAGTAGGGGGCTAGCTACGATAAATAGAAATTATGTTTTTTAAAGGTTTATTTGAACTCTACTCTAAAAGCATATGTCCATGATGCCTTTGGGGAAATAACTCTAATTTTCAATTCCTTCATCCTTGAGTCAGTTTTGCTAATTTATATTAAGTTATATGTTCTAGAACATTATTTTACCTGTATTTCCATATTTGCTTTAAATTTATAAATAATATTATTTTTAAAATATTTTCTACATCCGTGATTATATCACCATAGTCATTCCTAATACCCATCTGTCTCTTGTCTGTCATTCTTTTCTTGAACAGACTTATCAAAGGTTTCTTTATTTTAGACGTTCTTCTCAAAGAACCAGCTCTTGGTTTCATGCTGTACTGCTTTCCTTGTTTTCTGTTTTATTAATTTTCTTTCACTATTTCTTTATTTTGTTGATTTTTTAGCTGGTTGTTTATTTTTAAATTTTGTTTTATACATTATACAGTAAAACTGACTCTCTTTTTTTCTGGTGCAGTTATGTGACTGTTAACACATGTACACATTCATGTAGCTGCCACTAAAATCAGGATGTAGAACAGTTCATCACCCCCAGAAAACTCTTGCCTGCTCTTCCTTTATAGTCACAACCATGTCCTCACCCATAATCTGTGATAGCCACTGAGATGTTCCTAACCATAGTTTTGTCTTTTTAAGAATGTCATATAAATGGAATTGTCCAACACATAACCATTTGAGACTGACTGCTTTTACTCAGCATAATATCTTGGAGATTCATGCACATTGTTGCATCAATCACTAGTTTTATTCCTTGCCATTTTATGGATATACCACAGTTTATCAGTTCACCTATTGAAGGACATTTCCATTGTTTTCAGTTTTTAGCTATTATAAATAAAACTTCTACAAATATCCAGTACAAGTTTCTGTGTGGACATAAGTTTTTATTTCTCTAGGTCAGTGGTCCCCAGCCTTTCTGACACCAGGGACCAGTTTTGTGGAAGACAATTTTTCTGCAGACCTGGTGGGAAGGGAGGATGGTGTTGGAATGAAACTGTTCCACCTCAGATCATCAGGCATTAGATTCTCATAAGGAGCTCCCAACCTAGATCCCTTGCATGTGCAGTTCACAATAGGGTTTGCAGTCTGCCACCAGGAGGTGGACCTCAGGTGGTGCATTAGTCTGTTTTCACACTGCTGTAAAGAACTGCCTGAGACCAGGTCATTTATAAAGGAAAGAGATTTGGTTGACTCATAGTTCAGCATGGCTGGGGAGGCCTCAGGAAACTTATGGTGGAAGGTGAAAGGGAAGTAAGGCACCTTCTTCACAAGGTGACAGGAAGGAGAATGAACACAGGAGGAACTACCAAACAATTATAAATCATCAGATCTCATGAGAACTCACTCACAATTACGAGAACATCATGGAGGAAACCACCCCCATGATTCAGTTACCTCCACCTGATCTCTCCCTTAACACATGGGGATTATAAAGATTATGGGGATTATAATTCAAGATGAGATTTTGGGTGGGGACATAGGCAGACCTTATCAGGTGGTAGTGCTTGCTCACCCACCACTCACTTGCTGCTGTGCTGCCCACTTCCTAATAGGCCACGGCCCATTACTGGTCTGCAGCCTGGGGGTTAGGGACTCCTGCTTTAGGATAAATACTTAGGAGAAGAATTGCTGGGTCCTAAGTTACACATACATGCTTAACTTTTTCAGAAACTACCAAACCGTTTTCCAGAGTGACTATATCAGTTTGCATTCTGACTAGCAGTGTGGGAGTGTTTCAGTTGCTCTGCATCTTTGTCAGTACTTGGTATTGTTAATATTTTTATTTTTGTCATTCTAGAAGGGATATGGTGGTAGCTCGTCTGGTTTGCATTTGTATTTTTTAATGGCTAATGATATTGAACATCTTCTCATATACTTCTTTGCCATCTTGTGTGAAATGCTTGAGTTCATTACTCATTTTTAATTGGGTTGGTGGTTTTTTGCTGTTGAGTTTTGGGAGTTCTTATATATTTTTCCCCCCTCTGAATCTGTAGCTTGTCTTTTTTTTCTCTAGACAGTGCCATTGGCAAAGGAAAAGTTTTAAAATTTGATGAAGTTCAACTTGTCAGTTTTTTAATGAGTTGTTTTTTGTGTCATTTCTAAAAGCTCTTTACCTAATCCCAGATTAGAAAGGTTTCCTTCTGCTTTTTTTCTGAAAGTTTTAGAGTTTTATGTTACACATTTAGGTCTAAAATTCATTATAATTTATCTTTTTAAAAGGTATGAGGTTTAAAAAAGAGGTTCAGTTTTTGCATATGGATAACCACCAATTGTTCCAACACTACTTGTTGAAAAGATTATTCTTTCCCATTGAGCTGCCTTTGCACGTTTATCAAAGATCAAGTGGCTATATTTGCATGAGTCTATTTCTGGATTATATTCTGTTCCATTGTTCTGTGTCTATCATTTTGTCATTAACACACTTTCTTAATTACTGTAGCTTTATCCTAAGTCTTAAAATTGGGTAGCGTATGCAATCCTTTCAGTTTTATTCTTTGTAAAAATTAACTATTCTAATTCCTTTTCTCTTCCATATACATTTTAGAATCAGCTTGCTTTTATCTACAAAATGTCCTGCAGGGATTTTGATTGATACTATGTTAAATTTATAGATTACTTTAGGAAGAATTGATACCTTTACTATGTTGAGTTTTCTAATCCATGAATGCAGAGTTGCTCTGTTAATTTAGGTCTTTGATTTCTTTCATTAGTGTTTCATAGTTCTCAACACACAGATCCTTTGTATGTTTTGTTAGATTATACATATTTCATTTGGGGGGAGTTATAGGAAATAATATTGCTTTTAAATGTTGATTTTTAATTGTTTTTTGCATGTATATGAAATGTGATTGATTTTTGTGTTGACCCTGTGTCTAAACTCACTTATTAGTTCTAGGAGTATTTGTGTAGATTTCTCTCAAATTTTCTGCATAATTATGTCTTCTGTGAATATGGACAGTATTATTTTTGTGTTTCCCAACTATACACCTTTTTTTAATTTATTTATTTTCTTGCCTTATTGCATTGGCTAAGACTTTTAGTACACTGAGTAGGAGTGGTGAGAGTGCTTGCCTGTTTTCCATCATGGGCGGAAAGTATTTCAGATTCCACCATTAAGTATGTTAGCTGTAAGGTTTTTGTAGATGCCTTTTTACCAAGTTGAGGATGTTCTTTTGTATTCCTAGTTTGCTAAGAGTTTTATTATGAATCTTTATTATGAACATTATTATGTTGTATTTAGAAAAATCCCTTTTCTGTATCTACTCATGTCATTATGTGATTTTTCTTTTTTGACTGTTAGTATAATGGATTACATTGATTGACTTTTTTCAAATATATAACTAGCCTTTCATTCTGAGGATAAACCACTTGGTTGTAGTGTATTATGCTTTTTAAAAAATAACAATTTTAAATGATGAACTTCAGCTTTTAAAAGTGTACAATTCAGTGTTTAGCATATTCACAAAGTTACACAACTGTCACCACTATCTAATTCCAAAATATTTGCATTGGCCCAAAAGGAAACTCTGTACCTATTAACAATCACTACCCATTCTTCCTACTCTCTAGCCCCTGGAAACTACAAATCAACTTTCTGTCACTATGGATTTGCCTATTCTGGGCATTCATATAAATGAAATCATACAATATTTGGTCTTTTGTGTCTGGCTTCTTTCATCTAGCATAATGTTTTCATGGCTTATTCATGTCATAGCATGACTGTAACATGGCTCAGTACTTTATTCCCAAAAATTCCATTGTATGGATATTCTACTTTGTGTATCTGTTCATTAGTTGACAGACATTTGAGTAATTTGCACTTTGGGACTATTATGAATAATGCTATGAATATTTGTGTGAAAGTTTTTGTGTGGACACATAGTTTCAGTTCTCTTGGGTATATACAGAGGAGTGGAATTACTGACTCATATAGTAATTCTGTGTTTACCTTTTTGAGGAACTCCAAACTCTTTTCCAAAGGGCAGCACTATTTTACATTCCCACTAGCAGTATGTGAGGGTTCCAGTCTCTCCACATCCTTGCCAACACTTTATTGTCTGTCTTTTTCATTACAGCTGTTTTAATTGGTGTGAAGTTGTATGTCATGGTGGTTTTGATTTTCATCTCCCTAATGGGTACTGATGTTGAGGTTCTTCTCATATGTTTATTGGCCTTTTGTGTTTATACTCTGAAGAAATGTCTATTCAAATCTTTTGCCCATTTCTTAATTGGTTAGAGTATCTGTCTTTGTTGTTGAGTTGTAAGAGTTCTTTAAAAATTGTGGTTATTAACCCCGTTATCTGATATATGATTTTCAAATATTGTATCCTGTTTTGTAGTTTGTTCTTTTACTTTCTTAATGGTGTTCTTTGAGGCACAAGTGTTTTCAATTTTGAGACAGTCCAGTTTACCTAGTTTTTGTTACTTGTGTCTTTGATATTATATCTAAGAATCCATTTGCTAACCCAAGGTCATAGGGGTTTACTCTGGTGTGGTTTTTTAATTCCCCTAAGAGTTTTATAATTTTGCTGTTATATATAGGTTTCTGATCCATTTTGACCTGTTTTTTGCATATGATGTGAGGTAGGGGTCAAATTCATTCTTTTGCACATGGTTTCCTTTGTTCCAGCATTATTTGTTGAAAAAACCAGTCTTTCTCCCATTTAATCCTCCTGGCACCCTTGTTGAAAATCAACTGGCTGAAATTAATGAGAGTTTACCTCTCAGATCTGTATTTTATGACCTATATTGTCTATCCCTATGCTAGTACCACACTGTCTTCATTAGTGTCGCTTTGTAGTAAGTTTTGAAATCAGAAAGTGTGAGTATTCCAATTTGTTTTCATTTTTCAAGATTGTTTTTGCTATTCTGGATTTCTTGAATTTTCATATGAATTTTAGGATTAGTTTATCCATTTCTAGGCACAGGGGAAGGTAGCTAGGATTTTGATAGGGATTGCATGGAATCTGTAGAGCATATTTGTCAAGAATTGTCTTACCAATCTTAATCCTTCTGACTGATAAACATGGGATATGTCTTTTGATTCATGTAGATTTTAATCTCTTTCAATAATGTTTTGTTGTTAAACTATTTTATTCCTTTTCATGCTATTGTAAGTGGAATTGTTTTCTTAGTTTTCAGATTATCATTGTTGGTGCATATGAATATACTTTTTCTTGTATCCTATGACTTGTTGAACTTACTAGCTCTAATAAGTTTTTGTTTCTGTGAATACCTTATGATTTTTCATATACAAAATTTTATCATATGCAAATAGGGATGGTTTTACTTCTTCCTTTCTGATTTGGTTTGGCTGCATCCCCACCAAATCTCCACTTGAATTGTATCTCCCAGAATTCCCTCGTGTTATGGGAGGTACCCGGGGGAGGTCATTAAATCATGGGGGGCCAGTCTTTCCCGTGCTATTCTCGTGATAGTGAGTAAGTCTCCTGAGATCTGATGTGTTTATGAGGGGTTTCCACTTTTGGTTCGTCCTCATTTTTTCTTGCTGCTGCCATGTAAGAAGTGCCTTTTGCCTCCCGCCATGATTCTGAGGTCTCCACAGCCATGTGGAACTAAATCCAATTAAACCTCTTTTTCTTCCCAGTCTCAGGTGTGTCTTTATCAGCAGCATGAAAACAGACTAATACACCTTCCAATCTAAATGGCTTTTTTTCCTTACCTAATTCTCCTGGCCAAAACCTCTGGTATGGTGTTGAATGGAAGTGGCAAGAGTGGATATCCTTGTTTTTATTTGTAAACACCTTTAATTTTCCTGCTCTCTTACCACTTTTTTTGTCCTGTCATTTTTGTTTTTTTTTTAAATAAAATGACATTTATTACGGATTTTGTAATCAGTATATAATTATATATTTACATTTTGCTTTACATACATAAGATCACAGCCAAGGAGGTTACCCATAATTTCACATTTTATCACCAGCCGCTTGTGCTATTTTATATTTGAAAATATTCACTCTTATTATTTACATCAAACAGTGATCTATAACTTTGTTTAAACAATAATAATTAAGGGCCTTTTCTTCTTTGGGACAATAAAAAATTAAATAACGTATTGAAGATACTACTAAGGAAACTCTACTTTTTGATTATGGCCTCTGCATTAAAGAGCTGTAGGAATTTTTCTAATTGTCAGATCTTCCCACAACCTCTCTGTTCAAAGAAATAACATCTTTGAAATAATTTGTGTGAGTACTTTACAAATCACAAGTTGATTCACAAGACCATATTACCATAATCACTAATTTTTAAAAGTCTCCTAAATATTTTGTATATCACTTCTCTTGATTATAAAATGTCAATAGTATGGACACACTCTTAATATAACAGAATATTAAATCAATTTCCTATCAACCCACCAAAGGCATTTAGTAATTGTATTGGCCATTTCCACTGATTGGCAGGAGGCTCTTCCCCTAAGGCTCCCATGGTTTTCACTGCGTCATTTTCCTCACCAGACTTAGTTAATCTTCAACCTGAGGAATCACCTCTTCTACTTGATCACCTTAATGTTGGTCTCCTAATTTTTTAACATCTGGTTCTACTTTAACTATAGCCAGCTTCTCATTTGTAATCTGTTCTGTATACTTTCTATGTGCTGCATTTTCAGGGATTTGCTCAAGAACATCAAGAATCTTTGTGTACAATATTCTCAGCCTCTCTTATGGACTCTTGCATATAGCCAATCCCACAAGGCCAGTGGTCTTCAGCACACCCACTATGACAGTGCCAACAAGCCAATGACCTGCCATTTTTTTTGAAGTCTTTAATCAGGCTGAATTTTATTTTGCTGCGTCCTCTCCCTCTCCCCGCATCTCCCCCTCTCCCCGTCGCCCCCTCTCCCTCTCTCTCCCTGCCCCAGCCTTTCTCCCCCTCCGTCTTTCCATTCTTCCCCCACAACCAAGTAACATGTATGGGGTGTGTGTGTGTGTATTTTTTTTTTTTTTGAGATGGAGTCTTGCTCTGTCGCTGAGGCTGGAGTGCAGTGGTGCGATCTCGGTTCACTGCAAGCTCTGCCTCCCGAGTTCACGCCACTCTCCTGCCTCAGCCTCCCGAGTAGCTGGGACTACAGGCGCCCACCACCACACCTGGCTAATTTTTTTGTATTTTTAGTAAAGACGGAGTTTCACCGTGTTAGCCAGGGTGGTCTTGATCTCCTGACCTCGTTGATCCACCCGCCTTGGCCTCCCAAAGTGCTGGGATTACAGGCGTGAGCCACCGCGCCCGGCCTGGGTTGTATATATTTTTATGGGTACACAGCTAAAACTGTTTTTTTTATTTTGCCCTCACGTTTGAGTAATGGTTTGGCTGGATATGGAATTCCAGGCTTCAATATTTTCTTTCAGAATTCTGTGTATGTTATTTTATCCTTTTGTAACTTTTACGTTAAACATTTTGGTTCTCATACCAAAGAGTTGTCCTCTTAGAAGCTTGTAATTTCCTATTTCTATTTGGAGTTTACAGTTTTCACAAGTATGTGTCTGTGAGTTTACAGTTTTCACAGTCATTATTACCGTTTGCTATTTGGCGGACCATTTTATCTGAGCATATCGATATTATTCTAAAATACTTATTGTGTGTATATGTCTAGTTGTGTGGATATATGCACACATATGTATTTATTATGGATATGTGTGCACATATATATGTCTACACTTGTATATGTGTTTTAAATCCATTTTATCCTGAAGGTTTCATCCATTTAGAACTATTAAGTGAATATTATATTACACTTAATAGAAGTACCTAGCTTTTTTTTGTCTCTTAGGTTTTAATATCCTTATCTTTTTATTCTATAATTTAAAGATTCTTCAGTTTAGTCTTCTAAATTATAATTTGTCTGTAATACGTCTATTTATGATTTTTTTTTTTTCTTTGACAGAGTCTCACTCTGTTACCCAGGCTGGAGTGCAGTGGTGCGATCTAGGCTCACTGCAACCTCGACTTCCCAGGTTCAAGTGATTCTTCTGCCTCAGCCTCCCTAGTAGCTGGGACTACAGGCGTGTGCCACCATGCCCAGCTAATTTTTGGATTTTTTTGGTAGAGATAGGGTTTCACCGTGTTGGCAAGGCTGGCCTCAAACTCCTGACCTCAAGTGATCTGCCCGCCTCGGCCTCCCAAAGTGCTGGAATTACAGGTGTGAGCCACTGCACCCAGCCTAATTTTCTTTTTTTTTTCATAATGATAGTTTTGTTTTTTTAGTTAGCTATGCGGTGCTGATTTGTGTCTTTCTTATCTCCCCTGATTACTCCCTCCCTGCCCTGTCCCCTACTCTCATCCCTACACCTGAGAATATAAGAATTGTAGGTCCTTTCCTCAGAAAGTAATGCCCCTGCGCACATTCACAGAAAATTTTGTACATAATGCGCGATTCTAGAATGTCTAAAAGCTCATTTATGACCTCTAGATCCTTGCTTTTCAAAGTGCTCTTATAGAAACAGCTACATTGGTCCTGTCTGGTAGCTGGTTAGAAATGCTGAATCTCAGGGCCTGTGCCAGATACCAAATTGGAATCTTCATTTTAACAGATCCCTTGTGATTTATTTGATATTCAGGTTTGAGAAGCATTGCTGTAGGAGGTTAGAAACTTCTGTGATGTATGTGATATATATTCTTTTCCTGTTGTGTTACCTTTTACATATCTGGAGTATCATCTACAGCACTTTTAAAAAAAAATCATGACTTGATCACCAAAATTGTAAAGTAGAAATATTTTGAAGTAGTTACAATATAGTATAGTATCTGAATAGCAAGCTATGCTATATGAAGTAGCAGGAGGCAAGCAGGGACTGATGTATACACTCATTCTTGTAACAATAGCAAACAGTTACATAGTAGTTACTATGAGCCAGGCAGCATTCTAATCATTGTGTTTTTGTTTATGTATATGTGTTTGTATATATGTGTCTTAGTCCATTTGGAGCACTGTAACAAAATACCATAGACTGAGTGGCTTATAAAGAATAGAAATTTCTCACAGTTCTGGCGGCTGGGAAGTCCAGCATCGAGGCACTGGCAGATTTGATGTCTGGTAAGGGCTCACTTTCTGATTCATAGACAATGTCTTTTTGCTGTGTCCTCACATGGCAAAAGAGGCTAGCTAGTTCTCTGGGGTCCCTTTTATAAGGACACTAATCCCATTCTTGAGGACAGAGCCCTCATGACGTAATCACCTCATGAGGTACAAAGACTCCACCTCCTAATACTATAACCTTAGGAGTTAGGATTTCAACCATATGAATTTGGGGAAGGATACAAATATTCAGACTCTGCGAATGTATGTATGTATATGTATTTATTTACACAGATTCATTTGCTTATCATTTGTTAATAATGATATATAATGACATATCATTATTAACAAATATATAATATAGTAAGACAGACCTAAGTTTGGATATTAGTTGTATGTCTTAGTTGTGTCCTTGAGCAACTTATTTACCATATCTGAAGTTTAGTTTCTTCATTTGTAAACTGGAGACAATATGTACCTCAAATATTTGTTCTAATAACTAAGTAAATTAAAATTTGGGAAAGTACATTAATTTGGTTATCATTTGTTAAGCAAATGAATCTGTGTAAATAAATACATATACATACATCAGCTTCGATACTATTTCCATTTTACAAATAAGGAAGCTGAGGAACAAAAAGGTTAAGTATCTTAGCCAAGGTCACGTAATTAGTAAATGGAAGATCTAGGATTTGAACCAAGATAGCATAACCTAAAATCTGTGCTCTTAACCATTACACTATATTGTTCTTTTATAGTTGTACTTGGAGATCTCCGTAAACAAAATGCAGCTCAAAAGCAAGCTGATTAATTCCTTATACATTTACCTTTTAAAATTTATTACTAGAACTCATCTGCTTGTGGTGCTGATAGATGAGCCAGACATGCCAGATCATTAATTCTTTCTGAATTACTTTTGGTTTGCTATTAATTGAGATTTCTAAATGGCAAGAAGCTAGATTATTGGATTTTACACTACCTACCCTCAAGGTTTGAAATAAGGTTATTAAATAACTTATGCAAATACTTTCTACATTAAATGTTAATTTTCTCCCATCTCCAGTAGATGGACAAAAGACAATTTATAGAAACAGTAATTGGATGGCTAATAAAATTAGAACAAAGATTAACTTCAAAAGCAGTCAGAGAAATACAAATACCACGTGTTAATTTAGTAAATATATAAAAATGAAACTGTTTTATCAAATATTCAATAAAGACATAAAAATAAAATGTGATTAGTGTTTAATGAAATGAGCATTCATACTTGATAAGTAGAAATGTTGATCTTTGCTGATGGGTTTGTTGGTATTATTTGACATATCATGGCCTTCTTTTCCTTATCACTTTTTTTCATAAACTATTTCCTAATTTTGAACATTAAATTGTTTGCAGTTTTGGTCACATAATGCTGTAATTAACATGCTTTTATCTTTGTTTGAATGTTTATTATGGTTTATAAAAGTAGAATTACTAGGTCAAAGGTTGGAGTGTTTTCCAGGCTCTCATTAAAAATAATACCTAATTTGTATTGAATGCTTACCATGTGTAGTCATTGCTCTAAATGCTTTACATATGTATGAACTCATTTAATCTTTACATCAAAAATATAAGATGGGCCCTATTTTAACTCTGTTTTACAGGAAACTGAGCCACAGTGGAATTAAAATAATTTTCTTAAAGTCACACAGTTAGAGCCAGGATTTGTTTTCCAGAAAGATTATACTACTTTACGCTTCTGCTCGTAGAATTTGAGATTATATACCCTCTTAAGACCTCTGCAGTAAAATGTTGTGATAATTGCACAATAGCAGTGAGCACAACTAGAACCTCTAAATTATGGTCTCTAAATACCATTCCTCACTGAAAGGATCCAAGGGTCATTGGATGAATGACTGATTTCCATTCTAGGGCAGAAAGTACAAGCGAAACCAGGGATGTTCTCTTGTATCAGAAAGCAAGGAAGCTACCAAAGACTAGTAGTTCCAGCCAAAAGGACACAATGGCCAATAAAAAGGGGACTCCCAGTGACCAAAAGATGAGAGAACTTGAACATGATGAAAGAATATAACGAAGGCAGTTGGTTGAAATGTACTGAATTTATAAAAACTCCTTGGTTTATAACAATAGATGTGTAATAAGGAACACAAATACACACCACCACTACAACAACAGTGAATTACTGGATACAGTAAAAACAAATAGGCACTAACTCCATACTCTGATAACAAGCAATTATGAAGAAAGAGGGAAACTTCTTTGCAGAATTTTTGTTAATGAATGTGGAAGTAATGACAGGATTAGAATATCATTTTGCCAACCCTAATGAAATGATTTATTCAGGCTGTGATCATCAGTGGATGAAAGCATTAGACATATGGTCATGTGAGAACTTCTCAATGGAGGAATCAGTCTGCCCTACCTGGACCTATTGCTTAATCTGAGTCTTATGAAAAGTAGGGTAAGGAGACAGTGTATGTCTTCTTCTGTCATACGTATGAAACATACAGCATAAGCTCTGAAGTTTTCCAGCCAAAAATGTTGAGCCTGTGTCAAATTAAGATCAAGCTTCTGTAGCAGGGTTTGGCAAAACACGGCCTTTCAGTCAAATTCTACCTAATGACTGTTTTCAAATAACGTTGTTTTGTTTTGTTTTTTAAACACAGCCACTCTGAATAATTTACATATTGTCTGTAGCTGCTTTTGTGCTGCAGTGACAGAGTTGAGTAGTTGCAACAGAAACCGTATGGCCCACAGAGCCTAAAATATACTAGCTTGTCCTTTCACAGAAAAGGCTTCCTGATCCTTGAGCTAGATGAACCAAAGTTAAGTGACATCAGAAAGAAGCAACACCACAAAATATGGGCCTTCTACGGGACAGCTGATGTGGCTTCTTTAACTAGTCAGTGGTATGGAAAATGAGGGAGTATCACTCTAGGCTAAGAGAGACTTAAGCGCAACAACCAAATGAAATCTCGAGACTGTTTTGATCCTGCTTCAAATAAGCAAACTGAAAAAACAGGAGACAACCAGGAAAATCTGATTATTGCCTGGCTATATTAAATGTCATCAAGATTTATTATGAATTTTAAGTAGTAGCATTATAGATAGCTGGATAACATATTTTGAGAGATATGTATGTTGAAGTATATGGAGGTAAAATGATATGTGGCATTTGCTTCAACATACTTCACAAAAAGAAAAATACAGCAAAGACAAATTGATCTCAAGATTCTTTGATGTCAAGGCTCATATACTTTATACTGTATCATCATGCCATCATTACTATCTATGGTAGGTTTTAGTGTTGCCTCCTAGGTTGCTGTGCACAACAGCTACCAACCTCTCTTTTAAATGCCCTAATTCCTTGGTTTCTTTGTCAATGTAAGCACACCGTTGTGTGCTTACTCCTGTTTCCACTATATCTAAGCACGATTGACAGAGGGACATCCATCAAGACTGGATCTGTATCTTCTGGTCTTGGTGGTAGAAGAGCCTCATATTTGATACTTGATTCTGTTCTTCAGTAACTGTGAGATTTAGTCCTGACAGGTTAATTTTTTAGTCTCAACATCCTGGGCCTTTAAAGGGGGAATATCAGTTACTCCTGGAATTGTTTCAAAATTAAAGGATACGTTTGTTCTGTAAATAATGAAATTATTAACCCAAATGAGACCCATAAATATTTTGGAAGGTATAGTGAGGGAATTGATGCATGATCTTTATAATAAGACAGACCTAAGTTTCTATATTAGTTGTATGTCTTAGTCGTGTCCTTGAGCAAGTTATTTACTTATCTGAAGTTTAGTTTCTTCATTGGTAAACTGGAGACAATATCTACCTCAAATATTTGTTCTAATAACTAAGTAAATTAAAATTTGGGAAAGTACATAGTATAGCAACAGATACATGCTAATTAAATATTTTTTCTTTTTTTTCATTTGGGGAAATATACCTGTATAGTGTAGCTAGACATATTTACAATGGATAACTTAAAAAACTTTTTTTGAATATCAAATGGTATGATTAACAAGAATTATGCAGAACTTATGTGAAGAAAATTCCTGTAACATAAAGAGGATACTAAATAGAGAGATATCCTTTTTTTTGGATAGGCATGTACAATATTGTTAAGAGGTCCTTTCTCTCTAAACTATTTTTTTTTAATTAAAAAAGTTTTTATTTCAATAGGCTTTTGGGGAACAGATGGTGTTTGGTTACATGAATAAGTTGTTTAGTGGTGATTTCTGGGATTTTGGTGCACCCGTCCCAAGCAGTGTATGCTATGCCAAATTACCCAGTGTGTAGTCTTTTATCGCTCACCCCTCCTCACTCTTTTCCCCCGAGTCCCCAAAGTCCATTGTATCATTCTTATGCCTTTGAGCCCTCATAGCTTAGCTCCCATTTATGAATGAGAACATAAAATGTTTGATTTCTCCATTCCTGAGTTACTTCACATAGAATAATGGTCTCTAATTCCATCCAGGTTGCTGCAAATGCCATTATTTTGTTCTTTTTTATGGCTGAGTAGTATTCCATGGTATATGTATACCACATTTTCTTTATCCACTTGTTGATTGATGGGACTTTGCACTGGTTCCTCATTTTTGCAATTGTGAATTGTACTGCTATAAATATGCATGTGCAAGTATCTTTTTCATATGACTTCTTTTCCTCTGGGTAGATACCTAGTAGTGGGATTGCTGTATCAAATGGTAGATCTACTTGTAGTTCTTTAAGTAATCTCCACACAGTTTTCCATAGTGCTTGTACTAGTTTACATTCCCACTGGCAATGTAAAAGTGTTCCCTGTTCACCACATTCCATGCCAATATCTGTTATTTTATGATTTCTTGATTATGGCCACTCTTGCAGGAGTAAGGTGGTACTGCATTGTGGTTTTGATTTGCATTTCCCTGATCATTAGTGATGTTGAGCATTTTTTTCATGTTTATTGGCCATTTGTATATCTTCTTTAAAGAATTGTTTATTCATGTCCTTAGCAGACTTTTCAATAGGATTATTTGTTTTTTTTTTTCTTACTGCTCTGAGTTCCTTGTAGATTCTAGATATTAGTCCTTTGTTGGATGCATAGTTAGGGAAGATTTTGTCCCACTCTGTGGGTTGTCTGTTTACTCTGCTGATTATTTCTTTTGCTTTGCAGAAGCTTTTTAGTTTAATTAAGTCCCATCTATTTGTCTTTGTTTTTGTGGCATTTGCTTTTGGGTTCTTTGCCATGAAGTCTTTGCCTAAGCCAGTGTCTGGAAGGGTTTTTCAAATGTTATCTTCTAGAATTTTTATGGTTTCAGGTCTTAGATTTAAGTCCTTGATCCATGTTGAGTTGATTTTTGCATAAAATGAAAGATGAGGATCCAGTTTCATTCTTCTACATGTGACCTCCCAATTATCCCAGCATCATTTGTTGAATAGAGTGTGCTTTCCCCACTTCATACATGTTTTTGTTTGCTTTGTCAAAGATCAATTGACTGTAAGTGTTGGGCTTTATTTCTGGGTTCTCTATTGTGTTCCATTGGTCTACGTGCCTTTTTGTTTGTTTGTTTCTGTTTTTTTTTGTTTGTTTGTTTTTGATGAAGTCTTACTCTGTCACACAAGCTGGAGTGCAGTGGTGTGATCTCAATTCACTGCAGCCTTCGCCTCTGGGGTTCAAACAATTCTTCTGCCTCAGCCTCCTGAGTAGCTGGGACTACAGGTGTGCACCACCACTCCTGGCTAATTTTTGTATATTTAGTAGAGACAGGGTTTCACCATGTTGGCCAGGCTGGTCTTGAACTTCTGACCTCAAGTGATCCTCCCGCTTTGGCCTCCCAGAGTGGTGGGATTACAGGAGTGAACCACTGCGCTAGGCCTATATGCCTACTTTTATATCAGTACCATGCTGTTTTGGTGACTGTAGCCTTACAGTATAGTTTGAAGTCAGGTCATGTGATGCCTCTAGATTTGTTCTTTTTGCTTAGTCTTGCTTTGGCTATGTGAGCTCTTTTTTGGTTTCATATGAATTTTAGGATTATTTTTTCTAGTTCTGTGAAAAATGATGGTGGTATTTTGATGGGAATTGCTTTGAATTTGTAGACTGCTTTTGGCAGTATGGTCATTTTCACAATGTTGATTATACCTATCCATGAGCATGGGATGTGTTTCCTTTTGTTTGTGTGGTCTGTGATTTCTTTCAGCAGTGTTTTGTAGTTTTCCTTGTAGAGGTCTTTCACCTCCTTGGTTAGGTATATTCCTAATTTTTTTTTTTTTTAGCTATTGCAAATTGGGTCCTTGATTTAATTATCAGCCTGGTTACTGTTGGTGTATAGTGGTGCTACTGATTTGTGTAGATTAAATTTGTATCCTGAAACTTTCCTGAATTCATTTATCAGTTCTAGGAGCTTTCGGGATGAATTTTTAGGGTTTTCTGGGTATGGGATTATATCATTGGCAAACAGCGACAGTTTGACTCCCTTTTTACCAATTTGGATGCCCTTTGTCTCTTGTCTGATTGCTCTGGCTAAGACTTCCAGTACTATGTTGAATAGAAGTGGTGAAAGTGGGCATCCTTGAATAGAAGTAGTCAAAGTGCGCAATCTTGTTCCTGTTCTCAGGGGAAATGCTTTCAACTTTCCCCGTTCAGTATAATGTTGGCTATGGGTTTGTCATAGATGGCTTTTATTGCCTTAATGTATGTACCTTCTATGTTGATTCCACTGCGGGTTTTAATTATAAAGGGATGCTGTATTTTGTCAAATGCTTTTTCTGTGTCTATTGAGATGATTGTGATTTTTGTTTTTAATTTTTGTTTATGTGGTGTATTACATTTATTGACTTGTGTATGTTAAACTATTTCTGCATTTCTGATATGAAACCCACTTGATCATGGTGGGTTATCTTTTTATATGCTATTGGATTTGGTTAGCTGGTATTTTGTTGGGGGTTTTTGTATCTGTGGTCATCAGGGATATTGGTCTGTAGTTTTCTTTGTTATGTCCTTCCCTGGTTTTGTTATTAGGGTGATGCTGGTGGCTTCATAGAATGATGTAGGGAAGATTCCTTCTTTCTCTATCTTTGGAATAGTGTTAATGGGATTGGTACCAATTCTTCTTTGAATGTGTGATAGAATTCAGCTGTGAATCCGTCTGGTCTTGGACTTTTTTTTGTGAACAATTTTTTAATTATTTCAGCCTTGCTGCTTGTTATTGATCTGTTCAGAGTTTCTGTTTCCTCCTATTTTTCAGGAATTTATTCATCTTCTCTAGGTTTTCTCATTTGTGTGCATAAAGGTGTTTGTAGTAGCCTTGAATGATCTTTTGTATTTCTGTGATATCAGTTGTAATATCTCCCATTTCATTTCTAATTAAGCTTATTTGGATCTTCTCTCTTCTTGCTTAATCTCACTGATGGTCTGTTAATTTTATTTATCTTTTCAAAGAACCAGCTTTTTGTTTATATATATTTTGTATTGTTTTTATTTGTTTCAAATTCATTTAGTTCTGCTCTGATCTTTGTTTCTTTTCTTCTGCTGGGTTTGTTCTTGTTTCTCTAGTTCCTTGAGATGTGACCTTAAGTTGTCTATTTGTGTTCTTTCAGACTTTTTGATGTAGGCAGTTAATGTTATGAATTTTCCTCATAGCACTGCTTTTGCTGTATTCCAGAGGTTTTGATAGGTTGTGTCACTATTGTGCCATTCAAATAATTTTTAAATTTCCATCTTGATTTCATTGTTGACCCAATTATCATTCAGGAACAGGTTATTTAATTTCCATCCATTTGCATGGGTTTGAGGATTCCTTTTGGAGTTGATTTCCAATTTTATTCCACTGTAGTCTAAAAGAGAACTTGATGTAATTTTTATTTTCTTAAATTTATTGAGACTCGTTTGTGGCCTTTCATTTGGTCTATCTTGGAGACTGTTCATGTGCTGATGAATAGAATGTATATTCTACAGTTGTTGGGTGGAATATCCTGTAAATATCTGTTAAGTCCATTTGTTTTAGGGTATAGTTGAAGTCCATTGTTTCTTTGTTGACTTTCTGTCTTGATGACCTATCTAGTGCTGTCAGTAGAGTATTGAAGTCTGCCACTAATATTGTGTTGCTCTCTATCTCATTTCTTAGGTCTATTAGTAATTGTTTTGTAAATTTGAGAGCTCCAGTGTTAGGTGCATATATATTTAGGATTGTGATATTTTCCTTTGGACTAGTCCTTTTATCATTATATAATGTCCCTCTTTGTGTTTTTATTTATTTATTTCTTTTTTACTGTTGTTGCTTTCAAGTTTATGTTGTCTGATATAAGAATAGCCATTTCTGCTCACTTTTGGTCTCCATTTGCATGGAATATCTTTGTGAGTGTTTATGTTTCAGATGAGTCTCTTGCAGACAGCAGATACGTGGTTGGCGAATTCTTATCTATTCTGGCATTTTATGTCTTCTAAGTGGAGGATTTAGGCCATTTACCTTCGATGTTGGTATTGAAATGCGAGGTACTATTCTTTTCATCATGCTATTTGTTGCCTGAATACCTTGTTTGTTTTCATTGTGTTATTTTTCATTGTGTTATTTCATTGTGTTTCATTGTGATATTTCATTGTGTTTTATAGGTCCTTTGAGATGTATGGTTTAAGGAGGTTTTATTTTGGTATATTTCAAGGATTGGTTTCAAGATTTAGAGCTCCTTTTAACAGTTCTTGTAGTGTTCACTTGGTAGTGGCAAATTCTCTCAGCATTTGTTTATCTAAAAAAGGCTGTATCTTTCATTTATGAAGCTTAGTTTTGCTGGATACAGAATTCTTGGCTGATAGTTGTTTTGTTTAAGGAGGCTAAAGATAGGACCCCAATCCCTTCTAGCTTGTAAGGTTTCTGCTGAGAAATCTGCTGTTAATCTGATAGGTTTTACTTTATAGGTTACCTGATGCTTTTGCCTCACAGCCCTTAGAATTCTTTCCTTCATCTTGACTTTAGATAACCTGATGACTGTGTGCCTAGGTGATGATCTTTTTATGATGAATCACCTGAGTGTTCTTTGAGCTTTGTATTTCAACGTCTAGATCTCTAGCAAAGTCAGGGAAGTTTTCCTTGATTATTCCCTCAGATATGTTTTCCAAACTTTCAGATTTCTATTCTTCCTCAGGAACACCGATTATCCTTAGGTTTGGTCATTTAACATAATCCCAAATTTCTTGGAGTCTTTGTTCATTTTATTTTTAATTCTTTTTTCCTTGTTTATATCAGATTGGATTAATTTGAAAGCCTTGTCTTCAAGCTCTGAAGTTTTTTCTTCTACTTGTTCTGTTGTTTCAATTTTCCAATGTATTTTCCATTTCTCTAAGTGTGCCCTTCATCTCCAGAAGTTGTGATTGTTTTTTATTTATGCTATCTATTTATCTGGAGATTTTTCTGGCCATATCCTGTAACATTTAAAAAAAAAATCTTAAAGTTGGTATTCACCTTTCTCTGATGCCTCTTTGAGTAGCTTAATAATCGACCATCTGAATTCTTTTTCTGGCAAGTCAGAGATTTCTTCTTGGTTTGGATCCATTGCTGGTGAGCTAGTGTGATCTTTTGGGGGTGTTAAAGAACTTTGTTTTGTTATAGTGCCAGAATTTTTTTTCTGGTTCTTTCTAATTTGGATAGACTATGTCAGAGGGAAGATCTCGGGCTCAAGGGCTGCTGCTCAGAGTCATTTTTCCCATGGGTTGCTCCCTTGATGTGGTGTTCTCTCCCTTCCCGTAGTATTCCTGAGAGGTGAACTGCAGTGATTCTTGTTTCATTTGTGGGTCTAGCCACCCAGCAGAGCTACCAGGCTCTGGCCTGGTACTGGGGAGTGTCTGCAATAAGTCCTGAGATGTGATCCATCTTCAGGTCTCTCAGCTATGGATACCAGCATCTTTCCAGTGAACATAACATGGGAGTGAAGTGGACTCTGTGAGGGTCCTTGATTGTATTTTTGTTTAGTGCACTGGTTTTTTGTTTGTTGGCCTCCAGCCAGGAGGTGGCACTTTCAAGAGAGCATCAGCTGTGGTAGTGTAAGGAGGATACAAGCTTGCCCTAAGGTCACCTGGATAAGGTTTCTCAGGCAGTGGGTGGGACCACAGAGCTCCCAAGAGATTATGTCCTTTGTTTTTTGGCTACCAGGCAGGTAGAAAAAGATCATCAGGTGGGGGCAGGGTTAGGTGTGGCCGAGCTCAAACTCTCCTTGGGCAAGGCTTGCTGCAGCTGCTGTGGGGAATGAAGGTGTAGTTCTCAAGCCAATGGAGTTACGTACCCAGGAGGATTATGGCTGCCTCTGCTGTATCATACAGGTCGCCAGGGAAGTGGGGGAAAGCCAGCAATGACAGGCCTTACCCAGCTCCCATGCAGCCTGAAAGGCCGGTTTCACTCCCACCGTGCTTCTCCAACAGCACCAAGTTTATTTCCAGGCAGCCGGTGAGCAAGGCTGAGAACTTGGCCCAGTCTACAAACTTCCCTGCTGAGAAAGCAAGCAGGGCTTTCAGGTTTCATGCCTCTGCCCCTGCCAAGACTTCTGTGCATGTATCTGCACTCCCCATTTTCCCCCTCCCCCGGATTCTGTCCAGTAAACTTCACATTCAGTTGAAATTGTTACAAAGTTCAACTGGAAGTTTCCTTCTCCCTGTGGTTTTTTGCCAGTTTCACTGGCAGCCCTCCCCAAGGACCCCTGGAAGACAAAGTCAGAAATGGCTTCCCTGTGGACCTAGAGTGCCCACAGGGCTCTTCCCACTGCTTCCTGTACCCCTATATTTCACTCAGCTTTCTAAATTAATCTCAGCTCCAGGTAAGGTCAAGTTCTTTTCCCATGATCTGGACCAGTGAGGATGTGCATTTAGGGGCAAACGTTCCCCCCTCACACTTTGGGCACTCACAGTTTTTGGCTATCTCACAGAGCCTGCAGCAGCAAGCAGCTTCATTCAAAGGATCTGTGGATTCTCTAGGCTTTCTTGGTATGTTTCTGTGGTAGTTCTTGGAGCAAAAGTTCATGACATGGGTCTCCACACACTGCTCTGTCTGTCTGAGTGGGAGCTGCAAGTTAGTCCTGCCTCCTGTGCACCATTTTTTTTCTTACATTGGATAACTTTTATCAATTATGTGAAAAAGGATAATTCTCTGCTTCACATGTGATATTTCTGTAGAAAAATGCCAAGCTGACAGGTTAACTGGAAGATAGTACTTTAAGGTTCCATGAAAGAGTAGGTAAGCTATGAGATGACTTAAGTAGAAGTAAGTGAAAAGTTAGCTATTTGCTGAGAGAAAAAAAAAATTGTATTTTTAGTAGAGAAGGGGTTTCCCCATGTTGGTCAGGCTGGTCTCGAACTCCCAACCTCAGATGATCTGCCCGCCTCGGCCTCCCAAAGTGCTGGGATTACAGGCATGAACCACCACGCCCGGCAAAAAAAAAAAAACAACAAAAAAAAGACATATTTATACATTTATTAGATTGATGGGCTATAAGCTGTTAAGAACCCAGGAGTCACTGAAGATCAAAAATGGTAAATTTAAAAAATGCCATTTTCTTGGTATCCCCATCCCCAACAAGTTCTAAAGCTAATGCAGAGCAAAGTCCCTTACAATCTAAAGACTGAAGCTGCTCAAAATGTAAAATATTTGATAGTCATTTACCAAACATTTTGAAAGACAGTGATAATAAATTTCTCTCTAATTCAAGGGAATAGTTGGGTTT
The DNA here is from genome assembly GCF_000001405.40 of Homo sapiens. Classification (NCBI taxonomy): domain Eukaryota; kingdom Metazoa; phylum Chordata; class Mammalia; order Primates; family Hominidae; genus Homo; species Homo sapiens. The sequence continues at coordinate 104,552,097 of NC_000008.11, read as the reverse complement.
GAAATCTTCCACTTGTGGCTTTCTGACTTCGTTCACTCGTGGAAGAATGCCTAGCTTTCTCTTTATACATTCTTTATCCTTTTCCTTCTCTCCTCTTACTTACAGTATCATATGAAACCAAATTGTTAATTATGCAGAGGATGTTTCATGCCTAATTCCAAAATCTGATAATTTTTATTCATTAAAACAACAAACATTTACTGAGATCTCACTGTGTCATAAATTGGGAGATGGTTGCTGGGGAATAGCAAGGCAGGGAGAAAGAGAGTAAGAAAGAAAAGGAAGGAGAGAAGAAAGAAGGGGAGAAGGACTTTCTTTGCCCTGAGGTAGTCAACATTTAGTGTGGAAGACTAGCAGTTAAAATGTGGTACATATGTATATGGAATACTACACAGCCATAAAGAACAAAATCATGACTTTTGCAGCAACATGAATGCAGCTGGAGGCCATAATCGTAAGAGGATTAGCACAGGAACAGAAAACCAAATATCGCATATTCTCACGTTTAAGTGGGAGCTAAACATTCACAGACGTAAAGATGGGAACAGTAGACACTGGGGACTACTAGAGGTAGGAGGGAGAGGGATGTGGGTTAAAAAACTACCTGTTGGGTACTATGCTCACTATCTGGGTGATAGGATCTATACTCCAAACCTCAGCATCACACAATCTACCCATGTAACAAACCTGCACATATACCCCCAGTATCTAAAAGTTGAAATTATTTTTAAATATTGATAACCCCAAAATATGATGAGGATTGTGGTAGTAATATGCTTATAACTCAATACGTACTAATACAATGTACTATGTGAGCATCAAGGAGGACCCCTAACTCATCCTAAGGTAGACAGAATTGTATTTCCTGAACTGGGTTGAAGGAGTTAGAGAGTAACCAGTGGCAATGCACTCAACTTTTCCATGCAAAGGGTACATCATATTCAACAATGGCAAAATTTCAGAAACTGTATGTATTTTAGTAGTGCTGAATCCAAAATATATAAGTACAAGGTAAAGGCAGAAAAGAAGTAGCAAAATTTAAGGGATGGAGAGATAGAAGAGCCAGATTATGGTGAGCCTTAGAGACTCTTAACACATGGAAGGAATTGAACTAGTTACAGTTTTATAAGCTGAAGGTTAATGTCAGATGTACCTTTAAAAAAGATCTCTGGTAGCATTGCAAAGAATGATAGAGGATTCATGAGAGAATAGTGCAAAAAGGATCAAAGAGTTGTGAGACCAAAAGTAGGAAAACCAGTTTGCAAGCTAATTCATTTATTTATACATTCAGCAAATATTCATTGACTGTCTAATATGAACCAGGCACTATTCTGTGTTCTGCCCCTTTGAAGCTTATATTTAATGCAGTAAGAAGGAAAGAAATATCAAAGACATGGAATAAAGAAATAGCAGGAGGGTTGGAAAGAACTGAGAACTTAATATATAGTGCATGAAGGGAAGGAAGGAAGGAACGATAAGGAAGAAACTGAAATGACTTCCAGGTTCCTACTTGAACAACTGGGAGATGCTGGTGTCATTCACCAAGGTAAGGAATATAAGAGGAAGAGCAGACTGAGGGTAGATAAGAGTTTAGTCTCACACCTACCTAGTTTGAGATACCTAGGACATTAAGGCAAAACTGTACAGTAGAAAGTTAAAAGACAGTATTTATTGTAAAAATTGGACTAACACCTCCTTCATAAGGTGATTGTGAAATTAAATGTACTGAAACGTGGAAATTCCTTAGACCATCATTTGGTACATAGTACATACGTTAGCTGCTATTATTATTTCAAGATTATGGGCTTTGAGCTAGACAAATTTGCTTAAATACTGGTAGCACCACTTGCCACTTTTGTTACCTTGAACAAGTCTCTTCTTTGAGTCTTTTTTTCTGCATGTAAAACTGGAATAGTATCTATTTTAGAGGGGTGCTGTAAGAATTAGTAATGATGTATGAAAAGTACCGACTACAGTGACTGGCACAGTATAAGTGCTCAGTGACTACTGGGAGTCAAATAAAAAAATTGCAGTTTAGGAGAAAGTTCAGATTAGGGGTTGAAATTTGGGATCTATCAATATGGAGTACTTGAACCTTTGAACATGTATGCTGAGAACAGACTTTCTAGAAAGGGAAAGGATAATATGCCAAAAGATCCCTGAATAGTTGGAAAGAGAGGCGATTTACTAAGAATAGTGGTTGAGGAAGTTTGTTGGAAACTTGACGCAAATAATGGAGGGCTGATAGAGTTTTCAAGGGCATTGGAGATAGAGCTGAGTCAATTATTTAAAGGTTATTCAATAGCATTGAGTATCCAGATGAATTGAAACCATGAATTTACAGTGATACTGTTCTTTGTAGTTATATGGTTTTCTCCAACTTTAAGAAAAGTGGAGGCCGGGCTCGGGGGCTCACGCCTGTAATCCCAACACTTTGGGAGGCCGAGGCGGGCGGATCATGAGGTCAGGAGATCGAGACCATCCTGGCTAACACGGTGAAACCCCATCTCTACTAAAAATACAAAAAATTAGCCAGGTGCGGTGGCAGGCGCCTGTAGTCCCAGCTACTTGGGAGGCTGAGGCAGGAGAATGGCATGAACCCGGGAGGCAGAGCTTGCGGTGAGCCGAGATCGTACCACTACACTCCAGCCTGGGCGACAGAGCAAGACTCTGTCTCAAAAAAAAAAAAAAAAAAAAGTGGATTCAGAGTTGATGTTTTTTAGGATAAAGTGTTTTCTAAGTAGGTCATTGGTATCCGTTTCCACATGAGCTTCAGATGTGCTAGGGGTAAAAGCTAGATTGAGGAGGGTTCAGGAGTAAATGATAGGTAAGGAAGCTCTATTAATCAGTATAGATTCTTCTTTCAAAAACTTTGGCTGAGAAAGACCAAAATAGGAAAATGTAAGGAAGGAGGTGCACTGGCAAGAAAGTAGTGGTTTTGCTTTTGTTTTTTAATGGACAGGAATTACTTGAATGTATATTTAAGAGGAAACAAGGGAACCAAAAGAGAGGAAAGAAAGGTCTGAAGTTGAAGCAAAGAGATGGGCTAATGAATGACTCCAGGATCCAGAGTGACCTTAGACCTAGTATGTCCTTGACACTCATTGTAAAGCCTCTGATAAACTTGAGATTCATATTTATTTATTTATTTATTTATTTTTGACGGAGTTTTGCTCTTGTTGTCCAGGCTGGAGTGCAATGGCGCAGTCTCAGCTCTCTACAGCCTCCTGAATTCAAGCGATTCTCTTGCCTCAGCCTCCTGAGTAGCTGGGATTACAGGCATGCACCACCACACCCAGCCAGTTTTGCATTTTTAGTAGAGACGGGGTTTCTCCATGTTGGTCAGGCTGGTCTCGAACTCCCAACCTCAAGTGATCCGCCTGCCTCCCAAAGTACTGGGATTACAGGCGTGAGCCACTGCACCCATATTAATTATATAATAATTATATAATTAATTTAATTATATAATAATTATATAATTAATTTAATTATATAATTCTATATTATATACAAAATATAATATAGAATTATAATTCTATATCATATACAAAATATAACATAGAATTATATATTAGATACAAAATATAATATAGAATTATATATTAGATACAAAATATAATATAGAATTATATATTAGATACAAAATATAATATAATATAGAATTATATATTTTAATTATTAATATATCATATATTTATATAATATATATTATATATTTATATAATATATTTATATAATATATATTATATATTTATATATTTATATAATATATATTATATATTTATATAATATATATTATATAAATATATGATATATTAATATAATATATATCATATATTAATATAATATATATCGTATATTAATATAAATATATCATATATTAATATAAATATATCATATATTTATATATATATTATATATTATATTATATATAATAATTATTAATATATAATATAATTATAATTATATATTATATACAAAATATAATATAACAGAATTATATACAAAATATAATATAACAGAATTATATATTATATACAAAATATAATATAACAGAATTATATATTATATACAAAATATAACAATTATATATTATATACAAAATATAACAATTATATATTATATACAAAATATAACAATGGTATATACAAAATATAACATTGAATTGTATATTATATACAAAATATAACAGAATTGTATATTATATACAAAATGTAATATAACAGAATTGTATATTATATACAAAATATAACATAGAATTATATATTATATACAAAGTATATAGAATTATATATAATATATAATTATATATTATATACAAAATATAATATAGAATTATATATTATATATGATTATATATTATATACAAAATATAACATAATATAGAATTATATATAATATATGATTTTATATTATACAAAATATAATATAGAATTATATTATATTTTAATTATTAATATATATTTATTATATATTAATATATTATATATTAATAATTATTATATATTATATATTAATATATAATAATTATTAATATATAATATGTAATTATATATTATATACAAAATATAACAATTATATATTATATACAAAATATAATATAACAGAATTATATATTGTATACAAAATATAACAGAATTATATATTATATACAAAATATAACAGAATTGTATATTATATACAAAATATAACAGAATTGTATATTATATACAAAATATAACAGAATTGTATATTATATACAAAATATAACAGAATTGTATATTATATACAAAATATAACAGAATTGTATATTATATACAAAATATGATATAACAGAATTGTATATTATGTACAAAATATGATATAACAGAATTGTATATTATATACAAAATATAACAGAATTGTATATTATATACAAAATATGATATAACATAGAATTGTATATTATATACAAAGTATGATATAACATAGAATTGTATATTATATACAAAGTATGATATAACAGAATTATATATTATATACAAACTATGATATAGAATTGTATATTGTATACAAAGTATGATATAATATAGAATTGTATATTATTTATAATTATATATTATATACAGAATATATAATTATATATTATATACAAAATGTATAGAATTATATATGATATATAATTATATATTATATACAAAATATAATATATAATTATATATAATTATATAATATATATAATAATAATTATAAGAAGAATAATTATAAGAAGAATAATTATAAGAATGAAGAGGGCCTGGGATCAGTCTCCGAATGACAGGGGAAGGTAGTGGGCACTGGGCACCTAAAAATGGCATGCCTCTTCTAAAAGAGGTCAGCCACAGATCCAGCTCAGTAAGTATGTATGCAGAAATAGATGTACACAGATACTAATTTTTTTTCAAAAGAAGCCCCGAAATTCAGTATTTTTAGGTGAAAACTCAATTTTTAATGTTGGAGTTGGGTAAATCTGGATTTGAGTCTGTCTCTGCCACTTACTAGCTGTAGAATTGTCTAAGTTAATTGTATGAGAAAACCTGAGTGAGTTTTCGCATCCATAATGTGGGGACGATGGAATCTATTCTTACAACTTTAGAAGGTAGATTTAATAATACATCATGAATTCGTACAATGTGTAATGTTTATTAAATGTTGACTGTGATTAGTGGTTGTCCAGCTTTAAAGGTGTGGGAGCGGGATTGATTACAAGGGAACATCAGAGAGCTTTTTTGGGTTATGGAAATGTTTTGTGTCTTGATTGTAGTGTTGGTTGCTTGACTGGACATATTTGTTCGCACTTATCAAACCCTTGAAGTTGATGGATTTTTTGCATATAAGTTATACCTCAACAAAGCTGATTTTATAAAGATAACTGCCTTTCCCTTTTCTGTGTACTCCAGTTACATCAACTGTTAATAAAATAGAGTTGATACCAAAGGTTTCTAACATTTTTATCGCTAGTCTCTTACTGTCCCCTCTGAGCCCCAGTTACAAGCCCCACAGTGTGAAAGATCTTGCCCACTGGGAAACAAGAAAGAAAAAACTACCTTTATTAGTCCAATATACTCTTCTCCTATACTGTGCAAACCATGTACTGGATTTATCAATTTGGGTACTGTGCTTGATACATAATATGAGTAAAGCAGGTCACTTAGTTACTTTGCAGAAGTGTTATAATATAATCTACAAGCTAATTACCCACTGTTTAGTAATAAGCTATAAAACTTAATAAACCAAGAAGAAAAATTAGAAGCATAAGTAATATACAGGCATACATCAGAGATATGGTTTGGTTCCAGACCTCCACAATAAAGTGAATGTCACAATAAAGTGAGTCACGTGTATTTTTTGGTTTTCCAGTGCATATAAAAGTTATGTTTATACTATACTGTAGTCTGTTAAGTATGCAATGACATATCTAAAAAATATATATACCTTAATTTAAAAATATTTTATTGCTTCGAAATTCTAATGATCATCTGAGCCTTTAACAAGTTACAATTCTTCTCTTGGTTAAAGGTCTTGCCTCAGTGTTGATGGCTGCTGACTGTCAGGGTAGTGGTTGTTGAAGATTGCAGTAGCTGTAGCAATTTCTTAAAATAAGACAGCAATGAAGTTTGTCACATCAGAAACCTTCATAAAAGCTTTCTCTGTAGCATGTGATGCTGTTTGATAGCCTTTTGCCCACAGTAGAATGTCTTTCAAAATAGGGGTCAGTCTTTTCAAACCCTGCTGCTGCTTTATCAACTAAGTTTATGTAATATTCTAAATCTTTTGTTGTCATTCCAACAATGTTGACAGCATCTTCCCTAGGAATAGATTGCATCTGAAGAAACCACTTTCTTTGCTGATCCCTAAAAAACAACTCCTCATCCATTAAAGTTTTCTCTGGAGATTGTAGCAATTCAGTCACATATTCAGGCTCTACTTCTAATTCTAGTTCTGTTGCGATTTCCACCACGTCTGCAGTTTCTTCCTCCACTGAAGCCTTGAAACACCTCAGAGGTCATACATGAGGGTTGGAATCAACTTCATCCAAGCTCCTGTTAGGTTACAGTTCATTGACCTCCAATGGAATCATGAATGTTCTTAATGACATCTAGAATGGTGAATCCTTTTGAGAGGTTTCAATTTACTTTGCCTGGATCCCATCAGAGGACTCGCTGTGGCAGCCATAGCCTTACAAAATGTGTTTCCTAAATAATAGGCTTGAAAGTTGAAATTACTCCTGATTCATGGGCAGCAGAGTGGATGTTGTGTTAGCAGGCATGGAAATATGTGGATTTCCTTATATATCTCCATCAGCGCTATTGGGTGACCAGGTGAATTGCCAGCAAGCAGGAATATTTTGAAAGGAATCTTTTTTTCTGAGCGGATGGTCTCAAGAGTGGGCTTAAAATATTCAGTAAACAATGCTGTAAACAGATGTTTACAATGTGCTGTCACCCAGGCTTTGTTCAAGCAGAGCAGATTTAGCTTAATTCCTAAGGGCCCTAGGATTTTTGGAATGGTAAATAATCATTAGCTTCAACTTAAAGTCACGAGCTGCATTAGCCTGCAACAGGAGAGTCAGCTTGTCCTTTGAAGCTTTGAAGCCAGGCATTGATATCTTCTCTCTCGCTAGGAAAAGTCCTAGATGACATCTTCTTCCAATAGAAGGCTGTTTCATCTACATTGAGAATCTGTTGCCTCGTGTAGCCACCTTCATTAGTGATCTTAGCTAGATCTTCTAGATAACTTGCAGCAGTGTCTCCATCAGTACTTACAGCCTCACCTTGCACTTTTATGTTATGTAGAGTGCTTCTGTCCTTAAACATCATGAACCAACCTCTGCTAGATTCCAACTTTTCTTTTGAAGCCGCCTCACCTCTCTCAGCCTTCGTAGAATTGAAGTGTTCTGTGTGCCTTGCTCTGTGTTAGGCTTTGGCTTAAGGCGATGTTGTGGCTGGTTTGATCTTCTTTCCAGACCATCAAAACTTTCTCTCTATCAACAGTAAGGTTGTTTTGCTTTCTTATCATTTGTGTTTTCACTGGAGTTGCACTTTTAATTTCTTTTAGAAACTTTTTCTTTTGCATACACAACTTGACTAACTCTTTAGCTTTCAGCTAGACCTTCCTTAATTAATAAAGGCCTTCCTTACTAATCTTCATTTTTGTTGTTGTTGTTTTGTTTTGTTTTGAGATGGAGTGTCACTTTGTCGCCCAGGCTTGTGTGCAGTGGCGAGATCTCGGCTCACTGCAACCTCCGCCTCGCAGGTTCAGGTGATTCTACTGCCTCTCCCTCCCAAGTAGCTGAGATTACAGGCATGCGCCACCACGCCTAGCTCATTTTTGTGTTTTCAGTAGAAACAGGGTTTCACCATGTTGTCAAGGCTGGTCTTGAACTCCTGACCTCAGGTGATCCACCCACCTTGGCCTCCCAAAGTGCTGGAATTACAGGTGTGAGCCACTGTGCCCAGCCCATTTATAGCTTTTGATTTAAAGTGAGAAATGTGTGAGTGTTCCTTTTACCTGAACACTTAGAGATCATTATAAGGTTATTAATTGGCCTAATTTCAATATTGTTGTGTCTCAGGGAAGAGGGAGGCCCGAGGAGAGGGAGAGACAGCTTGTTGATGGAACAATCAGAACACACACAGTATTCGTCAGTTAAGTTTACCCTCTTTTATAGGCACAGTTCATGTTATGGCACCTCAAAGCAATTACAGTCGTAACATCAAAGATCTCAGATCACAGATCACCATGACAAATACAATAGTAATGAAAAAGTTTTAAATATTACAAGAATTGCCAAAATGTGACAACAGAGACCTAAAGTGACCTCATTCTCTTGGAAAAATGGTACTGATAGACTTGCTCTATGTAGGGATGCCACAAACCTCCAATTTGGTAAACAAAACAACAACAGAAAAACAACACTGTATCTGCAAAGTATCATAAAGCAAAGTGCAATAAAAAGAGTTAGCCTGTACTTAAGTATATAAAAGTTTAGTTCCTTAAATGAGAATAAAATACCTGAGTAACAGCACTCAGTGTCTTTGTGCATGCTTCTTTGGGTGTATGTGTATGTGTGTGTGTATATATATTTATATATATATATATATATTTGTGTGTGTTCTATAAACACACGCAAATATGTCTTTCACAAACTTTTCCTAACTTCATTCTACCTCTGCCACTCTTGAGACTGCAAGACAAACTCCTTCTCTACCACTTCCTCCTCCTCCTCTGCCTACTCACCATGAAAACAGTAATTCACTTCCACTTAATGAACAGTAAATACATTTTCTATTCCTTGTGATTTTCTTAATGACATGTTCTTTTCTCTAGCTAACTTTATTGTAAGAATACAGTCTGTAATACATGTAACATAGAAAATATGTGTTAATCAACTGTTTGTGTTATTGGTAAGGCCTCCAGTCAGCAATAGGCTCCTAGAAGTTATGTTTTGGGGGAATCAAAAGTTATATGCAGATTTTTGACTGTGCAGAAGGGTTAGCACCCCTAACCCCTGTGTTGTTCAGGGGTCAACTGTATAATTATAAATTGTGACCAAAGCACAAGCATCAAAAGAAGACATAGGTAAATTAGACTGTCCTGAAAATTAAAAACACTTGTGCTTCAAAGGGCACTATCAAGACACTGAAAAGTCAGCTTATAGAATGGGAGAAAATATTTGCAAATTATGTATCTAACCAAGGGATCAATATCTACAATGTCTAAAGAACTCTTAAACAACTCAGCAATAACAGAAAGACAATCCAGCCAATTAAGAAATGGGCAAAGGATTTGAAAGGACGTTTCTCCAAAGAATAGCATAAGTGGCTGTTAAGCACATGAAAAGAGCCACATTATTACTCATTAGGGAAGTGCAGATCAAAACCATAATGATATATCACTTCACACCCATAGGATGGCTAAAATGAAAAAGGTGGACAATAACAAATGTTGTCAAGGATGTGGAGAAATGGACCCTTATGTGTTGCTGATCAGAATGTAAAATGGTATTGCCATTTGGAATACAGCTTGGCAGTTCCTCAGAAAGGAAAACATAGGGATACCATATGACCCACCAGTTCCACTCTCTCTACATACTAAAGATAATTGAAAACATATGTCTATATAAAAACTTGTATACCAATATTCATAGCAATGCTATTCACAAAAAGTAGAAACTACCTAAATGTCTGTCACCTAGTGAATATGTAAACAAAATGTGATATATCCAGATAATGGAATATTATTCAGCCATAAAAACAAATGAAGTACTGAGTCATGGTACAAGGATGAATCATGAAAACATAAGGCTAGGTGAAAGAAGTCAGACACAAAAGACCACATATTGTATGATTCCATTTATTTGAAATGACCAGAATAGGCAAATCCATACAGACAGAAAAACTAGATTACCTGTTGCTAGGGGATGTGGGGAAGAGAAAAAGGGGAATAACTGCTGATAGGTACAAAGTTTTTTGAGGCGGTGATGAAAATGTTCAGGCATTAGATGGTGGTGGTGATGGTTGTACAACTTCCTGAATATACTAAAAACCACCCATTGTGCACTTGAAAAAAGATGAAGTTCGTGATATAAAATATCTTTCAATAAAGCTGTTACTGTAAGAAATATAGGTGTGTAATTTTTTTTCCTGGCGTTCTGAATTCTTTCAAACTCATATTTATTCTTGTGAACCACAGTCATAGGTAGGAACCTTTGAACTTAGTAGTCCTAAAATTCCTTTTCCAGTTTATGTTGTGAGCTCTTTTATCAGTAGCTCAAGCTAATTTTAGAATAGAGAAGGTGATTTTCACCTGTGTGAACACTCACTGAGATGCTCAGCAGTAGGGTGCATAAAGATCTCTGCATGTTCTTTAAGGGATCTGATTCATTCTCTGAATACTAGGAGCATGTGCTTGTTTAGTATTTGTACTTTAAACAATATAGTAGTTCGTTGTCATTATATCCTTATTTCCAAGACATTTCAAACATAAAATCTTACTAACATAATACTACAGGAAGTCTAAACATATAAAAACACTGAACTCCCAAAGGTCCATTAAGAATATGGTTTGGCCGGGCGCGGTGGCTCACGCCTGTAATCCCAGGACTTTGGGAGGCTGAGGCGGGTGGATCATGAGGTCAGGAGATCGAGACCATCCTGGCCAACATGGTGAAACCCCGTCTCTACTAAAAATACAAAAATTAGCTGGGCGTGATGGCACGTGCCTGTAATCCCAGCTATTCGGGAGGCTGAGGCAGGAGAATTGCTTTAACCAGGGAGTCGGAGTTTGCAGTGAGCTGAGATCGTGCCACAGCACTCTAGCCTAGCGACAGAGCGAGACTCTGTCTCAACAACAACAACAAAAGAATGGGGTTTAAAAATTATAATGTATCTTTTCATTAAAAGTAATGTTATAAATAATTATTACTATTATTTTAAGTGGGAAATAGGTTCAAGGCTAGTTCATATAAATACATAATGGATGGCCACAATTAAAAAGTTACAGAAATAATACTTTTAGGATACCAGTAATTAAATCAATCAGGAAAATATCTTATTTCTCAGGGATTTCATAACCTTTTTTACAAAAGTAAACATCTCATTATAGGTATTTGTTAGACATTATGGAGCCTTTCCTTAGAAGAATGTACTGAATTTGTCATACACTTGAAAGGGATTCCCAAAAATCTTCATCTAGACCTACATGGGGAAAGTAGGTATATGAGTCTATTTGGACTACCATAACAATACCACAGACTGGGTGGTTTAAACAACAGAAATTTGTTTTCTCTCAGTTCTGGAGGCTAGAAGTCCAAGATTTAGGTGTTGTCAGGGTTGGTTTCTGGTATGGCCTCTTTTCCTAGCATGCAGTGTCCTCCTTACTGTGTCCTCACATGGCCTCTTCTCTTACTGTGTCCTCATATAGTATGTGTGGACAGAGATCTCTGGTATCTCCTCTTCTTATAAGAGGACACCAGCCTTCTTGGATAGAGCCCCCACCCTTACCTTATTTAGCAGAGGACCAAAATTCACTGAAAATGTTCTCACTCAGTGAGAAAGTGACCACTCTGCACACTTTGATTCTAGATGTTAGGCCTGCCGACATGTAACACAAGCAAAATGAGGCCTCCGCTATCAAGCCTGCCTTTTTGGCAAACTATATTAGGGTTTGGCCTTACAGGTAGTAAAAAAATATGTATTTGCATGGCTTTGTTTTCTGCATATATATCTTCACAAAAAGTGATGATCAGGCTACAGCATATCAGATTTGAGGATTCTAGGACCTGGGTTTTGAGCCCTCCTCCCTCATTTTTTTTTATCTTCTCACATAATTTGACATGAATTATCTATAAGATTCTTTACAGTGCTGTCTTACCATAAAACTAAGAAAGAAATTTAAAACTATAATTATTGGAAATATTATTTTGCATAATTTGTATATGTGATACTAGATTAAGATACTGAGAGGAATAAAACAATGCTTATGATATTAACCCTGATCTTAATTCACCTACATGTTTTAAGATTCATAAGTCATTTGTACAAATCTCAAATCCAGAATATTTTGTGTGTTGTATAATATGCTATCAGAGGGGTTTTTTTTTGTTTAAAAAATTTCCTATGGATAATTTCAAATATTTGTGAAAATAGATAGGACAGGATAATGACCCCCTATGTACCCAAAACCTAGGCCCTAACAGCAGTTATTAACCCAGAGCCAATCTGCCTCCTTGCTAGCCTGTTAAATTCTTCTGCATATTTTGAAGAAATACCAGACATCATTTCATCCACTAATATTTTAGAGTGCATCTCTAAAAGAACAAATATGCTTTCTTTTTAAATCAATATAAGTGCCATGCCATTATCTTAGGAATGATTGTTAATTTTTCCTCAGTTTTATAAAACCAAACTGGTTTGTGTTTACAGTCGTCTCATTAATGTCCTAAGTGTTTGTTTATGAATCAGAATCTAAATGAGGTCCACAGTTTGTTATTATTCAGTACTTCCTTTAAGCCTTTTTCAATCTGTGGACTTTCTTCACAACTTTAAAAATATATATATTTGTTGAAACAATTTAGAGTTTTTCATTCTGGAGTTTGTTGAGTATTCTTCTGTAATATGATTTAAAATGGTCCTCTGTCGTTTGCTTTTTCAGTAAACTGGTAAATGGATTTAGAGCTATAAAGCCTAATACAGTAGCCGTCAGCCACATGAGCTATTTTAAATTTAAGGTTAAATTAATTAAAATTAAATAAAATAAAAAACGTAGTTGCTAAAGTACACTAGGCTCATTTTAAATGATTAATAGCTACATGTGGCTAATGGCTACCACATTGGGCAGTGCCTTGATAGAACAGTTCCATCGTGTGGGAAGTTCTGTTAGTCAGTGCTGCTTTAGATAGAGTCTTGATCAAATTCAGGTTTCTCTTTCTTTGTGTTCTTCCATTAGGAGGCCCATGATGTGTGATGTCTCATTGTCCTTTTTTTCTGATGTTAGCAGTTACTGATAGTCAATGGCTGAATCCATTCATTCATTCAAGAATGCAAAATGTTGACCATAGGAGTTTAAAAGAATTACTTCTGCTTGAGGTGATCTCCAGAAGCTTTATGGCTGAGGTAACATTTAATTGAGCCTTGAAATTTCTCTAAAAATTTGATAAGTGAAGATAGAGGGAGAAGAGGATTTTTGTGGTTTTGGGTTGTGGTGGTTGTGTTTGTTTTTGTTTTTTAAACAGGGCAGAAGACTAATGTGTTTGATGCACAAGGAGTATGGGAAATTAAAATTGAAAAGTATATTTGGAGCCTATACTATGTAGATCCTGAATGCAAGGACAAGGCATTGGATTTTATTTGAAAGGGAAAATGCGATAGTAGCTATTTGTTGATTGCCTACCGTCCAGTTATCCTTTTTCTCTTTTTAACAATGCCCTTAAATGCTTCAGAAAATGTAATTCAACACCTCACTCCTAGGCTTACGCCTATCATCGTATTCCATTTTGTTTTCCTTGACAAGGTTGGGCATGTGACCTAAGCTGTTCTAAACAGAATGAATATCAAGGCTTTTGGTTGCAAGTGATGAGATACAAATACTGTCTCTTCCCCTGGATGTGGTACTTGGAAGTGCTGTAGTTATTTTGTCAGGATGATGAGGAAGCCAGCACACAGCCTGACAAAATAACACACAGAGAGATCAGGCAACCACTGATCTCTCTGTCACTATAGATTATTGTTTCCTGTTCTAGAACTTTATAGAACAGAATAGAATCGTACAGAATGAATACTTTTGTGTTACTTCTTTTACTCTATGTTTTTGGAATTCTTTTTTGTCTTTTTTATATGATTTCATTTCCCTTACCTAGTTGTGGAATTGTTAGGTCATATATCTATATGTTCATCTTGAAAGAACTGTTTTCCAAAGTGGTTGTACTATTTTATATTCCCACTGGCAATTTTTGAGAGTTCTAGTTGAAGCTTGTTTTAAAGCTTTGCTAGGATAATTACAGAGTAGCTTTTACTTGGCAGTTAGCTCTACTCCTAAGGTGTGGGTGGACTTCCTGGTCTGGTAATACCCATGTGTTTATCAAGGTCTCTCCACTTTGGAGCTCTCTCTTGCTGGTCAGAACTTTAGCGTCTTCCAGATTTGTGAGATGGAAGTGTTTATTTAAGCTTTCAGTGGTAGTTCTTTGCCTATTCTTATATGGTGTCACCTTACACATGTGCAGCTTGACATTCAGCCTAAGACTAGGACCGTGATGCAAATTTTGGAGGTTTTTGTTTTTTGTGTTGTTGTCTTAAAAAACTGATACTGATACTCTCAATGTTTCTGTTGCCTGAGCCCCTCTAAACTCTCATCTCTGTCTCCTCAGCTTAGCAAGATCTCCCTGCTTTGCTTGGGTTCTCCCTCAATATGCCAGAGTCCAGGAAGTCTCCAGGCAGAAAGGGCAGTAATAGGACTCACCTTAATTTGTTTCCCTTTTCTCAGGGATCACAGTCTTACATTGCCTGTTGCCCAGTGTCTGATTTTTTTTTTTTTACATATTTTTCTGTTTTCTTAATTGTTCACAGCAGAATTGCTGATCTGTTGCTAATTCCTCTTTTATAACCAGCAGCAGTTCCATGAGCTTTTTCTTTTAATCTTTTTTCATTGCAACTGAAAATGGGGTCTTCTGCCATGTCTTCCAACTGGCTATTGTTTATATTTACAAATGCTTTGGATTTCTGTATGCTTATTTTATATCCTACTACCTTACTAAATTTTCCTGTTCTTTATAGTTATTTTTCTATTGACTGTCTTGGGTTTTCCAAGTAGATATAATCTGCACATGGACACAGTTTTACTTTTTTTTTAAAACAATTCTTGTCTAATCGCACTGTCTAATATTAGTAACTATAGTGGCCACTCCTGTCCTCATCCCTATTTTTAGTAGAAAAGCCTCTAGGCTTTCCCCTTGAATAAGAAGCTTGCTAATTATATTTTGTTTGCTTCTGTTTTATATATTTTCAATTATTTTGTCAACAGACTACCAACTCTTCAGGAGCAGGGATTCTGCATGCCTCTTACTTACATGGACTAAGTATTCCCTGCTATGTGTTATGTTTTGTACTAGTCGCTGGGGTTGCAAAACAAAACCCTGCTGTGTCCCATCAGAATACTCCCCCCACCCCAAAATTAAGATCTAGTAAGGAATATAGGCATTACACAGATAAAACAAATGTGATAAATTTTCAAAAAGTGACAGTGTCAGATGCTAAAGGAGTCTATAACAGAATGACCTAACCTAGTATGGGAGAATCAAGAGATACCTCCCTAAAGAAATAATGTTTAATGAAAATCCAAAGGCAAGAGAGACAGTTGATACTTTTCTAAAGGAGATCCATTATTACTGGAAAGAAGAGATAGAATGGGAAAGTGGGTCACAAGAGGTAAAGATTTAGAAGTAGTTAGGAAGAATCGGACTGTGGAGAGCTTGGCAAGCCCTATTAGGATTATGAACTTTTCCCTTAAGTACAATAAAATAGGAACCATCTTTGCTTTTTTGGTTTATATGTTTATATATGTGTTTATATTTGATAACTATTCTCACTGAGCAGTAGAAAAGAAATTGTAGGAAGCTGAGCATTTTCATTTCTTGTAGCTGACAGTCATTTAACTTTTAAACCAATGTTTTTCTTTCAAATTGGAATGCTGTGGCAGGTAGATTTTAATTCTGAGAGCTAAGCACTATTTCTTTTACAAGCAAGAAATATATTCATGTCTGAATCCTTTTTTAAAAAAAGTAAGGAACACAAACTTTTTAATGTGGGAATTAGTATTGAACCTGAAATCTTTTTAAGAGGTGAGGAATACAGACTTTTTAATGACTGTGTATTTGAATGTTCAATCCACGCAGTTACTAGCTCTTTGGAAAAAAAAATTACCAAACTACTAGAAGCTTTGGTTTTCTCATTTGTAAAATGAACTGTTGTTTTAAGGATTAGCTGAGTGAACGCTTGTAAGGCACTTAGGATTTGGCTGGTACATACCTATCAAATCTTAGGTGTATTTATTAGCTATTCTTAAGAACTTTAGTTCTTAAATAAAAAGGACAGAAATATATAAAAGAAGACAAAGTTAATAAAGCAACAGGGATGCACAGACTATAAATTTAGACATTCTCTTATGATAACATCCCCATTATATAAGTGAGCAAACTGAATCTTAGGAGTCATTTGAAGTTCATGACTATATAAATAGTAGAGCTGGGATTTTATTACAGGAGTCTGACTCTAGAACTTAAACTTCATATCACTGTTGTATAGTTTCTTTCCTAAAGCAGCATCTATTTTAGTTGATTCTCTCTCATATTGTAGTCAAAACTACAGAAAGCAATAAATGGGGTTGGTTGATTACTTCTTGGTGTTTAGTGAGACCAAAAAATTGTTATAACAAACTATTTTCTGATTTAGGTGATAATCAAACTTTTTCGTACGTGAAAAATCTTTTTTAGGGTTTATCTACTTAACTGGTTCATTACATAATTAGCTGCTAATGTGTAGTTAAAGAAGTAATGTTTTATCAGACTTTTTTTTTTTTTTAGTATTTGCTACCTCTAAAGGGTGACGTCTGAAAAAATATCTGACATGGCTGCATTTGAACACTAGTCATAGTAAGATTGGTGGTGGGTGTTCATATTCATATATATGAAATTTTCTTGGGGTTTGGGAGGGGGCATTAAGGAGAATGTAATTTGCTTTGTGTTAACAAAGCGATTTTCTTTGGGCTATCTACTGGTAACCTAGAAATAATTGAAAGTGACATCTTCATAAACATATTTTTTAGAATGGTAGTACACATAAATTAAGTAGCCCACTTCTTCAAGTGATGTTCAGAAGCAGAAACATCACTTTGATGTTAACAGAAATTATCATTGATTTCTTTTAACTTCTAAATAGTATTGTTTTTAAGCTAGAGTAAATGTGTGGGAAATTAATTAGCAGTATCATGTTTTCTGTTTTAAAGTGTTAACCAGTTTTTAAAATCATTAATACTTTAATGAAATTTTAATATGTTATAATTAGCATGATATTTACCAGATTTCTGTTTATCCAGAATGATGGGAATGAACTATATATTCTGTTCACCTGTTTCTCCTTTTTTGTAATATAAATAAAATTTTTAAAGAAATCTGTGCCTGTTTGTAACAAATTTGGCCAATGCTAAAGTATACAATTCAAATCTTCCTCTCTAATTCCAGTTCCAGAGGTTTTCCTCCACATCAGTGTTATACCCTTAGGCTCATCAGTGTTTATATAAATGCATAGACATACATATGACATGTTTAACATCTGCATATTATAAACTATACATACATAATTTTAAAGTTAAAATTAAATCATACTTTACTGCTCATCTGAAACATTTTTAATTTAATATGTGTATCTATCCAAGTTAGTACATATATAATTATTTGTTTATTGAATATTTTATTATAAGGCTGTATCAGTTTATTCCTGTGCATGTTGATAATAGTTTTAGATTTTTTTTTTTTTTTTGCTATTATAAAGAATTTCACTAAGCCCTATAAGGTAGGTATTATCTCCATTTTAAAACATGAAATTGAGGCACAGAGAGATTGGGTAACTTGCCCTAAATTGCACAGCAAGAAGTAATGGAGCTGGTTTTAGAATCCTGGCAATATAGCTCAGAATCCACAATCTTCAATATTACATTATGCTGGTTTTTTGCCTTCTGTTTTTGCTCTGTTTACCAAACTGGAAAAAAGATTTCATGTTTAAAATATATCTAAACTGGGTGTGATAGTACACTCCTGTAGTCCCAGCTGCTCAGGAAGCTAAGGTAGGAGGATTGCTTGAGCCCAAGAGTTCTAGTCCAGCCTGGGCAACATAGTCAGACCCTGTCTCTTTTTTAAAAAAGTAAAATCTGATATTAAAACTCTCCTGGGCATAATATGCTATCTTACAGATACTGGAAACATTAGTATCACAAATTATGTAACTGTGATTTGTAGCAATGTATAATATAGAAGTAGAAGATTTAAGCCCAAACCTTGCCAGTGCTTCTTAAACTTTAATGTGCATATAGATCACTAAGTGTGCATATAAATTCAGATTCCATAATCTGGAATGAGCCTGAGTCTCTGCATTTCTAGCACACTCCCAAGGTGGCCAGTACTGCTAGTCTACTCGTGAGTAGCAAGGATTTAGGCAGTTTATACTGACCTTTGGCAAACCTTCTTAGGTGTTTTATTGAATCAGTTTCATGTTTTGTTTCTGCTGCCTGTTTTTATAATTTTTGTGTGGTAAAGAAATGGGTACAGTCTTTCTGGTCATTTCAATTCTGTATGTGTGACATTTAACAATAAATGAGAAAAAGAAATTGTGCCTTTTTTGGCATCAGTGCAGAGTACTTAAAATGAATATAATCATTTATTTGTATACTTAATATGGCCTTCCCACCTATCTCATCATTTCCACTGTTTCATTCTTAATTGAGGGAAATATAATGTATGTTTTCATTTTGAAGGGTATAACTGTAGTTGAACCAAAAATATTGTTTTATCACTGTTATTTTTTCTTTAGTAACAATAATATACTTTACACAGTTACAAAAATCAACACCTGTTCAATGCTATGTGCCAGGCACTATATCAAGTGCTTAATGGGCATGATTTCATTTTAATCATCAGGACATCCCTCATTCATCTTTCAGCTATTTGTGCGCCTCCTCTGTATCAGGAACTGTGCCTACAGTGGGGAGCCAAATAAACACAAATTCTGTTCTCCTACAGCTTAGTGCATTGGGGTGGGGGGTGCAATACAATATTCAAGCAATTATAGAAGTGTGATACTTGTAAACAAAAAGTTGTTAATTACAATATTTGCTATTTTCTCCACTCTCAACCATGAAAGAAAATTCTGCTTTTGCCTTCTAAGCTTTTTCTGACTAGCTTCCTTCCCCACCTGACTCCGAGGAGAATTCTTTGTCTGTTCGGTTTCTGAGCTGTTGTGATGCCAGATCCAACTAATGGGTAAAGAGAGAAACCTTTAGAACTAATGATGTATAAAATACAAAATTTTAAGACAAATATCTGAAGAGACATTGCTTACATTAATTTGAGGGAGTAAATATTCGCAATACTTAAGATTGTTAGAATTGTTGGTGAGAAAAATTTGAAAGATTTTTTTGAAGATTTAGAAGACAATGCAAGACTTTTTTTTTTTTTTTTTAAGTACCAACATATGTGGCCCTGACAGATATTACACCGACTTGTGGCTGATTTGGACACGCTTTTAGGGGAATGCTATTTTTAACAAGCTGTGTTCTCTTTTTTCTTGTAGCAGTACTGACTTCCCTTTTGATTATTAATTGATAGAAAATTCTTTCTGGTGTTGATCAGATCTATCTATTTGACCTTTATATATAACACTACCTTGTTGAGATTTCCAAAATGTTTGTTTTCCCCATTACTATTATGATTTTGAGCTTCCTAGTATTGTCTTGAAGATTATTATAAGAAACTTTAGCTTCTCTGTATTAAAAGGAACTCTATGTAGTTGTTTCTCTTTTAAAGGGAGGATCTGAAAAAATTTTGTAATTTTATCTTGGATATTAGTTTATTCATTATGTTTAATTTTAGGAAATGGTGCTCTTGCAGAACATTCTGAAAATGTGCATATTTCAGGAGTGTCAACTGGTAAGTCATTTTTTGTAATGTTTAAATTTCATGCATGACTTATATGGTAAATATTGAAAGCCACCTGGTATCTTACGAAGTGATATTTGGCTATAAAAATTATTACTGCTTTTTGCAGCATGTAATAAGGAATGAAGTAACTGGAACATGGAGAAATTCTCATAAGATAAAACTGATACTTGCATGCCCATGGATTGATTATACTTTTCCAAACGGACTGCATAATTATTTTTTCATACAAACATTGAACCTAGAGAAAAGTTAGCTCAAGTTGAATTAGTATTTTCTTTCCATACAAAGTTATGTGACATGAAATTTACTGAAATGTGATTTTGAATGCTATCCCTAGGATTAGAGCCTTAGAAATTAAGCTTTTTGCTTGATTTTTATAGTACTACTCTACATATAACTATTGTATTTGAGCGCACAGTTTATTTGCTGTTAAAAGCAACACAGTATACTTGTGTCCATGAAATTCAGAAATTCATCATTGTGGTTAATGTATTTTTTATACTCATCTAGGCTTTTATAACTTGTAATTACTTTATAACTTTATAATTACTTAAAGACTTATAACTACTAAAATTTTTATTCTTAGGCCACTTCCACAGCTCCGTTACCATTTTTGCTGTCAACCACAGTTACTAGGAGAACTAAAATATTTATTTTTGCATATATTGAAATAGGTTTTCTTACTGTTCATTTATTATTTCCCTATATTGATAAGTTTTGTGTGGTTAAAACTGTACTTAGTGTATTTATCAATCCATTGATTAACTTCTTTGTGTCATCTTGTAATTTGTTTGGTTCTTTTTTCCTCACATGAAGCAAATCCTGTTCTTTTGTTTTATGTCTGACTTTGTATTCAGAAAGTTAATAGACTTAACAAATACTCTAAGGGTTAGTGTGCCCTAGTCAAACACATCAAGCCCAACAAGCCTAGTTTCCTGAAAACGCAAAGCAAGTGCTTCAGTGCCTGCATCAATTTTTTTTCATAGTTTGTTTCACTTTTTTAAAAATACATTCTCAAATGATATATAATTGTATTTATCAAATAACAGTAAGGTTATTTTAAAGATGGCCTTCTCCCTTTTTCTTTGCATTTTGAATAGTTAATGAGAATTATAATTACTTTTCCAAGTTGTAACTATAAAGTATGTTTGTTTACAAACATTTTAATTTATACAACCAAATGGTTACTGTTTAATTTAGTAGTTTTCAAAAGTTTTGGTCTCAGGACCCATTATAAACTTTTAAAAACTACTGAGGCCTGTTTTAGTCTACGTGTGCTGCTGCAACAAAATACTACTGTGGATGGCTTAAATAACAGACATCAGTTTTTCTCACAGTTCTGAAAGTCCAACATCAAAGTGCTGGCAGGGTTGGTCCCTGGTGAGACCTCTTTTCCTGGCCTGTAGATGGCCACCTTCTCATTGTGTCCTCACATGGCCTTTTTTCTATGAATGTTCAGAGAAAGCAAGAGGTCTCTTGTGCCTCTTCTTCTAATAAGAACATGAGTCCTATGGTATTAGGGTCCCATCCTTATGACCTCATTTAACCTCAGTTACCTCCTTAAAGGCTGTGTCTCCAAATACAGTCACATTGGGAGTTAGGGCTTCCACATATGGGCTTGAGGGGGGACACAATTCAGTCTGTAACAAGGACTTAAAAGAGTTTTTGTTTATATGGGCTACAGCTACCAATATTTACTATGTTAGAAATTAAAACTGAGAATTTGTTTTAAAACTCATTAGTTCAATTAAAAATAACAGTAACCTATTGCATGTTTACATCAATATGTAGTATGGTTTTATGAAAAATATATATTTCAAAACAAAAAACAATAAGAACAGCATTGTTTTATAATTTTATAAAGTAATGATTGACTTAAAAGAAAATAGCTAGATTCTCATATCTGTTTCCGCATTCAGTCTTTTGCAACATCATGTTTTGTTTGACATACTAGGAGACAGGCCAGCCTCACAGTGACGTATAATTGGAAAAGAAAGGAATATTTTAATAGCCTTTTTCAGATAATGGTGAATATTCTATGATACTACACCAAAACTCAACACGAGGTAGTTTCTTTAAGGTTAGTTGCAATGTGGAATCTGAAGC
This sequence comes from Homo sapiens, assembly GCF_000001405.40. Lineage (NCBI taxonomy): Eukaryota > Metazoa > Chordata > Mammalia > Primates > Hominidae > Homo > Homo sapiens. The sequence goes on along the minus strand of NC_000008.11, from coordinate 104,529,788 downwards.
CATATCATTGAGCGTTTTGTGCTCTGTTACATTAAAATCTAATTGGGTCTTTCTTACCCTTTGAATCAATTTTCTTACCATGTATGTTTTTATAATGTGCATTGATCACTTGCAAATGCAGATTTGCTGAGTTATGCAGATTATTACAGAGTATGAGAACTTATGAAAATTTGGAAATTTAGATAGATATAGTACTACATTCTGAATTTTAGATTATACTTATTTTTAGCTGTTTACTTGTGATTAGACCACTAGGCTCTTCTTGAGCATTGATAATACCCTTAAATAAATTTCTGTTTGAAGAAAGAAATCAGCAGTAAAGATATTTTACATTTTTTAATCTTTTTTTTCTTCTGAATTTCAGATACACATTTAGAAATATGTATTAGTTTTCTAGGGCTACCATAACAAGACGTCCCGTTCTAGGTAACTTAAACAACATAAATTTATTTTCTCACTGTTTTGCAGGCTAGAATTCTGAGATCCAGGTGTCAGCAGGGTTGGTTTCTTCTGAGTTCTTTTTCTTTGGCTTATAAATGGGTGTCTTCTTACTGTCTTCACATAGTCTCCCCTCTGTGTGTGCTGTCCTGATCTCCTCTTCTTATAAGGACACCAGTCATTGGATTAGGGCCACACATATGACCTCATTTTAACTTTAACTCTTTAACTCTGTAAAGACTCTCTCTCCAAATCCAGTTACGTTCTGATGTACTAGGGTTAGACTCTAAAATATGAGTTTTGGAGGCAACACATTTCAGGCCATAACAAAATGTGTGTTTTAATTAAATATATTTATACGTTAATAAAATACTCCATTTCAGAAGTGAGTAAAACCTTATTCATGGCTTATTTTTTCTAAAGTCTCATCTTACAAAATCTTTCTAACAGAATGAGAAGAATAATACATGAAATCTATTCCAATTATATTATTAAAAATAAATGGATGCTGTTTCCAGAGGTATGTCTGGGTACACAGAGTCATTGCTGTTTTTTGTTGTTGTTTTTTTTTTGAGATGGAGTCTCACTCTCTCTGTTGGCCAGGCTGGAGTACAGTGTTGTGATCTCAGTTCACTACGACCGCTGCCTCCCGGGTTCAAGCGATTCTCCTGCCCCAGTCTCCCAAGTAGCTGGGACTACAGGTGTGCGCCACCACGCCCAGCTAATTTTTGTATTTTTAATAGAGACGTGGTTTCACTATGTTGGCCAGGCTGGTCTCAAACTCCTGACTTCAAGTGATCCGCCCACCTTGGTCTCCCTAAGTGCTGGCATTACAGGCATGAGCCACCGTGCCCGGCCTCATTGCATTTTTTCTGTGGCCAGTACGGAGCTATAGATGTAATGTTTAATAGAGTATAAGCTTTCTGAAATCCTTGCATCCCCAGTAGAAAGTAGGGCCCCTTCAGTGCTGGTCTAAATAGAGAGGTAGCCTTTGGAAGAATCTCAAAATGCAGGACTTGCTTTCTGTTGAGATCAGCAAGCCACAGAAATGGTGAGATGCTTCAGTATTCTGTGCTGCCATCTATTTCTGCTCTTCCCCTGCTCTTTTCACCTCTGCTACTCCATTTGCCGGTGCTCAGTGCCCTGCTGGATTGTCGTTTGCACTTTGGAAAGTATATTGATGATTTTAGAAAGAATTTTAATTGTCTGCACCTAGTGTTATCAGGTAATTTATTTTCCAAATCAGGACACTTTGAAAGCGAAATAATATATTATTTTTAATTATGCTGCACCAGTGACAAAACCAGGACTGTTCTGGACAAATCAGGCTGTATAGTCACCCTGTTGGCAATGAATTCAATTCATTTAACATGTATCAAGCACCTGATAGGACCTTGTGCCAAGGAGGGTGGAAGTAAGTGGTGAGTAAAATATTATCTGAAGGAACTTATCACTTAATAGCAGAAGTAAATGTGCAAACTGTACCTATAATATGGTCTTTTTTTTTCTTTGTTTTTATTATTATACTTTGTTTTAGGGTACATGTGCACAATGTGCAGGTTAGTTACATATGTATACAAGTGCCATGCTGGTGTGCTGCACCCATTAACTCGTCATTTAGCATTAGATATATCTCCTAATGCTATCCCTCCTCGCTCCCCTTACCCCACAACAGTCCCCAGAGTGTGATGTTCCCCTTCCTGTGTCCATGTGTTCTCATTGTTCAATTCCCATCTATGAGTGAGAACATGCGGTGTTTGGTTTTTTGTCCTTGCGATAGTTTACTGAGAATGATGATTTCCAATTTCATCCATGTCCCTACAAAGGACATGAACTCATCATTTTTTATGGCTGCATAGTATTCCATGGTGTATATGTGCCACATTTTCTTAATCCAGTCTATCATTGTTGGACATTTGGGTTGGTTCCAAGTCTTTGCTATTGTGAATAGTGCCGCAGTAAACATAGGTGTGCATGTGTCTTTATAGCAGCATGATTTATAGTCCTTTGAGTATATACCCAGTAATGGGATGGCTGGGTCAAATGGTATTTCTAGTTCTAGCTCCCTGAGGAATCGCCACACTGACTTCCACCATGGTTGAACTAGTTTACAGTCCCACCAACAGTGTAAAAGTGTTCCTATTTCTCCACATCCTCTCCAGCACCTGTTGTTTCCTGACTTTTTAATGATTGCCATTCTAACTGGTGTGAGATGGTATCTCATTGTGGTTTTGATTTGCATTTCTCTGATGGCCAGTGACGGTGAGCATTTTTTCATGTGTCTTTTGGCTGCATAAATGTCTTCTTTTGAGAAGTGTCTGTTCATATCCTTTGCCCACTTTTTGATGGGGTTTTGTTTTTTTCTTGTAAATTTGTTTGAGTTCATTGTAGATTCTGGATATTAGCCCTTTTGTCAGATGAGTAGGTTGCGAAAATTTTCTCCCATTTTGTAGGTTGCCTGTTCACTCTGATGGTAGTTTCTTTTGCTGTGCAGAAGCTCTTTAGTTTAATTAGATCCCATTTGTCAATTTTGGCTTTTGTTGCCATTGCTTTTGGTGTTTTAGACATGAAGTCCTTGCCCATGCCTATGTCCTGAATGGTAATGCCTAGGTTTTCTTCTAGGGTTTTTCTGGTTTTAGGTCTAACGTTTAAGTCTTTAATCCATCTTGAATTGATTTTTGTATAAGGTGTAAGGAAGGGATCCAGTTTCAGCTTTCTACATATGGCTAGCCAGTTTTCCCAGCACCATTTATTAAATAGGGAATCCTTTCCCCATTGCTTGTTTTTCTCAGGTTTGTCAAAGATCAGATAGTTGTAGATATGCAGCATTATTTCTGAGGGCTCTGTTCTGTTCCATTGATCTATATCTCTGTTTTGGTACCAGTACCATGCTATTTTGGTTACTGTAGCCTTGTAGTATAGTTTGAAGTCAGGTAGCGTGATGCCTCCAGCTTTGTTCTTTTGGCTTAGGATTGACTTGGCGATGCGGGCTCTTTTTTGGTTCCATATGAACTTTAAAATAGTTTTTTCCAATTCTGTGAAGGAAGTCATTGGTAGCTTGATGGGGATGGCATTGAATCTATAAATTACCTTGGGCAGTATGGCCATTTTCATGATATTGATTCTTCCTACCCATGAGCATGGAATGTTCTTCCATTTGTTTGTATCCTCTTTTATTTCATTGAGCAGTGGTTTGTAGTTCTCCTTGAAGAGGTCCTTCACGTCCCTTGTAAGTTGGATTCCTAAGTATTTTATTCTCTTTGAAGCAATTGTGAATGGGAGTTCGCTCATGATTTGGCTCTCTGTTTGTCTGTTATTGGTGTATAAGAATGCTTGTGATTTTTGTACAATTGATTTTGTATCGTGAGACTGCTGAAGTTGCTTATCAGCTTAAGGAGATTTTGGGCTGAGACAGTGGGGTTTTCTAGATACACAATCATGTCGTCTGCAAACAGGGACAATTTGACTTCCTCTTTTCCTAATTGAATACCCTTTTTTTCCTTCTCCTGCCTAATTGCCCTGGCCAGAATTTCCAACACTATGTTGAATAGGAGTGGTGAGAGAGGGCATCCCTGTCTTGTGCCAGTTTTCAAAGGGAATGCTTCCAGTTTTTGCCCATTCAGTATGATATTGGCTGTGGGTTTGTCATAGCTCTTATATAATATGGTCTTAATGTACTAAGGCACATTATGGCAAATAATGAACATTAAGTTAGAATATGAATTTGTAAAAAGCCTAGTTAAAATATCTGGTGAGTAGTAAATGAATTAATATTAACTTTTCTTATTAGGCATAGTATTAAGGGCTTCATTTTGTTTACTCATGAATTTTTGGGGGAATTACTAATTTCTAATTAATAATATATTTTTGGTTCTTGTACTTGGAATAATTTGTTCTGTTTTTAATATTCTGTTTATTTCCATCTTCTTCCTCCTCAAATCCTTGCCAGGAAAGATAAATCTTTGCCTTTTTGCTCGTTCTGATGCTACAGGGTTGGCATAAGAAATTGTAGTTAAATTATCAAAAAGTATGTATCTAGTTGTTATATAATGGGAAATAATATTGGATAAAATCTTAATTTTTGTACTTATTTTAATTTAGAACTTTTCTTGGTTCAGAATTTTAAATCTCTCTTCATATATAAGCTAGAGAAAGGAGAAAAGACAAATGGTATTTTTATAAATTTAATAATATATGAAAATCATTATGAATTATACCACAGAAACTGCCAAGTAATTTAATTGCATACATGAGAGAGTAGGAAGGCTCTTTTAATCGCTTTTTAAAAAAGTGTCTAAATTATATGTTTCTTTTTGAAATGTTTAAAATTACCAAATTACTGCTCATCTGCTACATAGAATGAAATATATCTTACGTCAAGTTGATTTACCACAAGGCCCTTGTACACATTAAACAAATATATTTGATTTTTTAAAATATATCTACTTTAAACTGAATTACTCTGTAATCTGTGATATTGACTTTAATCAGGATATTCTAGAAATAATTTATGCTGTCTTTATTCTTGATTACTTCTAAATCAAGTTTTTTGTTTTCACAAATTCTATTACACAAGTTTCATTAAACATTTAGAAAAAAGCAAAAAGATTAAGAAAATCACCCATTAACCCTACCTTCCTACAATAATTAATAGTAGTATATTAAATTTTTTATTTGTCCTTTTGTGTACATACCTTAAAAATAATTGTATATGCATTTGAATTATCCCTAATTTTATCTCCTGCTCTTTCTGTTTAACACTATGTACATTTTTCCCTTAGCCTTCATATTCATTATTTTAATGCCTGCATAAAATTTCCATCATGTGACTTCATTACAATGGGTTGTTTCCAATGGATTTTGCCTAATTTGGATCATGCTCAAGAGACATATTCATATACAGTTGACCCTTGAACAACATGGTGGTTAGGGGCACCAATTCCCTGCATAGTGGAAGAAAAGCCATATATAATTGTTGATTCTCCAAAAGTTTAAGTACTCAATAGCATGCTGTTGACTGGAAATCTTAACAACAACATAAACATTCAATTAAATATATGTACGTTATATGTATTAAATACTGTATTCTTTTTTTTTTTTTTTTTTTTTGAGACAGGGTCTGACTTTGTCACCCAGGCTGGAGTGCAGCGGCATGATCTCAGCCCACTGCAACCTCCACCTCCTGGGCTCAAGCCATGCTCCCACCTCAGCCTCCCGAGTAGCTGGGACTACAGGTGCGCACCACATGCCCAGCCAATTTTTGTTTTTGTAGAGACGGGGTTTTGCCATGTTGCCCAGGCTGGTCTTGAACTTGTGAGTGCAAGTGATCTGCCCACCTTGGCCTCCCAAAGTGCTGGTATTACAGGTGTGAGCCACCGTGCCCAGGCTTAAATGCTGTATTCTTAAAGTTAGCTAGAGAAAAGAAAATGTTATTAAGAAAATCATAAGAGAAAATTCATTTACAGTATGCTACTGTATTTATTGATACTGTAAGTTTACATTATCTATTTACAGATGAGTCATCTGTTTGATAAGATGGGCAGCTGCAGTTGCAGACCTCAGTCTACAGTACATATCAAGCAATTCGGCTTTTTCTTGTAATGTCATGACTTTCCTTTGCTTCTTGGGAGCACTTGCAACATCACTAGTGGCACTTTGTATGGATCCAGTGGTGTTATTTGGGGTTTATGGTATTGCACTAAACACAATGAAAAATACACGAGAACCACCAGAGATCACATTGTACTGTGACACACAATTTACTGGAGATAACAACTGCTCACATGGAGATGATTAGCATCACACAGCGATTTAAGCAGATACTTGCAAATTGAGCTCACCAAAATAGCAATGGGAGGTGGCTACAGAATTATTAGTTGTATAGTATGTCATATAATTAATTTTATTCAGTTATGATTTAGTATTCATCTTTATACTTCTCTTGAATGTAAATGGTACTGTGTGTGGTCTGCAAGTGTTTGTGTAGGTTTTGATAAATTCTAACTCTTTATAATAGGTTAGTGTATTTTTTATGGTAGTAAATGATAGACTAGTATTTTACATATATATGCATTCATGATATACCTAATTTTTTTTCAAAATTTCCAGTCTGTGTAATTTGTCTGCAAGGTTTTTCAAATTGTCACAAATCTCCAAAAAATTTTCCAATGTATTTGTTGGAAAAAATCCATGTATAAGTGGACTTACACAATTCAAACCCATGTTGTTCAAAGGTCAACTGTATATCTAGCCTTTTTTATTTCTAAGAATATTTCCTTAGCATACATTTCTGAAAGTGAAATTACTGTATCACAGGTCATAAATAATTTAATGACTCTAGAAACTTTTTGACAGATTGCCTTCCAAAAAGGATGTACTAATTTACACAGTTGTCTGCATTTACTTTCAGTACAATCATGTTTTTCTTGCTTAACTTTTTTTCTTATTATGTTTCCATTAAAGTCTCAACCTTTTATTTGCTGTCAAACTGTTTTTTTTTAAGTAACATTTTCTTTTCTTCTTGATTCATGGCCTGGAGTTGTAACATCGCAAAGAATAAGAGAATGAGATTTGCTTTCCTTTATAGTTAGGCAAAAACTAGCCTGAAGTTTATAAAATATTTTCTGGTTGCTAATAGGAACAGATGTTAAGGCTTGCTGCTTTCTCAGGCAGAAGCTTTTTTTACATAGGAAGATTAACATGGTATTTCCAATTACCAATGATACAACTTCCAAATATTCCTACCTTTTAATGACAGCTGAAGTCTCTGTCTGAGGTTAGCTTGATTTTGAGTCTACTCTGCATTTGACTTAGAATCTTCTGTCAGGCAAATCTGACATTTCTGTGAGCTGAGAGAGAATATTTACTTAGGAAGTTTCTTTCTTAATCCGTATTCATATTAACTGAATTAGCAGAGTATATAAAATAGACTTCAGATAGTTTTGAAGTATTGTTTATGCTGTCAGAATTTTATTCTATCAAAATCATCACCCTTTCTTGCTTTTATGTATTTGCATTTTATAGTTTCTATTCTAATATTCGAAGGCCTAGCACATTGCTAATCCTGTATGCCTTTTACAACTAATAATTTAGTTGTGGCCTTTAAAATAGGGACATATTTTCTAAATTGCAATAAATTTGCTTTCAGATTAGTTAACATTTTGTAATAATGGAGAGTACTAAATTAAAATGGCTTTTGTTTTTAACCACAGCTTTGGGCTTAAATATTATAACATGGTATTTTGAAATTTTCCTGGAAGAACATCTAGTCTGATAAAGCTTTTATTATCCTAGAATGTTTAAGATCTTCCAAATAAAGAATCTGAAAGGAAATAAAGCTTAAATTGTAATTATCTCTGATAGAAGTTTACAATTATTTTTTAAATATAGAAAAGTTACATGAAAAAGTAGCAGGTCAAATGGTCCTTTGCACCTTTCCTATGTAATTTTAATATTATTTTACAATTATTCAATTAGGTACCTGGACCTCTTGTTAAAGTTACTGAGAAGAATTTCACTAGTTCTTTTGACCAGTGTTATAAAAATGTCTTTCATCCATGTTTCAGATGAAGAAAAGAAAGAAGCCTTATTACATTTTAGTTGATTATTAATACATTAGGGTTTTTAGGATTTCAGAATATAAAAACAGAACATAGTTTGAACCCAAGAAGCTATCCTTTATATAAAGAAAATGAGTAGGGAATATGAGACAGAGTAAATTCTTGATATATATATATATAAAAACATTACTATAGGATGCTAATAATTTTTAAAGTCATTGTCTACCTTCAGAGTTTACTTCTGAGACACTTAAAGTTTTAAAGTAGCGAACTCCCTTTAAGTTTTGGAAATGAAACTAATGGTGGTATTATTATTTCTATATTATATACTCTATAATTGAATCATGGCCAATGTCTTATATGAAACATCTTTATATTATATAATTGTAACCTATTTTATATTATATATCACATATTTATTGAACAATTATGTATTTATAACAAAATAATTATGTTATATTTTTATGTTACATTACAGGTTGACTATCCCAAATCTGAAAATCCAAAAATCAAAATGCTCCAAAATCCAAAACATTTTGAGCAACGACATAACACTCAAAGGAAATGCTCATTGGAGCATTTCACACTTCAGATTTTTGGTTTTGGGATGCTCAACTAGTAAGTATATATCTGTACATATTCCAGAATTTGAAGAAAAAAAAATCAAAATACTTCTGGTCCCAAGGATTTTGAATAAGGAATACTCATTGTATGTTATAATAAACAATAACTCCAGCATTAGAACAGCACGTGTGAGTACCAGAACTATAGACAGAACAGGTTGTATTGTGACAGGGTATGCAGTGCTTAGATGGTAGAAGTGAAGTTCATCTGATGGATATATCCATTTCATTGAGTGAGCCAAACCTAGTGAACGTAAAAAGGCAAGCTCTGTTCAAGCATTTGACATTTTCTTTTCCAGTCTGTAACTTTGGGAATAACTCTTCAAAGTTGATAACATGTTGGTTATCTGTAATTTTTGCCAAGGCATGAATTTTAATTGGATGTACTGTGAAACTGTTGTGCAAAAGCCAGTCACTTGGTGGATAAGCAAACTGTACTTGGGTATCAGTTGACTAACAGCCTGATGTAAGTAAGGGGGTGATTTGATATTAAACTGCAGTAATAGAAATACAGTATCCAGAACCAAGCAAATGATAGTTCTTCTTTACTCTTCATGCAAACGTACTCTGGTATTGTTTATTTCTGGGTACCACCCTTGACAAAAGACACAGTAACTGGAACACTCATAGAAGATGTGAGTATACTAAAAACTATGTCAAAGCTGATAGAGATGACCTACAAAATCGTGAGCTCCAAGGCCAGTTTGTTAGCTTAAGTGAGGATTTCTGCCTTACCTTTTTATGCTTCCAGCCAGAGTCACAGTAACCTTCAAAAATTAGTAATTTTTCCCATTTGGGAAATAGTAGTAGCTTGCTTTAGCATTTTAGTCTTCTGTAGTGCTTAAAATAGGAAAATGTAGGTACCATGTTAGTAATTTTTATACCCTTGCAGGAAAAAAAAATTGCCCTCATAAGCCCTTTAAAAAAGGCATAAAAGGATGAATCTTCTCTATTCATCTTACGTTATGCATTGTTAGCAAAATCCTAAATTATTCTTACTAAGAAATTTCAGGGTGAAGCTGGCTAGTTAGTTCCATTTTAGGTGGGTATATTCAGTTTCTTTGCTCTCCTCATCTTCATTCATACTGTGCTATGACCCGTTTTTTTTTTATTTCTCCTTCTCTCTTTATATTTTTGCCTCTTCTGACTTTGTATTTTATTTTACTGCCATATAACCCTTGATTATAGTTTGATTGTTCTGAACATTAGTGACCTTCAAGATACCAAGAAATTACCTGCCTTGATTACAGCTGATAGCCAAGTAAAATATTTTGGTCCTTAAAGAATGTCACTTAGAATAATATGAATAAATATATTGCTGTATTCAGTCTTAAATATCGGTACTAATGCAGAAGAATATTTAAATTATAAACAGCTGGATATAAGATTTCCTACTTGCCATGGCACTTGCGGTTTCTAATAATAAGTCTCAGAGTAATGAGAGTCCTAAGTGGGAGTGATGGATTAATATCATTTTTTCTGCTTGCCTGATTCTTGTCTTTCAAGTCATAGTTAAAACCTTTCCCATCTTAGACTAGTAAATATTGCTACAAGTTGAGCATCCCTAATCTAAAAATCTGAAATTTGAAATGCTCCAGAATCTTTTAGAGCACTGACATGATGCTCACAGGAAATACTCATTGAAGCATTTCAGATTTTGGATTAGGGATGTTCAACCAGTATGTATGCGCAAATATTCCAAATTTTGAAATCCAAAACACTTTTGGTCCCAAGCATTTTGGATTAGGGATACTCAACCTATGTTCAAGTGCTAGTAATTATTCCCATACAGGGAGAAGTTCAGTTTTCTAACTTCTTTTTTAAAAAGAATGAAATTTGGAGTAATTCTAAGGAAATCTTACTCATGTTCAATCTCTGTCCCCTTCCAACTCTGTCCATCCTCAAAATGTTGACTTCTGACATTCACATTATAACGCAGCTTGGCTCAGGTGCCAAGGAGTCAGAAAACCCCATTTAAAGAGTCTGGAGGGTCAGAGAAATCAGGACACTATTTAGGCAACAAACACAGTCAAGATACAGGAAGAGGACTTTTGAATCAAAGTAATTTCTGCCTAGCTGTGGGCGTGTGTTTCCTGTTCAGGTTACAGGGCTTAGTTATGTTATACATGGCAGTCCAACAAAGGGCAACTATAGTACTCTAACTTATTTTTCTTGCAGATTCCAACAGTTGGTCACTTGCCTTGTATTCTCAGTGGCCCATAGACTCTATGCTGAACATGCATGCTTTCCAGACTGTCCATTATTAAGTGTCTTTAAGTATCTGTCCATTGCTCTTTCCTTTGAAATGTCTCCCTCAGCCTCCACTTCATCCCCTTATTGCTACTATTCTACTCCTTGCCCTAAGCATCTTACCCATAATTAACTATATGTATATATGTTCTCTTATCATTAAAAGTAGGTTCTAGAATGCTGTTTATAAAATTTTTAATACCAAAGATACTAAGAAGCTGGTCAGTTCTGCCTGTAGTTCTTAGATAATGTGTAGCAAATAAGGAATCAATCTTTAGAAGCTTTAAAACTACTAACTATACTTATTTTCTCTGTGTTATTATAGATTATCTACCCTTTCTATCCATGTTAATGTAGGACCAATAGTTCATTTTTCTAGAATAGACCACTTTTGTCATTTAAATGCTATTGAAACGGCTCCCTTCCACCTCCCTGGTAATTTTTCCAGATGTTATAGGGAGTTCGTTAGTGGGCAGCAGTTTGCCTTAGTGGTTAAGAATACAGCTTTTATGAAGCCTCTTGTCTGGGTTCCATCCCAGCTCTGAGACTTACAGCTTTTTTGTGACCTTAGAAAAATTACCAAATTTCTCTGTGCCTCCATTTTTTTCTTATCTGTTAAATAGGGATAATAATAATAAGTATTAAGGTACCTGCCAGGTAATAAGAGTTCAATAAGTGTTAGGTAATTTTATAACATTATCATCAGCTGTGGATCCAAGGCCTGCATACATGCTTCACTTTAATGATACTTACAGTTCTTGGACTTGGAAACCATATATTTCTGACTTGAAGCAGAAATCTCATCCTCAGCACTATGTGTCATACTTAGCCTTTTAAGTTTTCAAACTGCTATTATTTTCCTAAATTAACAGTAGGCCAGGAGGTACCTGATTTTTATGCTAATCATCTAACTACATACTCTGCTTTTTCCATGTTTGGGTGCCTTTAGTTGTTTGCATAAGCATAATATTTTCCATGTATTGAATGATTCACTTGTTAACTTTCAGAATAATTTTTACTGTCATCCCATATGGCCATTCAATCCAGACACCATTTGCTTACCAAATTTTTATTTTGGAGATGGTGGGTTTCTTTAAGTACATTTATTTCCATTGGAATCAAATCCTTCTTACTAGTTTTCAACACTTGGAATTGCTTTTGTACTCATCAGCCATAATGGAATTAATATTCTTTATAATACACTCTATACAGTACTCTGAAAAATGAGATGGCCAAATGACACTAACCACCGTTACCTATATATGCTATTATCCTTTGCTTATGAACAGAGTGAGCATGATTTTGCTGTCGTGAAACTTTCATAAAGTAAAATTGTACAAAAAGATGAGTTTTTATAATTGCTTTTTAGGTGATCTCTTTGCCTCACTGGTTTCTCTTCCCTCAATAACCTTTACAAAATACTTGGATCACATCACTTCCTTTTGTAGTAGGTCTGTCTTGGCTTGACTGCTGTCTATAGAATTTGGGTCATTAAATTCTTTTAACTAGTTTAGAGTATGCTTTTCTGTGGCTCTACCAACTTCTCTTCTATGAAAGAAATCTTTTGTTCATAGTCAAGCATAACCTTCTCTGTTCTATACTTGTATAATATAGGTTTTTGGTCGGCCTTTGTTTCTGTTTAATTACACCATGTCTATAACTGAACATGTGATACTTTGCCTAAAGTTACTTGTTATGCATTAAATCATGTACTGTATTATCTGGTATGCTGTCATATTAACTGTTATATGCTTCTTGGATTCAGTTAAAAAGTATATGTCATTGTTATAAAACTATAATTTCCATGAGAACATGAGTTCTCTATTTCTTTTGTGCCCTTCATATGTGTCTTATAAAGTTAGGTGGTCAGTAAACATAAACAGACATTTACTTGCATTTCAGTTTTGTGATTTATTAAAATCAAAGTCAAAGATTTCACATAACTTTTAGTCTCAACTACTTTTTGTCATGAAGTATCAACTCTTGTCAGTTTTAAAAAACCCAGTTCTTCATCTGTGGAGCAGGAAATTATACTTTTTCTTTGACAGTAGTTCAGCTCTAATTGTAAATATGTACTTTTTCTGTAATTTTTTAGGTGTTTTGAAACTATGAAATCTCAAATTGTAAGACAGCTTGACTTTATTTTGAAGTGATCCTCCCTCTTTCATGTGTCTTCTTAATAGAGGCTGAGCACTGCCAATTTTTTAAATAATTGATTTAAATATAATAAGTATGATGCATTAATCTAGTTTTAAAACCATAGTCCTTTGCTTTTCTGTAGGATTATTAAAATAGTATAAGTAAAAACAAGAAGTCTTCAGTGTTTCATCAGTTAACTTTGCCCTGTTTTCTAAACTATACAGTGAGATCTTTATATTTTAAATGAGAAAACTAATACCAAAATCTTAAGAACTCCATCAGAGGATCTCTACCTGTTCATTCTTCAGTTAATTCTCCCTTTCTTAATTGACAACATACATGATAAATTTTAAAAATATGTATTCAGTTAATCTTTTCATATAGTTTAACCATTAGCATTATAATAATGTCATTGCCTTTTTTTTTTCATTTCAGATGTCCTATACACTACTTCAACTGTAAATTAAATAGGCTTTTGTGGGGGCTAGTCAGATAGCCTGTAGGTTCCTACTAAGAAGATGCTATCTACGTTTGAAAGTTGCTATCTTTTGAATAAACATTTTGAACCTCTTTAATTTGGGGATTTCTATTTCTGGGTTATAGAAAATTTATAAAAAGTAGAGAATGTAGATCATCATTATCCAAAGTACTTGAATATTTGTTTATATCTAAAGATAACTCACCAACGTAAATTAGATGATGTTTGTAAAACAAAAAGTTGATACTGGCTGGGCTTGGTGGCACACACCTGTAATCCCAGTACTCTGGGAGGCCAAGGAGAGTGGATTATTTGAGCTCAAGAGTTCAAGACCAGCCTGGGCAACATAGGGAGACCCCATCTTTATAAAAAAATAAAAATAGTAAATTTAAAACATTGATGCAAGTAATTAAGAGATGTATTAAGGAAGCAAAATGAACAAAGACTAACAAGGCTTCTGAGAGAAGTGTTGGCATAGATCACTTACAACTACATACCTTTTAAGTATAACCCTAGCAAATAAAATATCAATCCAAATACTACCACAGTCAAATACCTGTGGACATTTACAATTACAATCAGTCTATATTCTGCAGCCATATATGCATAGGTTCATGCTCCCCCACTTAAAGGTATTTGCTTTTAATGGAGACCAATTTAATCAAAACTAAAAATACACTTCAGGGATATCCCTCATCAATTAAATTGTTTTGTTTTCATAGTGGTGTGATGTCTTCATATTTCCATCTGCATTTTGCACCTTCCCAAGATAGCTTAATAGAGACAAAAACCAAGCAGTAATTTTAGCCAAAAAAAGTAACCACATTTTGCAATAAAGAAAGGCAGCTTCTATAGGGTTTTCATATTTTTTCTTAAACTCTGAAAACTTCTACCTCTGGTTATTTCAAATCATTAGCATGCTGGGAATAAGATCTTACATAATTTTGCATTGTACTGACAAGATTTATTTATTTGCCAATTACATATAAACTAATTCTTAAGGAAGAATTAGCCAGACCATAGCTGAAATAACTATGTTTAAGCAATAGAAAAGGTATGAATAGAATGAATGTAAGCAAAAGAAGGTCAAGTTTGATGTATTTTAAACTGGGAGGATAGTCAAAATATAGAAAGATGAAGTTCAAACCATGTAAAGATTTTGATTTCAAACAAATATTTATTTCCTAAAGTGAAGTTTTGTGAGTATGTGTCCCAACCCTATCCTTCCCATGGCTTTTATCTGTGTCAGGTAACCAGTTAATCATGACATAATTTCTCATTCTTTCGAGTGCATAATAGTGCCCAGCACTTACAAAGTAAACAATCACACATCCTCTTTCAGTCACTGTCCTCTTTCTCACTTAGCCTGAACACAGCCTTAGTAGCCATCTCAATACAGCATTCCAGGCATTACTACCAACCAGTCTGATTTGGCATATCATGTAATATTGTTTACTGACAGTTTACTGTAATACAAGCAGTGTGCTATGTCTTTTACCAAAATAATTGCATGTAATCCTTGGAACATCCTGTGTACTAGTATTTTAATCCCCATTTACAAGTGAGGAAATTGAGACTTGGTTTTTTTGTTTTTCTTTTGTTGTTGTTTTTTCTGTCATTTTTTTTGAGACAAAGTCTTGCTCTGTTGCCCAGGCTGGAGTCAGTGGCACGATCTCAGCTCACCTCAGCCTCCTGAGTAGCTGGGACTACAGGTGCGCACCACCACGCCTGGCTAATTTTTTTTTTTTTTTTTTTTAAGTAGAGACGGGGTTTCACCATATTGGCCAGGCTGGTCTTGAACTCCTGATCTCATTATCCACCCGCCTCGGCCTCCCAAAGTGCTGGGATTACATGCGTGAGTCACCACACTTGGCCGGAGACTTAAGTTTTATCTGTTTTATCAATATTATAATAATAAGCCACCTCAAATCTATAATGTAAAATGAGTAACAGTAATATAAATATGATAAACTAGGAAAAATGAAATTACAGGTTATAGTAGGTACTGGAGCTGAAGTATTAATGATAAGTTGGGACTGGGAAGCCATTTATAAAGCACTGAAATAATGAAAAAATGGAAGACCCAGAGGATTTCCTTTGGAAGGTTGGGGCAGATGTGTAAGAGATAAAACAGGCCTTGGTTCCCTAAGAAGTGGTGAAGGCAGGCTCAATTTCTGACTGAAATTTCCGGTTTTAATCTCTGTGAGGCCTAACTTATTTCCTGTCCTTGAAAATTCTTGAAAACGCCTGTAGTATTCTTCAATTTCTTTTTACTTCAGTACCTATTCCATCAAACAAATGCTGCCTGAGATGATGTAGATTCAGAATATAGGATATTCTGAAGACGGATTTGGGAAACACACAGGTCTGATCATGTTGAATTTGAGGTTAGAATGTCCAGTGGGCATTTGACTATGCAAAGCCTCTGGGTTAAAAATTTTAAACTCATGACCATAGTTGAAATTGTAAAAGTGGATGAAATCTTCCATTGAGAGTGAGAAGAGCAGAGGGCTTTGGAATTAACCATGAAACCAGTATCAAGGACTGGCTGGCTGGCTGGCCAAGGACAGAGGATCTAGTGCTAGAAAATTAACACAGAATAGAGTTAGAAGGAGAATTAGAGGAGGTGATGTCCACAAAGTCTGGGTAGTACAGTTCCAAGTCTGGGTAGTCAGTGTCAGGTGCTCCAGAAAGATCAAGTACCTTGGGAATGAGTGTCCATTGGATTTAGCGGTGAGGTCACTGATGGCCTTTTCCTGCTAGCATGGTTTCTGTGGAGATAAGGTCAGAATTGAAAGTCTATTTCAGTGGGTCAGAGAAAAAATGCAAAGGAAGAAAATGAAAAATTTATCAATGTATCCCATTGAGCTATCAGAAATATAGTGGGAAGAGGTGCATGATTGAGGGCTGAAATAGACCTTAGAGGTAATCAAATAGCAACTCCGTATTTCAACACATGAGGAAATTATTAATAGCGCCCCCAAAAATTTAGTAGTTTATATTGTGCAAAGCCAGTAAGTGGCAGGTAGAACAGACAGCATCTAGGTCTTCTGATACCAAATCTGCCAGTATACATAGGCAAACTCTTAACCCAAAAGGGAGTTAAAAATTGCTTTAATGGTTTCTTTTGGCTTTTGAAATGTATTCTTTCTTAGATATAGAAAGGAATACATTATGGCTGTGCTACAGCATATTTGTCTACATACTCAGTGTGTTGTACATGCAGAAATAGGTTGAAAAAAAGCCACTGGCTAGATCTGAAGCCAGATTCCAAATTCAGTCATGTTGGAAATGTGCATAACTAAATCAATATATATATTTATAACCAATTCAGGAAGAAATTTTAAGATACTATGGTTTTGTTTTTGATTAGGAAGAATCATTAATATTTTAAAATAATGTTATAAAAGTACATATTGAATTAGAAATATAAATATTGAATCTCATAATAGTCATTCTTATTTATGGGTGGTATGTCTTATCCCTGGGCCGTTGCATGAAAATAAAATATTCACAAAATGTATTTTTGAGTACCATACTAGAATCTTCAGTTATTGGTATAAGAGCACCACCTATGGGTTTCTCATGTACTTGAAATTTTTTTCCTAAAACAAAACCTAATAAAATTCTTTCTAGTTTTTCCCTATAATTATTCTATCGATTTAGTCAAAGGTTAGGAATGTTCTTTGTCCTAGATTAATCCCACCTTGTTTTTGGCTGTATGTCACTGCTGTTAAACCATTTAATAAATAGTTGAGTACTTACATGGTAGTACAGAATTATAATTGAGTTAAATGTAATTTAACTCAAAATTGTATTAGTCTCTTTAACGTAGGTGAATCTTTTAATAAAAATGAACAATTTTCCATATTCTGGGGAAAGGGTGATGATTGTTTTTGGCTGTTTATTTATATGTTTGTTTATATTTTCATGAACTTAAGATTTCCTTTAGCTTACTGCGACTCCAGAATGCTGTGTTAGGAGATAATGAAAAGTCTCGCTCTGTCACCAGGCTGGAGTGCAGTGGCACGATCTCAGCTTACTGCAGCCTCCGCCTCTCAGGTTCAAGCAATTCTCCTGCCTCAGCCTCCTGAGTAGCTGGGACTACAGGTGCACGCCACCACACCCAGCTAATTTCTGTACTTTTAGTAGAGATGGGGTTTCACCATGTTGGCCAGGAGAAAAAGAAGTTCTTACAAATAACTTAGCTATCTTTTTATTAAATTATTGTAATGATAACTCAGAGTAAAGTGGAAGAAAACTGGCAGTTTATTATTAATAAACTCTTAAAGAATTACATTTGGATACATATAGTCTTTTTCTAAAACGTCATTTATTAAAATTAAAACTTTTTTGTAAGGGAGATTTACTAACGAAACAGCAGCAAAAAAAAAAAGAAAAAAAGAAGCTTTGACTATGCCTTGGCAATGAGATGAATGCTAAGCCCTTGATATATCTGTGCTGTATGCCATGAATCTGTTCTGAAAGCGATTCAAAACAGATGCCCTTTGGCAGTGCACCCTAATTCCAGGGCAGACCCATTTTTCGATATGAACTTTTTTTTCTGCAGTAGAATATACTTTTAAAGCTTTGATTGCATGTTTTCTTCAGGGAGTAGGTTATTCTATAGAAATAAGGATTGACTTTAAGTAATATAGCTTGTTTTATTTTGATCATTATGGATAAAATTCTTTAAATTACATAATATACTTCCTAGCATTCTTAACCTAAATTGAAAAGTGTATAACCCCTGTTACGGAAAACAAAAACAAAAACAAAAAAAAGTTGCCATGCATGGTGGCATGCTCTTTGTAGTCCCAGCTACTCAGGAAGCTGAGGCAAGAGGATCACCTGCGCCCAAGAATTCAAGGCTGTAGTGTCCTATGCTAGTGCCTGTGAATAGCCACTGCACTCCAGCCTGGGCAACATAGTGAGATCTCATCTCTTAAAAAAAAAAAAATGCTGGGCGCGGTGGCTCACGCCTGTAATCCCAGCACTTCGGGAGGCTGAGGTGGTAACATCACAAGGTCAAGAGATCGAGACCATCCTGGCCAACCTGGTGAAACCCCTTCTCTACTAAAAATACAAAAATTAGCTGGGTGTGGTAGCGTGCACCTGTAGTCCTACTTACTCGGGAGGCTGAGGCAGGAGAATTGCTTGAACCTGGGAGGCAGAGGTTGTAGTGAGCCGAGATTGTACCACTGTACTCCATCCACCCTGGAGACAGAGTGAGACTCTATCTCAAAAAAAAAAAAAAAAAAAAAAAAAAAAGTCATTTTTCCAAATTACAATTGTAATAGTGGTATTTGGCCATCTCTTGGGTTACCTGATTTTTAAACTACAGCAGAACTTAAAAAGCATGGGAGTGCAGGCCGTGTTTTATACCAGTCATTTTGCCTATACTGATTCATTATTCACTCAACAACTCTTAGATCAGTATGAATATTAATTTATTATGATGATATAATACAACAGTCTTACCTTTTGAGAGACAGGCAATATATAAATTATGAGCTCATGGTTTTTGAGTTTAGTATGTAGTGTTTGTTTTTCTGAAAATTTACTCGTCACTTCTGATAACTGTTTATGTACCCCTGGCAGCTACTCTCCCCACTTCTAATTTTCTGCTTCTAATCTGCTGTTACTTTAAAATCAAGTAATCTAATTTGTTGAAATTGTATTAAATAAGACGTTCTAGAATTTTAAATTCTACTAAAGGCTTAAACATCACGTATTTGATTGAGAGAGAATAAATTGTCACATTATCAACTGAATTCTGGATAATGTTAACTATATTGCAACGAGAGTTCCAGATAGTGCAAGAATAATCCAGGAAAGTGTTGGTATTAGTTTTAATTTATTCTATATGCATGAAGATTTTCCTCTGTGATATGCAGATGTCTAATCACATGGTGATATTTTAAGCACTATTTCAAAATTTTACTTTTAAATAATGTAGGAATCATTCATAACCCTGTAATAAATAGCTTGGAAGTATTAATGGAATAAATTGAAGAACTGCTTTGCAGTGATTTTGAGTGTTTTACTATCTTTATTCAATCATCCACTAACTTCTTAACAAAAATTACAATCCAGCATCTTACTGTTAGGCTTATTTAGAGTACCCTAAAAGCAGCATTATGCTCCTAAGGATCTAAACAAAGTAGGTAAGCAAATATTGGAAAGGTAGTTTATGATAAAGAAAATAAACTTGAAAGATGAGTTTTGAAAAAAGATGGGTGGATGGATAGATCAGTCTCCATGGCCAAAGCCAGTAATCTTGAACTCTTATTCAGTGATCCAGTTTGAAATTTCCTTGCCTGCCCAAAACATGTACAGTAGTCCCTCCTTATCTATGAGGGATACCTTCAAGACCCTCAGTGAATGCCTGAAACTGCAGAGTACCAAACCTGATTGCTGTCCAGTTTAATGCCTTTTCCATCTTAACTAAGCACTTAGGTACTGCGGCCATTAACTTTTGCAGTTTGAGGTATCACAGCAAAACTAGCATGAATTTCTTTTTCCTTCTTCATAATTTCATGGATATAAGATTCATTCTTACCTTAGAGCTCAGACACCTCAGCATACGATTTTTTTTCTATTGTTGAGAACTTTCACCTTTTCACTTAATGGAAGCACTTTACAGCTTCTCTTTGACATATCCGAATTACCAGCATCACTACTTTTGTGCTTCAAGGCCATTCATAATGGCAAAATAAGGGTGACTTGAACACAAGCACTTCAATACTGTGACAGTTGATCTGATAAGTGAGATGGCTACTAAGTAACTAATGGGTGGGTAGCATACACAGCGTGGATACACTGGACAAAGGGAAGATTCATGTCCCGGGAGGGACAGAGCAGCACAGCAAGAGATGTCATCACTACTCAGAACAGCACACAATTTAAAACTTAAGAATTATTTATTTCCAGAATTTTCCATTTACTATTTTCAGACCACTGTTGGCTCCAAGTAACTGAACAATGAAAAGCAAAATGTCCGATAAGTGGGGCTACTGTATTTTATTGGAATAAGGGACTTTATCTAAAAGGGAGAAAATTGAAATATCTCATTAGAATAATAGCTTTTTAAAGTTGATACTACCATATCTTATTGGTTATTATTTGATGTGTAAAGTTTTTTGGTTTTTAAAAAATAAACACTGATTTACCTAATACCATTTAAATGTGTAATAATAAGGAAAGATTGCTTTGGCTATCTTCCAGCTTGTGGAGAGACTCCAGAGCAAATACGAGCACCAAGTGGCATAATCACAAGCCCAGGCTGGCCTTCTGAATATCCTGCAAAAATCAACTGTAGCTGGTTCATAAGGGCAAACCCAGGCGAAATCATTACTATAAGGTAATTCTACCTTTCTGTATTACTATATAATTTATTACAAAACATAAATTCCATTTTCATTTATTATTACTTAACATGCAGTAATATAAAAAGAAGGCTTTTCAGGAGATGTAATAAAGAACAGCTATTAGCTATTGGTGTCATCTTAAGAGTAAGAGTAACAGCCCATCTGGTATGTGTTTTGAGTATTTTCTAAGGGTGGTAATGTATTTGCATTGAATCATCTATATTCTTCTAAGCTACTTTTTAACAAAATATAGACATTTGCAAAATAGCCTATTAGGGTCAAGACTAACCTTTGGCAGTGGAACAAACAAATAAACAAAACTCATTAATTCACTTGGATATCTAGCTCTTAACCTTTGTCTCATTAGTAGAGCCTTCTACCTAAATGAGTTAAAACACAATTTGTCATGCCTGTCTGTATATGTGTATGTATGTATAAAACTTGAAACAAACTGATAATGGAGAAATACTATATCTAGAAAAATCTTTGTTTATAACTTCGAAACAAAAGAACATTTGTTAAGAATACAAATGAAAGGCATTCCTAGGGGAAATAGCTGTAAGTTTAAGATTCTAAGAATGAATGTGACATATAAATAAGGAAGGTTAAGATTAAATTTTAAAACATTTAGCAAATTACTTGCAGAGAAAAACAGTACGGGAATAAGATTGTAAAGAATATATTTAGTAGAACTAGATACTGCTTGCTTAGGAAAATTCTATCAAGGCCATTAGGAAAAAAATATTTACCTACAGGGGAAAAAAAAATAGCCCGAATGAAGAACTGCAGTTGGAACAAAACACAAATAAGAATGTCATTTCCATCACAGAGACAGTGTAGCACAAAGGCACCTTCAACATGTTTTCATGTGTAACATTGTATGGGTAGGAGGCATAGAATTTTAGATTTAGAAGAGACTTTGGAGATCATAAACTCAAATTCCTTCATTTTATGTTTTTAAAATAAGACTTATACATTTAGCCTACTTTCTCATCTTTTTTCATCTTCCTTTTTTGTATTTATTAACTGATGAGGAAACCAATCTCTCTTGAGAAGCATAACTGTCATCTATCTCCTTTTTTTGGTGGAAACCACAAACAAGGGCCATAGTTTGTTTTCCTTTTATTTTCCTCTACCCTACATTACCTCTTCTGGAACCCCAGAGCTTGGCACATACAAAAGCTGTTGTTCTCCTCCTCCATGCAGTGTTTTTCTCTTGCCTGATTGAGTGGTAGAATGCACCATTAAGGTTATCTTTCTGTAACAGGGTCAGTGTTTAAATGTAAATAATATACCTATTTTCTGTTACTTGTAGTGTGACTAAGTATGTTTACAAAATAACATTTTTACCACATATTGGGAGTTTTTTAGCATAAAACTAGAATTTATAGAGACCTTCACCTTTTAACCTAAAAATTTAACTTACAACTTATAGCTCAGTTTTGTAAAACTTGAAAATCTTACCAGCACAGAGGAGATTACATGAAATACTGCCATCTGGTTTTGATAATGTATTGCATCCTTGAGATTTCATGAGGTTAAGATACACTAAAAACCAAGCACAATACTGAAATGCAGAATAAAATTGAAGTGAGCCCTACAGCTAAAGGAAAATTTCCTGAATTTTAGAAGGGAGCAATGAATTTCGATGTATACAGATCAGAAGGTGATTTTAGTAATTGTTCAGATTCTTTACTGAAGTCATTATCATGGTAATACCATAACTTTAAAAAGATGACACACCTGCATATACACAAAGACAAGTTTTACATATGATTATCATTGCATAATCTTAAATGATTCAAAAGAATCATATGCATAATTAAATGTAGCTCTTTTAGACATACAAATGAGTCAGTATTAGGAAATATTAAATTAACTTACCATGTAAACAAGTCAAAAGAAAAAGTATATGATTATCTAGTGTACACAGATGCTTTGAAGCATCTTGGTAAAAAAGAAAATCAGCATTCATTCCTGAATTTAAAATAAAAATTTTAAATTCTTAGTAAAATGGAATTAGAAACATGATTTTTTAAAATCTGGATAGAAGAGGGAAACTAAAGTTACGGAGTAAAAACAATACTGAGAACTGTCTGTATAAAACTTGCTTAAGATGGTGAAATAAAGGCATTTTTACTTCATTCCTCTCCCTTGGAACCCACTATAATCAACAAAGGCCACCTTATCCATGGGGAAGAGAGGATTGAATACCAGCACCCTGCTTGAAGCCAAGGACTAGGGACGGGCAATTTTGCTCCAGACAGGAGGCTGAAAAATCTTCCACCAACCACAGCCTGAATTTATATGGGGCTGAGAGCTTAGAGAGCTGAGAGGGCATAACCTAACAAACATGAATAACTATGTCACCTGCTGACTCCATGAAAGGATCTGTAATACTCTGAACCATCATTTAAGACTTGTTCTGGAATGTAGACCCAAGTAGGGGAACATAGAAGAAGAGAGGATTAAAAAAAAGAGAGAAAACCAAAAAACTTCCATAAAATAAACCTGTAAACCAAAATTCCAGAATGTGTGAAAAAATTGAATGCTGAGAAAAACAGCCAAACAAAATTAAGTTGGAACTCAAATTTACTCCAGGCATTTTAAGATGTATTCTGTCAGGAATTATTTCTTAACTTTCTTTATGCCACGGCCACCTAGTATTCTGGTAAAACCTATGTATTCTTTCCCAGAATAATGTGTTTAAATTCATTAAAAAAAATACATAGCATTACAAAGGGAACCAATTATGTTAAAGTACAGCTATCAGATATTTTTTAATATTTGTAATGTAATATATGCTTATTTATGAACACATTAGCAAAATCAAGTGGTTAATTTCAAAGAAAAAATTTTACGTGTAAATAGTATTTTTAGATATCTGTAAAAACTGAAATGTAACATAAAAATATCTCTAATTTTGAATAGTGGTGGAGTGGCCAGTGCTATAAATACTGTCATGGTTTGTTGTTTATAAGTGTAGGAAATGCTAAATTTTAGTAAAAGGTTAGTGAAAATAAAGCTTTAAATTGTTTCTACCCTATTTGTGATTTTTGAGGGGACAGGAGAAACACCGAATATTCTTACTTGGACTTTGTTAGAAAAAAAGTGTGTTTCAGCATTTCAGTTAAAATATCAAAAGGTAGCCACTGATTAAAAATAGGAGTAATATTGAGCAGTTAACAGAGGAAAAGGAACTTTAAAAATATATTCAAAAAAGACAGGAAGCTAGATGTGGTGGCTCACGCCTGTAATCCCAGCACTTTGGGAGGCTGAGGCAGGCAGATCACTTGAGGTCAGGAGTTTGAGACCAGCCTGGCCAACATAGCGAAACCTCATCTCTACTAAAAATACAAAAATTAGCTGGGCATGGTGGCACGCGCCTATAATCCTAGCTACTCAGGAGGCTGAGGCATGATAACTGCTTGAACCCAGGAGGTGGAGGTTACAGAGCCAAGATCATGCCACTGTGCTCCAGCCTAGGCAACAGAGTGAAACCCTGTCTCAAAAAAAAAAAAAAAAAAAAAAAGGAAAGAAGGAAAATGAGAACTCTCTCCCAAGTAGAAAGGTTGTAACACATCTAAAACAAAACTAATACAGAATGTCTAAAAACAAGGAGATGGGCCAGATGCTGTGGCTCGTGCCTGTAATCCTAGCATTTTGGAAGGCCAAGGTAGGCTCAGGAATTCGACACCAGCCTGGGCAAGGTGGTGAAACCCTGTCTTTACAAAAAATACAAAAAACTAGCTGGGCATGATGGCACGTTGCCTGTGGTCCCAGCTACTCAGGAGGCTGAGGTGGGAGGATTACCGGAGCCCAGGAGGTTGAGGCTGCAGTGAGCCATGAATGCACCACTGCACTCCAGCTTGGGTGGAAGAATGAGACTTAGTCTTAAAAATAAACAAAAACAAAACGAGATAGAAAAGGTTAGTTTTGGAGCTACTCATCAAGAGAAAGCTAGTGTAGGAAGATTAACATCCATTGTAATTGAGCTTAAGGCACAAAATACTAGTAACAATTGGGGTATTCTACCAGGAAAATAAACCAGCAGTAAATTTCATTTACTTAATTACATAGCCTAAAATACATGCAAAGCAAAATGTGGAGAATTGCCCGGCAAATTTGACCAATCCACAGTTGCAGTGGGAGATTTTTAACACACCTTTAATACTTATTTCAACAAAGAATACACATTCTTTTCAAAGACATGTGGAACATTTATAAAAATTGATTATGTTTCACATCACAAAGGAACTCTTAATACATTTCAAAGACTGTACATCATTCAGATTGTGTTTTCTTACCACAATGCAATTAAAATAAAAGAAAAAAATAAACCTGTATGTTTAGAAATATATTCCTAAATAACTCCTGAATTAAAGAGGAAATCACAATGGGACCAAATATTTTTTAAATAACCATAGTGAAAGTAATACATATTAAAACTGTTAGAATACATTGAAAGAATACTTAGAAAAGTTTACAACTTTAATGCATTGATTTAAAAATTAGAAAATAAATAAGCTCAGCATTTAACTCAAGAGTTAAGGAAAAGAATTAGAGGGTAAATTTTAAAGTAGCAGTAAAGACCAGGAAAATACGCAATAAAATTCAATAAAACAAAAAGCTGACTTTCTGAAAAACTCAGGAAAATAGATAAAACTCAAAGCAAAACTGAAGAAAAAGAGAAGATAAAAAGAGCAAAAGTGTCTGTAGTTATAAACAAAATTTTTAATGTCATAAGAGAATATTATAAGCAGTTTTATGTTAATACTTTTATACAAGTAGATGAATTGGATTATTTTTTAGAAAATTTATATTACTAAAATTGATTCAAGAAGAATTAGAAAACGGATGAAATCAGTAGCCATTGAAGAAATTGAATCAGCATTCAAATTAAGACTCTAGAACTAGTTTTATAGGCAAGTTTTACTAAATGAATAGAAAAGGAATTTCCTTAACCTGGTAAAGGGTGTCTGTTTAAAAATTTTCAAAAGCAAATTTAATGTCAAAGTTAATTATAGCACCAAGGACCAAGACAAAAATGTGTGCTTTTACTGGTTATAGTAGAATTCTTAGTGAATGCAACAGTGCAACAGATAGAAATCAGTGATATAAAGAAAATAGGAAGGAAGAGAAAACCTTTATTTGCTAATTATATGTTTGTTTTAAGCAGTCTAAAGCAAACTTAAAGATCACAGATAGGAAAAAATGTCTTTAAATTGTATGAAAGTACTGTGTACAGAGCTTTGTAGTAATAAATTTTACTATCAACATAAGATCAATTTCTAAGAAAATTTAAATGGTCAAAAGTTTAAGAAACACTGATTAAACCAAAAAACATCAAGAAATTGAAACTCTCTCCCTGACTCAATATATTCTAAATAGGCACAGAGCACAAATATGTCAACAGTGCTTTTATTACACAAAGTACTATGAAGCATTTAAAAAACCAAAAAGTAATTTTACTTATTTAAAAATCCTAAATGAATTAGCAAACTAAAATAGGGTATACATGAACAGATATTTATTGTTTCTTATTCTAAACAAGGTTTCTGCCTTCATGAATCTTTTTTTTTTTTTTTTTTTTTTTTTTTTTTGAGAGACACAGTCTCGCTTTGTCACCCAGGCTGGAGTGCAGTGGCGCCATCTTGGCTCACTGCAACCTTTGCCTCCCGGGTTCAAGCAGTTCTCCCGCCTCAGCCTCCCGAGTAGCTGGGATTACAGGTGTGTAAAAACTAAAACTCTGAAATGCTTAAAAAATAGTTGAACATCTTTGGGATCTTTGGAAACACCAAGATAGCTTAGAGAGGACACTAAATGCACTAAACATAAAGCAAAAATAAAAAATTAGACTTCATCAAGACTAAAATTAAAAACCACGCCCAACTAATTTTTGTATTTTTAGTAGAGATAGGGTTTCACCTTGTTGGCCAGGTTGGTCTCGAACTTCTGACCTCAGGTGATCCACCCACCTCAGCCTCCCAAAGTTCTGGGATTACGGCGTGAGCCACCTCTCCCAGCCTTTGCCTTCATGAATCTTAAATGTTTAGTGGACTAAAAGTTTATTAAGGGATTCCCTAGTTTGAATGGGACTAGACCTCCCATAAACAAGAGCTATTAAGTTTGGATAAGATATTTTAAAACCAAACTAGGGATTCCCTAGTTTGAATGGGACTAGACCTCCCATAAACAAGAGCTATTAAGTTTGGAAAAGATATTTGAAGGCTCTGGAGAGTAATAAAAAACTGGCAAAAACTGGAGAGTATTCCACCCCTGAAAGAAGGAACCACACTTCGTGAGATAGGCTTGTTTCCTACCAGTTCTCTGAAGATTCTTGCCAGTCTGTGCAACGTGGAGTGACTGGAACTCAAGCAGATCACCGTGGTCTTGTCAGCTTGAGGTGTCAGGATGCAGTTGAGGATGGGACAGTAACTGGAAATTAATAAGGTAACTCCTGGAAAGGAGAGAACCACAAGCTGGAAAGTAACTGCATTTAAATTATTCTCGAATCCTTAGCTGACCCATGAATTGTGTGTGCTTAAAGAAGACTCCAAGGAACCTGCTGGAAAGTAACAGCAGGAAGGCTGAAGATTTCAGCTGCTGCACCCCACAGCAGAGGCAGCATGTGGAGTTTGAATCCTGTCCATCACAGGGGAGACCGAGTATAGGGCTTCATAAATAAATGCCTTGAGATTTTTAATGAAACTCTGTGTGTCATACTTTACAAGTAAAGACAGTGTCCTTAAACTAAGAATTCCCCCTAAGACTAAGGGCAAAGCAGAAACAAACTCACTTTAAACAAGTGTAAAACCAAACCTCCTCAAGTTCATAGTCATCAGACTAATTTAACTGTGTGATAGAACAAAAATTAGTATCTTCTATGTTCTAGATAAATGTAAGAAAGAAGAATCTCATTTTCTACTTGAAAACACGAAAATTTATATAAATCTCAGCTATAAATGTAAAAACTAAAACTCTGAAATACTTAAAAAGTAGTTGAACATCGTTGAGATCTTTGGAAACACCAAGATATCTTAGGACAACAAATGCACTAAACACAAAGCAAAAATAACAAATTAGACTTAATGAAGACTAAAATTTAAAACTTCTGCTTATTAAAAGGTTCCATTAAGAAAATGAAAAGACAAACCACAGGCTGGAAGAAAATATTAGCAATACACATGTCTAACAAAGGACTTGAATCCATTTTTTTTTTTTTTTTGAGGTGGAGTCTTGCTCTGTCGCCCAGGCTGGGGTGCAGTGGTGCGATCTTAGCTCACTACAACCTCCACCTCCCAAGTTCAAGCAGTTCTTCTGCCTCAGCCTCCCGAGTAGCTGGGACTACAAGCATGCACCACCACACCCAGCTAATTTTTGTATTTTCAGTAGAGACGGGGTTTCACCATTTTGGTTGGCCAGGCTGGTCTCGAACTCCTGACCTCAAGTGATCTGCCCACCTCAGCCTCCCAAAGTTCTAGGATTACAGGTGTGAGCCACCATGCCCGGCCAAGAATATAAAAGGGATTTTTATAACTTTTTTTTTTTAATGGGCAAAAGACATGAACAGATACTTCACAGAAGATATAAAAATGGCCAATAATCACATGAAAAGATGTTCAGCAAATTTGTCTTCAGGGAAGTGTACATAAAACCACAATAAGAGATCACACCCGTCAGTGACTAAAATGAAAAAGACTGACCACACTGACTATTGGAGAGAAAGAATGTGGATGTAGGTGGATATGACATGTCTCACATAACATACATGCCCCCGAATAAGCTCATGTTTATAATATGTAGAGTTCTTAAGAAATATTAATGAATAAAGGAGGCAATTTGGAAAACAAGGCAATTTGGAGTAAAAGAAATAGAAATAACCCAAAAATTGGAAAAGGATTTCAATCTCAGTAAATAAAGACATGCTAAATAGAAGTGATAAATCTCTTTTGTCTACCTAATTGGCAAAACATTTTTAAAAATAGAATATGTCATTTTGCTAAACGTGTGGGGTATATGGTACTTTGGTACATACTTGGTAGAACTGTAAATTCGTATAAACATGTTTTTCCAGTGTCTGTCAGATTTAAAGAGGAATTATTCTTCTGACCTAGCAATACTAGTTCTAGAATAGTTTGTCCTAGAGAAATTCTTGTTCTTGTAAGAGAGATACGTACATGTATAAGGGTTTTGTTTTGTTTGGTTTTGTTTGGTTTTGTTTTGTTTGAGACGGAGTCTCACTCTGTTGCCCAGGTTGGAGTGCAGTGGCACAGTCTCGGCTTACTGCAAACTCTGTCTCCCAGGTTCAAGAGATTCTCCTGCCTCAGCCTCCCGAGTAGCTGGGATTACAGGCACATACCATCATGCCCGGCTAATTTTTGTATTCTTAGTAGAGACGGGGTTTCATCATGGCCAGGCTGGTCTCAAACTCCTGACTTCGTGATCCGCCCACCTCAGCGTCCCAAAGTGCTGGGATTACAGGCGTGAGCCACCATGCCCGGCCAGGAGTTTTTAAAGCATAGTTCATAATAGTGCAAACCTGGAAACAATCAAATTGTCTATCAGCTTTTGTTAGTTATTCAGAATATTTGAAGAAGAAACATTCTGGTATAATAATCCTTGGGTAATTAACTTTATTATCACTTAGTTTAAGGCAAAGGCAAGAATATAAAGTCAGATCTTTACTTTTTGGTGAGGCATATTCAGATATTGTAAAACTGTATTTTGGTTTCTCTTTTTTCATAAGCAGTGACTAATTTTCTGTGTGCATTTATTTATTTGATGTTTTTGGCCTATACTTATGCCCACATTTTATTAACTACAAGATAGTATTTGGCTATAAAGTGATTTATGTAAAAAAGTATTCCCAAACTCAAGGACTTTTCACCAAAAACATTTTTCGTGTGTTCCTTTTTCAGTCTTTTACCTTGCTCAGATTTGTGCTAATTACTCTCCTAAGAATGTCAGCTGCAAACTTTTCATTAAGCAGGTATTAATCTAAGAGAAGGCTGAGTTTCTCTGTGTTTACTTCAATTCATCAGATTGGGGAGAGGTGATTCTGGTTGGAACACAGAACAGTTTAGGATGTTCTGAGTTAGAAGTGGTCTTTCCCAACCGTACACACAGAGAAGAAAAAGAAAAGGTGCCAACTGTCACCTGTTTTTTAACATTATTTTGGAACCTAGCATTACTTGTGAAGAATTATTTTTCTACAATCTGGGGAAGAAATACAAATATGAGGAACATAGAATTAGTATTATTATTTGCTAATGATACGGTTGTATGCCTAGAAAACCCAGGAGAATCAGTCAGTATATGGAGGCTTATAATAATATCCTCAGTTACTTTGTAATACGATTTTTTTTTCCAAAATTGACTTTTTAATAGACATTTCTGATTTTTTTTTCAGTTTTCAGGATTTTGATATTCAAGGATCCAGAAGGTGCAATTTGGACTGGTTGACAATAGAAACATACAAGAATATTGAAAGTTACAGAGCTTGTGGTTCCACAATTCCACCTCCGTATATCTCTTCACAAGACCACATCTGGATTAGGTTTCATTCGGATGACAACATCTCTAGAAAGGGTTTCAGACTGGCATATTTTTCAGGTGTGTTTTTAAATAAGAAAGATATTGAACTGAATTTTATGGTATTAACTGCTCTGTCACTTCGGAGCTAATCTTCTAAGTAGTGTTCATTTAATTAGGAGTAGGCCCTTGAGGCAGCTGAGATTGAGGATTAGAAGCTAAAGTTAGATGCCCTAAAGCTGGGTCTCCAAAAGGTGTTTTGTATAATTCTAACAAAATGATTAACTTCATATACTAAGGTTAATTTTCTTTTTAAACATCTTAAATACATTTATTCTAAGAATAGCCTTTTCTCCCTCAAGTGCTTACGCATATCCAGAAAGTTACTTCAGAATGTATTTTTGTGGTAATTGTCATTGTTTTTATACCTCCAGAGAAAAGACCTAACAAATTTCACCTTCATAGTTTATAGTCTCAGAAAAAACGACATCTTTTCTTTTCTTAAATTGTGTCTAAAAAACAAGACCAGATCATACAAATGTGAATAATTCAGAATTAGTCCTCTCTTTTAGATCAAAATGCAAGATCTTCATGGAATAATAATAAGTATTTAACAAATTGAATTGTTGAGTAAGCATGCCAGTACTAATTTGTCATTAGAACCCAACCTGTTAAATCATTCCATTTATAAAGATACATACACACATACGTTGATTGCAGCACTATTCTCAATAGCAAAGAGATGGAATCAAACCAAATGCCCATCAATGATAGACTGGGTAAAGAAAATGTTGGTACATATACACCATGGAATACTATGCAGCCATAAAAAGGAGCGAGATCATGTCCTTTGCTGGAAGCTGGATGGATGGATGAAGCTGGAAGCCATTATCCTCAGCAAAATAACACAGGAACAGAAAACCAAACACTGCATGTTCTCACTTATAAGTGGGACCTGAACAATGAGAACACATGGACACAGGCCCCAGATTTATTGTGGCCTTTCTAGGGAGGGTGGGGTGGGAGGGAGAGCATTAGGGAAAAGACCTAATGCATACTGGACTTAATACCTAGGTGATGGATTGATGGGTGCAGCAAACCACCATGGCACATGTTTACTCATGTAACAAACCTGCACATCCTGCACATGTACCCTGGAACTTAAAATTAAAATATTAAAAAACCAACCTGTTTTTTAAAACTTCTAGCACTTGGGCTTTATGAACATTTATTATAAAAATATCACTTGCTGTTTTATGTCTTTTAAAGATTATAATTTTTCTCCTTCTCTTTCCATCTATTTCTACTCACATCTTCACAGGGAAATCTGAGGAACCAAATTGTGCTTGTGATCAGTTTCGTTGTGGTAATGGAAAGTGTATACCAGAAGCCTGGAAATGTAATAACATGGATGAATGTGGAGATAGTTCCGATGAAGAGATCTGTGCCAAAGAAGCAAATCCTCCAACTGCTGCTGCTTTTCAACCCTGTGCTTACAACCAGTTCCAGTGTTTATCCCGTTTTACCAAAGTTTACACTTGCCTCCCCGAATCTTTAAAATGTGATGGGAACATTGACTGCCTTGACCTAGGAGATGAGATAGACTGTGATGTGCCAACATGTGGGCAATGGCTAAAATATTTTTATGGTACTTTTAATTCTCCCAATTATCCAGACTTTTATCCTCCTGGAAGCAATTGCACCTGGTTAATAGACACTGGTGATCACCGTAAAGTCATTTTACGCTTCACTGACTTTAAACTTGATGGTACTGGTTATGGTGATTATGTCAAAATATATGATGGATTAGAGGAGAATCCACACAAGCTTTTGCGTGTGTTGACAGCTTTTGATTCTCATGCACCTCTTACAGTTGTTTCTTCTTCTGGACAGATAAGGGTACATTTTTGTGCTGATAAAGTGAATGCTGCAAGGGGATTTAATGCTACTTACCAAGTAGATGGGTTCTGTTTGCCATGGGAAATACCCTGTGGAGGTAACTGGGGGTGTTATACTGAGCAGCAGCGTTGTGATGGGTATTGGCATTGCCCAAATGGAAGGGATGAAACCAATTGTACCATGTGCCAGAAGGAAGAATTTCCATGTTCCCGAAATGGTGTCTGTTATCCTCGTTCTGATCGCTGCAACTACCAGAATCATTGCCCAAATGGCTCAGATGAAAAAAACTGCTTTTTTTGCCAACCAGGAAATTTCCATTGTAAAAACAATCGTTGTGTGTTTGAAAGTTGGGTGTGTGATTCTCAAGATGACTGTGGTGATGGCAGCGATGAAGAAAATTGCCCAGTAATCGTGCCTACAAGAGTCATCACTGCTGCCGTCATAGGGAGCCTCATCTGTGGCCTGTTACTCGTCATAGCATTGGGATGTACTTGTAAGCTTTATTCTCTGAGAATGTTTGAAAGAAGGTCAGTATCAAGACAGAACTATTGGGCCTCAATAAAAGCAGGCCCAAGTGTTTGAAACAAGTTCTTTGATGATTAGCAATGTATTTTTGTTTTATATTAGTTTAGAAAATGGATAAAGATTGTTGATGATGTATAAAATTAGCGTGAAAAACCCGAGACTCAGAAGGCCAGACACATTACAAACTAAATATTTAGAGTTATGAGAAAAAGCCCATCTATTTACCAGCTCCTGTTTTCAGATTAATCTGTTTTATAGGAATATTGTAAGCTGCAGCTCTCAGTTTTAGTGTTTTAACCTGTATTTTTCTAAATACAAATTCAAAAATTCCAGTTATTCTATATGCTATGTTCAAAGCATACAGGTAAATAGAAAAATGAATAAGGCATAATATCACAAGCAGTTTACAGTTAGGAGGAAGGAATTGGGGCATGGAATAAGATGACAAAAGTATAATACTATAAAGAGCTATGAAACAAAATGGTATAAAGTCAAAAATACGTAATCTAATGAGGGAGAGAGGCAGAAAGGCTTTAATTGGAGGGGTGCCACTTGAAATGTATGAGTAGAAGAATATAGATAGGGGAAAAGGTGTTGTTAAAGCAATAACCTAGGAAAATATATAGAAGTAGGAATGTCCAGCATTGCTCAAAAAGTAAGCACATGATTCAGTTTATCTGGAGCCCAGGATGCGTATGAAGGGCTAACAGGAGATACGATTGGAACACAAGACTAATGTCCTGTTGTAGAGTTAAGTGACAACAGCACTTCAGAGTTCTCAGTTCAGTAAGAAATGGTTAACTGTTAAAGAGTGACCTTCAGAGTGAGTAGTTTTCAGTTTGATGCAGGATAAATGGGACCTGGCAGAAGTTAATGGCAGAGATGTCCCTGTGGAGACAATGACCTTCAGTCCCAGGAGAATTACAAATAATAGATTTAACAACTTTTTACGTAACAGATGGCTAATAGGTGGCACACAGATGCACAGTATCGTAATAACCATTACTGCATCTTTTCTTTTTTTTCCTTTTTTTTTTTTTTGTTGTTTGTTTGGAGACGGGAGTCTTGCTCTGTCACCCGGGCTGGAGTGCACTGGTGCGATCTCAGCTCACTGCACTCCGTCTCCCAGGTTCAAGCGATTCTCCTGCCTCAGCCTCCCAAGTAGCTGTGATTACAGGCGCCCGCCACCACGCCTGGCTAATTTTTTGTATTTTTAGTAGAGACAGGGTTTCACTCTGTTGGCCAGGCTGGTCCCAGACTACTGACCTCGTGATCCACCCGCCTTGGCCTCCCAAACTGCTGGGATTACAGGTGTGAGCCACGGCGCCCGACCACTGCATCTTTGGCCAAGTGTAAATGGCCAGAAAACTTTTTACCACATTGCAACAAAAGAGCACAATGAAGAGTCAAAGATCCCAGCTGGGCGCAGTGGCTTCAACGTATATTCAGTAAATACAGTATTCTTAGGAGTTTTTAAATCTTGTATTATTTCTCCCTTTACCTTTTACAGGGATTTTCATTTATTAAAACTCAGTGATCTAGGCTTCTACTAGCATAAAGCCCTATGAAGACAGACTGCCTGCGTCAGCTTTGTATTCCCACTGTAGGGATAATACATATATTCAGTAAATGTTTGTCAAATGACTAAGCTTTAAAATGATCAAATATGCCAAGACTCAGATTGTTTTAATTACTGATAATAGAAAATTGTTCTTTTTCTTCGCTCCCCCTTTTAATCATTTTTCTTTCCATCTACTCTCAAAGATCATTTGAAACACAGTTGTCAAGAGTGGAAGCAGAATTGTTAAGAAGAGAAGCTCCTCCCTCGTATGGACAATTGATTGCTCAGGGTTTAATTCCACCAGTTGAAGATTTTCCTGTTTGTTCACCTAATCAGGTATATTGCAATGTGTAATTTCTATTACATTTCCTCTTAAAATGAAATCTGCGCCTGTATATATGATAAAGCAAAGACCCTTGACTGTCAGAATTTTTGCAATCAAGGATTTAAATGTATGGAAGATTTGAAGTCATAGTTTTCATTATAGTTTAACACTACAAACTGCAAAAGTATATTTTTCATTCCTCTGATTTGGTTGTGCAATTCTTAAGCATTTTACTGTTTAGGATAATTTAGTGCATTATAATTCAAAAGTATTAAGCTTGGCAAATTATTTTTTACTTGACCTGAACATCTGCAAGATTTAAGAATGAACACTAAAATTAATATGCTAGCAATATAACATGCTAGATTAACCACTTATAAGTAAAAGTAATTAAAATGAAGTTAACATTTCTACCTCAGGAAAAACATCTTCAAGCTGGATTTTACAGTGTTTAACAATTTATAGCATTTTGTTTATATAGTAATTCATTATATGTTTCTGAATTCTTTCAATTTCTTAGCAATTAAAAAAATTTTTCTCGTAGTGCTTAAAAATGTGCCAGTGTTCATTTTAGGCATAAGGATTTATTCATTTAAATTGTAAATTCATTCAGAAACATTTATAAAAACTGTTGTTTCCAGTATTATAATTAAAACTGGTAAACATTGTTTTCCCAGTAATATAATTACTTTCAAAATAGAATACCATCTCCTTTTTGGTAAATGTGAGTTCTGATTACAGTCTATCACCTTATTGGAGTATTTTAGGAAATCTTTGGTGAGAATTTGTAGTTTCAAAACATTTCTCCATATGTAATTTCCTAAGTAAATCATTCAGAAGTTCCACTGTTGGAATTTTGTGTGCAAAGTAGGAAAAACCTAAGTTGTGGCTTCTTTATATCAGCCCTGCTATGGGGAAAGTTTTTTTTTAGGTAAGAATCAGATCACAGTTAATTTTACACACCTACTTCATTCTCTACCACCCACCATGCCTAAACCCCATAAAGTTAGAGAGAACACGGTACACACAAGATTGTCTTCACTCCTAACACCAATTGCAAATTCAAGGAGTTCCCCAAATCCCCTTCAGGTTTGATAATTTACTAGGAACACTCAAAAAACTCACTGAAAGCAGCTCACTTGCGATTACAGTTTATTACAGGGAGAGGATACAGACACAGATTAACCAAGGGAAAAGATGCATAGGACAAAGTTCAGAAGGGTACCAAACATGGACCTTCCAGTTGTCCTTTCCCCATAGAGGCAGGAGGGCATTACTGTGTGAACACAGATATGTGACAATATGCATGGAGTGTTACCAATCAGGAAAGCTCACCCAGGCCTCGGGTGTCCGGAGTTTGTACTGGTGCACTAGCACATAGGCAGGATTAATTGCACATGTGGCCAATCCCAGTTTCTAGCCTTATCCAGAGATTGACTGACCCAAAGCCCTCACCCTACATGACACTGTTGGTGTGGTTCAGAGCTTCCAGTCTAAATCAGTTTTACTATCTGGCTGGTCCAAGGCCCCCAGGCAAAGACACTGCTTTCAGACATGACAGTGGAAGGGCTTGGAGATGATGTACCAAAAGCCAAGGACAGAGGCTTTGGGTGAGGTTAAATTCTTTATTACCTCACACTACCCCAGTTTCTCAGGTTATATGTACCCTCGTGGGAGAATTCTACTTCAACA
Organism: Homo sapiens; assembly: GCF_000001405.40. Classification (NCBI taxonomy): domain Eukaryota; kingdom Metazoa; phylum Chordata; class Mammalia; order Primates; family Hominidae; genus Homo; species Homo sapiens. The sequence goes on along the minus strand of NC_000008.11, from coordinate 104,493,395 downwards.
TTTTAGAATAAAATATGTTTATGGGTGGTAAGTTAGATTGTATTCATTTAATGAGATTAAAAACTCTCAAGTTTGAAGCTTTTGGTAACAAATTACCAAATTTTTATAGCAGATTTTGGAAAAAATAAGTAATGATGTAATTCACCATCTCACTCAAAGGAGAAACGCTTTTTGAGGAATGCTTTCTCCTTCATAAACTGAAGAAGTATATGAAATTATTCCTAGAACATTCGTGAGATCCCCTCATAAAATATAATGTTAGATTGCCAATCCTAATTAACTGACTTTTAACTAAATAGAGAGTTTCACCTCAGTATGACAAACCAAATGTTAAAGTCAGCAATAAAGTATGTTGAAGGCATTGTTGATCTTGATGGCTAATAGCAGCACAACAGAGGATAACAGAAGAGCCTTTTGTTCATTGCTGGACATAATAGCATAGTGCTCAACATGAAGCCTTAAAACTTGCATGCTCACTGTTGAGGAGCAGATCTGTGGAGAAGTTCATTATAAATGTGAACCGCTTTTTCTTTTTCTTTTTTTTTTTAATTTGTAGTTAGGTACTTCTTAATTGGTGAAAACTCTTACTCATCTGTATAGCAAATCCATGTGTGCTGATATCCAAATTTCTTATTGACAATCTGTGCCTTACTAATGTTAGACTATGAAATGTTCCTATGATAGTAGCTTCTTATCATAAATTATGTTCATGGCACTATGGAAGGGCCTATATGGAAAGCATAAATAAATGCAATACCAGTCACAAAGAGATACAGAACATAAGAGGACATCTTCCTTATTTTCTACCTTCTTTCTTCTGTGAGGGGAAAGGGAAGAGGTGTGAGTTTTGGCAGGAGATGGTATCATCAACTGAAGGAGAGTATATCAACTTAAGATTGTTTCCTGGAAATACAATTTTTAAATACTAAATGCCAGGTTGGTGAAAGCTGTTTCAAGTTTGAATACTTCTTTTTATAACCACTAGATGGAGCTTAAAGACTATCTTATATAATGCTATATGCTTTTAAAAACAAACTCTAAACTCGTTCATCTAGAAAAAAGAATAGATTTTTTATTCAGTTGGACAACCTTTCATGTACACTAATTACAGCTAACTAGTTTTCAAAGAATGATATATTTATACTTAATACTAAACTATAGAAAATAAAACTTTAAAGATTAAGAAGGAATCTAAATGTCGATACCATTGAGTAATGATATAAACAGGTTCTTTTGTTGTTTCTTGTTGTCTTCGGTGCTGTATTACAAATATAATTCCTTTATTTGTGACAATATAATTAAATCCTCAGTATCCATTCAGCAAATGCTTGAGAACCAACTCTGTGAAATACAATTTTCACATGTTTTGGAAAAGTTAAGCCTTGTAAATTAAATCTAATTTGTTCTTTAAAAAAAAAAAAGATAAAAGTCCTCGTTTTCACAAACTCATTTTGGTCACTTCGTCAATTATGTAGAGATTCTCCTATGTTCCTAGTTACAGAAGTATCAATTTTATTTTCTAGCTTTGGTACACTTTTCATGTTGGATTACGATGTGAGATTTTGAAACAACTGTTATAATTTACATTAAATATCATTTTTAAGTTGCATATATAAAATGGAATATCAAGAAAAGTTTAAACAAACAATGATTCAAGTTAGATTAGTAGATTAGATTCTGTAGTAGGATGAACCCACATAGGTAAGAGAATTTAATTTTTCCTTCTTAGACCCAAAAGCAACAATGAGTAACAGAATTTTTAACCACAACACATTCTTAATAGAAGGGTGTTTTTTTTTTTTTTTATCTTAGTACCTTGTTGTTAACTATCTTAAGATCTTTTCTTATTTTTGTAGGCTTCTGTTTTGGAAAATCTGAGGCTAGCGGTACGATCTCAGCTTGGATTTACTTCAGTCAGGCTTCCTATGGCAGGCAGATCAAGCAACATTTGGAACCGTATTTTTAATTTTGCAAGATCACGTCATTCTGGGTCATTGGCTTTGGTCTCAGCAGATGGAGATGAGGTTGTCCCTAGTCAGAGTACCAGTAGAGAACCTGAGAGAAATCATACTCACAGAAGTTTGTTTTCCGTGGAGTCTGATGATACAGACACAGAAAATGAGAGAAGAGATATGGCAGGAGCATCTGGTGGGGTTGCAGCTCCTTTGCCTCAAAAAGTCCCTCCCACAACGGCAGTAGAAGCGACAGTAGGAGCATGTGCAAGTTCCTCAACTCAGAGTACCCGAGGTGGTCATGCAGATAATGGAAGGGATGTGACAAGTGTGGAACCCCCAAGTGTGAGTCCAGCACGTCACCAGCTTACAAGTGCACTCAGTCGTATGACTCAGGGGCTACGCTGGGTACGTTTTACATTAGGACGATCAAGTTCCCTAAGTCAGAACCAGAGTCCTTTGAGACAACTTGATAATGGGGTAAGTGGAAGAGAAGATGATGATGATGTTGAAATGCTAATTCCAATTTCTGATGGATCTTCAGACTTTGATGTGAATGACTGCTCCAGACCTCTTCTTGATCTTGCCTCAGATCAAGGACAAGGGCTTAGACAACCATATAATGCAACAAATCCTGGAGTAAGGCCAAGTAATCGAGATGGCCCCTGTGAGCGCTGTGGTATTGTCCACACTGCCCAGATACCAGACACTTGCTTAGAAGTAACACTGAAAAACGAAACGAGTGATGATGAGGCTTTGTTACTTTGTTAGGTACGAATCACATAAGGGAGATTGTATACAAGTTGGAGCAATATCCATTTATTATTTTGTAACTTTACAGTTAAACTAGTTTTAGTTTAAAAAGAAAAAATGCAGGGTGATTTCTTATTATTATATGTTAGCCTGCATGGTTAAATTCGACAACTTGTAACTCTATGAACTTAGAGTTTACTATTTTAGCAGCTAAAAATGCATCACATATTCATATTGTTCAATAATGTCCTTTCATTTGTTTCTGATTGTTTTCATCCTGATACTGTAGTTCACTGTAGAAATGTGGCTGCTGAAACTCATTTGATTGTCATTTTTATCTATCCTATGTTAAATGGTTTGTTTTTACAAAATAATACCTTATTTTAATTGAAACGTTTATGCTTTTGCCAACACATCTTGTAACTTAATATACTAGATGTTAAGGTTGTTAATGTACAAAAAAAAAACCCTTATACTCACCTGCGTTTTCATTTGTTTGACATTTGTCTATTATTGGATTTCATTATCATATGAACTTGTCAGTGGGAAACAAACTGTCTAAAAATTTTTCTCTTACGTTTAACATACAATCATGTGAAATTTAGGCAGAGTTCGATAAATTACTGGCAAAAACAAAACTCTTTTATAAAGATTTTCTAATGTTGACTTTAATACTCTAACATGGTACAAACCAAATGGTAAAATCCCAAGTCATTTCTTTTTTCATCTCTATTTAGCAACAGAATTAAGTGGATGAAGATATTCTACTATGCATTAAATCTTGAACTTTATAAAACATGTACAAAAATTGTACAAGATAAGTTCCACCTGGTAATGTCTTTCCCTAATACAGGGTTGCGCTTGCATTGGACCCTAGGGATTTGCACTAAAATTATATCAAGGTCTCAGATGAGCTTAGTGCACAAGCACTATCACTTTAAATACTATTATTTGCTACCACAGCAACTATATATTTCCATAGCTTTTGGCTGGGGGCGGGGGACATTTTTATTACAACTTGAAATTGCTTTGCTGGTTTCATATTTATTTGTTGTATTTAAAAAATACATTGTTGTAAGAGTGATTTTTTCAATATATTTTATTCCTGGGGGGGATCATGCTACACTCTCAAAAGAAAATTAAGAAATCATTCAGATCATCCCCCCTTTTTAAGTAGTGTGAATTGCAAAACCCAACATATTTTTTTTACTGTCAGTTGCGGTTTATTTATTCTTTAACTGTCTGTTTTAGTAGTTTAATGATTATGAAAAATGTATCTGTGTGTGATTTGCTATTTATTAAATTTTAAGTACTTTGCTGAATGTCATTTTAAAGCATGTTTGAAGTCTTGTGTATTTGTCTGTGTTAATGCTGTCAGGAGGAACTGACTAAGATGTTTTAATATGTATCAAAAATTAAAATGATTTTTTTTATTGCCTTGAGGTACTTTTTAAATCAAAGCTGTTCTTTATTTGTTGAATTTTGGTGCATATACAAATTCAGGCCATAAAATATGCAATATATCTAGAATAAAAATGATTAGAAGGAGATCATTCCTTAACTACTTTATAGTAAAGTAGTAGCTTTTACCAGTACTCGAGGGTAAAATTTTCTAAGGACTTGAATATTATTTTGCTTGAGATTGCCCTTCAATTGATGTATCTCACAAGATGAGAGAGTTTAATTGATTAAACTGCCTTTTAATTGACGTATCTCACAAGATGCAGTAACACAATCAGTTCTCTTTTTAAATTGTTTTCACATACATTTTAGACCCCTATAATATATTCTACTGGCAGAATTTGGGTTACCAAATAATCTTTTATGCCCTAGTACTAATATATTATCAAGTACAAGGGTTTTGGTTTTCTAGCATATGTTTTAATTTATTATTTTAATTAACTAATACATCATCCTGGTTCAAACAGTAAAATGTAAATTCCTCTTCTATCCCAACACCCATCTTTTAGTTCACTTGAAAGAGACACATATCAGTACCAGATTCTTGTATATCTCTCTAGAAATAACCATATATGTACATAGGCATATCAGTACCATATATAGTAATGCAAATTGTAACATAACTATGCATACATTTTCTGTACCTTTTCTCAAAGGGAAATAATACATCATTAGAGTTTGAATATTAAAAGTAAGATCAAGCATTTCTGTTATTTGTTTTTTTTACATTTAAATCATTGATCTCTCCTGAATTTAGGGCTTCACTATCTTTTTTCCAGATGACTACCTAGTTTTCACAAAGCTATTTATTAAATAATAAATCCTTTCCTTACTAATTTGAAATGGAACTTACATAGTACATTTCCATATTATTTGGGTATGTTTCTACACTGTATTTTCTTCTGTTGATCTGCTTTTCTCTTTTTGTACCAATCCTTTATTGTTTTAATAACTGTGATTTTTAAGTGTTTCAAATATTCTTATTTATATTTCCATTTGAATGACAATCAATTTGTTGAGTTCCACAAAACATCCATGGGTACTTTTTTTTTTTTTGGACAGTTTTAATTTTATAGATTAATTTAGGGGAATTTGACATCATTATCATGTTAAAGCTTTTTATCTAAACCATGGTGCACTATCTAAAAATCATGCCCCTTCATCTTTTTTTGTTTCCTTCAGATGAATTTTACACTTTACAGAGATCTCATACATTTTTAAGAGTTTATTTTTTTTAATTTTTACATTTTATTGCCTTTATTAATGAAATCCTGTTTATAATTTTGCCTAATTTTAGTGCATGTAAAGGCCAATTATTTATGTTAATTTTCTACCTGGCTACCTGATTCCATTTTTTTGTTGTTTTTAATAGTATTTCACTTAATTAGTTTGTGTTTGCCAACTACACAGTCCTGTCATCAGCAAACACTGATAATGTAACCATTGTTACAGTTTGCATTCCTCTTTGTATCTTAATTGCATTGTCTAGTACTTCTAAAATAATGTTCAATAACTGGCTATAATGAATTGAGTTGAGATAGATTTAATCATATTAAGGAGTATCAACTAATCCCTAGTCTTAAAACTTTTTAAAGACTGCATGTTTAATTTTATCACATGCCTTTTCGACATCTGTGGAGATGATCATATGATTTTTTTTCCTTTGATCCTTTAAGATGAATTTTACTAATATATTTTGTAATTTTGCACTATCATTACATTCTTTAAATAAATTCTTTTTGGCCATGTGTATTTTTTTAATATATTGCTAGACTGCACTTCATATTTTATTTAGGATATTTGCACTTGTATTAATCAGTAGTCTATAGTTTGTGTGTGCATGCATACACGTGTTCACTTTGAGAAGTGTAGTATTTTATGCTTGTGGATTTGGAAACTTCCCTCCTTTTACAATGCCCTAGAACAGTTTAAATAGCATTGAAATTTTCTGTTTCTTAAAATTTCAGTGAAATTATCTGGGTTTCATGGATGTTTGGCAAGCAGCTTTTTGACAACTTTGTTGGTATCATCTAGGTAATTAATCCATGTAGTTTTTATATCCTATCTGGATCAGGAACCATCCATTTAATCCCAAGTTTTCAAATTTATTTGCCTAGTTGAGGAAAGTTAACTCTTCGTCTTCTATGCATGTGGATGTTGCCCCTTAGTTTGTATTATGCTTTCTCCCTTATTTTCTTTTTTTTTTTTTTTTTTTTTTTTTTTTTTTGAGACGGAGTGTCGCTCTGTCGCCCAGGCTGGAGTACAGTGGCACGATCTCTGCTCACTGCAAGCTCTGCCTTCCAGATTCATGCCATTCTCCTGCATCAACGTCGTAAGTAGCTGGGACTACAGGCGCCCGCCACCAGGCCCGGCTAATTTTTTTGTATTTTTAGTAGAGACGGGGTTTCACCGTATTAGCCAGGATGGTCTCGATCTCCTAACCTCGTGATCCGCCTGCCTCGGCCTCCCAAAGTTTCTCCCTTATTTTCTTGATAAAGGTAGCTAACAGTTTACCTACTTTTTTAATTGTGTATTTTTTTATTTTCCCCAAACCGCTTGGATGTCTCTATTCTGTAATTTTGTTCTTTCTAATTAGTTGATTTCCACTTTAATAAGTTTTCCACATTTTGCTTTCCTTGGTTTATTTTGTTTTTTTCTAACTCGAGTTAGCATGTAATTTATTTTTACTTCTTAATTCTTAAGAAGAGATGAAGACATGGACTTAAGTGTGAGCACTGCTTAAGGCGAATCATTTGGCTGCATTAATGTCATTACTGTTATTTTCTAAATGTTCTTAAGTTTCAGTTTTGATACCTTCTTTAATCCAAAAGTTGTATAAAAGAAGTTTTTTTCTTTGCTTTTTTTTCTAGATAATGATAATTTTTTGGTGTGAGTCTTAGTTTTGTTTTCTGATTCTTTTCATTTTATGGCATCAAAAACAGAATGTTAAGAGTATATGTGTTGGGGGGGCGGTTATTGTCTTTCAATTTTTAAATGTCCCAAGAGCACTTTTAGAAAGTGTGTTATTTCTTTACAGGATACAGATTTTAGTGGGAGTTACTCAGATTTTAGATCTTCTCAACAGGATACAGTCCTTTGTCTTGTCAGTCAGAGCACCAATATTAGTAGGGAAGAGAATGGAAACAAAAGGAGCTGTTATCAGAAGGGATCTATGGGCCAGAAGCCCTGTTACTGGCTCATGTCATACACTAGCACTAAGAATATAAAAGCACAGGATGAAGGGGTCTTTCAATAAGCTGTTGAGGTTTTAATTCTCACTACTGCTTACCACCGTCATCCACTGTTCATCTGGAAATAAGTGGGTAAGACAGGCTAAATGGGATAAAGGAAGAACAAGTTCATTGAATTCTCTAAGTGTTTATTGAGCACCTACAACAGACCCAGCAATGTTCACAGCAGTTTACAGCGGCCCTCCTTTCACCTGCTCCACCATTCCCTCACACCTTTTCCCCCAAATTTCCAGGGGAGAAGATGACAGCAACTTGATAGGACCTGCTTTACTCAGGAAGGTCCCTGTTTAAAAATTAGTAGAAGCAGGCAGTAGAGAGAAAGGCCTTTTCTCTGAATACCTGAACTCTTCTTCAGGAATAGCATACAAATTGCAAATTGTATATAGTTATTGGCATGAGCTGATAGCTGGCTGTGATTGCATTTGTTTCCTAAGGTAATCAACATTCAAGGTAGACAAAGGATGCTAAGTAAAATTCACAGAATTTTAGAGCTGGAAGGAATCTTAAAATGAAGTAACAGACATAGCTGTTTAGTCGGGAATTTTCTAGACTTAAATCAATTATATACCCATATTATGTTATACATACAGGTAAACATAGGCCATGTATGCATACATGGTTTACCATCATGTGATGTCATGAGGTTTTTTCCTATTAGAAGTCAGGCCATTCTGACATTTTTGCACGTGCCTGCTCCTAAATGAGTGCATCCCACACCGTGATGGTATTCACACCATCAAATGCTATTCTGCGAGCCTTTTACCACCAGCTGCTTCTGCATTATAGGAATTTTCAAAGCAATAATATTTGCCCATTGTTGAGTGCCTATCACCTGCCAATTTCTTTATATGTATCCTTGGAATCTTCACAGTCCTGTGAAGTAACAAACTTACCTTCTATTTATCCAAGGTCATATAGCCAATAAGGGCAGAACTAAGATTTAACCTTAGTCGTGCCTGACTCAACAGCTGTGAATAAGATGGATCATAAAGTGAAGTAAGATTTATCAGGAGAAATATCTATCAAGCTGGAGTTGACAGACCTGGATTATTATGCCAACTCACTGAGCCTCAGCTTTGTCATCTTGAGGTAAGGATAATAGCTTCTTCATAAGATCATTGTGAGGAATAAAGATAACGTGTAAAGGCCTTAGCACTTGTTCTGTCCATCTATTGCTGCATAAAAAACTACCCCCAAACTTTGTGCTTAAAGCAACCACAATCATTCAGTTTTCTCACAAATCAATAATGTGGGCAGAGCTCAGTGGTATTGGCTCATTCTGCTCCTCTTGGCCTCTGCTGGAGTTGGAGAATATACTCCCCAAAGAACTCACCTGAGTGACTGGCAGGTTTGTGCTGCCTGTCAGCTGGGTGCTCAGCCAGGAGCCTGGGATCCTCTTCATATGAGTCTCCTCAAGGTTGCTTATGTTTCCTTAGAGCATGGAAGCTGGACCCAAGAATGAATGTTACAGTATACAGAAGCTGCAAGGCTCTTATGACAGAGTCTCAGACATCCTAGAATGTTATTAGGTCGGTGCAAAAGTAATTGCGAGTTTTACCATTACTTTCAATGGCAAAACTGGCAATTACTTTTGCACCAACGTAATACTTCTGCCACATTCTACGTGTCAAATCACTGGCCAACCCAGATTCAGTAGGAAAAGAAATAGACTCACCTCTAAATAAAAGGAATAGCAGGTAAGTCATTCCATCTTTACCCCAGCACAGTACCTAATACATAGCAAGAAACATTAAGTTGCCATTATTAATATTTTAAGTAGAAAAAGTTTTACAGCCTTAGAAATGTATTTGCTAAAAGGATATAAAATTAACTCTGCTCCACTGTCATGTCAGGCATGTATGTGTATCTCATATCTGTTTATTACAAATACAAGGATAAAACAATTTGCCTTAGCATATTCAGTCAGAAATCACAGCATTGATGCAATTTTAAATAAACATATTTAGGCAGTTGGTAAAATTTAAAGATTAGCAGTTATTTCTCTACATTTAAAATAACTTGTATTAATATTTCAACATGTTGTAACCTATAAAATGTTTATTTTAAAATTGCTTAGAGGCAACAGTATAGTGCGTAAAAGTCTGGAGTCAGATTGCTTGGATTCTAATTTCTGTCCAACTCCTTACTGGCATGTGCCTTTCAGGAAGTCAATCACCTGTACTTCCATTCTTCATCTGTAAAATGGGGATAATAGGGCTACTGGAGGATCAAACAAATTAATATACATAATGCTCTGGGAACAGCATTGTAATATACACATAGCAGCTCTTGGCTTATAGTAGGTGCTGTGTAACTGTTTGCTATTATTGTCATTGTTTAAATGTTAAAACATCTGACCAGGTACGGTGGCTCATGCCTGTAATCCCAGCACTTTGACAGGCCAGGTGGGCAGATCACCTGAGGTCAGGAGTTCAAGACCAGCCTGGCCAACATGGTGAAACCCTGTCTCTATTAAAAATACAAAAATTAGCCGGGTGTGGTGGTGCATGCCTGTAATCCCAGCTACTTGGGAGGCTGAGGCGGGAGGATTGCTTGAACCCGGGAGGTGGAGGTTGCAGGATCCGAGATCACACCACTGCACTCCAGCCTGGGTGACAGAGCAAGACTCCGTCTCAAAAAAATCTCTGAATCTTACATTTAAATAAGCTATCGTACATGAAAAGTTCTAAAATAATAGTGGTTTCTGAAGAGAAATAGAAACAGATCATTTTCCATTTCTTATGTGTGCTTATTCCTGGGATCATGAAAGTGAATTGCAACCCAGAACAAAGGTCAATAAGAGAGCAGGGGAGAAGAAAGGATAACAGCCCACTTGTGATAAGTTAATAGAATTCCAAGACCAAGCAGACACAGATGAAAGGATCCTGCAGAGTTCAGGGGGCCCAAGGAAGTTACCTTAGTGACAGGGAACTAAAGCGAGGTCTTTACAGAACTCCTAGATCCGGATGTTTTTCAGATCACGTTGTTATCTTGTTGTAGCAAACACTACTAATTTGCATACCCAGTATCCATGAAAAGAAAAGCCTCATTTTAAGGGTGATGGAAAAGGAAGAGAAAAAGCCTGATTTCACTGAGCAGTTGCATCAACCTTGGCCTGGCTATCTCTGGACTTCTAGTTCCATGAAAAAAATAAACCTGTATGTATTTAAGCAACTGGTAGGCTTCTCAGTTACCCATGGAGTAACCTTCTTAACCAGTCTACTGGCTCTTAAGTCAGGAATAGTAACGGTGGAGTAGAGGATTAAATGAGATGATGTGAATGCAGCAGAACAGTGATGAGGAGGCACATATCAATGGAGCTCAATCAATGAGTTCAATCAATGTAGGTGCTCTGTCAATGTAGCTCCAGTTGATGGGTTCTCTCAGTAAACTGCTCATCCTTGTGTTCTCCTAACAGCAGTTCTATTTATATGTTGGACTTTCCTGCAAGATTTCATTTGAACAGAGGGTTTTAAGGATTAATACAATTTGAAAACTAGTGTTAGAACATCACAGGACCAAGTCGCCTTCTCCTACGTAGGACACACCTGGTTTACTGAGAATGAAATGAGAATTTGCTTAGAGTGTTTTCCAGTAAGGATACTGAGGTGTCAATTAGGGCAGGTTTTCCCATATGTTGGAAGGAAGCTCAAACCCCAAAAAGCTTAATATCCCCCAAAAAGTGACTTGGAAGCTTTACTAAGGAGAAGTAATAGAGTACAGTGAGATGGAAAAGCATGGGCTTTGGAGTCAGGCACATCAAAATTTGAATTGTGTCCACTACTAAAGAGGTCTTTTTTTTTTTTTTTTTTTAGACCGAGTCTTGCTCTGTCGCCCAGGCTGGAGTGCAATGGTGTGATCTTGGCTCACTGCAACCTCCGCCTCCCGGGTTCAAGTGATTCTCCTGCCTCAGCCTCCTGAGTAGCTGGGATTACAAACGCACGCCACCACGCCCAGCTAATTTTTGTATTTTTAGTAAAGACAGGGTTTCACCATGTTGGTCAGGCTGGTCTCCAACTCCTGACCTCGTGATCCGCCTGCCTTGGCCTCCCAAAGTGCTGGGATTACAGGTGTGAGCCACAGCACCCAGCCTAGAGTTTTGTAACTGAATAAATCACTTGATTTTCTTGTCTCATCTGGAAAATGGGATCACACCTACCCTTAAGGGTTACCAGTGAAAAGATCAAATTTTTAAAAAAGCAAGAAAAAAATTATGCAGAAGCCTTTCCTGGAGCTTTACGCATAGAGATTGAAAACAAATTTTAATTGTCAATATCATAGATTCACTTTCCAAAATAAAACAGTATTTTAAAAGAGCTCCCCTATACCATGTATTAAGCATTTTGTGTATTACTAGAGCTTTCTGAAAGAGCAGGTTTCTTATAATAGCCACTGTCCTGTTTTCTTGGTTATAGGGCAACTTGTGGCTGTATCTCAATGAAAACTAACTTCACTAAACAAAGGTAGAGTGATGTCTTGGCTCACTCCTTTTTATTATTTACAGAAGCCAAAATAAAGAACTTCCATGGAGCCCTAGAACAGAAAAGACGTGGCTACTTCCTGTGGGCTTAGCAACATATGTTGAGCTCGTAATAATAACAGAAGTTATGATAAAAAGCAACATATAAACAATATTCAATGGAATATTCTCAATTGCATTATAATGGGAGCAGCTTTTTAAGATATTTCTGTATTACTGCTGAGCTCTGATTTCAAGTGACCCTGGAAATTCCTTATAGATTTAGTTTTCCAAAGTCTGGGTTACCTTAAATAAAAATTTTGTAAAACAGTCCCCACCTTGTCTGAGGTTTCACTTTCTGTGGTTTCAGTTACCCACAGTCAACCTTGGTCTGAAAATATTAAATGGAAAATTCCAGAAATCAATTCATAAGGTTTAAATTGTATGCTATTCTGACTAGTGTGATGAAATCTCATGCCATCCAGCTTCATTCCATGCAGGATGTGAATCCTCCCTTTGTCCAGCTTCTCCACACTGTGGACATTGCATGCCCCTGGTCACTTAATAGTGGTCATGGTTATCAGATCAATTGTTGTGGTATCACAGTGCTTGAGTTTATGTCACTCTTATTTTACTATTCATACTGGCCCCAAAGCACAAGAGTAATGATGTTGGCAATTTGGATATGCCAAAGAGAAGCCAGAAAATGTGTTCTTTAAGTTAAACGTTGGAAGTTCTCCACTTAATAAGGAAAGAAAAAAAAATTGTAGGGTGAGGTTGCTAAGGTCTATGATAAGAACAAATGTATGTGTGAAATTGTGAAGAAGGAAAAAAGTATATGCATAGTATGTATAGGGTTTGGTTTAGGCATCCACTGGGGGTCTTGACAGGTATCCCCCGCTATCGATGGGGGGATTTTCATTTTGTGAGTTTTAGCTGCATCCTGTTCCTATTTCCTTTGGTGGTACTTTGCACATTGACATTTTTTATTGAGATTTTACCATACAACCTAATTTCCATTTCTCTATCTCATGTTGCCATTAGAGTAATTAGTCAAAGGCTGGGCTTGGTGGCTTACACCTGTAATCCCAACACATTGAGAGGCTGAGGCCGAGGAGGGAGGATTGCTTGAGGCCAGGAGTTTGAGACCAACGTGAGCAACATAATGAGACCCTTGTCTACTAAAAGTAAAAATAAATTAGCTAGGCATGCATAATGGCAAGTGCCTGTAATCCCAGCTACTTGGGAGGCTGAGGTGGGAGGATCGATTGAGTCCAGGAGGTTGAGGTGGCAGTAAGCTATGATAGCATCCGTGCACTCCAGCCTGGGTGACAGAGCAAAGCCTTGTCTCTAAAAAAATTGTTTTAATTAAAGAGTTGTTAGCCAAGTGTGCAAAGCAACTGTTTGTAACCAATTCCTTGCTTTTGAGTAAACATAAGCATTTATTGGTACTTCCTGAGTACCAACCCTCATACTAGATGCCTTATGTACTTTGTTTCTAATCCCCAGAACAAATATGTGATAGATGTTCTTATTCACACAAACAGCAGAAGAAGCAGCATCAATAAGTACCTCCATCATTGGGATTGGAAGCAGTATAGCTCTTGGAAGTTGAACTAATTCTTTATTGTATTTTCACTTATAGAATAATTGAGGGATTTAATTTTCTATTTTAAATGTTATAGCCTCATAGTAAGGATTTATGTTTTATTTTGGAATCATATTTGCTTTACAAAAAATATAGAAATATTAAAAAACAACCACTTCACAATTACTGGGATGGCTGTAATAAAAAAGACAGGGAATAACAAGTATTGGTGAGGATGTGGAGAAACTGGAACCCTCATACATTGCTGGTAGGAATGTAAAACGGTGCAGCTGCTCTGTAAAACCACAGTCTGGCAGTGTCTCAAAAGTTAAATGTACAGTTACCATATGACCCAGAAATTCCACTCCTAGGTATATACCCAAGAGAAATAAAAACGTATCCACACAAAAACTTGTGCATAAATGTTCATGACAGCCTTATTCACCAGAGCCGAAAAGTGGAAACAAGGCAAATGGCCATCACCTGATAAATGAACAAACAATATGTAATATATTCATGCAATGTAATAGTATTTGGCAACAAAAAGAAATGCTGTGCGATGAACCTCAAAAACACTCTACGTGAAAAAAGCCAGTTACAGAAAAACACAAATTGTATAATCCCATTTATATGAAATGTTCAGAAGAGGCAAATCTACAGAGACAAAAAGTAGATCGGTAGCTGCTCAGAGCTAAGGAAGGCGAAAGGAATTTGGAAGGAGGTGGGTGTCAGAGGAAAATCGTGCTACACAGTTGAACAGGCAAGGAAGACTTTTCTAAGACTTAAAATAAGGGGAGAGATCAAACTCAAGTCTGCTGAAACAAAAGGTCAGCAGGTTTGGAAGTGCTGGGTGAGCTAGTGGAAAAGTCCTGGAGGACATAGAAGGGGAGGTTGGTCAGTGTAATTAGGCCAACTGTGCTTGCTAATTTGTACTTAGTGAAGTTAGGCTCCTACCCTTCCACAGAGACTAGGAGATAGGGGCACCAGCTTACTTGATTACATTTGAAGGAATGGCTCTAGGTCCTTGAGAAAGAGATACTTGGGTTATTAAACTGGCAAGAAGCTGGAAGAGGATCTATCTTCATTTCAAAGGAGCAAATAATTTTCAATTACAAGTTTTCTAAAGTAAATGCTCTAAGAACAGGGAGGTCAGGGACCTATAATCAGGAAGGAACTTGTCTATAGGCTAGTCAACCTGAGGGGAATAATAATACTGTCTTTGCCAATGGATACAAAGTTTATTTTTGATATGATGAAAATGTTCTAAAATTAGATCAAATGAATGTTGTAAAACTCTGTAAATGTACTAAAAACCATTACATTGTACACCCTAAATGGGTCAGCTTTGTGGTATGTAAATTATAGCTCAATAAAGCTGTGTTTAAAAGATCAGAGAACAAAAATACAAATAATATCCCTTTTTTTCTGTTTGCTTTTAGAATTAGATCTAGCTATTCCACTATAAATAACCTTGCTTATTCTGCAGGAAACAAGTAGTTGCTTTAGGAAACTAAAAAGTTACAGAAAATACCGGCCAGGCATGGTGGCTCATGCCTATAATCCCAGCACTTTGGGAGGCCAAGATGAGTGGATCACCTGAGGTTAGGAGTTCAAGACCAGCCTGGCCAACATGGCAAAACCCTGTCTCTACTAAAAATACAAAAATTAGCTGGGTGTGGTGGCACGCGCCTGTAGTCCCAGCTACCTGGGAGGTGGAGACAAGAGAACTGCTTAAACCCAGTAGGTGGAAGTTGCAGTGAGCCAAGATCACACCACTGTATTCCAGCTTGGCAGACAGAGCAGGACTCCATCTCAAAAATAAATAAATAAATAAACAAACAAATAGAGTTGCAGAAAATACCATTCATCTTCCTTTAGTCAAAAACATAGGGCTGAGTATGGTGGCTCACGCCTGTAATCCCAGCACTTTGGGAGGCCAAGGCAGGTAGATCACCTGAGGTCAGGAGTTCCAGACCAGCCTGACCAACATGGAGAAACCCCGTCTCTACTAAAAATACAAAATTAGCCGGGCGTGGTGGCGCATGCCTGTAATCCCAGCTACTCGGGAGACTGAGGCAGGAGAATCACTTGAACCCATGAGGCAGAGGTTGCGGTGAGCCGAGATCGCGCCACTGCACTCCAGCCTGGGCAACAAGAGCAAAACTCCATCTCAAAAAAAAAAAAAAAAAAAAAAACCCATAACATAGTGAGTGTGGTGGTTGTAGGTACCATTGACATTAAAATTTGATCAAAGTAACTTACTTTGGCAGTTAACCTCTCTGAGACATAGCTTGTACATCTGTAAGATTGAGGTAATATTTCCTACCTCATGGAGTTCCTGTAGTGATAAAATCATATATGCAAGGGCTTTATAGTCCAGTGCCAAGCATATTCAAATTCAATAACTGACTATTCCATAAACAATGATGGGGGGGAATCCCACATGCCAGGCATTGTTCTGATGAGTACTACTCTTGACTTCAAGCTCCAGAGCCCTGCTTGAGAGCACCTCTCCCTGGCTCTCCGCACCACATGCTTCCCTAAGAGGCAAGGAATCCACAGGGTTATGGAGAAATGAGTGCTGCTCTTTCTCGCTCCACTTCTAGACCACACTCTTGGTACCCAGAATCCTAGATTTTCCCATCCAAGTGGCCTAAGTCTACATGCAGGACCTCCCTCGTGTCTTCCTGGGATCTATCTTCCTGGGGCTGGATGGAACTGCTAGCATGAATATCCCAGGCCCCAGGGGAGTGAGGAGCTTGGATGGACTGTGGCTAGGCAGGCTGCGGTGTCCACAAGCACGAGCATAAGGCCTCTCATGGTGCAGGACAGGGCCTGGGATAGGAAGACAAGGGACAAGTGTTTGCCATCCATAATCCTGCCCTGAGCACTGCAAATATTAGGGGCAAGACAGGTTCTGGCACTGGGGATAAGACAATATCTAAAACAAATATGAATATTATTAAAAACACTGAATTATTTCTGCCATCTGGAAGAATACTTATAGTGCATTTAACTTTTTTCTTTTCTCTTAAAGCCCAAGCCCATTTAGCTCTAAGCACAAAGCTATGGCCCTGAAAGTTTCTTGCCCCTTGAAAACTTGCTTGACTTGAACTACAATAAATGAAGAATTATTGCCTTTAGTAATTATGCATCTTCACTTCATTTCTAATTTATATTTTTTCTTGTTCCCATGAAGGACTCATTGCAAAGAAAATCCAAATGTTTATAAGAATAAAAATGCCTTATTTTTAAAAAGTCATTTATGCAAATTCCCTATGTACCATAATCTTTTCCCAGAGGGAAAAGTAGATAGGAATAAATAGATGTTAAGGAAAGGGGGGGAAATGTGGGATGGAGGAATGAAAGAAGAATTTTAAAGATATTTCATAGTTAGAGTCTGATGGAATAACTTTATTCTTTCTCTTTCTCTATCTCTAAATAAAAGTGGTTACTTATTTCCTTATTGTATGTGTCACTAACATTTTGATATTTCCCCAAATGTTCAAGTCTACATACATCAGGTATAATCAATGTATTCAAGTATAATCGATGTGAGAGTTAAATGCCTGAATAGGAATATGTAAATCAAGTGTATGTGAACTACATAATATTGGAAATGTAAGATGGAAGCTTATTATTTAAGGAACTCCCATTAGTAAACCTTTTTTGAAGTGAATAATATGCTCAATCTGTATTTTCTTTTAATCATGATGTGAAAACTTTGCTTAATGTGAAGAATACATTGTATAAATCTAAAAAGCTATACTTTTATAATATAAAACTGGACTTATAACTTAGTGTGCACTAAAGGATGCAGTAGTCATATTCAAAGGGATCAAAGAAGCTACTTTCCTTTCCAATTTTGAAGAAAGGATAACAACTATATGTCAATATAGATGCAAAATCATCAGGAGTGACACTTTTTTGATGACAAATTGCTGAACAAACCAAAGAAATAGTCTTTTCAAGAAGCCATCTAGTGGTTTATTCCAGCCTTACCCTTACATATTTTGCAACACAATTTGTTTAATAACTTGTTTTTTGTAACACTCAGTTGAACTTCCTTGAAATGAAAAGTGAATGATACTGAAAGTGAGTTTGGAGTTCCAAAGGAGTTTAAAAAAAGACTCCTGGGCCAGGCACAGTGGCTCACACCTGTAATCCCAGCACTTTGGGAGGCTGAGGTCAGAGAATCATTTGAGCCCAGGACTTCAAGACCAGCCTGGGCAACACAGGGAAACCTCGTCTCTACAAATAATTTAAAAATTGGCTGAATGTGGTGGCACACACCTGTAGTTCCCGCTACTAGGGAGGCTAAGGTGGGAGGATCTCTTGAGCTTGAGAGGTTGAGGCTGCAGTGAGCCTGCACTCCAGCCTGGGAGACGCAGTGAGACTCCATCTCAAAAAAAAAAAAAAAAGAAGAAAAAAGAAAAAAAAAAGAATAGAAGAAAAATCTGATCTGTGTCCTTATTAATACAGACCAAACGCTAAAATCCCTGCATAGAGCCCCATATTGGAATGTTGATAAGGCAAAAATGAAAAGTTAGTGAGTTACTCTTTTTGCACTGCAGTTTCAATAGGTTATAGGTCTTTGAATACAAAAATGTATGATGTAGTTTTGTTTCCCAGAAGTTCACAGATTAGTGCCCTTAAGTACATGGTTATGTAACAGATGGGCAGTCAGGTGTTATTCTTGACCCACAACAACATATTTACTGTGTTTACCATGTATAGTTCTACATGAATATCTCTTACAGAAAAAATAATTTTCTCTCAAGAAGTATTTGTATAACGTGAATCACGTTTTTCATGAAGGAGGAAGGTAACTCCATTACCTTCCATTTATATTAAAGAAACGCAAGTGTAGTGAAATGAGATCACATAGACAGTGATGCAGAGGTAGAAAAGTTCTAACTTCAAGGAGAGTGGGAAGAAGTGCAGGTAAAAAGGGGCACACCATGACTGCCTCTCTCTGTATCTCAAAGTCTTGCTTACACTGATTCCTCCAACATCTGGATCATCAGAGCCTCACCAGTGTCTCGTCTACATAACTTAAATGCAGTGTTGTGAGGGTTCTGGAACAGTGCCTGCTCTGCCTGCTCCAGCCCCAGCTGTGGTTCTGGCTTAGGGCCTCCCAGGGCTCCTGAAAAAGTTTCAGTGAATCCCAGTGAGGTGCACCTTTCACTTTAGACCTTGACGTCATTAAGAATTTTTGTTTTATATGTAGGGGACAGGAACAGTGCTGCCAAGTCACAGACAACGTTTAAAACCAAAGTAGGTAATCTCTTCCTCTGCAGATATCCTGCAGCTTGCTTTGTATACAAGACTAAAGTTAAATTTTCTTTTTAAACAAAATAAAATACAAATAATAGATTTGTAGTTGCCAGGGGCCAGAATTTGTGGGAGAGAAGATTGACTCTAAGCAGGGCACAAGGAAACTATTTTGGGGTCGTGGAAATGTTCTCTACCTTAATTGTGGTGGTGACATAACTGTTTTTTTTTTTTTGCTGTTGTCAAGATTCACAGAACTCTATGCTTCTTAAAGATGACTTTTACTCCATGTATTTTAGCCTATATTTATTAAAAAGTAAAATATATAATACAGTATTCAAACTCTGATCTATGTAGCAAAATTCCAAGTATTTTGTTAATGCTAAATAATCTTGCTTCTTAATTCTCAAGATCAGAAGAAGCATTTCATAAGCTTGTGTATCTCACACTTAAAAGTTATAACTACTAATGAAAAGAAAGTTGCTGAAATATGGGAGTAACATAGTTGGTTTTGCTAATAATATATAGCAAGCACTGTGCTGTGGGCTTTAAATGAATATCTCATTAAACGTTTACAGCCACCGTGTGGATTGGAAGCACCATTAGGGGGAAACAAGAGCTTAAGAGTAGTTAAGAAACTTATCAAAGAATCACAGATAACAGATAATAAAGTCAGAGTTCACTTCCAGATCAGTCTGGCTCCCAAGTACAAGCCTATTTATTAATTTTATTTTGCTTTATTATATTTTTTCTAATCAAGGGAACACTTTCATTATTCCCCTAAAGGTTATTATATGCTGGAATATATTTTGCTAAAAAACTCAAAACAACTTGGAAATTTATGACACAAGATGAGTGAGTTAAAGGAGTAGGAGGGTTTCTGTGGGTACAAGTGAGTGCTGTTGGCAGGATGGGTAGACAAACTTTTGAGCAGAGCCTGGTGTTTCTTTGTCATTTCTTAACAAAGACAGCATCCTTTTGTTTAAGGGCAACAATGTTAGGCACTATGATAGGCTAAATTATAGCCCCCAAAGATATCCAGATCCTAATCCCTGGAATCTGTGAATGTTGCCTTATATGGCAAAAGGGACTCCCAAGATGTGATTAAGATAAGGATTTTTTAAATGGAGAGATTATCCTGGATTATCCAGGTGGGCCCTAAATGTAATCACGTGCATCCTTAGAAGAAGGAGACTGAGGGAGATTTGACACAGACGCGGAGAAGGCGATGTGGTTACAGAGGCATCCGTAATGTGATTATGGAAGAATGAAGCGATGTGGCCACTGCCAATAAATGCCAGCAGCCACCAACAGCTGGAAGAGTCAAGGAAACAGATTCTTGTTTCATTCAGAGCCTCCAGAAGGAATCAGCCCTGCTAACATCTTGACTTTAGCCCACTGAAGCTAATTTTGAACTTCTGGCATCCATAAATGTAAGCAAATAAGTCTGTGTTCTTTCCAGCCACCAAGTTTGTGATAAGTTGTTAGAGCAGTCATAAAACTAATATACTTAGTTATCCCACTTATCCCTGATTTCACTTTCCAAGGTTTCGTTGCGCACAGTTAACCTGGGCCTGAAAACAGGAATCTTCCCTTTGTCTAGCATACCCATGCTGTAGAGGCTCCCCACCCACCAGTCACTCAGTAGCCATTTCAGTTATCAGATTGGCTGTTCCAGTATCGCAGTGCTCGTGTTCAAGTCACCATTATTTTACTTCATACTGGCCCCAAAGCACAAGAGTAGTGATACTGGCAATTCTGATACACTAAAGAGAAGCAGAAAAGTGTTTTCTTTAAGTGAAATGGTAAAAGTTCTCCACTTAATAAGTAAAGAGGAAAAATCATATACTGAGGTTGCTGAGATCTACGGTGAGAAAAAAACTTCTATGCATGAAATTGTGAACAAGGAAAAAAGAAATTAGTGTTAGTTTTGCTGTTGCTCCTCAGACTACAAGAGTTACAGCCATAGTGTGTGGTGGATGAGTGCTTAGTTAAGATGGAAAAGGCATAAAGTTTGCGGAAGATGTGAACAGAAACGTGTTCCAGCTGATGGCAATCGAGTTTGGTACTATCTGCAGTTTTGGTACTATCCGCAGTGTGTCCCCTGAGAATCAGGGAGGACTTACTCTACACTGCTAGAGCCAGCTTCTCCAGGATATGCTTGAAACTGCCTGTTTAGCATCAGAATATCTTTAACAAAAAACAAGCAAACAACCAAAAAATAATACCACTACCATGTAATACCAGACAATATTGGAAATAGGAACTTTTAAATAAGTATTTCCTTGAATTTCTTGGAGTTACACAATAGCATATCTGAAAGTTCTTCCCCCAGGCAGTTCAGTGTTGGTGTGTTGAATCTGGTCCCACCAAATTTGTTAATTTATTACAAAAAGGACTGCTTTATAATTTTTTTGAACACTGATGACATTGATCACCTGAGCAAACACATAGACTGCCTCTACAATATTGAGATGACTAAATGAACCAGCCTGCAAGCAGCAGACAGAAGTGAACAAGGTCTGAAGGTAATGTTCACGATGTCAGATTTCATTCCAGGATCATCATTGATTCATTTATGTAATCTGAGGCCCAGCTGCAGCCAGGATTTGGACATGGCTTTGGAGCGTGGAGTTGCATAGTGGGTAAATGACAGGTTCCAGAAGGGAAGGCCTTGACTGCCATGTGATCTTGGGCAAATCACTTGACCTTAAAAAGCTCATTTGTTAAAGGGAAAAACAGTACTTAGCTCAAAGAATTGTGAGGATTAAGTAAAATACTGCACGTAAAAATCTTGGCCCAGTACTAACTTGATGTTAGTGCTGGACAAATCTTAGCTACTGTCGCTGGTACTGTTATGTGGATTACCTCTTTTCTCCTTCTGCCCAGGAGCGGTGCTTCAGGGACAGTATCCACTGGGGTTGTGTAGTGGGCCAGCTCTCTCCATGGCCCCCCAGAGTCAGGGGTGACCATCCCTGCCTACCGTGCATGTTAATTCTGAGCAGTGATTAAAATGCCATACCTGCTTTTCAGTCCGAGGACTTTCAAACCAGTCCCACCAAGCATCACAGCCCCATCCCCATGACTGTAGGTTTTACACTCTGTATGTAGCTCCTTTCCAAGGAGAGCCCCTTGGCCCCAGTGGAAGGACCAGGAATAACATATTTCTGAATCTAGAAGGCAAGTTTTACTTGGTTCCCAATTCACTCATCTGAATCTGGGAAGAGTGTAATTCTAGGACTACACCAGGAACTCTCCATTCAGAGAATCATAAAATTATAAAAGTGGGAAGGGTGGGTCTCACAAGCTTTTGCCAACCTAGCTGTGGAGGAGGCGGAGACCCTGAGCATTAAGTGACTTGCCCAAGCTCTCAGCAGAAGCTGGCATCAGATTACTATTAGATAAGATTACTATTTCCTCATTCAATTTTCTCCCACCCTTTCCATGCCATCTACCTTTCCCAACTTTCATCATTGATTCAAGTATAAATACATTACCCTGCCAGGGAATTCTATCCCTCAGTGGTCCAGGGAACAGGAGTTTCCACAGATGCTGGTGCACGTGCACTGCTTTGAGACGCCCAACTCTCCTTGCTCAGTCTCACTCACCCACCCTCACCATTCCTTCCCTGTGCCCCAGAGAACTCTTCCATTGGGTGGAAACAACAGCTTAAAAACCTCTCCTAGCCCACAGGAGCCTCTAGTAGGAGTGGAGAGGGTCAGGAGCAAAGGGAAAGCAAACTTGGCTCCTCCAGGATAGCCGAAGACTGAAATACAACTGACCCTGGTGGACTTGTTTCTCAAAATCTCAACCACTCAGTGAAGGAAGTCACCTGCTTGCTCCTCCAGGCTTTCTCTCCCTGTAGACCATCAAGCAGGGATGGGAGGCTCTTCTTGCCAAATCACCCTCACCTACACTTCCAGATAGATGTGTTTTCATGGGTTAAGCACTGACAATCTTTGTAACCATCCTGTAAAATGCTTCTTTAAAACTATTCCTCTGAGGGGTAATATGTTCTCAGACATCCTTGATATTTTCATCAATACAACTGACTCTCTCCCCAGCAAGAAGAATGAAGAACAGCAGGAGCTCTGCATCCCACCTTTCTCCCAATGACAACATTGTGTCCCCTGATTCTTGTTTACTGCCCACGGAGGGCCTGGAGTGTCTGGGTAAGGAGGAGGCTGTGTAGGACAAAGAAAATGAAGGTGAGTGTGTGCTGAGAACAAGCTTTCCCCACTGAGCCGGTTTGTCCAGGCTCAGCCACCTGCCCTGCAAGCTAGTGTGCGGGAATGATGGCCAGAAAGGGGCAAAGCCCCTTCTGTTCTGTGAGCTAACATTTATCCCTAAAACTACCCCCCTCTCTCTTTTATTGCTGTCAGTTAATCTCAATGAGCCATTTCCTCCCACCTCGGTGACATTCTACAAGTCCCCTTTTCTGATAAAAGTTTGAGTTAATTAAATGTGGGAAGTTTGTTTTGTGTTGTGTTACAGGGCATTTCACGACGTAAACTGTGTAAGATAAAAGAAACCTTTGAAATCATTAATCTGGACAATTTCAGAAAGGATGGCACAGCTGCACTGACATCCAATCTTATTTTCCTAAGGTGGTGCTTACTTGTACAGCTTGTAGAAATTTCATTATGTTTATAATTACCCCTTTCACCCTTACACAAAAGTCCCTTGACAATAATTGCATAACCTCCTTGGGTTTCTTGTTCCTGGCTTGACAGCCAAATCTACGGAACTTTAAATTATTGATGCTTTCTAATTTTTAATTATTTTGAGGTTTGTGTAAGCTGAAGCTTTAGGAGATTTGGCAATAATAATACCTCACATTCCACTATTGAAAATGCCATCTCTGAGGTCACATGTGGCCACCTTGTCTCGAAACATGAAGAAGGTATCTTCCCAGTGTCTGTCAGTGGACCCTGCAAGTGACAAAAGACTCAAATCAGCTTAAGCCAAAAGTGGGAAGTCTAGGGGAGGGGCCTTTAGGCATGGTGGGATTCAGGAACTCAGTGTCATGAGAACCCAGCCTCTCTCCGTCTCTCCTTCCTGTTCTTGGTGTTGGCTCTGTTCACAGAAGGGCTATTTCTCTGTGTTGTCTAGAAGGCTCCCAGAAGCCCCTTGTTTACACTCCCTAGAATTCAAGTCCAAGAGGAAAGAACAAGCCTCTTATCTGCTCAACCTAAAAATAAGAAGTCTTGGGATCTGCACTCACTTCTTGGGCATGAGAAGTTTGGAGCATGTGCCCATCCCTGTATCATCACTGTGGTTTGAGGATTCCCTGCCTTGATTGGAAGAGTCTAGGTGAGAGCTCAGTTGCAGAGCTAGAGGTCCCATTGTTACAGGCAGGTCTTTGTTCTTAGTGCTCTCAAGATGGTGGTGAGCCGCTCCCAAGATGGCGGCAAGCCTTTTGTTCTCTGACCTGGGGTTCTTGGCCTCATGGATTCCATGGAATGGAACCTTGGGTCATGCAGTGAGTGTTATTGTTCTATTAGAAAACGTGGGTCAAGGAAGAGAACCACGGAACCCAGCGACTAGTGTTCAGTTAGATTAGGACAAACCCGGGCACTTAGCCATGCAGGAACAATGGCGAGCCTCTAGCCTGAACTGGAGCGGCAATGGGCGCCTCGCTGGATCAGGAGCGCAGCGGACTCCCTGCTGGATTCAGAGGGGTGGAAGTCAGCGGCGGGTCTGTGACGGCAGCAAACAGCAGTGGTGGATGGTGAGCAAAAGCTCAGCTCAAGCCGTAACAAACACAGACCAGAAGAGTGTGCAGCTGCAAAATTTAATAGAGTGAAAACAGAGCTCCCATACAATGGGAGAGGACCCAAAGGGGGTTGCCGCTCCCTGCTGGAATGCTTGGGTTTATATCCTGATCATTGTCCCTCCTCCTGTGCTCTCAGGTGATATATGATTTGACTATTTCTTTACCTCCTGCTTTTAACCTAATTTGTATTTTAGTGAGCCCTCTTTACTACCTGACTGGTAGGGTGTGAGCTGAGATGCAAGCCCCATGTTTAAAGGTAGGTGTAGTCACCTTCCCCAGCTAGGCTTAGGAATTCTTAGTCAGCCTAGGAAATCCAGCTAGTCCTGTCTCTCACCATCAGTTTCTCCAAAACAAGTGTTCTGAGACTTCAGGCAGAGGATTTCCCACCAAAGAAATGCCAGTGACTGTTACCAGAATAAGGACAAGAATATATGCCTGGTCAGCAGATGTCCACCCCACCTCCCCATGACCCTTCATAACCCTTTTGCAAGATTCCATCCTGTTGCCCTTCTTAAAATTCTGCATTCCTGCCTTCCATCACACAGACCTGTGGTCTCCCTTCTCTCTGACCACTCTGTCTCTTCTTCCTCCTCCTCCCCTATAAGCAAAGGGATGGTCCAGGATTCAGTGTAAGCCTATCCCTCATAGCTTAACCACAGGGAGTGCATTCCTTCATCCTCTCTGTGCCTTTACACGCTCTGTTCACTCTACCTGGAGCACTATGTCCTCTTCCCACCACTCACCTCTGCGTGTTCACATTCTCTGTATCCTAGTTCAAATACCTCTTCACAAATCTTCCATATCTGATGTCTTTAAGCCAGAAATAAACTCACTCTTTCCTCTAAATTCTTATCTTTATCCCTTCTCAAAGATAGAATGTTCTGTTTTATATATTGAAATATGAATGTGTGTCACTGTTGGCTGTTAGCTACTTGAGGGTGGAAATGTGGTTTATCTTTCCCACTTAGCCCTCTAGCCAATCCCCCTAGTCAGGTAAGCTTTGTAGTCCTTACAAAGCCAGTATTTAAGTGAATTTGCATGGTGCTTCCCACTTTATTAGGGTGTATTCACAGCCATGATCATATTTGCTTCTCAAAGCAAATATGGAAGGCAAGAACAAGTATTAATCAATTTTATATATGAGAAAACTGAGGAACCAAGAGAATAAAAGATTTAACTGAAGATCTCTAAACTGGTTTTGTGGAAAAGCTGGGAGTAGAAATTTAAATCTTTAGAGTTACAGTACCGGTTATTTTCCAAGAAACACTTGCTGGTATGTGTTGTATCATTAAACTGTGGAGAATAGTTGACACCAAGTCGTTTTCTTTCAAATACATTAAATATTTTACTCTGATCCTTCCCTGTGTCTGCCAATTACTGGGATTATATGATAATTTGCTCCTCGCTTAAGAACATTTAACAGGAAACCCAGATCGAGTGGCTCTGTTCTGGCTTGGGTGGGTTTGGGTATTTTTGTTGCTGCTTCTAGTGATGGTTCTTGCTTTCTTTCTCCCTCTGGATCTGTCTTTTGGTACAAACACACCCCCAACCAAGGGAAAGGGTGAGGTGGATTTCTTTCCCTTTAGCACCTAATCTTATGATGAAAAACGCAGGTTCCTTTCTCTTAAAATTCCAAGATCTTTCCCTTCCAATGACTCCGAAGCCTGGGTGGATACCTCAACTCAGGGCGCAGAACACTTGGGGTCTGAGTGTGCAAGGACCATGCGGACCTGTTCAATCCCGGCCTTTGGGCTCCAGCCCAGCCTTCCCGGGGGGAGGAGCCGCATATGCGGCCAGGTCATAAACCCGTCAGGCCGCCGGGCTCCGGATTTGCAGCCTGAGGCAGAGCTCGGGGGCTGTCGGTGGGGACCTTGCAGGAGGGCACCCCAAGCCCGCCCGGCCCGCCCAACCCAGCCCCTGCGCGCAGCCCGGGCCGAGTAGGACCCCGCGCGCCCCTCGCTATGGCGGCGCCCTCGCGGCTCCTGATCCGCGGGGGTCGCGTGGTCAACGATGACTTCTCGGAGGTGGCCGACGTGCTGGTGGAGGACGGCGTGGTGCGGGCACTCGGGCACGACCTGCTGCCTCCCGGGGGCGCTCCTGCGGGGCTGCGGGTCCTCGACGCCGCCGGCAAGCTCGTCCTGCCCGGAGGCATCGACACACACACGCACATGCAGTTCCCCTTCATGGGCTCGCGGTCCATCGACGACTTCCACCAGGGCACCAAGGTACCCGCCCCGCCGCGCCCCCGCCCCGCGGTACCCACGGAGGCTCGGGCAGCCTCCCCAGTCGTCCCGGGGTCCTCAGCAGGGCCGCCTCGCGCGGCGCGGCGCCGAGGAGCTGGGTGGGCGGGAAGGAGCGCAGCCCCGGCGGGTGTCAGAGGGGACTCAGATTCTCTTCGCTGGGGTCCCTTTCAGGCGCCCCTTCTCGGCGGCAGCCGAGCAGCCTTGGCTCAACCAGATGCCCTCGACTCCTCCTTTAGTGGTTAATTTGACGAGTTTAAGGCCATCCCCTTACCCTAATTTCTCTATACCGCTTACTCCCCAAATCTCCCCGCAACCCCATTTTGATTGGTGTTCTGTGGAAGTCGCAAATCTTCCATACATTCTTTAGAATCTTTTTTTAAAGTAGGCACTTCCAGCCATTTCTCCCAACCATTTCGACCCATCCTTTATCCCCAACCAAAACCAAATGAAAAATCCATTCACCTGGTAGTTACAGCCTTGACTCAAAGTGAGCAGTGTAGCAGGTAATGTGTCTGAGTAGGCTAGATGCCCACCGTGTTCACGTTCCCGTCCCCTACCCTCTGCCCCCACTCCCACCCCCAGTAGAAAAAATATAGCCCCGACCAGGGTTTAGAAGAGAAAGTATTCCAGAAATGATCTCGCAACACTCACACACACCAACGCAGCCTCGCAGCAGGCTCTTTTCTCCATCCCACTTGCGCTGGGGACACAACATTCTTGCTGCTGGAGTACCCATAGTTTTACTGATGTTGCAGGAGGGTAATCAGATCACCACTCCCCAGGTGAAGGTAGGCTTGGGTTTCTCTAGATACAAAGGCCTAGAAGTTTGGGTCAATGAAAGGAAACTTAAACCAAACTTGTCCAACCTGTAGGCCGCATGCAGCCCAGGACAGCTTTGAATGCGGCCCAACACAAATTCATAAACTTTCTTAAAACATTATGAGATTTTTTTTCTTAGTTCATTGGCTGTCGTTAGTGTTAGTATATTTCATGTGTGGCCCAAGACAAGAGAAGCCAAAGATTGGACACCCCTGCAACATTTCCCCAAAGCTCCTCAACACAAGATCAAGAGACTAACAGAGCAGCTTTACAGGAACATAGAGTAAAAATTCTACTCTCAGCACTTGGGCTAAAGTAAAGCCCACATCCTCCCTAAGTCCTGTGTTTTGAGCTGCCTTGAGAGAAATGGCTCCTTCCAAAGTGAAGATGTATTGATATACTAAAGGCCTTGGCTTTTCACTTGGACCATACCTTGATGTGTGAAACAAGTTGGGCTATTAAGTCCAGTGTATAGTAGGCTTCCTTCCTCCCTCCCTCCTTCTCTCCATCACTCCCTCCCTTCTTTCTCCCCCCACTACCCCCTCCACCCCTCTCTTTCTTTCTATTCCCATGTTACTGTGGACAGGCTGACAGTCTTCCAAAGCAGTTTTGGTGATAGCTACTTCATTCATATACTGATTTCTGACAGTTTTGCTCTCCTTACACCTCCCCCTCTCCAAGTTCCCCAATCCTCTATAATTGACTGGAATGATTAACAGAAAAAAAGGAAGGCAGGTAGATTTGACCCAGAGAGAAGGATCTGGGCAGGCTGCTCAAATCACCATTTGGAAAGCTTCTTCCTGATTACTAATTATCAACCTATATCTTTATGTCAATAAAGTCTTTTGTAGGACAGATTGTTGTATGGTTTGAAAATTAGCAAACTTTGTTTTGTTTATTCATTTTTCCCTTTTGCTAAAAAGTAATATGCACTGAATTTGAATGAACTTATTTTTCCATTTTAAAGAATTTTTTAGCTATCAAAACAATATGTGATTGTAGGAAACAATTGGAAAAATAATAGGAAAATTAAAAGAAGCAAAACATTAATAATACTCTCCCTCTCAGTGACAGCCAATGTTTTGGTGTATTGCCTTTATGCTTTTTAGCATGCTCTATTTTACATAATCGATATCATATTGTGCATGTGTCTGTGTGTGTACACCTATATTTAAAATGTCAGAACTTGCAGTTTTCAGTCATAGTGCAAGCCCTTTCTGTTATTACAGACTTATCATTAACAAAGTGCTTTGCTGATGGCAGGGCATCCCATTGAACACTCCCACCTGCAAGGTGGGGAGCTGCTATTTCTGACCATGAGTTGCCCACTAGCATCATTCTCCCTCTTACAGCTGAGCAGTAGCTTTCATTCTCTTTCTGCCATCAGGGTTCCAGATGAAGCAGCAAAGAAGAGGAAGTGGAATGCTGTGGGGGAGGGGCATTCCCTCTCTTTCTCAAGATTATCTTTGCGTGCCCCAAGGTCCTGGGAAGTGGTTCTTGGTCTTCTATCTTTTCCTTAGCCATTCTGGGATTCTCTAGTTCAGAGAGATTTATAATTCTTAACTGAGAATGTAGGTCCTTATGGCGTATAGTCTGT